>NC_000007.14:138131779-138756779 GCF_000001405.40 Homo sapiens
AATTAAGCTAATTAACGTATCCATTATCTCACAGTTACCTTTTCCTTTGATTTTTCTTGTGTGTGTGTGTGTGTGTGTGTGTGTGTGTGTGTGTTGAGAATACTCAAGCTCTATCTTAGCAAATTTCAAGTATACAATATAGTATTATTGACCATAGTCACCATGCCATACCTTAGGTCTCCAGAACTTATTCATCTTCTAACTGCAAGGTTGTATCCTTTGACCAACATCTCCTCATTTCTCCCCTACCTCAACCCTGTTACTACCCTTCTATTCTTTGTTTCTATGGGTTCAGCTATTTTAGATTCCACATGTAAGTATTCATCTTCTTATATCTGACATTTAATTAGCAAAATCTCCTCCAGATTCATCCATGTTGTTGCAAAAGGTAGGATTTCTTTCTTTGTTCAGGCTGAATAATAGTTTGTTATAATAAGTGTGTGTATGTATACTTGATATATATATCAAGTATAAATATATATTTGGTCTCTGTCCCTGGTTCCTGGCACACAGCTGCTAAAATCCTTGGAATCTACAAAGTGATATGTCTTTTTGTATGCTAATGAGATGGCTGATCACTGAGTACTCCAAATAACCACAGGATAGTTGCCAGGGCTGCCAACTATGTGATTGGAGGGTTAAAACTTTCAGCCCCACCCCCACCTCTAGGAAGCGGAGAGGGGTTAAAGGTTGATTTGGTCATCAAAGACCAATCATACCTACCTAATGAAGTATGTGTGTATTACACATATATATGTATAATTTCCTTGTCCATTCACCCACTGACAGACATTTAGATTGTTTCTGTATCTTCGCTATCATGAAAAATGCTGCTGCAATGAACATGGGAGTCCAGATATCCACCTTTTTCAAGATCCTGATTGTGGTTCTTTTGGATATACCCAAAAGTGGGATTGCTGCGTCATGTGGTAGTTTTATTTTTAATTTTTTGAGCACCCTTTATACTGTTTCCCACAGTGGCTGCACCATTTCACATTCCCACCAATAGCGTACAAGAGTTCCAGTTTCTCCACATTCTTGCCAATACTTGATATCTTTCATGGTTTTGATAATTGCCATTTATTGCCTTTTTCTGTTGAGTATTTGTATGTCTTCCTTGGAAAAATATCTGTTCAGGTTCTTTGCTCATTTTAAAATCAGGTTGTTTTTCTACTACTGAGTTGTAAGAGTTCCTTATATATTTTGGATATAAACTCCTTATAGGATCTATGGTTTGTGCATATTCTCTCTCATTCTGTGGGCTGACTTTTCGTTTTGCTGATTGTTTCCTTTGCTTTGCAGAAACTTTTTACTTTGATATAATCCTGCCTGCTTATTTTTGCTTTTGTTGCTTGTGCTTTTGGTGTCATTGACAAGACCTCTGTCATAGAGCTTTTCCCCTATATTTTCTTTTAGGAATTTTATGGTTTCAGATCTTGCATTTAAATCTTTAATCAAGTTTGAGTTGATTTTTGTGCATGGTGTAAGATAAGAATCCAATTTCATTTTTTTGTTTCTTTTTGAATGTGGATATCCAATTTTCCCAACATCATTCACTGAAGAGACTATTCTCTCTGCATTGTATATTCTTGGCATCTTTATTGAAGATTACTTGATCATATATGTATTGGTTTATTTATTGGTTTCCTGTTACATCCCATTGGTTTATGTGTGTTTGTTTTTATGCTTGTATCATATTGCTTTAGTTACTATCACTTTGTAATGAAATTTGAAATCAGAACACAAAGCCTCCAGCTTTGTTCTTCTTGATCAAGATTGCTTTAACTATTCAGGGTCTCTTGAGGTGCCATATAAATGTTATGATTTTTTTTCTATTTCCATGAAAAATGACATTGGCATTTTCATAGGAATTGCATTAAATCTATAGATCACTTTCAGTAATATAGACAAGTTTCCAATATTGATTCTTCTGATCCATAAACATGAAATACCTATTTATTTGTGTCTTCTTCAATTTTATTCATTAATTCATTATGTTTCATAGTTTTCAGTATACAGATATTTCACCTTTTTGGTTAAATTTATTTCTAATTATTTTATTCCCGTTGATGCTATTATAAATGTGACTTTTTAAAAAATTTCTTGTTCAGATAGTTTATTGCCAAAGTATAGAAACACAAGTGATTTTTATATGTAGATGCTGTATCCTAAAACTTAACTGAATTCATTTATTAATTCTAACACTTTTGGGTAGAATCTTTAGGTTGTTCTATACATAAAATCTTGTAATCAGCAAACAGAGACATTTTGACTTCTTTTCTGATTTGGATGACTTTTATTTCTTTATGTTGCCCAATTCCTTTGGCTAGGACTTCAGTACTATGTTGAAAAAAAAAGTGGTGAGAGTGAGTGTAATATTGTGATATAATAAAATATATATATACTTGGTCTCTGTCCCTGGTTCCAGGCACAAAGCTGCTAAAATCCTTGAAATCTGCAAAGCGATATGTATTTTTGTATGCTAATGAGATGGCTGATCACTGAGTACTCCTAGATAACCACAGGATAGTTGCCAGGGGTGCCAACCATGTGATTGGAGGGTTGAAACTTTCAGCCACACCCCCCACCTCTAGGGAGGGGAGAGGGGTTGAAGGCTGATTTGGTCATCAAAGGCCAATCATACCTACCTAATGAAGTCTCCATTAAAAACCTAAAGATGGCTGGGTGCAGTGGTTCATGCCTGTAATCCCAGCACTTTGGGAGGCTGAGGCAGGCAGATCACCTAAGGTCAGGAGTTTAAGACCAGCCTGGCCAACATGGTGAAACCCCATCTCTACTAAAAATACAAAAATTAGCTGGGCATTGTGGTGCGTGCCTGTAGTCCCAGCTACTTGGGAGGCTGAGGCAGCAGAATTGCTTGTACCCAAGAGGCAGAGGTTGCAGTGAGCTGAGATCACACTGCAGCACTCCAGCCTGGGCAACAGAGAAGGAACTCTGTCTAAAAACAACAACAACAATAACAACAACAACAAAAACCTAAAGAGACAGGTTTTGGAGAGCTTTCTGGTTGGTGAACACATTTACATACTGGAAGGGTAGTGTACCCCAACTCCATAGGGATGAAAGCTCCTATGCTCCGGACCCTTCCAGACTCCACCCTATGTATCTCTTCATCTGGCTGTTCATTTGTATTCTTTAAAATATCCTTTGTAATAAATAGGTAGATGTAAGTAAAGTATTTCCCTGAGTTTTGTGAGCCACTCTAGCAAATTAATAGAACCCAAGGAGGGGGTCTTGAGAACCCCAATTTAGAGCTGACCGGTCAGAAGCACAGGTCACAACCTGAGGCTTACCATTGACATCTGAAATGGGGGCAGTCTCAAGGAGCTGAGTCCTTAACCTGTGGGATCTGACTCTATCTCTAGGTAGATGGTATCAGAATTGAGTTAAGTTGTAGGACACCCAGTTGGTGTCTGCTGGAGAATGGCTTGGAAGTCTGGTGAAGAGCCCCTACACATTTTGCATTAGAAGTGTTGTGCTGAGGGGTATGTGGGATTAGGAAAAACACTTGGTGTTTCCCATTTCTTAATAGTGGACATCCTTGTCTTGTTCCCAATCTTAGATAAAAGATATTCATCTTTTCACCATTGCGTATGATGTTAGCTGTGGGCTGGTAATATATGGACTTTATTGTGCTAAGGAACATTCCTTTTATAACTAATTTGTTCAGAGTTTTAATCATTAAAGGATGCTGAATTTTGTCAAATGCTTTTTATGCATCTATTGACATGATTTTTGTCCTTCACTTTGTTAATACAATGTATAACATTTACTGATTTGCATATGTTGAGCCATCTTTGCATCCCAGGCATAAATCCAAGTTGATCATGGTGAGTGATCCTTTTAATATGCAATTGAATTTGGTTTGCAAGTCTATTGTTGAAGATTTTTGCGTCTACGTTCCTCAGGAATATTGGGCTGTAATTTTTTTTTTTTTTTTTTTTGGAGTGTTCTTGTCTGGCTTTCATGTCAGGATAATATTGGCCTCACAAATCCAGTTGGAAAGTGTTTCTTCCTCTTTAATTTTTTGAGGAGTTTGAGAAGTACTAGTACTCATGCTTCCTTAAATGTTGGTAGAATTCAGCAGTGAAGCCATCAGGTCTAAGGCTTTTTTTTCTTTTTTCTTTTTCTTTTTTTTTTTTTTTTTTTTGAGATGGAGTTTCGCTCTTTCGCCCAGGCTGGAGTGCAGTGGTGCAAGCTCTGCTCACTCCAACCTCCGCCTTCCAGTTTCAAGCAATTCTCCTGCCTCAGCATCCCAAGTAGCTAGGATTACAGGTGCCCACCACCACACCCAGCTAATTTTCATGTTTTTAGTGGAGACAGGGTTTCACCATGTTGGTCCGGCTGGTCTCAAACTCCTGACCTCGTAATCGGCCCACCTCGGCCTCCCAAGTGCTGGGATTACAGGCATAAGCCACCACATTGGCTTATTAGTGATTTAATATTTAATCTCCTTACTGATCTGTCCGAATTTTCTATTTCTTCATGATTCAGTCTTGTCAGGTTGTATATTTCTAGGAATTTATCTGTTTATTCTAGGTTATCCAATTTGTTGTTATATAATTATTCATAGTAGTCTCCTATGATCCTTGTATTTCCTTCTTTTTTTTTTTTTTTTTTTTTTTTTTTGACAGAGTCTCACCCTATTGCCCAGGCTGGAATGCAGTGGCGCGATCTCAGCTCACTGCACCCTCTGCCTCTTAGGTTCAGATTATTCTTGTGCCTTAGCCTCCTGAGTAGCTGGGACAACAGGCGCACACGACTATGCCCAGATAATTTTTGTATTTTTAGCAGAGACGGGGTTTTGCCATGTTGGCCAGGCTGATCTCGAACTCCTGACCTTAAGTGATCCACCCACCTTGGCCTGGGCCACTGTGCCCAGCCAATCCTTTGTATTTCTGTGTTATCTGCTGTAATGGCTCCTCTTTGGTTTCTAATTTTATTTGAGTCATCTCTCTTTTGTTCTTAGGCTAGCTAAAGGTTTGTCAATTTTGTTTATGTCTTCAAAAAAGTTTTGTTGATCTTTTCTATTCTTTTCCTATTCTCTTTTTTTTTTCCTGCTCTGATCTGTATTATTTCGTTTCTTCTACTAACATTGGGCTTAGTTTGTTCTTCTTTTTTGAGTTCCTTAAGGAATAATGTTAGATTACTTATTTGAGATCCTTCTTCTTTTTTAATGTAGGTATTTATTGCTATAAACTTCCTTGTTGGAACTGTTTTTACTGCATTCCATACATTTTGTTATGTAGGGTTTCCATTTTTGTTTGTCTCAATATATTTTTTTTAATTTCTCCTTCAATTTCTTCTTTGACCCATTGGTTGTTCAGGAGTATGATGTTTAATTTCCATATATTTCTGAGTTTCCAGTTTTCCTTCTGTTATTTATTTCTAATTTCATACCACTGTTGTTGGAAAAGATAGTTGACATAGTTTCATTTTTTTTAATTTTTATAAAATATACAAAAATATACATAGATACATATAATAGATTTTTATAATAAATACATTAAAATATACATAAATAGAGTCTTGATACGTTGACCAGGCTGGTCTCAAATTCCTGGCTTCATGCGATCCTCCCATCTCAGCCTCCCAAAGTGCTAGAATTACAGACAGGAGCCACCACTCCTGACCACATTGTTTCAATTTTTGAAATTTGTTAAGACTTGTTTTGTGGCCTAATATATGATCTTAGAGAATGTTTTATGTGTGCTTCAGAAGAATGTGTATCCTGCTGCTGTTGGATGGAATATTCTGTATGTGTCTGTTAGGTCCATTTAGTCTAAAGTATAGTTCAAGTCCAATGTTTTCTTATTGATTTTCTGTCTGGAAAATCTATCCATTGTTGAAAGTGCAATGTTGAAGTCTCCTACTATTATTGTCTTGCTGTCTACTTCTCCCTTCAGACCTATTAATATTTTCTTTATGTATTTATGTTCTCCAATGTTGGGTACATAATAGTGTGTGTGTGTGTGTGTGTGTGTGTGTATTATATATTGTTCCATATTACCTATTGTTCTATCATCTTGATGAATTGATCTCTTTATCACGATATAATGGCACTGTATGTCTCTTTTCACAGTTTTTGACTTAAAATGTATTTGTCTGACATAAGTGTGGCTACTCCTCCTCTCTTCTGGTTTCCTTTTGTATGGGATGTCTTTTTATATCTCTTTACTTTCAGTTCACGTTTATTCTTGAAGCTGAAGTGAGTGTTTTGTAAGCAGCATAGAGTTGAGTCTTTTTTCTATCCTTTCAGCCATTCCATGTCTTTTGATCAGTGAGTTTAATTTATTTAATGTAAAATAATTACTGAAAGTAAGGACTATTTCCATTTTGTTCATTGTTGTCTGGCTGTTTGGCAGATCCTTTGTTTCTTTCTTCCTCTCTTGCTGTCTTTCTTTGTGATATGATGATTTTCTGTAATGGTATTGTCTTATTCTGTTTTGTATTGCTATGAAGGGATATCCGAGGCTGAGTAATTTTTAAAGAAAAAAGGTTTCTTTGGCTACAATTCTGATGTTTGGAAAAGTTCAAGATTGGGCATCTGGTGAGGGCTTCCATTTATGGTAGGAGGTGAAGGGGAGCTGGAATATGCAGAGATCTCATGGCAAGAGAGGAAGCCAGAGGCGGAGGTGCAAGGCTCTGTTTA
This sequence comes from Homo sapiens, assembly GCF_000001405.40. NCBI lineage: Eukaryota > Metazoa > Chordata > Mammalia > Primates > Hominidae > Homo > Homo sapiens. The sequence continues at coordinate 138,138,453 of NC_000007.14, forward strand.
ACAATTACCTCTCATGGGAACTAACAGAGTGAGAACACAGTCACCCCCAATGGAGGGCATTAACTTACTCATGAGAGATCTGCCCCCACAATCCAAACATCTCACATTACGCCCCACCTCCAACATAGAAAATCAAATTTCAACATGAGTCCAAAATACCACATGTTCTCATTTATAAGTGGGAGCTAAGCTATGGGCACACAAAGGCATACAGAATGGTATAATGGGCATTAGAGACTCAGAAGGGAAGAGGGTGAGAGGGGGCTGAGGGATGAAAAACTACCTATTGGGTACAATGTACACTACTCAGGTGACAGATGCACTAAAATCCTAGACTTCACCACTATCCAATTCATCCATGTAACCAAAAAACACTAGTGCCTCTGAAGCTACTGAAATTTAAAAGTTTTTTAAAAATTCAACATGAGGTTTAAAGTAGACAAACCATATTTAAACTATAACTAGATACGCTTTCATTCATTTCTCTTTATCTTTTACGTATCTTTGATAGGTCTTTTCTTTGTGATTACCATGAGGCTTACATATAACACCTTATAGTTATAACATGCTATTTTAAGCTTATAGTAATTTAAATTTGATCCCCTCCCCAACATTCTCTATATATATTTTAATTATGACATTTGAAGAAACTTGAAAAAAATAAATATTTTATACACCACACACACACACACACACACACACACACACACACACACACAAAGTCTTACTCTGTTACCCAGGCTGGAGTGCAATGGCATGATCTTGACTCACTACAACGTCCACCTCCTGGGTTCAAGCAGTTCTCCAACCTCAGCCTCTTGAGTAGCTGGGATTACGGGTGCATGCAACCATGCCCTGGTAATTTTTGTATTTTTAGTAGAGATGGGGTTTCACCATGTTGGCCAGGCTGCTCTCGAACTCCTGGCCTCAAGTGATCTGACTGCATTGGCCTCCCAGTGTGCCGAGATTACAGGTGTGAACCACCACGTCTGGCCACATTCTGTATTTTTGATGTCACAATTTGCATATTCATCTATGCTAAGAACTGACTCAGATAAGTGATGGTTTGAGATAAGCCTAGATAGGTAAATAGGACATGACAGAACTTTAGTCTTGTTTTTCCTAGAAGGATATAGAAAATCACTGAAGCAATTTAGACGAGGAAGTAATACTAGAACAGGCAATACAACATCTCAAATTCATTTTGAGTTCTAACTCTAAGGAACACATTTTGCACAGGTTTATATATATGTTAAATGCATTTTTCTTGGTGCAAAGTCATCAAAAGTACATACTAACAGAGCTTTCTTCTATTACATAAACATCTGCCATTTACAATAAACAAGGGAAGTATTAAAATAAGAGACAGAAGATGGTTTTCTTCAATTTATGTAATCTGTGTCTAGATATCAAGACACTAATAATCAACCTTAATCATTCTAATAAATTCAAGATATGGAACACAGAGGTGCAGATACACAACACAATTTGCAACACTTTTCATCTTCTCAACTAAAATAATCCATATAAAATTATGGTTATTTATTTTAGAGAAGGAGTCTCACAGTGTCATCCAGGCTGGAGTGCAGTGGCACGATTACAGCTCACTGCAGAACTCCTGGGCTTACGCAGTCCTCCTACCTCAGCATCCCAAATAGCAGGACTTCAGTTACACACCACAATATCTGGCTAATTTTTTTTTTGAGGGCGGGAGGCGGTAACAAAGTCTCACTCTTGTTGCCCAGGCTGGAGTGCAATGGCATGATCTCGGCTCACTGCAACCTCCGCCTCCCAGGTTCAAGCGATTCTCCTGCCTCAGCCTCCCAAATAGCTGGGATTACAGGTGCCTGCTACCACGTCCAGCTAATTTTTGTATTTTTTAGTAGAGACAGGGTTTCACCATGTTGGCCAGGCTGGTCTCGAACTCCTGACCTCAGGCGATCTGCCCGCCTCGGGCTCCCAAAGTGCTGGGATTATAGGTGTAAGCCACCGTGCCCAGTCAATATCTGGCTAATTTTTAAATTTTTTGTAAAGATAGAGTCTCACTCTATTGACCAGGGTAGTCTCAAACTCCCGGTCTCAAGGGATCCTCCTGTTTTGGCCTCTCAAAGTGCTGAGATTACACGGATGAGCCACTATACCCAGAACATACCTATTTATCCATTTAAAAAAATCCACATTATGTTTGGCCAGGTTTTACAGAGCACTTTTGATCACATTACACAATAGGAAGGGCAAGTAATACACCAATTTTTCACTTGTAAAAATGGAGACTCTGTGTTTTTTTTCAGCAACACTTACATAAACACAGTAGAAATGTAATACTTGGTTGTGGAATGCCTGAACAAATGAAAAATAAATACATATGTCTGTAATTTTTTAAATTTATTTTTAATTGACAAATAAAAATTATACATATTTATAGTGTATGACATGATGTTTTGATACATCTTTTTTTTTTTTTTTTTTTTTTTTTTGAGACAGGATCTGGCTCTGTCACCCAGTCTGGAGTGCAGTGGTGCAACCTCGGCTCACTACAACCTTTGCCTACTGAGCTTAAGCCATCCTCCTACCTCAGTCTCCTGAGTAGCTGGGACTACTGGCACCCACCACCACGCCCAGCTAATTTTTGTTATTTTTTGTAGAGACGGGGTTTCGCCATGTTTCCCAGGCTGGTCTCAAACTCCTGAGCTCAAGCAATCTGCCCACCTTGGCCTCCCAAAGTGCTGAGATTACTGGCGTGAGCCCCTGCACCCAGCCTTGATACATCTTTTTATATTGTGAATCCATTAACAAATTATTGTAGTTACAGTTTTTTTGTTTTGTGTTTTTTTTTTTTTTTTTTTTTTTTTTTTTAGAGACAGGGTCTTGCTGTCATTCAGGCTGGACTGCAGTGGCTCAATCATAGCTCACTATAACCTTGAACTCCTGGCCTCAAGAGATCCTCCTGCCTCAGCCTCCCAAAGCTCTGGGATCACAGGTGTGAGCCACCATGCTCAGCATTATAGTTATTTTTAATGTTCATTTCTTTTAACCTTTGTGTTGAAGATATAAGTGACAGATGAGTGATATACGTATTTATGGTTTTATTCCTTTTTCTACTAATCAATTAGTGGTGTATCGAGTTATTTTTGCTTCTTTTCTGGATTTTACTTAGAGCAAATTTCCCAAAGGAAAAGAAAATGTATTGATTTGTTCTACTGTTTTTTGTTTGTTTGTTTTCTGTCTTCTTTTACTGATATCTTTTGTTGGTTTTTCTTAGCTTGTCGATAAATTTCTAACTTCTTAGGTTGAATACCTATTTCATTCTTTTTTTGGTTTTTCTTCTCATTTAGTAATATAAACATTGAATACAATAAATGTTTCTCTACGTACTGTTTTGGTTAAGATCTTATAAATGTAATGTTTTCAATTTTGTTATTTTCTAGACATTCTGAAATTTGATTTTGGTTTCTTCTTTGATTAACAGTTGTTCATGAGAGTTCTTATTTATTTTAATTTCTGATGTAGAGCTTTATCTTCTATCTTGGATATTTTATTTTTCATCATGCTGAGCTCAGATAATATCATCAATCAATGTTTTTAATATTTCATGAGATTGTGACAAGATTATTCTAAAGTACTGGGTTAGATGTAATGGACATACAGTCATGTGTTATAGATTTTTATCATCTAATATTGGAAAAGTTGTTTTGAGTGAGTGGTTTCATTCCTTTACCGTAGCGATTTTTTTTTTGTTTTATTATTATTATTATTATTTTTTGAGACAGAGTCTTGCTCCATCACCCAGGCTGGAGTGCAGTGGCACGATCTTAACCCACTGCAACCTCCACCTCCCTGGTTCAAGAGATTCTCCTGCCTCAGCCTCCCGAGTAGCTGGGATTACTGGCATGCACCACCACGCCTGGCTAATTTTTGTATTTCTAGTAGAGATGGAGTTTCACTATGTTGGCCAGGCTGGTCTCAAACTCCTGACCTCAGGTGATCCGCCCGCCTCGGCCTCCCAAAGTGCTGGGATTACAGGCGTGAGCCACTGCGCCTGGCCAGATTTTTAACTGTGGTTAATTTTGTCCCACGCTCCCTCAGGGGACGTTTGGCAATGTCTACACATATTTTTGGTTGTCACAACTAGGGTGGGGGACACAGAGGTGGCATTAGCATCTAATAGGTAGAGGATAGGGATACTGTTAAACATCCTACAATGCACAGGATAACTTCCCACAGCAAATAATTATCTGGCCTCAAATGTCAATAGAACTGGGGCTGAGGAAGCCTGTTAACACAAGACTCTTTCTTGATAGATGCTAAAGGGTACTGGTTCCTAATGCCATGCTTTCAGCTCATTGCATACAACTGAAAACTAATCCTTTTAGGTTTATTTCTATAGCACTTAAAGTAAACAGCCCATCCATTATAATTCACCTATTTTTATGTATTTTATCTGTTCTCAGATTATTAAACTGATAATGGATTTCATGCTTTCAATGTTTGCATTTGAAGCACATGGACAAATGAGTCCCAGTGAAAATGAGTTCATGCAGGAAACAGAAATTACAAATTATAAATTATGTCTTCAGTATAAGCCAAGAGAAAATTGCTCTGATAAATAACAGACTGCTATTAAGATGGAAGCAATAAGACATCAGATTAAGCTGGTTATCTACTTTCCTTCCTGTTCCCAATTTTTAAAAATAACTATGCAGAAAGTCAATTTAAAGACCAAATTCATATCACCTTTAGAATAAAGAAAGCATACTATCGGTGAACTTAAAACTCTCAAAAACAGAAAGCACAAGAGATTGGATTGACAACAAAATAAGAGTAAACTGCAATCCAAAGCACTTGCAGTGAACAGCTTCTGCAAAGACAAGAGCAATTTTAGACATGTTCCAACCTTGGAGTCAATTAAAAATTTAAAAAGCAGAAGCTTTTAGGGAATCAGCAGATAATTCATTAAAGACCTGCACTTCAAAAAGTTACACCAATGACCTCGCACTCCACCAGCGCTATTCCTTGCTATACACACAGAGTTCCAAGGATCTACTAATAGCCACATTTGTTCTTCTGGTTGGAATCCACTTCTTTCTAATCAAAGTGAATACTGTACCTGAAAAGGGCAGGTAACACAAGTATTGAGACTAGAGAGAGAAGCAAAACACTGCCTGGGGTGACTTCAAAGAACCACACAAGCCAGGCTCAATGGCGCACACCTATAATCCCAGCGCTTTGGAAGGCCGAGGCAGGAGGATCTCTTGAGCAGAGGAGTTTGAGGCTTCAGGGAGCTACGATCATTGCTGCACTTCCAGCCTGGGTGACAGAGTCAGACTCTGTCTCCAGTAAATAAAAAAACAAACAAACAAACAAACAAATAAATAAATAAGAATCACACAAAAGGCAGGAGATAAAAAGGAAAGAGTGAAGCTGATTCTGGCATTTACTTCCAGGATGAAGCTGGGGATGGGGGAGAGATGAGACAATGGAAGGAGGAAACAGGAAGGCATATCAGTATTAAAAGGATCTCTTGGGTTATGTAAGGTCAGATACACTATGATTGTGTTATGTATAAATATTACCTCCTAACATCTCCCTGAGGAAGGCAAAGAAGCCAATGACATGAACAGCCCAACAATTGTCCTGGAAACCCTAAAACTAGTTATCTCCTCTTGCTAAGTCCACCTGCCTTCTGGGAAAGGAGACTCTGAAAGGAAATGTTAAACACCAGAGTCAACTGTGGAAAGCTGAGAAACAATTGCAGCACATAGATTACACCAGCCAACTGCAAAGAAGATCACAACAGAGTTTTGTCCAAAATGGCCTTGGGCAACTAAGAGTTCAAAAGGCAGAACAGAAAATAACAAGGCTCCAAATACACTGATCATGGCCAGGCGCAGTGGCTCATGCCTGTAATCCCAGCACTCTGGGAGGTGGATGGGGGTGTGGATCACCTGAGGTCAGGAGTTCAAGACCAGCCTGGCCAACATGGTGAAACCCCGTCTCTACTAAAAATACAAAAATTAGCCAGGTGTGGTGGTGCATGCCCGTAATCCTAGCTACTTGGGAGGCTGAGGCAGGAGAATCACTTGAACCTGGGAGGCAGAGGTTGCAGTGAGCCAAGAACACACCACTGTACCCCAGCCTGGGCAACAAAGCAAGACTCCATTTCAAAAAAAAATCACTGATCACAACCAAAAAATTCTAGGATCATTCTTCACAGATGTGTGGCATGAACGGATGACCCTTATGCACAGGTGTCATCAGTCAAAGCTGTACCTGATAATTAGCACCATCAATTTCCACCTCTATTTCTATGCTCTTTGAACTGGAGACTGGTGTTAGACACCTTTGGAATGCCTCACACATACATCCTTTGGAGTAAGCTCCTGAAGACAGATTTTACGTAATGTAAAATAATGGCCCCTTGTTGGCTCATGGTGACCTTGCATATATCCATAGACCACATGAGCCAAGTTTGAACTGCAGCTAATCTGAGCCTCGGCCAAACATCCTGCATCCTTCTGAACCTTGAGCACATGGGAGGCTTTTGAGGAGATGCTTGGGGCCATTCTCACTCACTTTTCTATCTGTCAAGGAGGCTGTAATGAGGCAATTCCTCATCTCCTTCCAGTGTCTCATGAGGTTTGAGTCTTTCTGTTACCTAATGGGGTAACAGCTGCGGAGCTGTAACATAGCTAAGCAGTAGCATAGCAGTAGCTACCCCAGCAACAGAGCATACCATTATTCACATTGCAATCATCTGGGCCGTTTTCTTTTAGTGTTGCCCTACCCAAGGGAGTAAACACAGGAGACTGTCTTATTATAAGAGACATGGAAATTGAAAAACAGAGAGAAACAGAGATTATGCTGCTATATTTGGAAGGAAATAATAAAATTACTTAGATTTTAATAATGATTCCCCCAAGGGTCCTAGTGGTTCATAATTATGTCTTTTTTTCTTTTTATTTTTTTGGAGATAGAGTCTCAGTCTGTCTCCCAGGCTGGAGTGCAGTGGCGAGATCTCGGCTCCTTGCAATCTCTGCCTTCCGGGTTCAAGCGATTGTCCTGCCTCAGCCTCCCGAGTAGCTGGAATTACAGGCGCCCACCACCAGGCCCAGCTAATTTTTGTATTTTTAGTAGAGACGAGGTTTCGCCATGTTGGCCAGGCTGGTCTTGAACTCAGGTGAATCCGCCCGCGTCAGTCTTCCGAAGTGCTGGCATTACAGGTGTGAGCCACCGCGCCGGCCATCTTTGTTTCTTTAATTCAGTGGTCCGCAACCTTTTTGGCACCAGGGACTGGTTTATTAGAAGACAATGTTTCCATGCACGGGGGTGAAGCGGGGGCTGGTGGAGGGGGGCGTGGAGGATGGTTTCGGGATGATTCAAGCACATTACATTGATTGTGCACTTTATCTCTATTATTACATTGTACTATATAATTAAATAATTACACAACTCACCATAATGTAGAATCAGTGGGAGCCCTGAGCTTGTGTTCCTGCAACTAGACAGTTTCATCCGGGGGGGGGTGATGGTGAGAGGTGACAGCGTGCTGGCAGTCCTCACAGCCCTTGCTCGCTCTAGGCGCCTCCTCTGCCTGGGCTCCCACTTCGGTGGCACTCGAGGAGGCCCTTCAGCCCGCCGCTGCACTGTGGGAGCCCCTTTCCGGGCTGGCCAAGGCCGGAGCCGGCTCCCTCAGCTTGCTGGGAGGTGTGGAGGGAGAGGCGCGGGCGGGAACTGGGGCTGCGCGCGGTGCTTGCGGGCCAGCGCGAGTTCCGGGTGGGCGTGGGCTGGGCGGACCCCTCACTCGGAGCGGCCAGCTGGCCCCACCAGCCCCGGGCAGTGAGGGGCTTAGCACCTGGGCCAGCAGCTGCTGTGCTCAATTTCTCGCTGGGCCTTAGCTGCCTTCCCGCGGGGCAGGGCTCGGGACCTGCAGCCCGCCCTGCCTGAGCCTCCCCCCAACTCTGTGGGCTCCTGTGCTGCCTGAGCCTCCCCGGCGAGCGCCACCCCCTGCTCCACGGTGCCCAGTGCCATCGACCACCCAAGGGCTGAGGAGTGTGGGCGCACAGCACGGGACTGGCAGGCAGCTCCACCTGCAGCCCCAGTGCGAGATCCACTGGGTGAAGCCAGCTGGGCTCCTGAATATAATGGGAACTTGGAGAACCTTCATGTCTAGCTAAGGGATTGTAAACACACCAATCAGCACCCTGTGTCTAGCTCAGGGTTTGTGAATGCACCAATCCACACTCTGTATCTGGCTACTCTGGTGGGGACTTGGAGAACCTTTATGTCTAGCTCAGGGATTGTAAATACACCAATTGGCACTCTGTATCTAGCTCAAGGTTTGTAAACACACCAATCAGCACCCTGTGTCTAGCTCAGGGTTTGTGAATGCACCATTCAACACTCTGTATCTAGCTAATCTGGTGGGGACGTGGAGAACCTTTGTGTCTAGCTCAGGGATTGTAAACACACCAACCAGCGCCCTGTCAAAACAGACCACTCGGCTCTACCAATCAGCAGGGTGTGGATAGGGCCAGATAAGAGAATAAAAGCAGGCTGCCGGAGCCAGGAGTGGCAACCGGCTCGGGTCCCCTTCCACACTGTGGAAACTTTGTTCTTTCGCTCTTTGCAATAAATCTTGCTGCTGCTCACTCTTTGGGTCCACACTGCCTTTATGAGCTGTAACACTCACCGCGAAGATCTGCAGCTTCACTCCTGAAGCCAGCGAGACCACAAACCCACCGGGAGGAACAAACAACTCCAGATGCGCCGCCTTAAGAGGTGTAACACTCACCACGAAGGTCGGCAGCTTCACTCCTGAGCCAGCGAAACCACGAACCCACCAGAAGGAATAAACTCCGAACACATCCGAACATCAAAAGGAACAAACTCCGGATACACTGCCTTTAAGAACTGTAACACTCACCGCGAGGGTCCGCGGCTTCATTCTTGAAGTCAGTGAGACCAAGAACCCACCAACTCCCGACACAATGGGAGGCAGTGACAGATCCTCAGGCATTAGATTCTCATAAGGAGCATGCAACAGAGATCTCTTGAATGTGCAGTTCACAACAGGGTTCGTGCTCCTATGAGAATCTAATGCTACTGCTGATCTGACAAGAGGCGGAGTTCAGGCGGTAGTGGGAGCCATAGGGAACAACTGTAAATACAGATGACGCTTCACTCCTGTGCAGCCCAGTTCCTAACCAATACCGGTCCGTGGCCCCAGGGCTGGGGACCCCTACTTTAACTGATCGATATTCCTCATAGATCCTGACACCTCTGCTTCCACGTTAGTCTCTGCTTCATAGCCATTGCAATTCCAGCTTGCACAAGAGTTGGTAAAATGTTCCATTTTATAGTTTTTTAAGCAAACATATATACCTTATCTACCTCTATGAAAATTAATAAACCAGATTGTAAGATTTTTTTAAATTTAATGAAGCAAGTTATTATTCCAATTATCCAATAGACATGGTGTTAATATATCAAATGTTAATATAAATATGAAGAGGAACTCAAAGATTTCTAGAGTTTTTTTCTTTCTTTTTGTACTTTAAAGGTATCTCAGAAAAAAAAAATCTTGCTAAGGTGGTAACAGAAAAAAATGTTTTTAAGAAGTTACCTGTAAGTTTAACCAATGGCCTTGATTACTAGGAAATGCGATAACAGCAACAATTTTTTTAATAGAGATGTCACTATGTTGCCCAGGCTGGCCTCAAACTCCTGGCCTCAAGAAATTCTCCTGCCTCAGCCTCCCAAAATGCTGGGACTACAGGCATGAGCCAAATTGTCTAAACAACTTAAAAATTATCATAACTAATATATAGTTATAATGGGAAAAGTTTTATATAATAATCCTAATCGAGGATTCGTTATTCAATTAAACTGGCTTAATACTTTTAGCTTAGAAATAGCTGTCTTTTCTCAGATTTTACCAGTATAAAATTATTTACCATAATTTCTTATTTTAACAAGTCTTGGGTTTATTTTCTAATATAAAGCCTAATTAATTTGAGTTTTATGAATTTCCTCTACTGATTTTACTCGTCAAATAAGCTAATTCAGATGAGATTATAAAATATTAAAATTATGTGTCAAACTAAATTATAATACATAATTCTTTATCAAAGGGATTATTACAAGGCTTTAAATCATACAGATTTAATGTGTCAGCATAGATTGTAATTTCCAAGTCCTTAGTTTTTAGACCTTAAGCTGATATTAAATTAACTGTGAAGTATCTTCATATACCTGAATTTTTTTTTTCATACAGAGTCTCGCTGTTGCCCAGACTGGAGTGCAGTGGCATGATCTCAGCTCACTGCAACCTCTGCCTCCTGGGTTCAAGCGATTCTCCTGCCTCAGCCTCCCGAGTAGCCAGGACTATAGACCCGCACCACCACACCCAGCTAATTTTTGTATTTTAGTAGAAATGGGTTTTTGCCATGTTGGCCAGGCTGGTCTTGAACTCTTGGCCTCAAGCGATCCATCCCCCTTGGCCTCCCAAAGTGCTGGGATTACAGGCACGAGCCACTGCCCCCGGCCCCTGGAAAATTTTTAAGATAAAGATATAAAACACTGGTCACTAAACATCATTTTAATTTATATTTGTCTCATATTTTTACAAAAATTACAGAATAGGCCAGGTGCAGTGTCTAATACTTCATAAGGCTCTTGAGAGGACTGAGACAATGCGTGTAAGCACTCAATATGTATTAACTGTTGGTGTTTTGTTGTTGTTGTTTCTTTTAGACAGACTCTCACTCTGTCACCCAGGCTGGAGTGCAGTAGCACTGTCTCGGCTCACTGCAACCTCCACCTCCCAGGTTCAAGCGATTCTCCTGCCTCAGCCTTCCAAGTAGCTGGGACTACAGGTGTGTGCTCCTACACCTGGCTAATTTTTGTATTTTTAGTAGAGATGGGATTTTGCCATGTTGGCCAGGCTGGTCTCAAACTCCTGTCCTCAAGAGATCTTCCCACCTCCGTCTCCGAAAGTGCTGGGATTACAGGCATGAGTCACCACTCCCATCCTTAATAATTATTTATTTTAAAAAATACTCTGGCCAAATTGAAACAACCCCTTGCCAAAGACTAACAGGCTGATACAAAGACATACAGATTTTATTTTCCTGTCTGGAAATATCTTCAATCATCAATAATAATGAAAGCTCACTTTACCAGCAAAAATTTTTTTAATGTATGCAAAGTATTCACATTAATTTGAAACATTTTGTCCACATTATCCTTAAAGCTCTACGAAAAAGGTAAGCTAATGATATTTTAAAGTCAATACTGCCAGCTTTTAAAGGAGCTTACTTTTCCTTGGCTGAAAGTGTTACCACGAGCCTGAATGATAAGGAGAGCTTTACCCTATCTCTATAAACCCTCCCTATATGAAATTGTTACTAAAATTCCCTGAAGATTTTGCTTAAGACTTGTACTGAAAGATTCTGCCTTGTACATTCTGACCTCATTGGTTATCATATTATTTAACTCATATATACTTAATTATATGTGAGAAGACTTCAATCTGGATGAACCTTGAAGACAGTACAATAAGTGAAATAAACCAGTCCCAAAAAGGCAAACACTATAGGATTCTACTGATTGGAGGTTCCTAGGGCAGTCAAATTCGTAGAAACAGGAAGTAAAATGTTGGTTGCCAAGGACTGGAGGGAAGAAGGAATGAGAGTTATTGTTCAATGGGTATGATGTTTCAGTTGGGGAAGATGAAAATGTTCTAGAAATGAATGGTGATATGGTTGCACAACAATGTGAATGTACTTAATGCCACTGAACTTATGCTGAAAAAAGGTTAAAACAATAAATTTCGGCCAGGTGTGGTGGCTCACGCCTGTAATCCCAGCACTTTGGGAGGCTGAGGCGGGCAGATCACAAGGTGAAGAGATCAAGACCATCCTGGCCAACATGGTGAAACCCCGTCTCTGCTAAAAATACAAAAATTAGCTGGGCATCGTGGCGCATGTCTATAGTCCCAGCTACTCAGGAGGCTGAGGCAGGAAAATCGCTTGAATCTGGGAGGTGGAGGTTGCGGTGAGCTGAGATCACATCACTACACTCCAGCCTGGCGACAGAGCAAGACTTTGTCTCAAAACAAAACAAAAAAAACAATAAATTTCATGTTATATATATTTTATAAGAAGAAGAGAAGGAGGAGGAAGAGGAAGGCGGGGAGGAGGAAGAGGAGAAGAACTTAAGATTCTACAACCTCGTATCTACCAAGAGGTTAGTCTGGAAGAAAATGATAAAAAGAAAAAAGTTATGTAACTTTCACATACAAACTTGCTGGAAATCTGACCCTGGAACCCACTTAAAAGCCCCAGAAACAGACCACTGCCAATGCAGACAACATCTGTGAATTCTGTGATTTAAGATCGTGTGACTCAAGATGACATCCAGTGTAGACAAAGTCCTGCCAAGGTCTTTGAATCAAGATTTATGATCAGGGTAAGGGATTTACACTTGAACTCAGGTCTTACTATTTATTGCATCTTCTTTTTTTTTCCATTTTTCCTTTCATGCTAATCCTTCTGGCATCTGAACCACTATCCATTCCCAACTGTTGAATTTGTTTTCTAGACTTTTGAAGTATTTAAAATAAAGCCTGATGTCAAAGGTTGTCAAAAGGGAGCTAAGATGCTGAATTTCACTGGTTTCTAAGAAAGATTCTACTGTGGCAAGATGTTTCAAAACCAGAATGTATGACCCATAATTTACCTCTGATCAACCAAATAACAGTTAAAATACTCAATTAAGACACACACACACAGACACACACACACACAGCAGCTTATTGAACTAAACTTGGGGAAACTACTCTCTTTGATAAGCCATAAATTCCCAATGTTTCTCATAATATTTGCTCCCTCCTCCATTGCCTAAGAGCCAGGTGCTAACATGTTGCTACACACACCATTGACAATTGATAAAATTGACAATTGATGAAACTGTGTCAAGGCTGTGTCAAGAAGAGACTAGGCCGGGTGCAGTGGCTCACACCTGTAATGTCAGCACTTTGGGAGGCCAAGGCGGGCAGATCACTTGAGGTCAGGAGTTTGAGACCAGCCTGGCCAACATGGCGAAACCCCGTCTCTACTAAGAATACAAAAATTAGCCAGGCGTGGTGGCAGGCGCCTGTAGTCCCAGTTACTCAGGAGGCTGAGGTAGGAGAACTGCTTGAACCTGGGAGATGGAGCTTGCAGTGAGCCAAGATCATGCCGCTGCACTCCAGCCTGGGAGACAGAGTGAGACTCTGTCTCAAAAAAAAAAAAAAAAAAAAAAAAGGAAGAGACTGACTCCTCATGGCCAAACCTGTTCCACTTGGAGCTTGTTTGACCAAAATGGAGGAATTGAGAAATTCCTATGAGGAAAGTAGCACAGCCCTGGCCCAGCTGAGGAAGAGATGCTCACAGAAGGACCTGACAGACGTTATACTAGAGACCACATGGCATGCACACCACGAGTAAAATTCCCAAAGCCATCTGGAAAAGCCACAAACTTATGAAATTCTGACTACAGGTCAGCCTTCTCAAGGACAAAATGTCCAGGCTGACCCCTCTACTAGCTGCCAACTAGCTTTCCAAATGGAGAAGTAGAAGTATATTGCAATAAGATTTTTAACAATGAATGTGAAGTTGTTTGATGATAGCCTGTTTTAAGTTAAATATGCACAGGGGAAACTCTGGAACAATCTTTTAGTGCAGTGGAATGATCACAACTCACTATAGCCTTGACCTCTGGGCTCAAACAATCCTCCCACCTCATCTCCTGAGGCACGTTCCACCACACCTAACTAATTTTTTTTTTTTGGTAGACAAGAGGTCTTACTATGTTTCCCAGGCTGGTCTCAAACTCCTGGGCTCAAACAATCTTCCTGCTTTGGCTCCCAAAGAACTGAGATTACAGGCGTGAGTCATTGTACCTAACCACAGTCATTTTTTTCAAAAAACAAGTATAGCTAATAAATCAATAGTGGAGATACATGGGATCACAAAAATATTTACTTAACCCAAAAGTAATCCCACTTGTAATCCCAGCACTTTTGGGAGGCTGAGGCAGGAGGATCACTTGAGGCCAGGAACTCAAGACCAGCTAGGAAAATGTAGTGAAACCTCAACAACAAAATTTTTTTTTAAGTTAGCTGGGTGTGCTGGCACACACCTGTAGTCCCAGCTACTCAGGAGGCTGAGGTAGGAGGATCCCTTGAGTCCAGGTGTTCAAGGCTGCAGTGAGATATGATCGCACCACTGCACTCCAGCCTGGGTAATGGGGTGAGACACTGTCTCTAAAAATAAAATTAAAATGCCAAAAGTACCAAAATAATAATAATAATGTGACATAAACTAAAGCATATGATTAACTCAGCCCTCTGTACATGAAGTCCAACCAAGAAATATATATACATAATAAAATATTATCTAGTCAGATCTGTTAGAGGCTTTTTTTAGACATTCTGGCTTTTCTATGCTATTCTAAAATTATATATATATGGCCTCTATTTTTTCTGATTAGTTCTAATTGTTTGGCTTTTTGTTTTTAAATTTAGACCCTTAATTCATCTGAAAATATTTTTGCATCTGCTATGCAATATAGTCATAACTATATTTTTTAAATAGAGATCCAGCTGTCCCAATGCCATTTTTTTTTCTTTTGAGACAGAATTTCGCTCTTGTTGCCCAGGCTGGAGTGCAGTGGCGTGATCTCACCTCACTGCACCCTCCACCTCCCGGGTTCAAGCGATTCTCCTGTCTCAGCCTCCCAAGTAGCTGGGATTACAGGCACGCGCCACCATGCCCAGCTAATTTTTGTATTTTCAGTAGAGACAGGGTTTCGCCATGTTGGCCAGGCTGGTCTCAAACTCCTGACCTCAGGTGATCCACCCACCTCACCCTCCCGAAGTGCTGGGATCACAGGCATGAGCCACGTGCCCGGCCCCAATACCATTTTTACTCAAGGGGCCATCCTTTCCTCACTGATTGTAAATGGCCCATTTATCATACATTTCACTCCCATTTGTACATAGGTCTATTTCTGGGTTATTTTGATTCCTCTGATATATTTGACACATTCCCCTACCAAAAATACTAATTAGTGTTGCTTTAGAATATAGTTTAGTATCTATTAGGTCCTCCCTCACTATTATTCTTTTTCAAAACATTGTTGGTATAATTACCACTTTTTATCCCTTAAGACGAAAATGGAAACTTTTCAAGATCCCCTCCCAAATGCTGCATGGGGATTCTCTTTGGAATTGCATAGAATTAATACATTATTTTGAGAAACGTGAACAGCTTTTTCATAGTAAATCTTTCCATCTAGAAACATGGTATGTATCTGTGTTCAGCTCTTGTTTTATGTCCTTCAGTAAAATTGCACAGTTTTCCTCACATAAGTGTTCTGCCTTTCTTGCTTAATTTAGCTTTGGGTAATTTATAGATTTGTTGCTGCTGTAAATTTTTTAAATTTCTATTTCTAACGGGGATGTCATTATAAAGAAAAGCTATTGATCTTTTACTATTCACCTTGTAGCTAGAGGTCATTCTAAATTGCCTTTTTATATATAATAGTTTCTTTTTTTAAATCTCAGTATCTTGAATTTTCAATTATCAGACAGTGATAGGTGATTGGTCATTGTTTTCCTTCCAGAGTCCTTCCAGAGTTGGAAATAGACCCATGTACAAATGGGAAAGAAATGTATGATAATTGGGGCACTTACAGTCAGTGAGGAAAGGATGGCCCCTTGAATGAAAATGGCATTGGGACAACTGGATCGCCATTTAAAAAAATATATAAAGTAGGCTGGGTGCAGTGGCTCCCACCTGTAATCCCAGCACTTTAGGAGGCCATGGCGGGTGGATCACCTGAGGCCAGGAGTTTGAGACCAGCCTTGGCAACATGGTGAAACCCTGTCTCTACTAAAAATACAAAAAAAAATAGCCTGGCTTGGTGGTGCGCACCTATATCCCAGCTACTCGGGAGGCTTAGGCATGGATGGCTTGAACCTGGGAGGTGAAGGTTGCAGTGAGCCCAGATCACGCCACTGCACTCCAGCCTGGGCAACAGAGCAAGACTCTGTCTCAAAATAAATAAAATAAAATAAAAAATAAAGTTATGACTATATTGTACGGCAGATGCAAAAATATTTTCAGATGAATTAAAGGTCTAAATTTAAAAACCAAAGGCCAAACAATTAGAACTAATCAAGGAAATGTCTGCCTCTGGCCAGCCACATAGTCAGCCCTTGTCATGTGGTCAGCCCATGTTTGCTCATCCTGCGTGTCTGCAACATTTCATAAACCCCTGACTCCGTGACTATGTGCAGCCCTCCAGAAGAATACCTTGGAGACAATAAGCAGGACAGAGCATAGGTTCCCACGTCTCTTGCCTGAATCACTGCATTTTGAGAAAAGATAAGTTCAATAATCCTGGCACTTGCCTGTTCATAAGATAACATCTGACAGGATTAATGATTCTGCCTCTGTCATCTATAACCAGATGTACTCTTGCACCCAAACTTTGCTGAGATGTTGCCCTAATGTAACTTCTGAGCACATTTGACTTCACTCATGAGCACATGCAGAACCTCTACCACTTGCTATATAAACTGTGGACTGAAATACAGCTTTGAGCAGTCTAACTGAAACTCTGAAAGACTCTCCCACATTGCAATGCTCAGTAACTCTAAATAAAACTGTAACTTTAATTCTTTAAAAGTCTGATTTTTCTTTAGTTGACCAGAGTATCAGGGGAAAAAAAAGGAAATTTAGATTCAAACTATTCTTATTTTATTTTACACACACACAGTGAGCAGAATGTTTACAGTATTGTTTAAAAATTGGAAAAATGTTAAAAATTTACTTTACTGATGTATAAGGTCAAGGCTGTATCCAGAAGCAAATATAAACAAATATGGCAGATCACGAGGTCAGGAGATCGAGACCATCCCGGCTAAAACGGTGAAACCCCGTCTCTACTAAAAATACAAAAAATTAGCCGGGCGTAGTGGCGGGCGCCTGTAGTCCCAGCTACTTGGGAGGCTGAGGCAGGAGAATGGCGTGAACCCGGGAGGCGGAGCTTGCAGTGAGCCGAGATCCCGCCACTGCACTCCAGCCTGGGCGACAGAGCGAGACTCCGTCTCAAAAAAAAAAAAAAAAAAAAAAAACCAAATATAAACATAATGAAAGGAGGTATTCAGGGGAAAAATGATATATATATAAAATTAAGCAGGTTCTATGGGCCAGGCACAACATAGGAGCTTAAAATTTGATAAGAAAGGCCGGGCGCGGTGGCTCACGCCTGTAATCCCAGCACTTTGGGAGGCCGAGGCGGGCGGATCACGAGGTCAGGAGATCGAGACCATCTTGGCTAACACAGTGAAACCCCGTCTCTACTAAAAATACAAAAAATTAGCTGCGCGTGGTGGCAGGCGCCTGTAGTCCCAGCTACTCAGGAGGCTGAGGCAGGAGAATGGCGTGAACCTGGGAGGCGGAGCTTGCAGTGAGCCGAGACTGCGCCACTGCACTCCAGCCTCGGCGACAGAGCAAGACTCCGTCTCAAAAACAAACAAACAAAAAATTTGATAAGAAAAGGGTTAATAATTTTAAATTGACTAGGCACAGTGGCTCATGCTTGTAATCCCAGCACTTTGGGAGGCCAAGGCAGGAGGATCTCTTGAGGTCAAGAGTTTGAGACCAGCTCTGGCAACATAGTGAGACCCCACCTCTACACACACACAAAAAAAATTTAAAAATTAAATTATGTTAAATAAGATAAATGTACATAAATTTATACCAATAAGCAACATTATATAAACTACAGGCAATCATCCCTTTGCATGATAGTGTGGGACTGCAAAAAAAAAGGCTGCAAGCTAAAACCATGCAAAACAGTCATAATAATCAATGGGGAAAGTTACAACTGTCTGTGATGTTTAAATTTTTGTTGAAACATTAAAAACTTTCTTTTTCTTGATTATAAATGTATAGTGAAATGGGAAAAAAGTACAACTAATATTTAATCAGCATACTATAAAATTTTAGAAACATTGAAAATTAAACTGCTTTATTTCCTTGTAAAAAATATATCAAGAGTAGTCTGAAAAGTTTTTGCCTTTTTCTCATATAATTTATGATACAATACAAACATCTTTTCTATGCTTTGAAGAACTGTCATACTCTTTTCTAAGTTTGAATCAGACACCAACATTTTATCCTTCATGCTTTCAATGTCATAAAATATCTCTGAGAATTCCTTTAATGCAAAGTTTTTTTGCTGCTGTCACTTCCTCTGGAAGATCTTCATCCTTTTTCTTATAAATATTTTTCTTCAATTTGTCAATAAAGTCACCTTCACCAAATGCCCCTGACTGCCTGTGTAGTCAGGCATTCAACATTCTGTCAACAATTTCATCTATAACTCCATTTATGTTGGACTCAAATTTCACATCTAGCATTATCATTCATTGGGTTTTTTTTTTTTCTGCATTCATCTTTACCGACCAAGTCCCTATTTCAATTGTTCATTTTTGTGGAATATTGTGTGGGTTTATCACCAGGAGACAGAGAAGCAACACAGCTACATGCCTTGCTGCCTGTGTGTGAATGGAAGAACAGGTACACAGAGACCATAACACAACCCAAGTGTCCCTAGATGGATAAATGGATAAACAAAATATGGTATAGTCATACAATAAAATATTAATTAGCCATAAAAAGGAATAAAGTTGGGTGCATACTACAATATAGATGAACCTTGAAAACATTATGCTAAGACACCAGTCACAAAGACTACACATTGTATGATTCCATTAACATGAAATATTCAGAACAGGCAAATCCATAAAGACAGAAAGTAGATTAGTGGTAGCCTAGTGTAGAGAGATTCAGGGAAACAGGGAGTGACTGCTAATTAGTATGAGTTTGAGAAGCGATTAAAATGTTCTAAAATGTATAATGATGATGGCCACACAACTCTGTGCAACTAAAAATCATTGAATTGTACACCTTAAATGGGTGATTTGTATATCATATGAATTATATCTTGATAAAGTTGGCATTTAAAAAATCTTATTGCCCATTTAGTTTAAATGTTCTTGGGAGGGAAGGCAGATAACACCTTAGGAAGCTATTCAATGCTCAAGAAAAAAAAATTATGATAAATCGTCGCAGTGAAACACAGAAATTATATGATTACAATTAGAAATTATAACTATAAAGATTAAGGCCAGGCACAGTGGTTCATGACTGTAATCCCAGCACTTTGGGAGACCGAGGTGGCTGGATCACTTGAGGCCGGGAGTTAGAGATCAGCTTGGCCAACATGGCAAAATCCCATCTCTACTAAAAATTTGCCAGGTGTGGTAGTGCTCACCTATAGTCCCAGCTACTCGGGAGGCTGGGGTGGGAGGATTGTTTGAGCCCAGGAGGTGGAGGCTGCCATGAACCGAGATTGTGCCACTGCACTCCAGCCTGGGCAATGGAGTTAGACCCTATCTCAAAAAACAAACAAACAAACAAAAAAACCCAAAAACTATAAAAATTAAAACATGGAAAAGATGCATATAGTATAATGTTAAGTGAAAAAAGTTGAGTGCAACATTGTACCTATACAACAAATTCTAAAGTGTTCCCTGGAATGCAGTTTAATATTGTTACGTTTGCTCTGTTATCACAGGACCTGCAGTTCCTAAATACACTAGGCACTCACTCTTTCTTTCTCATCTCCCCAGATGAAATGATTTGAAACCATGCTATAAAGAGTTATCCTACACATATTGAAATTCCACTTGACATTAATTATACATACATATAAACATACATACACACACACACACACACACACACACACAGAGCCATTCTATTTAAAAGCTGTAAATACAAATTTTATATCAGGGTCTCTGGTTATTTTCAGACTAAAAACACTTCATCTTAAAACGGGATGGCATTCAGAGCTTGGGTAGATTCTAGAAGCAACCTCATGCCAGAATGTGGCTAGCACCTATGCAGACCAAGTCCGGCAGGCAGAAAGAGAAAACAAAATTCTGCTTGCAGGAACTAACTTAAAAAAAAAGAAAAAGAAAAAGAATGTGGCGTCTTTTACACAGGCCAACTTGGATTTGAATGTGTTCTAAAATTCATCGACCATGTGACCTTTTGCGCTACTGAATTTACCTCTCTGTCTCTGAGCTTCAGCTTTCCCCCTGGTAAAATGGGAATAATATCTACCTCAAAGAGTTTCTGTAAAAATCGGGAAAATCAGAGCAAAGCAGCTGGCATAGTACCTCCCTCATAGTAGAGGCTCAATAAATGATAGAGATGTGAGAAGAGGAGCAGCTGTGGTTCAGGTAGTAGGAATAATAGTATTTTTGGTAATCATGGGTGAGTTAATCATTAAAGAGCCAAGGGCCAAATGTCAAGTGGTTAGGTCAGGGGGACAAAACTAGGAGTGTATTCAGGAGATCACCAAGCAAACAAAACAAATATAAAAAATAAGACAGAGGAGGTCACAGTCCCTAGGATGCATTCAGGAATGAAGAAACAGAAAAAATAGGCAAGTGTGCAGGAAGCAAAGCAGATCTTTCTCCAGGAGAACGAAGCTGCACCTGAGGCTGCTTCCGCCAGCATATGTGATTTCTCTTGCCAGTCAGCATCCTCTTCTCAAGGCCTAACAGGATCCTGGCCTATCGCAGGATTTTGCTCTTGTAGGGCAAAGTTTCTTTATATGTGCCAGCTCATTCTATCTCATGCATATTCTGTGAATTCTGTATGTGTGTAGTGGCAGCTAATAGTATTTCCACCTGGACAGAGGGAGGCCAGAGTCCCTGACATTCCCTGCACTGATTTGTCTACTGAGACTAGGTCAATTATCTTCAAAAAGGTATTTGAGGCCAGGTGCAGTGGCTCATGCCTATAATCCCAGCACTTTGGGAGGCCAGGGCAGGAGGATGCCCTGAGCGCAGGACTTTGAGACCACCCTGGGCAACACAGAGAGACCTCGTCTTGACAAAAGATAAGAATAAAAAAGTTATTTGACTACGTCCCTGACATGATCAAGTCTAGTGATTTTCAGACTTTATAGCAACAGAACCCATTCTGAAAGAAAAAGAATTGTATTTGGGACCCCAATAATAAAGAAAAAAAAAACCTATTCTCAATTGACATAATGCATATTTTAAATTCAAATTTATATATTTACAACTTATCATAAAGTCAGTTAATTAGAATGAGGCTGTTTTGAAGAACACCAAAATTAAAAATGATACTGAATGTTATAGCAATCTCTAGAGCAAATTTATTTATTTATTTATTTATATTTATTTATTTTATTTTTTTGAGATGGAGTTTTGCTCTTGTCACCCAGGCTGGAGTGCGATGGTGTGATCTCGGCTCACTGCAACCTCCGCCTCTCAGGTTCAAGCGAGTCTCCTGCCTCAGACTCCCGAGTAGCTGGGATTACAGGCACCCACCACCACACCCAGCTAAGTTTTGTATTATTAGTAGCGATGGGGTTTCACCATGTTGGCCAGGCTGGTCTCAAACTTCTGACCTCAGGTGATCAGCCCACGTTGGCCTCTCAAAGTGCTGGGATTATGGGTGTGAGTCACCACACCTCGCCTTTTTTTTTTTTTTTTTCTAACCTTTTATTTTTTAGAGACAGTCTTGTTCTGTCACCCAGGCTGGAGTGCAGTGGCACGATCTCAGCTTACTGCAGCCTTGACTTCCTGGGCTCAAGTAACCCTCTCACTTTGGGCCCCAAGTAGCTGGGACTACAAGTGCATGCCACCATGCCTGGCGAATTTTTTCTTTTTTTCTTTTTTTAATTGCACAGTACTAAAAAATTCTGACAATATTCAGGAACAGTTGTAAAGAGTAAAAGCTATTTTATTCTTATATTTAAAACCATTTTATTTACTACGTTGATAATTGTTTCCCCAGCAGTGGTAAAAATGACATCAAAATAACAATTTTGCAAGCTCAGATTATTAATATAAAATCAGTAATCAGGCCGGGCGCGGTGGTTCACGCCTGTAATCCCAGCACTTTGGGAGGCTGAGATGGGCGGAACACCAGGTGAGAGATCGAGACCATCCTGGCCAACATGGTGAAACCCTGTCTCTACTAAAAATACAAAAATTAGTTGGGTGTGGTGGCGCACGCCTGTAGTCCCAGCTACTTGGGAGGCTGAAGCAGGAGAATCGCTTCAACCCGGGAGGTGGAGGTTGCAGTGAGCTGAGATCATACCACTGCACTCCAGCCTGGCAACAGAGTGCGGCTCCGTCTCAAAAAAAAAAAAAAAAAAAATCAGTAATCAGCTTTTTAATAGCTGTAGAAATTGGAGAAAAGGATAACCTGAAATGTTTATCTCAAAGTTGAATCACCAGCAATATCCAACACTAGTTGATATTTTTATCATAAATATAAAAATCAAACATGAAGTTCACAAAACATACAATAAAGGCCAAAATTCTTATATTATCGTAACATAGCATATTGTATATTTAGTCACTACTGTGTAACAACTACCCATTCACTGTGGAATACTCTCAAGGAGTCTCAAATGGGTGTTCAATCTCTACCTTATTATTACAAATTTATAACAGATTTCTTTCCATTTAGCAATTTTATAGAATGTCATATATACATATTTAAATATATATAAATTTACATATTATTTATATATAAGCAAAAAATTGGACACAATTCAACGTTAACATAAGGTCATACCACTGTTATTTGCCATACAGCACTTTTAGAAGAAGACAAAATGTTCTAAAGATCAGAGATGGCTGATAATTGATATATCATGTTCTGCAATCATCGTGCCCAGCATTTTGAGTTAGTTGCTGTTGCAATATTATATGATTTGGATATCATATAGGATTTGGAAATCCTATCAGATTTGGATAACAAATTTGCCCTGAAAAGAGAACAAAAAGAGAACAAAAGAGAACAAAAGATGGATCTTTGAAAATGAATATCCATATAGCAGTGTTTCCATGGAAGAATTAGAATGATTGTTTTAAAAGTATTTCTCTTTCCTTTCCCCAGATGAACCTCTACCTTAAGTAATGAGGGTGTCAGCCCCAAAATCTTCTATAGATGAATAAAACAATGCAAACATTTCTGCACATTCAAACCCAGTACTGATTCGAAAGAGCTATGGCCATAGCTCTATCGCCAATCTAGGACACCCAGACCTGCTTTTTCAGGCTGAGAACACCAGGTGGCATATGGTGGCTGAATCAGAGCCTCGGTTACCATGGCAACCAGCTACCCTTCCAGCTCTGCAGCTGCCATCTTTTATCCAAAGCAGTGTTCTGTGCACGCTGGGGGTTTTGCTTTGAAATGGTGGTGCTGTGTGCTGTTCATTCTTCATACAGTCAGGGTTCCTACTTCTGGGCAGGGAATTCAGGTGCCAGAGATAGATAAATACTTCAGGTCAGTAGCATTCATTTTATTTTCTGTGCATTATTTATTGTGTCAACATAAAGTCATCTGCAAACTGATACTTGAGAGGGCCACACCTTTCACAGCAGGCTTTCTCTAGGGAGGCTAGACTTCACTGAAGGGAAATGAATGATGGAGTGAGTGAGTCCTCTCCTGACCAAGGTTAAGAACAAATATGAGTGCCCAGCTCAGTGCTTGAATTGGTTGTAGGTACAATGACCCTGAGATTTGCCTGTACTCTAAGGGATGTCTGCTAGAAATATCACTGATCTATAGACAGAAGACATCTGTTCACCAACCTATTGGGAGGATGTAGTTGACATAAATAGTACCTTCTCACAAAATTTGTTTTGTGTCTGCCATGCAATAATAAACCAAATATTTATAAATTGGAAACTAGCCATTTCCATTTTTATCAGTCAAAAGTAATAAGATTTTCTAAGTTAATCATCAGGCATTGCCCCTGGTGATTGGCATTATATCACACACCCAGCTGCCAAAAGCCATTTTCTTTGCTACTGGGAAGAAAGCTAAAATGAGTAATGTTATCCAAACTTCCCTAAATTCCAAAAAGGCTTTGGACTTGAAGCGGGACTCATTTATAAACACATCTATTTAAGCCTGGTGTTTTTGCTTGCTGTTACAGGGACTATATCATAAATGTGCATTCTTTAGATGAAAGATCCTTCTCATAGAATGACAATTCTGTTAAAAACCCATTATATTATGTCACATGAAAAATGAAAAATTCACATTGTATATGTAACATAATAATAATGAAGGATGAAAGGGAAGAACTTCTGCTTGGAAAAATGACTGAAAACATACAATGAATATTAAAAACTGTGAGGCTTTGAATGGATTTTTTTTCCTCTTTCCACATTTAAGGGCTTTCTACTTCTTAATCAGAACTTATTACTAGGTCATAAACTTATGAAAACATTGAAACATTGTATTTTAGAATGTGTTTTAATTTTCCTATAGCAATTTCATTGCTTTTCACTTATGTTACAAATGTAAAACATTTAGCATTTTATTAGAATCATTTGAAATCATGAACTTCTCAAACAAAATATTTTAATTCATTTAATTGTTAAATAAATTGCAATATGCTTGCTCTAACAGGAAAAAAACTTTTTCAAAATCTATAAATAAGAAACTACTATTAAAACAGTTTTCATTTGATATTCCCTGTGAATTAAAGTATTATTTAAGGGTATCAGAAAGGAAGTATTACATTTAACTTCCAGTCAAACCCAGTTTCTGGTTATTTTATAAAAATATCTATTAATACGAGGAATTTTATATCTTTATCTATATATAGATATAGATACTGATAGATATATATTCATTGAGAAAGCTGCTTATAATTTGAGAATATTAGTCATGGAGTTTTCACACATTTACTGGTTTCGTACTACCACATGTTTTCCTCCTGCCTCTCTTTTCCATCTTTAGCTTAAAAAAGGGAAAGAAGAGGAGGAGGAGGAGGAAGAGGAGAAGGAGGAGGAGGAAGCAGAGAAGGAGGAGGAGGAGGAGAAAAGGATTTGAAGAAATTGAATCAGTTCTGGAACAGCAGACACAGGTAACCCATGCAAGTTAATCATTTGGGACACTTTATAAATGATTGTCCACCGTTGATTGACAAGAGCCTGTGTCACTGACTGGAAAGGATAGAGGAGGGTCACTGATGAAAGCACCCTGCTCATTCTCCTCCAGGGCTGCTCCACTGTGGTGACCCCAGCATTCAACACCACACTCAGCATAGTGAATTTCTGTGGGACTATTAAGAATTATGGTTCTAGAAACATACTTAATAATATGAAAACATGTTCAAATTATGTCATTATGTGTGAGAAAAATTATGATACTGAGATAGATGACAAACCCTCAATGAGGTTCTCAATGATTAAGAACCATCATCTCTGTCATCAATTAATTAGCTCAAGTGTAAGTATTTTCTGATTTTTTCTTACACATTGCAAATATTTTCTGCCAAATTGTTGTTTGTGTGCATTGGGAAGTGGGATGGGGGGGTTGTAGAGACAGGTGTCTCACTGTGTTGCCCAGGCTGGTCTTGAGCTCCTGGACTGAAGAGATCCTCCTGCTTGGCTTCTCAAAGCGCTGGGATTACAGGTGCAAGCCACTGCACCCAGCCAAACTGTGGCTTTTTAACAACATTTTGTTTGTTTTCTTTTTTTTCCTCTTTTTTTTTCCCTTTTAACAACATTTTTAATGATATCTTTTGTCATTGCTTAATATTTTGCTTTTATCTAATTAAGTTGCTCAATCTTTTCTTTTTCTAACTCTGGGTTTCATGTTGAAGGAATTCAGGACATGCTACCCCAAAATGTGAAAACTTGGCATTTGAGAAGACAGCAGAAGCAGGAAGGTCACGCTCACTACCTCCCCCACAATGCTCTACTCCCCTGAAACAGATCATAAAACCTAGGAAGGATTTCCTGACCATCCCCTCAAGTAGGTCTTATGACCCTCATGTGAGAGGTGCCCTCCCTATACCCAGAAGATAGCAACATCCTCATTTCTGAAGATACAAGGACAAAGAGAAGAGTTTGAACAAACGGCTTCCTAAGTTCTCCCCAGTTTATTAACATTATGTTACAGTCTCACCAACGCACCGCAATGTAGCAGTCTCTCGTTTGAGGTATCACCCTGAGTTCTCGGTCTCACAACCATGACAATTAAGGAACATGATCACCAAGGGTGAGGTTGGAGTGGAAGTTTAATAAGCAAAAGAAGAAAGTTCTCCACCACAGAAAGGGGCCCAAAAGAGGGTTGCCATTTTTACAGTTGAATGCAAAGGCTTTTATAAGAAACCAGTTAGAGCTGGGCATCTCATTTGCATGAGATGCGAATTTCTGGTAGCTCCACCCCATCCTCCTAATGCACATGTAGGCCCTTAGCTTGAGTTACTCCGTATTGCTTTGTTGCCCTTACTGCACATGTGTCAGGGGATGGAATTTTCCATTACGGGCATGTCTGGGCAAGTCACCTGTGTAGGCTTTCTTATCTGTGTGGCTGTGGGCATGTCTTAGGCAAGTGCCGCTGTGCAAGTTCCCTTATCTGTGCCTGCAGCTTGATTTTTCTGGCTGTTCTTTTGTTTGAAAAGATTCAACCAAGGACCCACCATAACTGCCTGCCTGACTGGTTTCTTCCTCCTTCCTCTCTCAATGATATCATTCTCCCTTTGTTCAATCATATTTCTTCATCAAACCTAGCATAAAGAATATACAAATTTATGCATTTGGGGGAGGTCTTCCTTTCCTTATGAAGGCTTCCATACCACGTATAAATAATATGTGTATGATTTTCTCTTGTGAATCTGTATTTTGTTATAGGGGCCTCAGCCATGAACCTAGAGATTAGTGAGCAAAAATTATTTTTTTCTCAAGTGTTTCTTGCTTGAGATGATTTTCTTATCCCCAAGATTAAAATATTATGTGTTTCTTCCATGATTTTTATGGTGTTTATATCTATTTCTTTAATCTTTCTAGAATGTACTTTTGTACATGCTGAAAGGTAGAATTAATTTTGCAAAAAGGAAAAAGCTACTTGCTACTTTTACTATAATTATAATTATATAATTATTATTAAGGTTTTTTCTTTCTTCTTTCTTTTTTTTTTTTTTTTTTTTTTTTTTTTTTTTTTGAGATAGGGTCTCACTCTGTCACCCAGGCTAGAGTGTAGTGGTGCAATCTGGGCTCACTGCAACCTCTGCCTCCCAGGTTCAAGTGATCCTCCAAACTCAGCTTCCCAAGTAGCTGGGACTACAGGCATGTGCCACCACAATTATTATTTCATTAGACCCTCTCTGGATCTTGTTCCATCTCTAATATCTCTGCCAAATGCTCCGAATCAGGTAGATATATTTAAATTCTAGCTGGTGCAAAGAAGGAATAATTTGAAAAAGAAGAAATAATTTTAATGCACATGCAAGTAATATACGTATTCATCTAGTTACTTGCATGCATTTGTGGCCAAAAGCCATGAATCATATAAAGAAGTAGCTGCAGCCAGGCACGGTAGCTCATGCCTGTAATCCTAGCACTTTGGGAGGCCAAGGGCGGGGGAGGGGGTGGATTACCTGAGGTCAGGAGTTCGAGACCAGCCTGGCCAACATGGTGAAACCCTGTCTTTACTAAAAATACAAACATTAGCTGGTCATGGTGGTGGGTGCCTATAATCCCAGCTACTTGGGAGGCTGAGGAGAATTGCTTGAACCCAGCAGATGGAGGTTGCAGTGAGCTGAGATTGTGCCACTTTACTCCAGCCTGGGTGAAACAGCAAAACTCCATCTCAAAAAAAAAAGTAGCTTCAATGCTGTTTTCAAGATACTTAAGCCAATTTGGTCATACACCCTTATTAGTTGCTTTATGATTAGCTCTCCAAAGCTTCCAGTAATTAGAATTTGGTGACAACCATAGAGACTTCAATTCCAAATGGTATGTTATAATGAAAGCAAATTTCAGACCTCATTCAGCCATGGGTATAAATATGTATTAGCAATCAGGCCCTCCAAATAGTCATACTACCCGTTTTATAAGCTTGATGAAGTCTTAGCTCTCTGACCTTTCAGTGTTCCCACAGAACCTTATGAGCGTCAGAGACAGGAGGACCATGTTCCAGCTTTGGAGCAGGATTAACTAACTCTCAAATGAGAGTCAGGTGAAAAATTCTCTCACTACAGTCTAGAATTTCAAGCCTGGAGAGATAATTCAAACAGTCTAGAATTTCAAGCCTGGAGACATAATTCAAAATGAATAGACAGGCTAGCTGGACTTTTACACCTCATTTATGCAAAGGCAAGAGTATCCATAAGACATTTTTATCCAATCCACATAAAATTGAATTCATTTTACCAGTAAAAAATCATTTCTAACATCCCTTATGCTAATTAACAAACCCCCTGGGATTGATATGAGATAAAGACGACTGGAGCCATAATCTAATCCTTCTGGAATGTGGCTTCTGAATGGAGAATTTCTTTTTTTGTGTGTGAGATGAAGCCTCACTTTGTTGCTGAGGCTGGAGTGCAGTGGCACGATCCCGGCTCACTGCAACCTCTGCCTCCCAGTTTCAAGCGATTCTCCTGCTTTAGCCCCCACCAAGTAGCTGAAATTACAGACATGAACCCAATGCCTAGCTAATTCTTTTTTTGAATTTTTAGTAGAGACGGGGTTTTGCCATGTTGGCCAGGCTGGTCTCGAACTCCCGACTTCAAGTGATCCACACCCACCTTGGCCTCACAAAGTCCCGGGATTACCTGCGTGAGCCACCAAGCCAAGCCTGAACTGACAATTTCAAATATTAACCTACCATCCAGGAGTATATTTTTCCTGAGAGAGTTCAGAAATATCACCCCAAAATATGCAGCATTGGTATGCTGATTACTTCAAACTGAAGTCATTTGGGAAATGCCAAACGCACAGAGGGGCTTTTCCTGAATTTCCCTTATCTGACTAAGTGCAGATTCTCCAGAAGGAAGCCAATTGTCAAGAAATGCTTCCTGGGGATTTTTATCTATCCGTGAAGATTAACACACAACAGAAGTCAAACCTAGAAAAAGCTGGAGGTTAGCACCTCCTACAGACAGGATATAACCTATTCTTCTGAAGGCTGATTCGTACTTTTCATAATCATTTACTCTCCCTAGGTTGCCTACATACTCCCCTTCCCTCTCTCTTATGAAGGGAATATAAAAGCTTTTAGGTCTCATTGAGTTATTGGGTAGTTTCTTAACTTCCATGTGATGCCTTTCTGCATGTTAATAAAATGTATATATATATTTTTTTCTCCTTTTAATCTGTCTATTGCCAGCTTATTTCCCCAGACTTTCAGCCTCAAATCTTCAGAATGGAGGAGAGGACTTCCTTCACCCATATATCCAAATTATGTAACTCCCTGATGGGTTCTCCTTGCCTGCTGCACACACAAAATCAACTCTCTGAGACCATGCCATTGCAGTAAAGAAAAGAGTTTGATTGACACAAGGCTGGCCACACCACACAGGAGACTGTTATCACTCAACTCAATCTCCCCAAAGGCTCAAAGATTAGGGTTTTTCCCAGGATCTTTTGATGAGCAGGGGCCTAAGGTAGGGGCATACTGATTGGTTGGGTCAGAGATGAAATCATAGGGAATCAAAGCTGCCCTCTTATGGTGGGTAAGTTCCTGGGTTGGGGCCACAGGACTGGTTGGCAGGTCCAGGTGGGGCCATCCATTGTCAGAAATGCAAAAACCTGAAAAGACATCTCAAAAGGCCAGTCTTAGTTTCTACAATAGTGATGTTGTCTGCAAGAGTAATTGGGGAAGTTGCAAATCTTACGACCTCCATAATAATGGCTGGTAATTATTTAGAATTTAAGCCCCTCTCATCCTCCTAACTTCATGGCCTTTCATTAGTTTTACAAGAATCGTTTAGTTTTGGGGGAAGGTTATTATCATTTAAACTATAAACTAAGTTTCTCCCAAAGTTATCTTGGCCCACACCCACGAATGAGCAAAGCCAGCCAGCCTGTGAGGCTAGAAGCAAGATGCAGTCAGCCACGTCCAATTTCTCTGTCATACTTTTGCAAAGCCAGTTTCAGTCAGGGCTCTTCAAATGCCCAACTAACTATTCCTAAGTAAAGAATGAAAGCAACTAGAACACATCACACCACACTATCCATGCTGAAGCATTTTAAAGTAAACGTAAAGATAATCTAATGTACAGACACCTTCATTTTTCCCATGGTGATTTCTCTGGGATATTGTTTTGTATTTCCCTGTCTGACTTGTGGCAACATCTGTATTTCTGTAATTATAAAAGGTAAGACTCACTATTTGACTTTGAGAGGAACATTTGAGACGGCACGGTGGCTCAAGCCTGTAATCCCAAAGCTTTGGGTGGCCAAGGCAGGTGGATCGCCTGAGGTCAGCAATTCAAGAACAGCCTGGCCAACATTGTGAAACCCCATCTCTACTAAAAATATAACAATTAGCCAGGTGTAGTGGTGCATGTCTGTAATCCCAGCTACTCTGGAGGCTGAGGCAGGAGAATCGCTTGAATCTGGGAGGTGGAGGTTGCAGTCAGCCAAGATTGTGCCACTGCACTCCAGCCTGGGTGACAGAGTGAGACTCAGTCTCAAAAAAAAAAAAAAAAAGAACATTTGATTAAGGCCTGGGGATTGCTATGGGAGCCCAAATCCACTTTTGTCTTAGCCTCAGCCATTATGAATAACAAACACCCTCTTCTCAACAGTCTGTGATTCCCATGGGGAGGCTGGATGTTGGGAAAGCTGCCTCTCTCAGTTTGGCTTATTTGTTGGCTTATCAGAATCTTCTAAAGGAAAAGACCTCTCCTGTTCTTTCTCCTAGGAGGAAAAATTACTAGTCATCTTCCCAAATGTAGCACCCTTAGATTGCATTCCCATAAAGATTTCTCTCTAGCTTCTGTATTTTCTCACCCTGTTGACCTTAATCAGTAACAAAGGCTTTTATAATACTACTACTGCATTGCCCCCGACCTCAAGTTTAGAAACTCCTTAGCTCCCTTGCCTCTGGGCAGGTCTGTCTATTGCATTGCACAAAAGAAGAAGAAAGAAAGAGTAGAGAAAGGAATGTCTAGCCCTAAGCTTTCTTTTGCATTTGTATGCTTGGTGGCCTCGGAATCCCCCAAAGCAGTCAAAGGTAAATAATCCTTTGGTCTTTTCTTCCTTTGTTCTCTGAACTGAGACTTTACTCCCGAGGAGATTTTCTTCTCAGATTAGACTTGGAGAGGTCTTTTTTTTTCTCCTTTGCTTAGATGATTTGAACTGATAATTTGCATCTACAAAGGCAACTGAGAAATACTGAATGACTAACACTCCCACAGAAGACTCTGTGGAGGCGCTCCATTCTGTAATCTTTCCTCTGCTCCAGGAGACCTCCAAAGTAAATGGAAACCAAAAAGCAACATTTTCAGGGCCAAGTTTATTTTAATATTGTCTCTGGATACTTCTCTTTACAATCAATCAGGTTTTAAGTCACCAACCTTAAAACCAGCACTCCTCTCCTCTGGTTTAAAAAAAAAAAATCAGATAATTTTAACAAAAATAAACAAACAAGACATAGGATTTTAAAAAAATTAACTCCCTATTACAAACAAAAGAAGGGCAATGTAGTAAAGGCTCAAGCGAAAATCTCAGCCCAGCCCACCCCACCCCTAATAGAGTTCCTCCATAAAGCATAGATTTTTTTTTGTAGCAAAATATATATGCACTTTATTCTCAGTGAGGTAAAGGAAAGCATTACTTTTCTTTGTTAAACCAGAATAGACTTTCCTAAGAGAAATAATACGACAAAACTCACTGCAACTGAAATAAAACATATAAAATGAAGAGATGACAAAGATGAAAGGAAAGCAAGCATTACCAAGGAAATCAGAACAAATGGAACAGAAGCAAAATCAAAGTTATCATACCCCCGCCAAAAAGAAATCCTATCAAAAGAAAACAGATAATGGATTGTGAAAGATCACCATACTGTGGGGGAGGGGGACGTGAACAAAGAACAGTGCTCACACATACCTTGGGAATAGTTTTAAATTCCAAACACAAAGGCAGCAGGGACCCTGCAGATGTGAATAAGCCAGCAGCTTTCTATTGAAGAATTTATGAGGTTCTCTTAGACCCTTCATCTAGCACCTAATAACAGTGCCACCTTTGCCTGAAAACTATCCTGCCTCCCTCAAGCATAGCCATCAAACACATCATAAAAGGAGAGCTTCAGGCTTCAGGAAACACCAGATAATGACAGAATTCTGTGAAAATCAGAAAGTATTAGCTTTGATTTCGTCAGGCTGACAGTACCGATAGACATGTAAGTTACACTTGTATTTAATAAGAAGCTTGATGAAATTCAAAATACTGAGCTGGCCATTCTCTTTCTCAGTGCAATTGAGAGTCGGCTAGAGAACATTTGCCTTCTGGTGATAATTATGTCGTTAAAAAAGAATCAGGCAAGACAAAAATGTTTCCAATTGAACATATATGTTTGCCACTGTTCATCTACAAATTTCACTAAGAATAATAGTAAAGTAGTAGGACTCATAAGCCCAAATGGCCAAAGAGAATAGGAGTGCGGAGGACAAAAGGCATCAACCCAAAACTGGGAGCTGGAATGAAGAGGAAAGATTGGCAACTGGTGTAACAGACCAGAGAGCACTGTTAAAATAATTTAATAGGAGGCAGTTAGGGGTGGCTCTGAAGTCCTAGGTTCCTACATGAGCAAACCAAAACCTAACCCAAATACATCTGTTTGTGTGTTTGTTTGTCTGTGTGTTTGTTTGTTTAAATAGAGACAGAGTCTCAGTATGTTCCCCAAGCTGGTCTTGAGCTCCTGGACTCAAGTGATCCTCCCAATTCAGCCTCCCAAGTAGCCAGGACTACTGGCATAAGCCACTGCACTGGGCTCTCTTTTGTAAGTGACTAGCTTAAAGGAAAATGAAACTGAAGCTTAACCACTCTGAAACTGCCATCTAACCTCAAACTCGAACTACTTTCCACTGGAATGATCCAAATATGGCTACTGCTCCACTTTCACCTACCAAATATTGTCTTGCCCTGGTTCCACATTTACCTTATAAAAGCCTTTCACTCCTGCGTCTTCTGTCCGGTACTGTGATCTGGAGCTGTCCAACCCACGCACTGCTGTTTGTTCAAGTAAACTCTTTAAAATTTTAATGTGACAGCCAAGCACAGTGGCTCATGCCTGTAATCCCAGCACTTTGGGTGGCAAAGGCGGGCGGATCACCTGAAGTCAGGAGTTCGAGACCAACCTGGCCAACATGGTGAAACCTCGTCTCTACTAAAAATACAAAAATTAGCCAGGCATGGTGGTGCAAGCCTGTAATCTCAGCTATTCAGGAGGCTGAGGCAGGAGAATCACTTGAACCCAGGAGGTTGCAGTGAGCCGAGATGGCACCACTGCACTCCAGCCTGGGTGACAGAGTGACACTCTGTCTAAAATAAAATAAATTAATCTGCCTCAGTTTATCTTTTAGCAGTTCTGAAATCAAAGTGCCTAAAAGGAGTCCACCCGGATATGTGGAAGCAAGAGGGAGTTAATGACAATGGATTCACAATGCTGAAGCTCGAAAATTCTGGGAATTTGAGGCCCCAAGACACCCCATAGGTGGGGTACAGGTGGGTCAAAAAACAGGAGAATTGCTAGAATCTGTTTGTAAAGTAATGGGATGAAGCAGGAAGGCCATAGCCAAAACAGTGATGACTCCTGTGTACAGAGCTGGCCTGCATGGGAGCCGCTGCATAGCCATGGCTCAGAGCTACCTGGCAGAGAGTGACTCAGAGATGGAAAGAGCCCCAAACTCCTATTCTGAGTCACCTGAAGATGGCGGAACTTGGAAAGCCACCCTTAGACCACAGCTGAGCCTGAGTCCTGCATAGGGGTGACCCCAAAATGAAATCAATAGGAAGATATTATGGCCAGAAACATGCAGGCCTGTCAGATTTTCATTCTGATAGTGTGGTATTAGGTTTCTGCCTATAGGTCCTGGCTCATAACTCCCATAACCCTTGTTTCAGTAAACAGAATCTTGCTCTCCGGCTGGGCGCAGTGGCTCACGCCTGTAATCCCAACACTTTGGGAGGCCAAGGCGGGCGGATTACCTGAGGTCAGGAGTTCGAGATCAACCTGGGTAACACGGTGAAACCCTGTCTCTATTAAAAATACAAAATTAACTGGGCGTGGTGGCACATGCCTGTAATCCCAGCTACTTGGGAGGCTGAGGCAGGAGAATCACTTGAACCTGGGAGGCGGAGGATGCAGTGAGCCGAGATCGCACCATTGCACTCCAGCCTGGGCAACAAGAGTTAATCTCTATCTCACCAAACAACAACAACAAAAAAGCCAGAATCTTGCTCTCTGACCTTCTCCTTGACCTCTTTGCACCTGCCCAAGGCAGAACTCTCATGTGACTATGGGTCATGAGACCCTCATTTCAGAAGGGGTTCTGCCCTGTACTCTGGAAGAAGGAATACTGCCCATAGAGGCCAAGAAGAATCTGAACAGACAGGCCTTACTGGGTTTGGATCATACCCTGTTATTCAATCACATCTCTACATGGCTGTCAATTATGCCTATCCAATGAAGTCTTCATAAAAGGCCCAAGAGGACTGGCTTTGGAGAACCTCCAGGTACCTGAAAACATGGAGGTTCCTAGAGGGTGATGAACCCAGGGAAGCCTGGAAGCTCTGCACCCCTTCTCACATGCCTTTCCCTATGCATCTCTCCATCTGTACCCTTTGTAAGAACCTCCATAATACGCCAGTACCTGTAAATGTTTCCCTGAGTTCTGTGAACTGCTCTAGCAAATTAACTGAACCCGAAGAGGGGGCTGCGGAAACCCCAACTTGAAGCTGATTGGTCAGAAGTTTCTGGAGGCCTGAACTTGCAACTGGTGTCTGAAGAAAGTCAGGGTGGGGGCACACAGTCTTGTGGGACTGAGCCCTCAACATGTGGGATCTGAAGCCATCTCCAGGAAGATAGCACCAAAAGTGACTTGAATTAAAAGACACTCAGCTGGTGTCTGTTTCTTAGGGTATGGGGGAAAACCCACGCACATTTGGTCGCAGAAGTCTTCTCTGTTGTGGTGGTGGTGGTGTGAGGAAAAATGATTTGAGTTTTTCAAACAAATATGTAAAGAGTTTGGAAGTCATCACTCCCATCCTTACAACAAGAAAAGATGCTGTACAGACTAAATTTCAGCAATTCTTCTCAGAACCATCAGAGAACTTAGGTCACAGAGCAAACTCCCACATCAAAAGCTGGAGAGACAGGTGAATCACAGCTTACTAGGAGCAGAAGCTGACAGAGATGAAGCCTGTGGGAACATTTAAACTGTAACTGACTAAGTGCTGGAGGTTGAGTGTGGACCAGCCTGCGAGTTAAAAACTATTATGGGCTCAATCTCAGGCACACCGTCCCACCCCCCTGCCCTCCCGCCCCTGATACTTTCATGAGTTTTCCTCCGGAAGTCCCATTAGGTTCTTACAATGAAGAACACAGGAAAATCTCCTCATGTGTAGGGCAGGTGGAGAGAAGAAGTAACCACTTTGAAATAAGCCCAGAAACTTCTGTTCTCCATAACAAAATGCTTCTCTCAAAAGAAACTACTTTGTTAAAGCCTTATCTGATCTTGTGGAAGGACAATAAGCAATTAAGCCACTTTTAGCTTCCTATCTCATATAAAGGGAGGGAAAAAAGCTAAAACTCTTCCCAAAGTCACAAGCCAGGGACAAAGAGAGAGAAAAAGAAAGAAAGAGAGAAAGAAAAGAAAGGAGGAAAGAAAAGAGGAAAGAAAGAGAAAGAAAGAAAGAAAGAAAGAAAGAAAGAAAGAAAGAAAGGGAAAGAGACAAAGGAAAGAAAGAAAGAGAAAGAAAAGAAACAAAGAAAAAAGAGGAAAGGAAAAGGAAAGGAAAGGAAGAAAGAAAGAGGAAAGGAAAAGAAAGGAAGAAAGAGAGAGGAAAGGACGAAAGAAAGAGGAAAGGAAGAAAGAAAGAGGAAAGGAAAGGAAAGGAAGAAAGAAAGAGGAAAGGAAAGAAAGAAAGAAAGAAAGAAAGAAAGAAAGAAAGAAAGAAAGAAAAGGAAGGCTGAATCATGATTATACAATGCTGCTTCTCCATAATACCTTACCACCACATCAATAGGGTTCCAGTATAGTAACAGTAGATTATAACAGAGATATAAAAGACACAAGCTCTATTAAAGAAGGAGACTCTAGGGAAACCCAAAGGCAACAGGAAAGACAAAAACAAGAACACTAGAGAAACTGAAGTCTCTGACACTTTATAACTACAGCAAACATTAAACACAGCCTAGCCAGATAAACATAAAGCCTCAAACTAAAGGCCCATTTACTTCAGCTCCTATTACCCAATACGTTATGTTCAGCATTCAACAAAAAAATTACAAAGCAGAAAAAAAGGCAAGAAAGCTTACAGTTTGAATAGGCAAAGCAAGCATTAGAACCAGACTCAGACATGGCAGAGATTTGGGTATTCTCAGGCAGATATTTTAAATAATTATGATTAATATGCTAAGTGCTCTAAAGGAAAACGTGAACTACATGCAAAAACAGATGAGTAACTAATTGATCGCAACCAGTTACAGATTTCTTTGTTCCTTCTCCATTCCTACTGCTTTATTTGACTACCATTTAAAAAATAATAATTAAAAAAACCAGACGGATGAGAAGAAAAGAAAGGAAGCTGGGTGTGGTAGCTCACACCTGTAATCTAAGCACTTTGGAGGTCGAGGCAGGAGGATCACTTGAGGCCAGCAGTTTGAGAACTAGCCTGAGCAACAGAGTGAGACTGTCTCTACAAACAATTAAAACAAAAATTTTTCAAGTAAAAAGGAACGAAGAAAGAGATGGAGAAAAGGAGAAAGGAAGGAAGAAGAGAGAAAGAAAGGGAGAAAGAAAATAAAGAAAATTCAAGGCCAGGTAAGGTGGCTCATACCTGTAATCACAACATTTTGGGAGACTGAGGCAGGTGGATGGCTTGAGCTCAGGAGTTTGAGATCAGCCTGGGAAACATGGTGAAACTCTGTCTCTACCAAAAATTAAAAAAAATTTGCCAGGCATAGTGGTGCACGCCTGTAGTCCCAGCTACTTGGGGGAGGCTGAGGCAGGAGTATTGCTTCAACTTGGGAGGTCAAGGCTATAGTGATCTGAGATGGCACTACTGCGCTCCAGCCTGGGTGACAAAGTGAGACGTGTCTCAATAAATAAATAAGTAAGAAAATTCAAGCTGGGCACGGTGGCTCATGCCTATAATCCCAGCACTTTTGGAGGCTGAGGTGGGTGGATCACCTGAGGTCAGGAGTTCGCGATCAGCCTGACCAACATGCAGAAACCCCGACTCTACCAAAAAATACAAAATTAGCTGGGCGTGGTGGCACATGCCTGTAATCCCAACTACTCGGGAGGCTGAGGCAGAAGAATCACTTGAACCCAAGAGGTGGAGGCGGCGGTAAGCCGAGATAGCGCCATTGTGCTCCAGCCTGGGGAATAAGAGTGAAACTCCATCTAAAAAAAAAAAAAAAAGAAAGAAAGAAAGAAAAAGAAAATTCAATTTGGGAAAAACAAACGAAAACAGATGGGTAAAGTAGGCAGAAAGATGAAAACCCTAAGAAAGAATCAAAAGGAAATGTTAGAAATAAAAAAAACACTGTAATCTTTTTGTAATTCCTAAGCATGATGGTTGATTCGGCTCTCACACTTGATGATTGGGCTTTCACTTGGATCTGTGAGATGTGCCTCCCTCAACCCTTCCTGCGAAGTCAGCACATTACCTGACAGAAATGAAAAGGGAAAAATAAATATAAAACATTGTAACAAACATGAAGAATGCTTTTGATGGGTTCGTAGTTGGACTGTTCACAGCCGAAGAATCAATGAGGTTGAAGATACTGATACAACCTTCCAAAACTGCAATGCAAAGAGTGAAATAAATAAATAGATAAAACCCCAAATATTCAAGAACTGTGGGACAATTACAAAAGGTGTAACACGGGAAATGGGAACACTAGAAGGAGAAGAGAAAGAAGCAAAATATGTACAGAGGCCTTTTTTTTTCTTTTTTGACACCCGGATCTCACTCTGTTGCCCAAGCTGGAGTTCAGTGGCATGATCATGGTTCACTGCAGCCTCCACCTCCCGGGCTTTAGCAATCCTCCCACCTCAGTCCCCAAGTAGCTG
Source organism: Homo sapiens (assembly GCF_000001405.40). Taxonomy (NCBI): domain Eukaryota; kingdom Metazoa; phylum Chordata; class Mammalia; order Primates; family Hominidae; genus Homo; species Homo sapiens. The sequence goes on from NC_000007.14 coordinate 138,176,679, forward strand.
GACAGGCGTGTGCCACCACACCCTGACAATTTGTATATATTTTGTAAAGATGGGGTTTTGCCACATTGTCTAGGCTAGTCTCAAACTCCTGGACTCAAGCAATCTGCCTGCCTCAGCCTCCCAGAGTGCTAGGATTACAGGCGTGAGCCACCACACCTAGCCTAAAAGAAAAATCTAAAGTACTAATGGCTGAGAAATGTCTGGAATTAATGATAGACACCAAGCCACAGAGAACACCAAGCAAGATAAGTAGCAAAAATCTGTACCTGCAGGAAACAAGACAACTAAAAAAGCCAAAGGAAAACAATTCCTTACCTATAGAGGAACAAGGATAAAGATTATGTTAGACTTTCTTTCAGAAACCACAAAAGCAAGGCCGGGTATGGTGGCACACGCCTGTAGTTCCATCTACTCCGGACGTTGAGGCAGGAGGATTGCTTGGATCATTTAAGTCCAAGAGTTCAAGGCTGTAGTGAGCTATGACTGCATCACTGCACTCCAGTCTGGGCAACAGAATGAAACCTTGTCTCCAAATTGAAGAAGAGAGAGAAGAGAAGAAGAGAAGAGGGGAGGAAAGGAGAGGAGAGGAGAAGAGAAGAGAAGGGAGGAGAAGAGTAGCGAAGAGAAACCACATGCCTGGGTGCAGTGGCTCACGCCTGTAATCCCAGCACTTTGGGAGGCCAAGGTGGGCAGATCACCTGAGGTCAGGAGTTTGAGACCAGCCTGGCCAACATGGCGAAAGCCCGTCTCTACTAAAAACAGAAAAATTAGCTGGGCGTGGTGGCACACATCTGTAATCCCAGCCACTCAAGAGGGTGAGGCAGGAGAATTGCTTGAACCTGGGAGGCAGAAGTTGCTGTCAGCCAAGATCATGCCACTGCACTCCATCCTGGGTGAAAGAGCAAGACTCTGAGAAAGGAAGAAAGGAAGAAAGAAAGAAAGGAAGGGAGGGAGGGAGGGAGAAAGAGAGAGAGAGAGAGAGAGACAGAAAGAAAGAAAGAAAGGAAAGAAAGAAAGAAAGAAAGAAAGAAAGAAAGAAAGAAAGAAAGAAAGAAAGAAAGAAAGAAAGAAAAAGAGAAAGAAAGAAAGAAGGAAAGGAAGGAAGGAAGGAGTGGAGTGAAATATTTAAAGTGTTGATACAACTATAATTTGTCCATTTACAATTTTAAAAACATGGATGGGTGCGGTGGCTCACGGCTGTAATCCCAACACTTTGGGGGGCCAAGGTGGGTGGATCACCTGAGGTCAGGAGTTCGAGACCACCCTGACCAAGATGGTGAAACCCTGTCTCTACTGAAAATACAAAAATTAGCCGGGCATGGTGGTGGACACCTGTAGTCCCAGCTACTCAAGAGGCTGAGACAGGAAAATCACTTGAACCCGGGAGGTGGAGGTTGTAGTGAGCCAAGATCGTGCCACTGTACTCCAGCCTGGGCAACAGAGCGAGACTCCATCTCAAAAAAAAAAAAAGTATATATATATATATATATATATATATATATATATATATATATATATATATATATATATATAAAAAATGTTGAAAGCACAAAACTAATAATCTAAAATTCTGTATCCAATACATTATCCTTCAAAAATGGAAAGAGAAATAAATACTTTCTCAGCTAAACAATAAAAGAATTTGATGTCTGTAGATCCATCGTATATGAAACATTTTTTTAAAGTTTTCAGAGACAAGGGAAATTATTTAGGACAGAAACGCAGGTTCACATCAAGAATGAAAAAGCCATCAGAGAATAAATGAAAGATAAAATGTTTTAGTTTTCATACTCATTGATCTAATAATTATTGTTCAAAATAATAATAGCAATTTGATAATAATTTGATTATAGTGTATGGATAAGTGAAATGAGTGCCAGCAATGTTTTAAGGGAAGGAAGAAAGGAACTAGGAATACTTTGTTATAATGCATCTGCACTACCTGTGAAGTGGCATAGTATTAACAGTGGACTTAGATTAGTTGTAAATGTACAGTGTAAATTCTAGGGCAACCAGTGGAAAAAATGTAAAAGTGTAATATTATGCTAAGAGAGGACAGAAAATGGAATCATATAAAATATTCCATTAAAACCAAGCAGGTAGTAAAAGAGGGAAGACAAAGAAAAAGACAAAGTGCAACAAGTATAAAACAGTTATAAATATGGTAGATATTAATCCAACTATTTCAATAATCACTTTAAATGTGAATGGTCTAAATATACCAATGAAAAGACAGACAGAGTGGATCAAAAAACAAGATCCAATTTTATGTTGTGTGCAACAAACTCACTTTAAAAATAAAGACATAGATTAAGAGTAAAAAGAGAAAGATATACCATGCTAACACTATCCAAAAGAAAAGTAGAGTAACTATATTAATTTCAGATAAAAGACTTCAGAATAAGAAAATTTCTCAAGAATAAAGAGGAGTATTACCTAACAATGGAAGACTCAATTCTTTAAGAAGACATAATAATCCTCAATGTGTATGCACCAAACAACAGAGTCAATATCCTTGAAGCAAAATCTGATAGCACTGCAAGGAGAAATAGACAAATCCACCTCTATTATAATTGGAGACTTCAAAACCCCCTTATCAGTAACTGACAAATCCAGCAGGCAGAAAATTAGTAAAGATATACCTGAAGTGAACAGCACCACCAATCAACTGGATCTAATTGACATGTATGAAATACGTCATCCAACAACAACAGAAAACACATTTTCTCAAGGTCACGTGGAACATTCACAAATATAGACCACATTCTGGGCTATAAAACAGATCTCAACAAACTTAAAAGGATAGAAAACATACAGAGTATGCTGTGAGACCACAATGGAATTAAGCTAGAAATTAATCATGGAAAGATAAAGCTAGGTATGGTGATATGCACCTGTAGTACCAGCTAGTCTAGAGGCTGAGGTGGGAGTATTGCTCAAGCCCAAGGATTCAAGCCCAGCCTGGGCAATATAGCAAGACTCCATCTCTTAAAAAAATAACAGAAAGGTAGCTGAAAAATCCTGAAATATTTGGATATTAAGGCACACACTTCTAAATAACAAATGAGTCAAAGAAAGTCTTAGGAGAAATTTTGAAGTATTTTGAATTAAATGAAAATGAAACAGCATTAAATGTCCTCCCATCCTGAGAAAGTTAGGACAGTACTCTGCCCCTACCCTTGAAGAAGACTGAAAATTAACCCTCTGAAGATACTGCTTTGCACTCTGAACTCAGACACCAGGCAGAGTTGAGGATGCTAGCTGAATAAGGGGAACTAAGTAATATTCCACATACCACACATTTGGTACCATCTCCCAGCCTCCTTCTCCTACTTGTCTTTCAGAATAATAGTAACCAGGAATATACCCCTTCAGTAGACAGAATAATGGCCCCACAAGGATGTCCACGTCCTAATCCACAGGACCTGTGAACGTGTTATGTTACATGGTAAGGTGAAATTAAGGTTGCTAATAAACCCTGGATGATCTGAATGCATCCAATGTGATCACAAAGGTCCTAATAAGTGACAGAAGGAGGGAGGGAGTATCAGGATATGAGAAAGACCCCACGGGCCACTGCTGTCTTTGAAGATGGAAGGGGACCACAGCCAAGAAATGTGGAGCAACCTTTAGCTGGAAAAGGCAAGAAAACAGATGCTCCCTAGAGCCTCCAGGGAAGAACACAGTCCTGCAACCCCTTGATTTTAGCCCAGTGAGACTTGTGTCCAACCTCTGACCTCCAGGACTGTAGGATAATACATTTCTACCATGTTAAGTGATACACTTATGGTCATTTGTTACAGTAGCAACAGAGAACTTACAAAGCCCCCAATCCAGAAAGTGTAGGCTTCCTCACTTTCAACACTGACCAGTCCACAGGAAATTCATACAGACCAATATTGGCACCCGGAGTCTCCTGAAAAATAGCCGATGGCCCTCCCTGATCATCCTATAGTGAAATCTCCTTTTTAAAAACTACACTCATCCACACAGTGTCTAAATCTGAAATATAAATGAACACCTAAGGATGAGTCAACACTTGGAAAAAGCTTTTGACATCAAAGAGATCCCAACAAACACAAAGAGAGAAGGAATTGGATGGAAAAAGAGACAATGCCGGTGAAAAATGACTTTAAAAACATAATTGAGGGTAGCTGTAGTGGCTTACGCCTGTTATCCCAACTAATCAGCAAGGTGAGATGGGAGGATGGCCTGAGGCTGAGAGTTTGAAGCTACAGTGAGTTATGATCATGTCACTGGACTCCAACCTGGACAACCGAGTAAGGCTCATCTCTAAAACAATAAAAATTAAATAAGAAATTAAAACCGTAATTGATATCCTCAAAGAGAAAAGAGAAGATATTGAATCTATGAAATGGGATGCTGAGGTAACCCCAAGGATGAGATTATCAAATCAAACTCATAAGAATCAGAGATCTTAGCCAGTATCAAAATTTACTAATTAGGCCAGGTGCAGTGGCTCATGCCTGTAATCCCAGGACTTTAGGAGGCCCAGGCAGGAGGATCACTTGAGCCCAGGAGTTCAAGACCAGTCTGGGCAATATAGTGAAATTTCATCTCTACAAAAAATAAAAATAAATTGGCCAGGTGTGGTGGCATGTGCCTATGGTCCCAGCTACTCAGAAGGCTGAGATGGGAGGGTCACTTGAGCCAGGGAGGTCGAGGCTGTAATGGGCCATGTTTGTGCCATACACTCAAGCCTGGGCAACAGATCTAGACTCTGTCTCAAAACAAATAAACCAACAGAAAACCTAATTATTCAAAGGATACAGGTGATCATGACATGTAGGCAAAACCTGGAAAAGTCTGAAATGACCACTGCGGATCCCCAGTCCTTCCTTGCCACTTTATAACATTCTGTAGTCCAGAGTTAACATGTAAGGTTCTAAGTAGTATATATAAGACATCCATTACACAAATAGAGCTATTTTATTGACAAAAATCTTCTTTTTATACTCTGACAATTACATAGCAGACACTGACATTTTCGAGTGGGCCATGCCTCCATGTATGCATGGATTCCAGAATTGCACAGCAAGAGCAACCTAGCCAGACCCGGTACATCCTGGTAAAATCATTCCAGAAATGAGACCTCTTTCTGCTTGTAGATGCTATCCCATTAGCTAGTTTGCAAGATTTGACTTGGTCCTTTCTATTTTTTTTTTTTTTTCCTGGCATTTCCAAGTCAAGTCGAGTAAGTTACAAACCAGCTGCTAATCCTTTTCTTCCCAGAAGGTATAAAAAGAAACATTCAGAAAGCTCTTAGAAATTAAAAATATGGAAGTGGAAGTAAATACTTCAATAGAAAGGTTGAAACATAATGCCATGGAAATCTCCCATACTGTAGAGCAAAAGGCAAAGATATGAACACAGAACAAATAACAAATATTAAAAGATCAATTTAGGATTTAAGCCAAGTAATAGGAATTCCAGAGAAAGGAAACTAAGTTTTAACATGAGAAAGTGATGCTAGACATAACAGCAACAATTGTTTCCAACTAAGGAAAGCCAATTTCCAGATCAAAAGGAGTCCCCTAGAAACAAGACTACAAATGAGAGGGAAACTACACCAAGGCTCATTGCAATGACGTTTCAGAATACCAGAGACAAAAAGAAGACCCTTAGAACTTGCAGAGAAGGGTAAAAAAAACACATCGAGTACAAAGAATCAGGAATCAGGCTGGCATCAGATTTCAGTGGGAACACTGAAATCTAGAAACCGATGAAGCAATGACTTCAGAATTCATAGCAGAAATCATTTGCAGCCTACTGACAAAAAAAAATATTAATCCAATGTGAGGACAGAATACAAACTTTTTTCTTTACACGCCAAATCTCTATAAGCACTGGAACACAGTCTCTACCCAAACAAGGGAGAATACTAAGGAAAATAAGACATAGGATTTAATAAATAGAGAGTCTAGCACAGAGGAGAGACAATGGAAATTCTGAAAATGGCGGTTAGGAGACCTTTCTCCGTCACCGAGGCTGGAGTCTGGAATGCAATGGTGTGATCATAGCTCACTGCAGCCTCAAACTCCTGGGATCAAGCAATCTTCCCACCTCAGCCTCCTGAGTAGCTAGGATTACAGGCACACACCACAAAGCTAAATTTTATATTTTTTTTGTAGAGACATGGACTCACTATGTTGTTCAGACTGTACTTGAACTCCTGGCCTCAAGCGATCCTCCCGCCTTGGACTCCCAAAGCACTAGGATTACAGGTATGAGACACTGTACCTGGGCAGACTCTTTAAAACAACAACTATAAAACAAGACTAGAAGAGAATTCACCCAGAATGGAGAGGGAGGAAGGAGGACATGAAATCCAGAACAAATATCAGCAGTGTCTCAAACTGGATGGAGGGATGGATGGATGGATGGATGGGTATGGAGAGAGAGAGAGAGAGAAGAGTAATTGCCATTTATCAACTTTTATTTTAACAGATTCTTCATTTGCATACGAATGCATTATGTATGAATTACAATAGGCAGTACATTCATATAGTTTTTAGAAACATAAAATATCTGTTTTCATCCATGTCTCCGTCCATCCTGACCACCATCTTCCACACACACATCATTATTTACTATTTTCTTTGTTGTTTGTTTGTTTGTTTTTTGAGCCGGAGTCTCGCTCTGTCACCCAGACTGGAGTGCAGTGGCGCAATCTCGGCTCACTGCAAGCTCCGCCTCCCGGGTTTACGCCATTCTCCGGCCTCAGCCACCTAAGTAGCTGGGACTACAGGCGCCAGCACCACGCCTGGCTAATTTTTTGTATTTTTAGTGGAGACAGGGTTTCACTGTGTTAGCCAGGATGGTCTCGATCTCCTGACCTCATGATCCACCCACCTCGGCCTCCCAAAGTGCTGGGATTACAGGCGTGAGCCACCGCGCCCGGCCTACTATTTTCTTTTTAATGTTCCTTAATGTGACAAATAATTTGATATACTCCTGACGTTATATATGTATATCTCAAGGATAAATGCTCATCAGTAGGAGTTTCAGGTCACAGAATAAATGCATTTGTAATTTGGGGGATATTGCCAAATTGCCCTACATAGAGATTCTTTATAACACGTGCAATCACAACAGCAGTGTATGAAAGAGCCTGTTTCTCTGCAGCTTTGCCAAGAATGCATTGTAAAACTTTCAGATTATGCTAATCTGAGAAGTGAAAAATGGTATATTCAGTTTAATTTGCATTCATCTAATTATGAATTGGATTTAACGTCTTTTCATAAATGTTTTAACATTTGTATTTCTTTTTTGTGAAATGTCTTTTCATGTCCTCCACTCTTATTCTATCAGGTCACTTTTTCTCACCAATTTCTCTGTGTGTGTGTGTGTGTGTGTGTATGTGTGTGTGCGTGTATGTGTGTGTGCGCGAATGTATTGAGAAAAGATCTATACTTCTGACAATGAGTTTGGAAACTAAATAATAGTATTGAGACTAGAGAAAGAAGACAAAGGTATTATGGTAAAAAGAGCCAAAGCGTCTTTTTCCACAATAGGGGGATGACAATAAATAATAGCTAAAACTGAAGTCAAGAAATAGCATTAGACAAACTCAGTGGCTCATGCCTGTAATCCCAGCGCTTCAGGAGACTGAGGCGGAAGGATCACTTGGGAACTGAAGTTCAAGCCTAGCTTGGGCAACGTAGTGAGATTCCATCTCCACAAAAAATTTAAAAATTTAAAATAGCTGAGTGGTGACACATGCCTGTAGTCCCAGCTACTAGGGAGGCTGAGACAAGAAGGTCACTTGAACTTAACAGTTTAAGGCTGCAGTGAGCCATGATCATGCCACTGCACTCCAGCATAGGCAAAAGAGTGAGACCTTGTCTCAAAAATATGTATTTTTTTAAAAAATTAGGCTGGGCATGGTGGGGGGACCTCACACCTGTAATCCCAGCACTGACGGGCGGATCACAAGGTCAGGATATCAAGACCATCCTGGCTAACACGGTGAAACCCTGTCTCTACTAAAAATACAAAAAATTAGCCAGGATGGTGGTGGGCACCTGTAGTCCCAGCTACTCAGGAGGCGGAGGCAGGAGAATGGCGTGAACCCAGGAGGCAGAGCTTGCAGTGAGCCGAGATCGCGCCACTGCACACTCCAGCCTGGGCAAGAGAGCAAGACTCCGTCTCAAAAAAAAAAAAAAGTAATGTTTGCATATTGTGTTTTCTTAGATACAAGATTCTCTTCCTATTTTTGCTGATAGTTACTGAGAAGGAAGATTTCCCTGCTATCAGAAAACCTCAGAACCCTAATCTAGGTGTTTTCTTCCTGTAGTATTGCAAAATGAAAGTCAATAAAGAAATGAATCTGAGAGATCTAAGTATAAAAACAGCATGATTCTTTCATAGTTTTGAGTCACTTCATTCAACCGATTCCATCGATTTTTTTCAACTTGCATTTCTAGTTCTCTGTATTAATTTCCTAGAGCTACTGTAACTAAGTACCACAAACTAGGTAGCCTAAAACAACAGAAACTCATTGTCTTACAGTTCTGGAAACTACAGGTTTTAAATTAAAGTGTCAGCAAGCCATGCTCTCCCTGAAGGCTCTAAGCGAGGATCCTGTGATCCTTCCATCCTTCCTCACCTGTTGCTAGCTTTTGATAGTTTATTGTTTGGTTTTGTTTTTGTTGTTGTTGTTGTTGTTTGAGACAGGGTCATGCTCTGTCACCCAGGCTGGAGTGCAGTGGTGCAGTCACGGCTCACTGCAGCCTCAACCTGGGCTCAAGCGATCCTCCCACCTCAGCCTCTCAAGTAGCTAGGACTGCAGGCGTGTGCCGCCTCGTCCAGTTAGTTTGTTTTTATTTTTTAAAGAGACATGGTCTCACTGTGTTGTCCTGGCTGTTCTCCAACTCTTGACCTCAAGCTAACCTCTTACCTTGGCCTCCTGAAGTGCTGGGATTACAGGCATGAGCCACTGCGCCCAGCCTGGGTAGTTCCTTGTTTGTTGTTCCTTAACTCGTAGACACATCACCCCAAGCCTCCATCATCACGTGACGTTTTCTCCACGTCTAAATTTCCTTCTTTTTATAAGAACACCAGTCATTGGAATAGAGTCCACTCTTCTCCAGTACAACCTCATTTTATCTTCATCACATCTGCAAAGATCCTATTTCCAAATAAGATCACATTCATAGGTACCAGAGGTTAGGACTTCGACATATCTCTTTCAGGGACATTCAAATCACACACCTTCCCAGCTAGTCATTTTGTTTATTCTAATATTTTTTTTATTCTCTTTCCCTCCAGACTTCACCTTGGCCTTCCTTCTGTGAAGCCAAAATAGGCTTTTCTGAGTAATACAACTGATTCAGGGAATAACTATTCTGAATATACCCCAACCCAGACCCATCTGTCCCAGGAAAATTGTATACCCTGTTATCCTAATCTACCTTCTCCAAGTAGGAAACCCCACAATATTTAGTAGTTGCCTATTAAATTTGATATCCAGTAATCTAGGATTACAGATGGATGGAGACATGGATGCAGTGGCTCACACCTGTAATCCAGCACTTTGGGAGGCCAAGGTGGGTGGATCACCTGAGGTCAAAAGTTTGAGACCAGCCTGATCAATATGGTGAAACCCCGTCTCTACTAAAAATACAAAAATTAGCTGGGTGTGGTAGCATGTGCCTGTAGTCCCAGATAATTGGGAGGCTGAGACAGGAGAATTGCTTGAACCCGGGAGGCGGAGGTTGCAGTGAGCCAAGATCATGCCACTGCAGTCCAGCCTGGGTGACAGAGCGAGACTCAGTCTCAAAAAAATTAATTAATTTTAAAAATTTGATATCCAAATGATATAATGATGTCAGGACAAAAATGAACAGAAGAAATAATGGTGTGTTTCAAAGAGTACAGGGTTTGAAATCAGAAAACCTGAGTTGCAATTCCAGTGCTGATACTTAAAACAGAACCAATCTAGTTCTTCTAAATGCTAGTGCAATATTCTTTTCATCATCGTAAGGCTAAAGGCTCCACCTGTGACCCAAATTCAATTCCCATACCAAGAATGGTCCTAGATTGCACCGAATGCTGCACCTAAATTCAAATGGAAATGCCCAAGGAGAAGGAAAAGAAGAGAATAAAGAGGAGGAAAGGAGGAGCAAAAGAAGGAGGAGAAGGAAAAGGAGAAAGATGGGAGGAAATTGCAAAATACAATTTCCAGAAATCTCTTTTAACAATTTTTAAGCAGATACACAGACAAAAAGTCCCAAAAGGAAACTGTCTCTTGGAGCTTCCCTACAGATGAATGGAAAGAAGTCACTGGCAGTTACCAGCGTGTATTTCATGCTATTTTCGTTAGTGGGTGAGTCATCCATGCCGGGTAGTGAATTTCCCAGGCTTTCAAATTTAAATAGGCGTATATAGTGCAAGGCATTCATTTTACCATAGAGTGTTTTCTCCTGTTGGTCATAAAAGGAATCCATTGTGTTATGATTAGGTCATGCTTGACCCACCTCAGGAATGTTTTCAGAGTGACAGAACATTTCTTTCTCAGAGATGTCTCCAAGGTTCAAGGAAGTCTGATCGGCATACTTACAAAGGCCTTGTGATCCTAATAGGGTCTAAGACAAGTCCTCCCCTTCTTTTGTGGGCGGGCTGTTATTGTTAATCCAGCTGCACTGGGTAATGACGCCCACCTTTTCATTCTAAACATAGAATAAGAGAGTAATTAACAGAGCCTAATCACACCAAAAGAAAATCCTGCTTTTTAAAAAAATCTTGCTTCAGAATAATTTAATTGTGCTTCACATGTTTTGAACAACAATTTTAGACAAGAATTTAACTTACTACATGTCATTTTTCCTCCATCTGTCATAATTACTCAATAAATACATCGGCTTCAAAAATTGCATCTAAAATTATTCATGCAAGTGGTGTATTTTCTGATCAAACCACTGCAGGCGGTGAGTGGTGCCATCAATCATTTTTTTCTTTCTTTCTTTTTTTTTTTTTTTTTTGAGACAGAGTCTTGCTCTGTCGCCCAGGTTGGAGTGCAGTGGCACGATCTCGGCTCACTGCAACCTCTGCCTCCCAGGTTCAAGTGATTCTCCTGCCTCAGCCTTCCAAAGAGCTGGGATTACAGGCACGTGCCACCACACCCAGCTAATATTTTCATATTTTTAGTAGAGACAGGGTTTCACCATGTTGGCCAGGCTGGTCTTGAACTCCTGACCTCAGGTGATCCATCCACCTCAGCCTCCCAAAGTGCTGGGATTACAGGCATGAGCCATCATGCTCGGCCTTTCTTTTTTTTTTTTTTTTTTTAATCCCCCTCCATGTCCACCCATTGACAATACAGAGGAGTTGCAGGGCCTGGGTTGAGGTGTATATGGCATAGGTTAATTCAGCCTACTCTTTCTATTTGGTTAGGGTAAGAACACATCCTGTGCTGAGCACCAGGAGGCTAACACCACAAATCTTTGAGGCTGAAACTTACAAGATTTCAGCTTCTGAAACAACCAATCCAGGCCCAAACTGACACTGAGCTAAGGATTCAGTGCCTACCAGTTACAGTTTGAATTTGTCACTCATATTTGACAGGTAATTATTTCTCCTCAGAAATAATAATTTTTTTACTTAAAAGGACCTCAGGTGAGAGACTGGGGATAAGAGAAAAGGGCAATTAGGTTATTGCTTAGCAGTTGTTACTGAATGTTAGAAATAAGAGCTCGGAGTCATAAAGAAAACCAGCACTCGAACAAAAGATTTCTCAGTAAGGCAAATTTACTTCTGCAGAAGGTGCTGCTCACACTCCTGGCCATGGCAATAGCACACAGAGTGGGGTAGGGCAGTGGTTTTTATCCCTAACGCAGCAGCTCCTGTAGCTGTGTCCTTTCCCCATTGGCTGGAGTCCGACTACACAATCTAAGGTGACTTGATTGGCTACTGTTTAAAATTGAATAGGGCTAACTTGGTGGGAAGGGAGAGGCTGTTTGTTACAGTACAAGGCATGTCCGGGCGTGTTAGGGAGCAGCAAAGGCTGGAGGGGTAGTTTTGGCAGGAAGGGCAATTGCAGAGCACATAAGAAATAGATGTGAGTTACAGATTAAGGCTGGCGGGAAGGTTATTTACTGTAACTAGGGGCAAGAAGAAGTATAAAGAACGAGGAAGTTAGGCTTGAAAATAGAGAACAAAGAATAGGCCGGGCGCTGTGGCTCACACCTGTAATCTCAGCACTTTGGGAGGCCGAGGCGGGCGGATCATGAGGTCAGGAGATCGAGACCATCCTGGCTAACACGGTGAAACCCCGTCTCTACTAAAAATACAAAAACATTAGCTGGGAGTGGTGGCGGGCACCTGTATTCCCAGCTACTTGGGAGGCTGAGGCAGGAGAATGGCATGAACCCAGGAAGCGGAGCTTGCAATGAGCCGAGATCATGTCACCGCACTCCAGCCTAGGTGACAGAGTGACAGAGTAAGACTCTGTCTCAAAAAAAAAAAAAAGAAAAAAAGAAAACAGAGAACAAAGAACAAGGAAGCTGAACAAGCCAACTCAACTCTTTGAAGAGGAACTTACTGCACCTAACACTGAATAAGATTAACTGTGGCTTCTTTCCATTTAAGTATCAAATTACAAAAATGGAAATCTTTCTGGAAACTCATAAACCTTAACTTTAAGGAAGATTTAGTTTTAACAATATCAATTCATTTTTGTTTTTGTTTTTGTTGTTGTTTGTTTTTTTGTGACAGGGTATCACTCTGCTGCCCAGCTCACTGCAACTTCCACATCCAGAGCTCAAGCCATCCTACCACCTCAGCCTCCTGAGTAGCTGGGACTACAGGCACACACCACCATGCCCAGCTGATTTTTATATTTTTTTTGGTACAGATGAGGTTTCACCACGTTGCCCAGGCTTGAACCCCTAAGCTCAAGTGATCCGCCTGCCTGGGCCTCTTAAAGTTCTGGGATTACAAGCATGAACCACTGCACCCAGCCAATTCATATATTTTAATGTTTCCTTTTTTTTTTGGAGACTGAGTCTTGCTCTGTCACCCAGCCTGGATCTTGTCTCACTGCAACCTCTGCCTCCTGGATTCAAGCAATTCTCCTGCCTCAGTCTCCCAAGTAGCTGGGATTACAGGCTCATGCCACCATGCCTGGCTAATATTTTTGTATTTTTAGTAGAGGCAGGGTTTCTCCATGTTGGCCAGGCTGGTCTCAAACTCCTGACTTCGTGATCCGCCTGCCTTGGCCTCCCAAAGTGCTGAGATTACAGGCGTCAGCCATCACGCCTGGCCTTTAACTGTTTCTTTATAAGAAATTGTTTAGACCAGAAATGTAACTAAATTACAAGGTAAATGCCCTAAAGAGAAACTTATGCATGGTCCCTTCCTTTGATGGAAATGTCTCCCCCTCAAAAGGTAGATCGCACCACATACAGCAGCTACATGTTAAAAAGAAATAAAAACATTGTCTTTTGTTTTATAATAATCAATAAAAAGTATTTACATTGTCAATCCAAGAAAATGATGAGAAAAGTCTCCATCATTTTTGGAGATTTATTTGCCAAAGTTAAGGACGTGCCCGGGAGACAGGTCTATGTCTTTCTCCGAAGATGATTTGAGGGCTCCAAATTTAAAGAGAAAAGCACAGAATTTTCGCATCAACAAAAGAGGGCAGAGGAAAAATGTGGGAATCTGCATTTTACATAAGATAATGAAACCGCCTTTGCAAAATTATGACTGAGAGAGTGCAAGAGATCTAACTTAACCGACTCCATCTTGCTTCTAACCTCCAAGCTGTCCTCGTTCATTCCTGGTGATAGGCTGAACTAACTTTGGGAGAAACCTAGTTTACAGTTTATAGTTTAAGCAAAGATGCTAACAGCCCTTTCCCAAAGCAGACCTTCTTCTTGCTTGGGGACTAGATTGCCTTTGTAGGACTAACATTAGCCACAAGATTAGAAATTACGATTTAGGAGTCATGCAGATGGAGGCTAAAGAAGACTCTGACACTCCCTAAACTGCTCCTAAGAGCAGGGCTTGAGAGGTTTTGCAGACCCTGCACTTGATGGATCAGCTGGCACCACCCAGATCAATAAACTGGCTCATCTGATCTTGTGGCCCCCACCCAGGAACTGACTTAGCGCAAGAAGACAGCTACGATTCCGTAGGATTTCACCCCTGACCAATCAGCACTCTTGGCTCACTGGCTTCCTCCCCACCCATCAAGTTATCCTTAAAAACTCTGCTCCCTGAATGCATGGGGACACTGATTTGAGTAATAATAAAACTCCGGTCTCCCGCACAGCTGGCTCTGCATGAATTACTCTTTCTCTATTGCAGTTCCCCTGTCTTGATGAATCGGTTCTGTCTAGGCAGTGGGCAAGGTGAACTCCTCGGGCAGTTACAATAATACAGACAGAATGGGGTAGGGGAACAATCAGATAGGCATTTGTGTCTGGCAGGTGGGGGTGACTGCACCTATAAAGATAAGCTCTGGATCAGATGCAGAGGCTCACACTTGTAATCCCAGCACTTTGGGAGGATGAGGTGGGCGGATCACCTGAGGTTGGGAGTTCGAGACCAGCCTGACCAACGTGGAGAAACCCTGTCTACTAAAAACACAAAATTAGCTGGGCTTGGTGGCACATGCCTGAATCCCAGCTATCTGGGAGGCTGAGGCAGGAGAATCACTTGAACCTGGGAGGCGGAGGTTGCAGTGAACCAAGATTCACTCCAGCCTAGGCAACAAGAGTGAAACTCCGTCTCAAAAAAAAAAAGATAAGCTATCAATTTGCATTGCCATGGTAAAGTTTTAACAGCTCACTAGGAATTTCTTATGGACAAATCATGGGGGAGGCATGTAGACTTTCCTCTTGCAGCCATCTTATTTAAGAACCAAATGGGGCAGGCAGGTTTGCGTGACCCAGTTCCCAGCTTGACTTTTCCCTTTGGCTAAATGAGTTTGGGGGTCTCAAAATTTAATTTCCTTTCACAACATTCACCAATCAAACAAGGTTGACAAGGATTGTTGTTGGTATTGTTTTGTTGTTTGTTGTTTTCTTTTTTTTTTTTTAGAGACAGGGTCTTACTCTGTTGCCCAGGCTGGAGTGCAGTGGTACAATCCTAGTTCACTGTAGCCTTGAACTCCTGGGCTCAAGGGATCCTCCAGACTCAGCCTCTTAAGTAGCTGGGATTGTAGGCACACTCTAGCATGCTCAGCTAATTAAAAATATTTTTTTTCTCATTTTGTTGCCCAGGCTGGTCTTGAATTACTGGGCTCAAGTGATCCTCCCATCTGTGCCTCCCTAAGTGCTGGGATTATAGGCCTGAGCCACCATACATGGCTGACATTGTTTTCTTAAACAGTGATTACAAAATAACTCATCATAGAAAGTTAAAAGTGAAGTGAGATACCATAAATGGAAAACGCGGGATGCTGAGCATATTGTTCTATTAAGGGTCAGTGTTTTTCCCACACATGTTCAACATCTTGATTTAACTAAAAAGAAAAGGGGGAGTGGGTAGGAGGTGCCATGACTTTCCCAGTTTCCAGGCCAACATGGTGAAACACCGTCTCTACTAAAAATACAAAAATTAGCCAGGCATGGTGGCGAGCACCAGTTTCCTTAGGTATATTAAAAGAATGCAGCGTGCCACAAGGAAAGACTACAGAGAATTAGTCTGGGGGAGTCAGAATGTAATAGGAATGTAATTGCTGGGCACAGTGGCTCATGCCTGTAATCCCAGCACTTTGGGAGGCCAAGGCCAGCAGATCACAAGGTCAGGAGTTCAAGACCAGCCTGGCCAACCTGGTGAAACCCCGTCTCTATTAAAAATACAAAAATTAGTCGCGTGTGGTGGCATGGGCCTGTAATCCCAACTACTTGGGAGGCTGAGGCAGGAGAATCGCTTGAACCCGGGAGTCGGAGATTGCAGTGAGCTGAGATCATGCCATTGCACTCCAGCCTGGGCTACAGAGCGAGACTGTCTCCAAAAAAAAAAAAAAAAAAAGAACGGAAAGGGCAGGTAGGAAATGCTGAATTTGCTAAGTGAGCATGTGTAGTCTAAGGGAGGAGCTCTGGAGTAGAGTAGAGGCTCTCTTTGTAGTAGGCACCTCCTGCCTGCTGCCATGACAGAGGTTCTCTCCATCTGCCATTCCCATCTGTATGGGTGTGTCCTATACATTGATGGCTCCCACCAAGCCTCCTCATAAACTGTGTATTCCCAGCTCATGTTAACTAATTTACTTCGTGGTGTATGTCTTTTTTTTTTAGAGAGAGGGGCCTGGCTATGTTGCCCAGGCTAGAGTGCAGTGGCTATTCACAGACGTGATCATGGCACACTGCAGCTGCAAACTCCTAAGCTCAAACTATCCTTGTGTGCTTCTTAATCTTCCACTGCACCAAAGAATTGTTCTGTGCTGCCATCTTCAAACTAATAGGATCACCATTCTCTTTCCCTGGGCTTTTCCTGGGGCTGCGTGAATGCCAGTATCCTCAGCTGTCAATTCACAAAGGAGAGACCACGTCCACACCCAAGGAGCACATGAGCTGCACAATGACAAGCATTTAAAAATTCTAATATGCAAGGCCGGGCACAGTAGCTCACACCTATAATTCCAGTACTTTGCGAGGCCGAGGCAGGCTGATCACTTGAGGTCAGGAGTTCAAGACCAGCCTGGCCAACATGGTGAAACCCCATCTCTACTAAAAATACAAAACTTAGCCAGACATGGTGGCGAGCGCCTATAGTCACAGCTACCTGGGAGGCTGAAGCAGGAGAATTGCTTGAACCTGGGAGGCGGAGGTTGCAGTAAGCCAAAATCGCACCACTGCACTCCAGACTGGGTGACAGAATGAGACTCCCTTAAAAAAAAAAAAAAATTAACGTTCAAAAGAACTGATTAGGATACCTTTAGAATAAGGTTGAAAGGGATAGAAATTGCTGCTAGTTATCTTATCTCAATCTTAGAATGTTTAAACCGGAAGGGGACTTAAGAGATGAAGATACTGAGGTCCAGGGACACACCAGGGTCACCCTGAGTAAGCACACAGGTCTCCAACCTACTCGTTCACCACTCTCCACTACACTTCCCTCTTTCTCTCATCGACTGTTATGAATCTTAATCCTTTTTCTCTTTTATGTTCGAGGTTTTAAAGGAAGAAAATTAAATTTTTTTCTACTTGTTTAATTCTGTGTCAAAAACCCACCAACATCATGCTAAGCTCTTCATATTTAACTACTAGAGTGAAAAATAAATATGTAAATAGCAGAGATCCATGTAGTGACCCAGGGACATATTCCCTGAGAAAATTATGTGCATCTGCACCAGGATATTTATACAGGAACTGTTTTACCAGGTGGTCAGATGGTGCCACGGGATAAAATATGACATGAGTGTGGCCAAGGTCAAGAAGCAGGTAAGTGCTGCCCAGGGAAGAGAAGACCAGAGCATGAGTCAAGGTCACTGAGAACAGACAACATGCACACCAGGGTCAAGCATCTATTTACAGCAAGACGAGTGAGAACACAAAATCCAGTCCCTTGCAAGATATCGGTCCCCACAACCAGCAGATACACTTCATATCCAATCCAGGCAGCATGGCCACACACAGCCCTTTTTGGGCTGTAGTATGCTGGGCCCAGACCCTTGCCCCATGAGGTCTGAAATACAAAAAGCTGGAGGCATGCCTGACACATGCATGGCTAAGTAGTCTGTTTTTTATTTGTTTTGTTTGTTTGTTTGTTTTTGAGATGGAGTTTTGTTCCTGTCGCCCAGGCTGGAGTGCAATGGCATGATCTTGGCTCACTGCAACCTCTGCCTCCCAGGTTCGAGCAATTCTCCTGACTCTGCTTCCTGAGTAGCTGGGATTACAGGCACCCACCACCATGCCCAGCTAATTTTTGTATTTTTAGTAGAGATAGGGTTTCACCATGTCGGCCAGGCTGGTCTCCAACTCCTGATCTCAGGTGATCCACCCTCCTCTGCCTCCGGAAGTGCTGGGATTACAGAGATGAGCCACCACGCCCAGCCTGTTAAGCAGTTTTGAGAAAGGTTTACTTGTGCTCAGTAAAGAGGGAACAGGTACAGTCCGGTGCGCTCTGAGCTCTTGCATGCAATTTGCTTAGTGAGCTGGTCAGCACCTCCTGTACCAAGCACAGCGTTCTTCTTCTTCTTGGGAACACTGGCTGCCTTTGGACCTTTCTCTCACAAAAACATTTGACATCGTACATGTATCCTGATGGTCTTATATACTCAACATTGTTTGCAATAGCCCGTGCAGGAAAAACATTGGAATGGATAAATTGTGAGATGTTCACACAATGAAATACACACAGCAATAAAAGTAAACAGACTAGAGATACGCACGATAATATAAATGAATCTTAAAGTTAATATCATGCAAAAATGCAAGACACAAAAGCATACATGCTAATTCCATTTATATGAAGTTCAAAAATAAGCAAAACTAAACTATTGTTTAGGAATACATACATAATTGGCAAAACACCAAAGAATGGCAAGTGACCAAAAGAAGTGACCAACATTCATAAAAAGCAGAATTGTGGTTCCTCCATGGAAAAGGAGGAGTTTGAGCCAGATGTTGTTTCAAAACACAGGGATATTATGAAATTTCCTGTCTTAATCTAGCTGATAATCAGACAAGTGTTTGCCTTATAAATATTTACTGTACTGAACATTTACTGTGGAGCCTACGAGAATGCACCACCCAGCCCTCCTATTACAAGGAGTATTACTTGACTGAAGGCGTAGATGCATTCAGAACCCCACTGCAGCATTGTGGTAAGGCCAACCCCACCCACAACAATAGGATTGGCCCTGAGGCTGCTCCACTCATGGCTGAGATTGACAGGTAGAGCAGGGCAGAACAGATCCTAGGAGATACAGGAGGCTTGCAACCACAAACTTCAGCTGAGGGGCTCCCCAATAGCTTTGCCAAACCTTCCCTAGACTTCAAGTCAATTTAGGACAAATCTATCTCTCTCTCTTTCACCCTGGGTCAGACTTGCAGGGGAACAATTGCTGTCCTAGCCTTTCCCCAAAGCCTCTCCGATTCCCTCTCTATTTACTTTCCCAAAGGTATTTCTCTTTATAAAATCATTGCACATTTAATCCCTTCTTGGCCTCTGCTTCTCGAAGGACCCCAAGCTAGCAAAATTATGTTTTATTCCCTTTTTTTTTTCTTTGAGATGGAATTTTGCTCTTGTTGCCTAGGCTGGAGTGCAATGGCATGATCTTGGCTCACTACAACCTCCACCTCCCTGGGTTCAAGAGATTCTCCTGCCTCAGCCTCCCAAGTAGCTGGTACAGGCGTTCACCACCACACCCGGCTAATTTTTTGTGTTTTTAGTAGAGACGGGGTTTCACCATGTTGATCAGGCTGGTCTCGAACTCCTGACCTCAGGTGATCCACCCAACTCGGCCTCCCAGAGTGCTGGGATTACAGGCGTGAGCCACAGCGCTCAGCCGTTTTATTCCCTTTTCTACATATGTATTCCATTCCTCAGTGTTAAAAATGTTTAAAACGGTCATGCTGGCTGGGCATGGAGGATAACACCTGTAATCCCAGCACTTTGAGAGGCCAAGGTGGGTGGATGACCAGGTCAGGAGTTGGAGACTAGCCTGGCCAACATGGTGAAACCCCATCTCTACTAAAAATACAAAAATTAGCTGGGCGTGGTGGTGCACACCTGTAATCCCAGCTACTTGGGAGGCTGAGGCAGGAGAATTGTTTGAATTCAGGAGGTGGAGGTTGCAGTGAGATCGCACCACTGCACTCCAGCCTGGGCGACAGAGCAAGATTCTGTCAAGAAGAAGGAGAAGGAGAAGGAGAAGCAGAAGCAGAAGCAGAAGCAGAAGCAGAAGCAGAAGCAGAAGCAGAAGCAGAAGCAGAAGCAGAAGCAGCAGAAGAAGAAACAGTCATGCCAATCTGTATAGCAAAAAAGTGAGGGGGAGTTAAAAATCTGGTGGTGTATCTATGGGGGTTGATGGTGTTGCTGAAATGCCCCATAATGGTTAATATTGTGTCAACTTGATTGGATTGAAGGACGCAAAGTACTGCTCCTGGGTGTGTCTGTGAGGGTGTTGCCAAAGGAGATTAACATTTGAGTCGGTTGTCTGGGAAAGGCAGACTCACCCTCAATCTGGGCGAGCACAATCTAATCAGCTGCCAGTGTGGCCAGAATAAAAGCAGGCAGAAGAATGTGGAAAGACTAGACTGGTTTAGCCTCCCAGTCTACATCTTTCTCCCATGCTGGATGCTTCCTGCCCTTAAACATCAGACTCCAAGTTCTTCAGCTTTAGGACTTGCACTGGCTTCCTTGCTCCTCAGCTTGTAGATGGCCTATTGTGGGACCTTGTGATTGTGTGAGTCAATACTCCTTAATAAACTCCCCTTTATATATACATCTATCCTATTTGTTCTGTCCCTCCAGAGAACCCTGACTAATACAGCCCCCAAAACCAACATTGACCTCTTAGTTTAGAATTTGGAAAATGTGGGAAATCAGGCTCTACTGGTCAGTGATTTTAAATGGTTTGTATTGGACTAATTTCTTCAGAGAAGCTCTTTTCTTTTTTCCAATCTTTAAAGTGTCTATGAGACAGAAAATACTAATAATGGTGAACAACTTTGCATGTATTTCTGTTTGTTTCCACATATGCTGTCTCAGTGACCCTCACCATAACCCCATTACTGTATTACAGAGAGGAAGCCAAGCCACAGGGAGATTTAGTGATCTGCCTGTTGCCACTTGTCTACTATCCCTGTTGCCACTTGTCTACTATGTGGAATAGTAAAGACAGAAAGACAGAACCAAAGTTTTTGACTTACAGTCCTCAGTGTTTCGTTTCCTCCTTGGCTGGACACAGTTTACATTTCAATACTATTACATTCATATTTTAACACTGAGCCTTCTACTAAATAGGGCATTCGATCTCATAGAACTTCCAAGAAGCCTTAGTCCCCTCTCTGGGTTTCAGCCAATAGCTCATCTCAAGACATGTGGAGTCTTACCTCACTCTGGCTCTTGGTATTCACCCCAGACATTGTCCAGACAAACTAAAAAGAGCTCTATCAGGATCCCTAGCACCAAAGACCCAAACTAGGCCAGGACAACAAAAATAGTGAGGAGGAAGAAACTGAGCCCCTTGATGGTCCTGTTCCCCAGCCCAAGCTCTCCCATCCACCTACTGACCACACTAGAAGGCAGCTTGTCACTGGGGAGTGACCCTGAACACAGGGGCCCTTAGATTCAGAGTGTGGCTAGGATGTGAGGAAGAGCAAGCCCATTCTAGCTGCTTTTGCAGGAGCTAGAAGACACCTGGCAATTTTCAGGGAAATCCCTGCCATATTGGTACCACGGGAAAGGGAAAGAAAGATGGCCTATTGTGGGACCTTGTGATTGAGAAAGAAAGAAAGAAAGAGAGAAGAAAGAAAGAAAGAAGAGAAGAGAAAGAGAGAAGAAAGAAAGAAAGAAGAGAAAGAGAGGAAGACAGAAGAGAAAGAGAGGAAGAGAGAAAAAGAAAGAAAGAAAGAAAAAGAGAGAAGAGAAAGAGAGAAAGAAACAAAGAAAGGAAGGAAGGAACGAAAGGGGAGGGGAGGGGAGGGGAGGGAGGAGAGGGGAGGGAGGGGAGGGGAGGGGAGGGGAGGGGAGGGAGGGGAGGGGAGGGGAGGGAAGGGAAGGGAAGGGAAGGGGAGGGAAGGGAAGGGAAGGGAAGGGAAGAAATCCCTGCTATAAACCTCTCCTAGCAGCTCTGAAGACAGGCTCCAGATTTTCTGGTTGCATTAACCCTTAACCTCAGTCCCCAACACTTTCCAGGAGTTTGTTATGTCACAACCCTGCATCCTCAGAGACTGTGCTTCAGTGTCCCAGCCAAGTTTGCCACCGCTTAATTTGCCTTACCAAAGAGCTCTATTCTGGATAATCTAGTGACCCAGGGCCACTGGAAAATTTATTTAAAGAGTTGGTTTGCCCTTGGGGAAAACTACATAGACCTGATAACAGAAAAACTGCATTATACCTGGTAATTGGAAAACTAATAGTTTGGAAGTGATGATTTAAATTATGCCATGGAGGAAATAAAATATTAGGCATAATGAATATAGTTGATCATAAAAGAATATTCTTGTCTTATTCCAGTTTGTTGGGGGAATGCTTTCAACCTTTCCCCATTCTGTATGATGTTGGCTGTGGGTTTGTCATACATGGCTTTTATTAGCTTGAGGTATGTATATTCCTTTTATGCTTAGTTTGTTGAGGGTTTTTATCACAAAGGGATGCTGAATTTTATCAAATGCTTTTTTCACATCTATTAAGATAATTATATGGTTTTTATCTATAATTCTGTTTATATGATGTATTACATTTATTAATTTGCATATGTTGAACCATGCTTGCATCCCATCCTTGGTCATGATGTGTGCTGTTCGATGTGCTGTTTGAATTGGCTTACTAGTATGTTGTTGAGGAATTTTGCATCTATGTTCATTGGGGATATTGGTCTATAGTTTTCTTTTTTAGGTCACATTCTTTTAAGGCTCAAAATAATTTAGATCTCCAACAGCTTAGATTCTGAATTTTTTCACATATCTTTCAGTCCTAAATCCTAGGCCTTTAATCAGTTGTGTGGTAAGTGTTAGTTCAGAAAGATATACAGCACACTCTTGTCTACATAATGCTGGCATGGCTGTTATAAAAAAAGTTTTGGTCATCTCAGGTTCCCAAAAGCTGGGTTCTCTTCCTATTTTGGGAAAAGAGGCAAACTAGTCATAGTTCTATAGATAACAAACCATGTGTGCCTAGAACCCCAAACTATGTCAAAAGGACTGCCCAATTAATGAGGGTGAACTGTCTATTTAATGGGAATTGAAAGCTTTAAGTCTCTTTTACTAATTAGTAGCAGATGCTGTACCAGATGCTGAATGGGGACTTACAGAGGGCAATACATATATATATATATATATATATATATATATATATATATATATACACACACACACATATATATACATATATATATATAAAGATATATTCTGTAATAATCATTCCAAATAATATTAGCATTTACATCTTTCTGCTGGCCTGTGTTATGAACAGCAATCCACCACCACTCTTCAATGAAGTACTGGAACTCCTAGCCAGAGCAATTGAGCAAGAGAAAGAAGAAAAAGGCATACAAATTGAAAAATAGAAAGTCAAAGTATCTCTGTTTGATGATGACATGATCTTATACCTGAAAAAATATAAAGGTTCCACCAAAAAACTCTTACATTTGATAAATGAATTTAGTAAAGTTGCAGGATACAAAATTAATATACAAATATCAGGGGTGTGTCTATACACCAATTAGCAATATAGCTGAGAGTGAAATCAAGAAGACATCCTACTTGCAATAGCTATAATATTAAAGAATAATGAAATACCTTGGACTATATTTAACCAAGGAGGTAAAAGATCTCTACAAGGAAAACTACAGAACACTGATGAAAGAAATTAGGGATGCTACAAACAAATGAAAAAAAAAAGTCCCAGTTCATGGATTGGAATAATTAATATTACTAAAATGACCATACTACCCAAAGCAATCTACAGATTCAATGCTATCCCCATGAAAATGCCAACATTATTTTTCACAGAACTATAAAAAAAGATTCTAAAATTCATGCAGAACCAAAAAAAGAGTCCAAATAACCAAAGCAATTCTAAGCAAAAGGATTGAAGCTGGAGACGTTGCATTACCTGACTTCAAATTAGACTCTGAATCTATAGTAACCAAAAACAGCATGATACTGGTATAAAATTAGACAAAAAGATCAATGAAACAGAATAGAGAACCCAGAAATGAAGCCACATATGTATAGCCAACAGATCTTTGTTGAAGTCAAGAAGAACATACATTAGGAAAGGGACACCCTTTTCAATAAATGCTGCTGGGAAAATTAGAATGCCATATGCATAAGAATGAATCTGGACCCCTGTCTCTCATCACATATGAATATCAACTCAAGATACATTAAAGACTTGCATGTAAGACCTGTGGCTGTAAAAATACTAGGAGAAGGTCAGACATGGTGGTTCACACCTGTAATCCCAGCACTTTGGGAGGCCGAGGTGGGTGGATCACCTGAGGTCAGGAGTTTGAAAACAGCCTGACCAACATGGTGAAACCCTGTCTCTACTAAAAATACAAAAATTAGCAGGGCATGGTGGTGCAAGGCTGTAATCCCAGCTACTAGGGAGGCTGAGGCAGGAGAACCACTTGAACTCAGGAGGAGGAGGATGCAGTGAGCCAAGGGCACTGAGATCACACCACTATGCTCCAGACCGGGCAAAAAGAGTGAAACTCCGTCTCAAAAAAAAAAAAAAAAAAAAATACTGGAAGAAAATATGGAAAAAACTCTTCTGGACATTGGTCTAGGCAAAGAATTTATGACTAAGACCTCAAAAGCACAGGCAACAAAAACAAAAATAGACCAGTTAGACTTAATTAAACTAAAAGCTTCTGCACAGCAAAAGAAATAATCAACAGAGTGAACAGACAACCTGCAGAATGGGAGAAAATATTTGCAAACTATGCATCTGACAGGGGACTGATATCCAGAATATACATACAAGGAACTCAAACAACTCAACAACAACAAAAAAAATACCATTAAAAAGTGGGCAAGTGCCAGTCCATTGTCCTGTATGAGGAACCTGACCTTGTTCATACCACAGGGGCATCTGGCACAGGGCATTTCTCATTAATAATCTGCTTTGAAAGTCTTGACTTTAGGAGAGATTCAGGTTTGGGGCTTATCAATATCTTCACTTAAGACAGGGGTCAGCAAACTATGGCCACTGGACTGAATCCTGCCCACTGCCTAATAACATATGGTCTGAATCTGGTTTTTACATTTTTATTTTATTTTATTTTATATTTTATTATTTTATTTTTAAAATAAATAGACAGTCTTGCTCTGTCACCCAGGCTGGAGTGAAGTGACATGATCACAGCTCACTGCAGTCTCAAACTCCTGGGCTCAAGCAAACTTCCCGCCTCAGCCTCCTGAGTAGCTGGGACTGCAGATATGTGCCACCACATCTGGGTAATTTTTTTTTTTATTTTTAGCAGAGGAGAGGTCTCACTGTGTTGCCCAGGCTGGTCTGAAACTCCTGAGTTCAAGCAATACTCCTGGCTCACTCAGCCTCCCAAAGAGTTGGGATTGTAAGCATGAGCCACCACACCCGTCCTGATTTTCACATTTTTTAATGGTTGAAGACAAATTTTTAAAATATTTTATTATGTGAAAATCAGGCCAGGCACAGTGGCTCACGCCTGTAATCCCAGCACTTTGGAAGGCAGAAGCAGGCAGATCACATGAGGTCAGGAGTTCGAGACCAGCCTGGCCAACAAGGTGAAACCCCGTCTCTACTAAAAATACAGAAAAATTAGCCAGGTATAGTGGTGCATGCCTGTAGCCCCAGCTACTCAGGAGGCTGAGGCAGGAGAATCACCTGAACCTGGGAGACCGAGGTTGCAGTGAGCCAAGATCATGCCATTGTATTCCAGCCTGGGCGACAGAGCAAGACTCTGTCTCAAAAAAAAAATAAATAAAAAATACAATATTTCATTATATGAAAATCATGAAATTCAAATTTCATTTTAGTGAATAAACCTTTAATGAGAAACAGTCATATCTGTCTGTTAAAAAAAAAAAAGGTGGGCAAAGGACATGAGTAGACATTTTTCTTTTTCCTTTTTTTTTTTTTTTTTGACGGAGTTTTTGCTCTTGTCACCTAGGCTGGAGTGTAATGCCGCGATCTTGGCTCACTGCAACCTCCACCTCCCTGGTTCAAGCGATTCTCCAGACTCAGCCTCCTGAGTAGCTGGGATTACAGGCACCCACCACCACACCCTGCTAATTTTTTGTATTTTTAATAGAGATGGGGTTTCACCATGTTGGCCAGGCTGGTCTCGAACTCCTGACCTCGGGTGATCTGCCTGCCTCAGCCTCCCAAAGTGCTGGGATTACAGGCATGAGCCACCATGCCTGGCCCAACATTTTTCAAAAGAAGACATAAAAATGGCCAACGGTTATGTGAAAAAATGCTCAACATCACTAATTATCAGTGAAACGTAAGTTAAAACCACAATGAAATATCATCTAAGCCAGGCATGGTGACCCATGCCTGTAATCCCAGCACTTTGGGAGGCCAAGACAGCAGGATCACCTGAGCCCAGGAGTTTGACACCAGCCTGGACAACATAGAGAGAAACCACCTGTCAAAAAATACAAACATTAGCCAGGCATGGTGGTGCCCACCCATAGTCTCAGCTACTCGACAGGCTGAGGTGAGAGGGTCACCTGAGCCTAACAGTCCGAGGCTGCAGTGAGCTGTGACTACACCACTGCACTCCAGCCTGGGCAACAGGGTAAGACCCTGTCTCAAAACCAAACAAACAAACAAAATTAAATATTATTTTATCCCAGTCAGAACAGCTATTATTTAAAAGTCAAAAAAAAAAAAAACAACTATTGGCGAGGATGTGGAGAAAAGGGAACTCTTACACAATGTTGGTGGGAATGTAAATTAGTAACCGTCTACGGAAAACAGTTTGGAGATTTCTCAAAGAAGTAAAAATAGAACGACAATTCAATCCAGCAATCTCACTACTGAATATCTACCCAAAGGAAATCAATATATCAAAAAGACACCTGCACCTGTACATTTATTAAAGCACTATTTACAATAGCAAAGATGTGGACTCAACCTAAGTGTTCATCCATGGATGATTCGATAAAGAAAATGTGGCATATATACACGTATTCAGCTATAAACAAGAATGAAATCATGTCTTTTGCAGCAACATGGATGGAACTAGAGGTCAATATGTTAGGTAAAGGCCAGGCGCGGTGACTCACACCTGTAATCCCAGCTCTTTGGAAGGCCAACGTGGCTGAATTACCTGAGGTCAGCAGTTCAAGACCAGCCTGGCCAACATGGTGAAACCCCATCTCTACTAAACCTACAAAACTTAGCCAGGTAGAGTGCTGTGCACCTGTAATCCCAGCTACTCAGGGGGCTGAGGCAGGAGAATTGCTTGAACCCAGGAGGTGGAGGTTGCAGTGAGCGGAGATCATGCCATTGCACTCCAGCCTGGGTGACAGAGCTATATTGTTTAAAAACAAACAAACAAAAAACTTAGGTAAAGCAAGCTAGACACACAAAACAAATATCTCATGTTTTCATAAGTTGGAACTTAAAAAAATGTATACATATGAATGTAGAGAGTGGAATGACAGAACATGCAGACTCAGAAGGGTAAGGAGATTGCAAGGGTACATGAAGAGAAATTACTTTTGAAGGGCAAAATGTATGTTATCCAGGTGATAGGTACCCTAAAAGCCCTGACTTGAGCACTATGCAATCTATGCATGTAACAAAATTGCACTTGTACCTTATAAATTTTTACAAGCAAAAAATAAAATAAAATAAAATATAAAATAAAACAAAATAAATGAATGTGATGATGGCACCTGAGTCACGTGAAAGACAGCTGTAACCTAGGCAGCCGTAAACTTTGTTTCTCTGTTTATAGATTAGCCTTTTACCTTGCCTATATTGTTTTGTAAAATGTTGCAAATTATTAAAGAGCCCCGAGGAAGACCGCTTCCCTCTTCACTTATAGATTAACATTCCTCTTACCTTTCTCACACAAAAACTTCATGGCTATCACATTGTCTTAAGATGGGATGTTAAATACATTCTTTTTAATTGGAAAGGAAATAAAAACCAGCTATAAAGAAAAGAAAACAAGCATTATGGAAAAGAAAACAAAACTGCAACAAATTACATTGTTGTAACTCATAAACCAGTCTTTTATAGAAAATGTTATAATCCTACTAAATGTCTTTGTTATCTTTCTATATAAGTAAGAACTTAGCTTTTCGTTTAGGAACACTGACCCCATTTCTCTAGAGTCTTTGTGTCTCAGATGGCTATTCCCAGCTTTTTGCTTGAATAAACTCTTTAAACTGGATTCTGGTCCTTTTGATTATTTCAGGTTGACAGAAACAAGTAAGAAAAAGTATATGTGCTTGAATGTCCACTTGCTTTAAGCAGATTATTACGTTATGATGACTTGGCTTGCAGAGCAAAGAAAATATGAAAAAGAAGCACATCTCAATTATTCTTTCTGGAAGGAATCCAAGAACAACTAGACGAGAGATTTTATATGGCTGGTCTCCCATGGAAAACTGACCTTTTCCATTTTCAGTAACTCCAAGACCAGCTGTTCAGACTGTGAACCACAAGGGCGTAAAGGATGTCATTCTTATCTTTTTTTTTTTTTTTTTTTTTTTGAGAGAGCGCATCTCCCTCTGCCCAATCATAGATCACTCAAGCAGCATCAAGCTCCTAGGCTCAAGTGATCCTGCTGCCTTGGCACCCCAAAGTGTTAGGATTACAGGCATGAGTCACTGTGCCCAACTCATAGACATCTTTATAATTTTCCATTCTTGTGAATATTTGTATTTATAATGTTATTGGCTCTAAAAATTGATGCTATGAGAGTTTTTGGCAGATGGCAGTAAAATGTCTCTTGCTAATAAAATCTGCATATTACCATTTTCTGAAAAATGAAAGTAAATGGTTTATCTAACTGTTTCAATATGTATAATTCGGTTTCAATTTAAACAGGAGGAATAAGTACAATAATATAAAGATCTTGAAGATCCAAAAGCAAGTGAAACAAATCTGTCCTTCTACACAAGGAGATGCTTTTCAACCAAAATACTGTTTAGGGAGCATCGTAACATGTGAAGCAAAATTCTTTGTTGGTCTTAGGGCACTTAGTATTTCATATAATAGTTCATATGATCACCTACTTATTTATTATATTGGAAAGATATTGTCGAGTATCTCTGAGTCTTTTGATTATAACATGTGAAGGAAATAAAAATATTTTACCCCAAAATATATTTCTTTGCCATACTTTGAAGTGACCTGCAAGGATGTCTTTTGTGGGAGAAATTTGCATATGTCCATCTGTAGAGAATCTGCATTAATACAGCCAGCACTTCTCTGGATCCAGGAAAGATTAACAGAGTTAAAGGTCTGAAAAGGAACATTTACCATCTATTCTCTCTAAGGGCTCCTACCTGTGAGGTTTCATCTACATAACAAGACCACATTTGTTAGGCAAGCCTCTTCCTTTCTCCCTCCCGTGATCTGCTTTGCCACTAAAACCTGACTTACCGCTATAACTGATGATTATTATTTTTTTTGGCCATACTCTGAGCCCACATTCTTTTTGTAACCTCAAGATGTTACACAAGTTTTTGTACCTCACTGAGGGGTTGGGTCTTCATTCTGAAGGCTCACATGTATATACATTAAATACATTTGTATGTCTTTTCTCCTATTAATCAATCTGCCTCATTTCAGTGATTTTTCAGCAAACCTTTAGGAGGACAAGCCCCTTGGCTCCACATATGATTCACTACATAATAACTAACCTTTATTTACCACTAAAAATTTACAAAGAAATACTGCATAGAGATTGCTAATTTTTTTTTATTACAAATTTGGTAGTTTTATTGTCTTTGATTTTTTAACAATTTTTTTTATTATTATACTTTAAGTTTTAGGGTACATGTGCACAACATGCAGGTTTGTTACATATGTAGACATGTGCCATGTTGGTGTGCCGCACCCATTAACTCGTCATTTACATTAGGTATATCTCCTAATGCTCTCCCTCCCCCCTCCCCCACCCCACAACAGGCCCCGGTGTGTGATGTTCCCCTTCCTGTGTCCAAGTGCTCTCATTGTTCAATTCCCACCTATAAGTGAGAACATGCGGTGTTTGGTTTTTTGTCCCTGCGATAGTTGAGATTGCTAAATATTAATCCACTTTTAAAAACAGCAATTTTTTAATTATGGCGATTTCATCAATATAAAAATAACTACTATTGAGATGTAGAGGCCAGGCATGGTGGCTCACACTTGTTATCCCAACACTTTGGGAGGCCTAAGTGGGTGGGTCACCTGAGGTCAGGAATTCGAGACCAGCCTGGCCAACGTGGTGAAACCCTGTCTCTACTAAAATATAATAAAATTAGCCGGGTGTGGTGGCGGGCACCTTAATCCCAGCTACTTGGGAGGCAGAGGCAGAAGAATCGTTTGAACCCAGGAGGCGAAGGTTGCAGTGAGCCGAGATCGAGCCATTGCACTCAAGCCTGGGGGACGAGAGCGAGACTTCTCTCAAAAATAAAAAGAAAAATAAATATAAATATTTAGAGTAACATGCATACTATTTTTCATTTATTTTTAGCTTTCAATTTTTTATTTTTAAATGATATCAGACTTATTACAAAGTTGCAAAAATGGCATAAAAATTTTCTGTAGACTATACACTTCACTCAGTTTTCCTTAATGTTAACTTTTTTGTTGTTGTTTTGGTAGAGGCAGGGTCTCACTATATTGCCCAGGCTGGTCTCAAACTCCTGGGCTCAAGCGATCCTCCCACCTCAGCCTCCCAAACTTCTAGGATTACAGGTGTGAGCCACCATGCCCAGCCTTAACATCTTATATAACCATCATACAATGATCAAAAACAGCAAACTAATATTGATACAATATTATTAACTAATCTCAAAGCCTTACTCAAATGTTACCAGTTGTCCCACTGATGTTCTTTTTCTGACCCAGAATCCAGTCCAGGGTTCTGTGTTGCAGTTAATTTTCATGTATCCTTAGTCTCTTCCAATCTAGGACAGCTTGGGTTTTGGGGTGTTTTTTGTTGTTGTTGTTTGTTTTTTTGCATTATCTGACTTTGACAATTTTGAAGACCATTAGCTGGTTATTTTGTGGAATGTTCTTTAACTGCCCAACAGGTTCACCTTGCCTGCTGCTTAGACAGAGCCGACTTATCAAGACAGAGGAATCACAATAGTGAAAGAGTAATACATGCAGAGCTGGCTCTGCGGGAGACTGGAGTTTTATTATTACTCAAATCAGTCTCCCCAGGCATTCGAAGATCAGAGTTTTTAAGGATAATTTGGTGGGTGGGGGCAGCCAGTGAGTGGGGAGTGCTGATTGTTTGGATTGGAGATGAAATCATAGGGAGTCACATGATCAGATGGGCCACAAGATCAGATGAGCCAGTTTCTCAATTTGGGTGGTGCCAGCTGATCCATTAAGTGCAGGGTCTGCAAAATATCTCCAGCACAGATCTTAGGCTTTACAATAATGATGTTATCCCCAGGAACAATCTGGGGAGGGTTAGAATCTTGTAGCCTCCAGCTGCATGACTCTTAAACCATAATTTCTCATCTTTTGGCTAATTTGTTAGTCCTACAAAGGCAGTCTAGTCCCCAAGCAAGAAGGGGACCACCTTGGGAGAGAGCCGTCTTCATCTTTGTTCTGAACTATAAACTATAAACTAGGTTCCTCCCAAAGTTAGTTCAGCCTACATCCAGAAATGAACGAGGACAGCTTGGAGGTTAGAAACAAGATGGAGTCGGCTAGGTCAGCTATGTCTCAGCTATAATTTTGCAGTGGCAGTTTCAGTTCCACAATTTGGGCTTGTGGCATAATATAAACTATTTTTGGTCTTTGTCCACAGTTCCTAGCACAGAGTTCCTAAAACTCTTGGAATTTCCAGAGTTAGGAGAGTGTCTTTGTTATACTAATGAGGTTAATCCTAACCCTAGGTAGCTTCAGAATAGGGGCCAGCTGCCAGAAAAACCAATCTTGCGAGAAGAATGTTAGAAGTTTCAGCCCTATTCCCTAACCTCCAGGGAAGCAGAGAGCTGGAGATTTAGTCCAACCACCAATGACCAGTGATTTAAACAACCATGCTTACATAATAAAGCCCTTTGATAAAAGCCCTTAAACAACAAGGCCCTGGGAGCTTCCAAGTTGAACACATTGCTGTGCTGAGAGGGTGGTATACCTGGAGAGGGCATGGGAACTCTGAACTCATGCTGCACCAATACCTTGTCCTAGGCATCTCTTGCATCTGGCCATTCCTGCATTGTATCCTTTATAAGACTTTAATTGTAAGTATAGCACTTTACTGAGTTCTGTGACTCATTTTAGAGAATTGTCAAACCTCAGAGGAGGCAGGTCAGGAGAACCCCCAAATATGTGTGTATCAGTCCATTTTCACACTGTGATAAAAAAAAAATACCCAAGACTGGGTAATTAATAAGAGAATGGGTTTAATTGACTCACAGTTCCACATGGCTGGGGAGGCCTCGGGAAACTTACAATTGAAGCAGGAAATTTCCCTGACCCCTTTGTGGGCAGGAACTGGAGCACATGGGCACTGGATGTAGCTGACTGCTTCAGTGCCAGCAGGGGCAAACTCCACTCACTTGACCCTGCTGTGCTTCACCCTTCATGGGAGGGAGCATGCAGGTGAGCAGGTGCAGGAGCTGGGGCAAGTGCTTTTGGGTCCCGGCCAGAGCAAACCCCATGGCAGTGTCTAGGGGGTGCCTACAACCCCTGAAGCCCAGAGGGAGTGTGTTACAGTGCTCTCTTAGCTCTGTTGTCCATGGACAACTTAAGTTTTAAACAGGTCAGTGAGCCCTCTGCCCTTTTGAGTGAGGTGGCTGCTTTCTGCCAGCAAGGGCAGAAATTCAGGGTGACAGCCTTTTGTATCCTCACCTGTGGTACTGAAGCCCTTGTTCAGTGTCCAGGAAAAATCAAGTCGCAAGAACAAATTGAAGGGCAGTGAATCCAGAGGATTGTATTGCCAATGAAAGTGGCTCTTAGTGGAAAGGGGATGGAAGAGGAAGGTGATCTTCCCCCAGAGTCTAGCCATCCCCAACCAGACTCCTCTCCAAAGTTACACCATCAAGCCATCCCTCTGAAGTTAAGCTGCTTCTCTCCAACGTCCAAGCATAGCCTCTGACGTCCAGCTGCTTCTCCTCTCTGGTTGAGTTTGGGGTTTTTATGGGCACAGGATGGAGGACAGGGAGGGCCATGGGTGGTTTTGGAAAAGGCTACATTCAAACAGGACAACAGGAATGTATGCTCTCACTTTGGGTTGCAGTTCCAAGCTTGAGGGTGGGACCCTTACTGGGGACAGGCCCTCTTCTGCCCAGAATTTCCCTGCCTCCTGTCCCTATCACAATTATGATGGAAGGCAAAGGGGAAGCAAGAAACTTCTTCACAAGGTGTCAGGAGAGAGAAGAAAAAAGGAGTAACATCCAAACACTTATAAAACCATCAGATCTCATGAGAACTCACTCACTACCACAAGAACAGCATGGAGGAAACCACCCTCATCATCCAATCAAGTTCCCTCCCTCGACACATGGGGATTACAGTTTGAGATGAGATTTGGGTGGGGACACAGAGTTAAACCATATCAATGTGGTTGGTAGGGAGAAATGTGGGTGCCTTGAGGACACCTGAAAATTGCAGCTGGTGTCTGATATGAGGCAGTTTGAGCCTCTTAACATGTAGGGTCTGTGCTAACTCCAGGTAGTTACCATCAAGGTCAAATTAAATTGTAGGACACCCAGCTGATGTTATTGAATTAGTGTTGGAAAATGACAGACAGGGTTAACTGAGGCCTCCTTATGACAAATTCAGATTATATATTTTTGGTAAAAATACCACGGAAGTGATTTTGAGTCCTTCTTAGTGCATCACATCAGGAGGCACATGATGTTGATAGGTTATATTACTGGTATGGTAACTTTGGTCATTTGGCTAAGGTGATGTTGGCCAGGTATCTCCACTGTAAACCTGTCTTCCCCAAACCTATTATTTTTGTAATGTTTCAGATTCTAAGTTAAAATACGAAGCTATTACATAACTTTTTCCTGATGTCAAAAAGAATTTTTTTCTAATTACCAGTATAAGAAAACAGAAAATGGGCCAGTCGCAGTCACTCATGCCTGTAATCCCAGCACTTTGGGAGGCCGAGGCAGGTAGATCATGAGGTCAGGATTTCGAGACCAGCCTGGCCAACATGGTGAAACCCCATCTCTACTAAAGATACAAAAATTAGCCAGGGATGGTGGTGCATGCTTGTAGTCCCAGCTACTAGGGAGGCTGAGGCAGGAGAATCACTTGAACCTGGAAGGCAGAGGTTGCAGTGAGCTGAGATCATGCCACTGCACTCCAGCCTAGGCGACAGAGCAAGACTTCGTCTCAAAAAAAAAAAAAAAAAAGAAAGAAAACAGAAAATGGGCTGGATGTGGTGGGCCACACCTGTAATGCCAGCATTTGGGGAGACTTAGGTGGGAGGATTGCTGGAGCCCAGGAATTGGAGACCAGCCTGGGCAATATAATAAGATCCTGTTTCTATTAAATAACAAAAATATAATATTTTATCATATATAATATATAAAGTATATATATTTTATCATATATAATATATAAAGTATATATAATTTTTATATATGTATGTAAAGAAAAAACAACCACAAAAAAGTAAAAGCAACAACAACAGAAAAGAAAACAGTAAATGACAGAAATACATTTGGATAATTGAACACATTTGTGGAGGAAATAGATTAAATGCAGGGAGAAAAAAGGAATAGTTATTGGTATGAGCACAATATAGCACTTATGTGTCACTACTTGGACAGAATATGAATTTACTTTTCATCTCCATGTTCATTATAACTGACACATTTCCAGAAAAACCAGAAGAGAAAAAAAACAAGACTCCATTAAGCCCCATATACTTTCTGTGGATCCTAGTACACATTCACATAATTTGCATATTTAAAGGAATCTCTAGTTGGTAATTATCTACCCGAAGCTACAGGTAATAAGTTTTTAAAAACATTACACACAAATTCTCCCAGGTCACAAAAAATATTACTAGTCTTTTATACTTCAAAATAGCGTGTTTTCTGTCTTTATTTGAAAATCTTCGGGAATAGAAAAAAAAAAAATCAAAGAAAAATAGAAAATAAAACAAACATTGGCAGTATTTACCCTATGCCCTTAATAAACGTGAAGAAAATTAAACAGATATCCACAACAGTGTTAAGTATTTAAAATTGAAATGTGATTTTAAAATATAGTTACATTTACTTCATCTGTGAAAAAAGGGAAAAATATTTTTTAAAAATAAAATAATTATATGTATAGCTATAATTATTAATGCTACAAAACATTAACTATATGAAAATAAGATAAAATATGAGTGCACTCTTGTGAAGGACAGAATGTAGATGATTCATTTTTGGTGGACAATGTCAGCATTCAGAAGACCATCTAAGAACTTTATAAACATAATAATGAAAAATTTTCCTCATTTGGCAGAAACCACAGCAAATTTTAATGTTAAATACAGAACCTTTTTTTAGACTACAAACACTAACATCAAATCACATATAACTTGGATAAGGCAGGAAGTTCTAAATATTACTGAGCCATTTTAGATATAGCCCCTGATACGAGCTATATAGACTGGATAGTAATTATTACCAGATTTCTGGATGTTGAAAAGGCAAATATGTCTGTGGGTGAAAATTTTGTGGCAGTTTGTTCCATAAATGACATGACTAGAAAATGACTATATGTGTTTTTAATAATG
Organism: Homo sapiens; assembly: GCF_000001405.40. Taxonomy (NCBI): domain Eukaryota; kingdom Metazoa; phylum Chordata; class Mammalia; order Primates; family Hominidae; genus Homo; species Homo sapiens. The sequence continues at coordinate 138,212,248 of NC_000007.14, forward strand.
TTGATTGTTGATTCCTCTGCAGAAACTGCCAGAATAACCTGTTAGTCAAGCAAAGACAAGTGTATTTGACTTATGGCAGCAAGGGAGAGCAGCATCTTAGCAAAGTCTCTGCAGTGTCTTGGCAGGGGAAAGTTTTGGGGTCTGGTGATGCAGGGCAGGTCCTTCAAGGCAGGGACTGGTGGGGATTTGGAAAGAAAGTTCGTGACATAATAGTTTAGGATTGGTGGTCACAGCAAGTCTTTAAACAAGTCTGGAGAAACGAAACTATTGTCTTGATAAGACCAGCTGTTTGTCCAGGTGAGCACACAGTACTCTTGATAAGACTAGTTGTTGCCACAACCAGGCAACTGTTTGCCTTAATAAATTAGTTTGCAGGAATTTCCTAAAGCAAATGATAAAGTTACTTACTTATTAGTCTGCAGTCTTATTTTCTGGGGCTATAATTTACTGGGGGAAAAAATGGTTGAGCTATATGACAGAGATAATATCAATTCTCAGTAGAATGCTTATAAAAACTGAATCTAGATGAAATAATTTAGATGGCCAGGAAAATAACAATCCTACAAATACACATGGAAAATGTAAGGGATGGAACAACAAATCCCTTGGCTGGGCGCGGTGGCTCACACCTGTAATCCCAACACTTTGGGAGGCTGAGGCAGGCGGATCACTTGAGGCCAGGAGTTCGAGACAAGCCTGGCCGACATAGTGAAACCCTGTATCTACTACAAATACAAAAATTAGCCAGGCTTGGTGGCGGGCACCTGTAGTCCCAGCTACTAGGGAGGCTGAGTCAGGAGAATCACTTGAACCTGGGAGGTGGAGATTGCAGTGAGCTGAGATTGTGCCACTGCACTCCAGCCTGGATGACAGAGTAAGACTCGGTCTCAGAGAAAAAGAAAAAAAAAAAAGACCAGTAACAGTAAATCCCTGAAAAAATGTATATAACACAGCCTGTGTTCCTTGTTTTGCACATTCTTTAAACTTTACAGAAAACACGCAGCAATGTCTCTGGCATCAGAGTTGGAGATACTTGAAAATAATTTTAGAAGAGAAAACTTTGAAGCCATTTTTGAAAAAAAAAAAGATAAAAATCCAGTCAAAGCTATCATGACCCTAGAAACTCAAAGTAAGAATGCAATACTCAGACATTATTGTGAGTTTAATTGTTGAATTTTTCTGTAACACAAGCCAAAGTGATAATTTTGAAAATAACCAATTTTAAATATATTTGCTCAGCACCAATTTGGTATAATAGCTTCAGTAAAATTGATGTTATACGCAAAATGATGCAGGAGCAAAAATTCAATGTACATAATGCACTTAAAAGCATTAAAGGAATTAATAACTTTTTTGAAGACACAGCAATAATGCTTAGGAAAAATATATTGATACTAAAAAACTTGCAAAGTCTCTTGGCATTGACAAACTCACTGATATAGGCAAGCCTGAAAAAGGACCAAGACATTTCAATTCAACTGAAAATCCAATCTATGACCCAAAACTAAATTTCAAATTCAATTTTCTTCTATGCTAGATACAACAATATCATCTTTAAAGGAAAGTTTTAAAATACTGAAAGAAAATCATGGTCTTTCTGTGTTCTAGATGACAAATGTAATTTAAAGAATTCTAAGAAATATAAACTACTACAACTATGTAAGCACTAACTATTGAAATTGACTGGTGAACATAGTAAGAAAAATGACACTGACAAGACTTCAATGTATACGAAACTAAAACTTTTAGTTGATTTCTAAAATCAACACTTCCATTTCTCTAGATGAGGTATTGTAATATATTTGCCCCAATAATTTGCTGTTCACATGCCCTATAACTTTGGTAGCTCTAAGCATAAAGTTAACTTTGTGGCAGTAACTGCCAATGGAAAATTTCATAGCTTCACCAAACTAAGGTTTATTAAAGGTATATGATGGCATAAGAAAAACTTTGTTTTCCTTTAGAAAATAAGACATGAGTAAGCAGGCATTGAAACTGTTACCAGTTGAGGGTGCCCAGGTTCTTGGCATTTTGAACAAAGAATTGGACAAAACGCACAAAGAAAAGAAAGAATGAAGCGACAAAAACAGATTTATTGAAATGAAAGCACACTCCCCAGGGTGGGAGTGGCTTGAGCAAGTGGCTCAAGGGCCCAGTTACAGAATTCTCTGGGGTTTAAATACCCTCTAGAGGTTTCTATTGGTTACTTGGTGTACACTCTATTTAAATGGAGAGGCTGAAGTGAAGTTACAAAGTTATTTACTTGGGGTACACCCTGTGCAGATGAAGGGGATGAAGTGAAGCTACAAAGTTATTTATTTGGTGTATACCTTGTGCAAATGAAGAGAATGTTTCCTGTCATAGCTGAAGTAGAGTTACAAAGTTATTTACTTGGTCTTAGAAAGTTGGGTTTTTTCTGTTTGATTTAGTTCTAGGAAGTCCTTAGGTTCCCTGCCCCCTGACCCTATTCTCCTGCCTCATCTCCCCCATGAGAGACATGAGCCTCATAAATCTTTCTGGGAGTCAGAGGGACTGATGGTCTTTCTTCTGCAACTCCTTCATGCTGGCTTGGGGTGTAGTCTCTACCTACTGGGGATCATGGAACTCTCACCCTGTGCTGTCTAATGGAGGCAGGGTAGCTTCTTGATGGCCAGGGAGGTGGGGGGTGTCTTCATCTGGAACTAACTGGAACCCTTCTTGCATGATCATCTGAAGCTTGACAGTCTCTAGGGGACAGGAAATGCATTTGTTTAAAAGATTTAATGGGAACTTCAGGAGGTGGATACCTGTGCTGTCAGGAATGTTTGTTATACAGATTTGCGGGAGAAAAACAAAACCTGATCTGTTCTAAGATCTGTATGTTTCCTTAAAGTCTTAGCATGAATGACTCCATTTTGGTTTGGTTTGGTCTGTTGGGGCCTAGCACATGAGCTCAGTCCAAAACAATGACCTCCCATAATTTTGTTTTAAAAAATTCCCCCTTTTTGGTCAGGTTCTCACTTAGGTGAGAGTGTGACCAATACTTAAGGCGTTACCGCCACTCTCAGTTACCACCATGTTGGGTTTCCGGTCTCAGCACATCATTGATAGGTTACAGTGTCCTCATGGTGGCATATTTCTTTCAGCTCTTGTCATTCAGTTTAAAGAGAAACCATTTGACATTCTAGAGATGGCTGCACGCCAACACTTAAAACCTTTGAGATAATGCAGCTCACCAGGGAGACTATTATCATGACTATCGGGAGGATAATACCAAGACCTTGGAGTGTACTCCTTACCCAGGGTTCCCATAAACCAAACCACATAAAATCAAATAGATCAAAGAATGAGCTAAACAGTCTACTCACCTAAATAAGCAATCCCTTCATTAATCCCCTACCACTGAATCTCTATAATCTTCATTTGATGCATTTCTCCATAGGTCACAGTGCCAGCAGCTGCACAGATACTTCCATTCAGCCAATTCTATCATAACCTTTACAAGAGAATTTAAAGTCTTTGAAGTCTGTTGTGTAACTATAGCCTTTACAGTAGAATCTGCTGTACAGCCTATCACGAGGGATAAATTTCTAATCATTGTTTTTACTCCAAACCATGGAAAAAGGACCTAACAAATGATGCCCTTCTAGAAGAGTGAAGGCCTCCTGGCAATGTTCTCTTTAACCCATGATGTGGATTAAGAGGAATGAACCAATGTTCCATTTCTGACTGATTATGAGGTGACATGTACCATTGAAGTTTCTCACCTACAGGCCAGGTGTGGTGGCTCATGCCTGGAATCCCAGCATTTTGGGAGGCCGAGGCGGGTGGATCACAAGGTCAGGAGATCGAGACCATCCTGGCTAACACAGTGAAACCCCATCTCTACTAAAAATACAAAAATTAGCCGGGTGTTATGGCCGGTGCCTGTAGTCCCAGCAACTTGGGAGGCTGAGGTGGGAGGTGGAGCTTGCAGTGAGCCGAGATTGTGCCACTGCACTCCAGCCTGGGCAACAAAGCGAGACTCCATCTCAAAAAAAAAAAAAAAAACAAAAAACTTTCTCACCTACATCGGGCTTTCATCTTTTATCTACCAAAGTATAAGGTTATCCGTGTGTAAGGCTGGCTGCAAAATCCTTCACAAATAAAAGTATGCCGCATAAGTACACACAACAAACCTCTTTTCCATTTCTACTGTTCATAGAGGCATAAACAAGGAAAAAATATTCAAAGAGTCTCATGATAGTGGAGAAGTTTTGATCCATGATGTTGGGACAAGTTGTTCACATCAAGGATGCCATCTTTTTCTGGGGAGAAACTTCCCTGGTTAGCTTTACCTTAAGGGTTCCAATGGGTGTACAGTTCCAAGAGTGTGGAGGGACCCTTTTCATCTGTGAGATTACGAACTCCAAGTTCAAGGTCCCGAAGTTTTGCTGTAGCGTGGATGGCAAGGACAGTCTTTCTCTGATGTTCTCAGAAGATCCAATCTTCCGGTTCTAGACTGTGAAGGGGTTGATTTTCCTCACTCAGTGAACCATAAAAAGCTTTCTTTACCTGGTGAAAATACACTGTAGCATAATAATCTACGGTTACAACATCAACCCTCTTGCATGGGAACGCTTTTATACAGCCAGAAAACGTGCATTGAAAATGACAATTGAAATGTTTAAGTGACCCATCAGGTAGCCAAACGTACCTGAAGCTTTGATTGTCTTCCCAGGAATATGGATTTGAGAAACCAAATATTGGTTATAAAATACTTTAGCAATTTATAAGTCAGCACTCCAGTATAAATTTAATTTGGATCATTTTATCTCTTCCATGATGAGTCATAGAATGCATAACCTTTAATAACAAAAGCTTTAAGGACTCAGGAAGGACAAGGTGGCTATCCTAGTTCTCCATGAGCCTATGCTTAACACTGGACTTATGACCTCTTGAATACCAGTTGTTTCTCCAACTTACGGGCATAGTACTGATAACTAATGGGTTATAATAGGTAATTTGACTTAAGACCATGGAGTTCAAATGACTTTAAATAATGGTAGTTAAAAACACTATTGACAAGGAAATTTGGTTATTTCTGTGGTCTACAGTAACTTAACGTAATAATTAAGATTGATAGAATATACTCAGAATATACTAGAATTTTAGGACTCCCACAAAAATCATTCAGTCGACTGAGAAGAAAAAAACCTTCTTCCAGAAAAACAAGATCCAAGAAGAGAAAAAAAACACAACATAAAGGCCTTTTAAATGTACCTATAGTTAGAATCCACTTTTAATTAAACTGACTTAACCACAGCATTCTTTAAAAAAAAAAATCCTTTAAAATCTCATATTACCCAATTTTAGCCACATGAAGTGGCCAATATTTCTGGCTTTTGAACGTTACCAAAGGTAACCTCCCAGATGCTCAGAGAAGAAAAATTCAAGATGGTTCACAGAGGGGAAAAGAACCAACAAATGGTAAAGGTCACACAGATATCAAACCAGAAAGGAATCATTTCCCAAGCCAGGACTCAACACAGGCCACCACTGTAAAATGGCAAAACCCCAGCTGCTGAGCCACAGCATTGGACAGTCTACACTGTTCCTTTCAGAAGGAGTCTAGAGTAGCTCATTTTGAGCTTGCAAAGGCTTCCAACTACTTAAGACAACTTTTAGAGCTAACTATGACCTCCTAGGGACATAAAACAAGATGGAGACCTCATCCAGTTGTTTTGTTTGTTTCAGGGACCTGCAGCAAAGTTTGTTACTGACCAGGCTACTGGGTTGTCACGAGCAGTGAGCTTATGGGGTCCTAAGCCCATGTTCTATCCTAAGGTACACCTCTTCATGACAGTACAACAGAGAAAGAAAAATTCATAGCACAAAATAACCCAGATTTGCTACAGCTTATGAGTAGCCTCAGAATTTCTTTTCACATTAACCAAAACTTTACAAAGGAGATAAACAGTGATTTTTACCATTCATTCGATTGGTTTGCACAGAGAGAGGTCAGAAGTCCAACTGGTAAGAAATTCTTACCCTTTTGCTGGCATGTCAGATTTCTGGGTTCTCCTTCCCTAGGCAGCCCTAGCAACCCTACTCAACTGTAGGCAAAAAAATAAATAAATAAATAAATTGCCATGAGTTAAGAACATTCACAAATAGTTTACAAATTTTGGAGAAATTAGGCAGACAGAGAGAAAAATGACTCAAATTCTATTTATGAAAGTATACTCAATACATTCAAAGTATCAGGGAGCCTAATATCCAAAAAGTCAGTTTAAGTTTTAAAAGCTGGTGCACCCCATCAATTCCTGTGGGCCTGACAAAGGTAGTCTAGGAATTCCAGATTAATGGAACAAATGATGACTTGCTAGAAAGGCATAGGAAATGAAATAACTATTCACAGAACCAAATAAAAGTTTTCCACTAGAAACTAAAAAAAAAATCATGGTTTTATATATATGCATACACAAGCAAAGCCCAGAGGAGAATAAACAGCAAATTAATAAAAATTAGAAGCAAAAACACAGAAACAGGAAACCAACCCTAAATTTTTTCTACCCAATCTACCCTGGAGGCTACATTGTTACCCAGGGCCCCCAAAACCCCACATAATAAATATTTTATTCCTGATACACAATTCAGTATCCTTAAGTCCACCAATATCACCACACATCCTGTGCAATCAATAAATTTACTCTAGGCCAGGTACAGTGGCTCATGCCTGTAATCCCAGCATTTTGGGAGGCTGAGGTGGGTGGATCACCTGAGGTTAGGAGTTCGAGACCAGCCTGGGCAACATGGTAAAAACCTCATTTCTACTAATAATACAAAAATTAGCTGGGCATGGTGGCGTACACCTGTAATCCCAGCTACTTCGGAGGCTGAGGCAGGAGAATCGCTTGAACTCTGGAGGCGGAGGTTGCAGTGAGCCGAGATTGCTCCACTGCACTCCAGCCTGGGGCACAAGAGTGAAACTCCATCTCCAAAAAGATAAAGAAAGAAAGAAGAAATTCACTGTAGGCCCATGACCAGTAAGTACTCCAGTGCCAGTGCTATCCATGCAAAACAGTAAACGTAGTGTGAAGCAATGCAAGCATGTATGTGAAATTTGGCTCCACACTAAATCCAGCTTCATGCTTAAAAAAGAATTACCAAACTTCTGATGCATTTCTTTACAATATTTATTTTACTTTAATCAAGACTAAGAGCTTTAACTATGAACATGTTAATTAGCCAAATTTCTCCAATTCTCTATCAGGTTTTAAAGAATATTTTATTATCTAAGCCTTTTCCACATTTTTCTCCCCTACTTACTGGTGCCTTACTACGTTGTTTCATAATTAACCTTTTCAAATCTGTCATTTGAACTAATTTTTAGATAACTTCTGAATTAGACTTGTTCTCACTAATAACACAACGCTTTCTGGCACGTTTTGTATACAGAATTATGTGTTAACTAGAATTCTTACTTATTTCATTTTTAACAGTTTATTTAAATTAAATTACTTCTGTAAACTGAGATATTAGATGCTATCATTTAAAGTTAGTGATTTAGCTAATAACATTAAATTACTCTCTTTTGTCAAAAAAAAGGCACATAAACCAATACGACTTTGTTTTGACTGGGTTTACACTTTTATAACCTTCTATGCTACACACTAACACCTCAAAATATCTAGCAGAGACAAATATAAAATCCAGACAAAATGTATGCTGACAGGAAAATGTGCGAAAGTTTGGAACTTCCTAGAGACTTGTTGAATGGCTTTGACAAAAATGTTGATAGTGATATGAACAATAAGGTCTGGGCTGAGGTGGTCTCAGATGGAGATGAGGAACTTGTTGGGAACTGGAGCAAAGGCGGCTCTTATTATGTTTTAGCAAAGAGACTGGTGGCATTTTGCCCCTGTCCTAGAGATTTGTGGAAATTTGAACTTGAGAGAGATGATTTAGGGTGTCTGGCAGAATAAATTTCTAGGCAGCAAAGCATTCAAGAGGTGATTTGGGTGCTGTTAAAAGCATTCAGTTTTATAAAGAAAGCAGAGCATAAAAGTTTGGAAAATTTGCAGCCTGACAATGCAATAGAAAAGAAAATCCGATTTTCTGAGGAAAAAGTCAAGCCAGCTGCAGAAATTTGCATAAGTAACAAGAAGCTGAATGTTAATCCTCAAGACAATGAGGAAAATGTCTCCAGGGCATGTCAGAGGTCTTCACGGCAGCACTTCCCATCACAGGCCTGGAGGCCTAGGAGGGAAAAATGGTTTCTTGGGCCAGGTCCAGGGTTCCTGTACTGTGTGTAACCTAGGGACTTGGTGCTCTGCATCCCAGCCGCTGCAGCCATGGCTGAAAGGTGCCAACATAGAGCTCAGGCCATGACCTCAGAGGGTGCAAGCCTCAAGCTTTGGCAGTTTCCATGTGGTGTTGAGCCTACAAATTCACAGAAGTCAAGAATTGAGGTTTGGGAACCTCTGCCTAGATTTCAGAAGATGTACGGAAACGCCTGGATGTCCAGGCACAAGTTTGCTACAGGGGTGGGATTTTCATGGAGAGCCTCTGCTAAGCAGTGCAGAAGGAAAATGTGGTATTGGAGCCCACACACTGAGTCCCTACTGGGACACTGCCTCGTGGAGCTGTGAGAAGAGGGCCACCATCCTCCAGATGCCAGAAATGGCAGATTCACTGACAGCTTGCACCATGTCCCCGGAAAAGCTGCAGACACTCAACGCCAGCCCATGAAAGCAGCCGGGAGGGAGGCTGTACCCTGCAAAGCCACAGGGGTGGAGCTGCCCAAGACCACGGGGACCCACCTCTTACATCAGCATGACTTGGACATGAGACATGGAGGCAAAGGAGATCATTTTGCAACTTTAAGGTTCAACAGCCCCACTGGATTTTAGACTTGCATGGGGCCTGTAGCCCCTTTGTTTTAGCCAGTTTCTCCCATTTGGAATGGCTGTATTTACCCAATGCCTGTACCCCCACTGTATCTAGGAAGTAACTAACCTGCTTTTGACTTTACAGGTGGAAGGGACTTGCCTTGCTTCAGATGAGACTTTGGACTGTGGACTTTTGAATTAATGCTGAAATGAGTTAAGACTTTGGGGGGCTGTTGGGAAGGCATGATTGGTTTTCAAATGTGAGGATGTGAGATTTGGGAGGGGCCAGAGGTGAAATGATATGATTTGGCTGTGTCCCCACCCAAATTTCATCTTGAATTCCCAAGTGTGGGAGGGACCCAGTGGGAGGTAATTGAATCATGGGGGCAAACCTTTCCAATGATGTTCTCATGTTACAAAATAAGTCTCGTGAGATCTGACGGCTTTAAAAAGAGGAGTTACCCTGCACAAGCTCTCTCTTTGCCTGCTGCCATCCATGTAAGACATGACTTGCTCCTCCTTGCCTTCTACCATGATTGTGAGGTCTCCCCAGCCACGTGGAACTGTTATTCCATTAAACCCCTTTTCCTGTATAAATTACCCAGTCTTGGGTATGTCTTTATCAGCAGCGTGAAAATGGACTGATACAAACTGTAATGATAGGAGGCTGGGTAGGTTTCTTTTGTCCTTAGCCAGAAGAGTAGGGGAAGGGAAGAATTGTTCATAAGAAAAGAAGGTTTACATTGCCTGAAAGGCATGTGAGTTTGCCCCAGAGGAGCTGCACCACATGTAGGGGTCAGAGATCACAACCAGAAAAGACAGAAAAGAATCCTTCCCCTTTCCAGGCAGGCAACTACCCCCATTCACTGCTTGCATTCAGGCAACACTGGAGAGTAGCCCTGGCCAGAATCCTGCAGTTACCTTCCTGTTTAGTCACTGCCCATCAAGGGTCCACAGTTGAGGAGAGAGGAGAGAGGAGAGAGGAGAGAGGAGAGAGGAGAGAGAGATTCCCCTGTATGGAACAGAAAGGAAAATGAGAAAAATAAACCCCAAGCTTTGGGCTTACCTCCTGACTGGCTTGCCAAAATATGTTACCGGTTGAGGTGTCCAGGTTCTTAGCATTTTAAACAAAAAATTAGACAAAATGCACAAATGAAGCAAGAAAAGAATGAAGCAATAAAAGCAGAGATTTATTGAAACAAAAGCACACTCCACAGAGCGGGAGCGGCCCCAGCAAGTGGCTAGCCCAGTTACAGAATTCTCTGGGGTTTAAATACCCTCTGGAGGTTTCCCATTGATTACTTGGTGTAAGCCCTTTGTAAATGAAAAGGCTGAAGTGAAGTTACAAAGTTATTTACTTGGAGTACACACTATGAAAATAAAGAAGATGAAGTGAGGTTACAAAGTTATTTACTTGGTGTACACCTTATGCAAATTAAGAGGATGTTTCCTGTCATAGCTGAAGTAGAGATACAAAGTTATTTACTTGGTCTAAGAAAGTTGGAGTTTTTCTGTTTGATTTAGTTCTAAGAAGGCCTTAGGTTTCCTGCTCCCAGACCTTATTCTCCTGCCTCAAAACTGTCATTAAAATGTTTTGTCTCTGAAAGTAAGATGCATATAACTACCTTCTAACAAATTAATTCCTAATGATTTCTTAATTATTCTAGTGAGTTCTTAGTGTAATTAAATATTTGTGCTTCCTATTTATTTAATCATTCAATTTGTAGAATTTGTATAGAATGACTTCATTCTTGCTATAATTTTTATTAAGAAATAAATATAGTCAGGCATGATGGCTCATGTTTGTAATCCTAGCATTTTGGGAAGCCAAGGAAGGAGAATCTCTTGAGCCCAGGATTTGAGACCAGCCTAGGTAACACAGGGAGACCTTGTCTCTATTTTAAAGAGAATAAATAAAGAAAGAAAAATTATAATACCTTCTAAAAATTGTGCTTAAGGAAAAGAAAACTAATTATACTCAAGGAAGGGATACCTTTTTCCTAAATCTCACAAAAGCTGGCTACAGGTGCTAAGGCATAGCTCTCAAAATGTTAAAAACATAATTCTAATACAACTAGTGAGTTCATGTCAAATATTTATTAAACTCATTAATAAGGAACCCAGAAGGATGAAAAGCCCAGTTCAAAAGAGAATTTAAGAAACTAGATTTTTATGATAAGTGGAGAGGGGGCAGTAATGCTGAAATAAAGTTGTTAAATTAGATAAAGTTATATGATGATTAAAACCCTAAGGGGGCCAGGTGCCATTCACTCCTATAATCCCAGCACTTTGGGAGGCTGAGGTGGGAGGATTGAGAGAAGAGAGAGGAAGGAACTAGTTAGGCAGATAGTTCAGACAGACACCCAGTAGAAGCCCTTCCAACAAAGGATCAGCCTGGAAGAAATCAAGCTGCAAGCACAGATAAGGAAGCAAGGCTCAACACATTTATCTTTTGAGCAACAAATGAGCTCCAGGTATACAGAGTGGGCTTCAGTGAGCGCATTCCTTTCCTTTTTGGGCATATTCAGATAAGGGGACTGGCATCAGGGGGCTTGCCTAAGACAGGCCTGCAGCTGTATAGATTAAATTTACACTGAATCAGGCAGGTCCACAATGGAAAATTCCATCTCCTGACACGTGTGCAGTAAGGGAAATGACACAATATGGAGTAACTCATGTTAAGAACTCACATGCTCACTAGAGGGATGGGGTGGAGCTGTCAGAAATTTGCATCTTATGCAAATAAGGAACTGGTTTTTTGCACCATATGCAAATGAAACACCCCACCCCACTGGCTTGTTTATAAAAGACTTTGTATTCAACTGTGAAATAGCAACGCTCTCAGGCCCCATCTCCACAGAGGAAAGCTTTCTTCTTTCACTTATTAAACTTTTGCTCCAACCTCACTTTTGGTGTCCACACTCCTTAATTCTCTTGGTCATGAGACAAAGAGCTCAGATAACACCCCAGACAACAAGACTGCTCCAGAGACCCTAGACGGCTTCAGGATCACTTGAGGCCAGGAGTTCAAGAGCAGCCTGGGCAGCATAGTGACCTCATCTCTACAAAAATTTAAAGAATTAGCTCGGCATAGTGGTACGCACCTGAGGTGGGAGGATTGCTTGAGCCCTGGAGTTTGAGGCTGCAGTGAGATATGATACCACCACTGCACTCCAGCCTGAGTAACAGAGACCCTGTCTCTAAAATTTTAAAAAATAATAATCTTACAGGAATAATACGATCATAACCTTCTTGTTTGAGGTCAGGAGTTTGAAACCAGCCTGGACAACATAATGAGACCTTGTCTCTAGAAAAAAATAAAAAAATAAGGCAGGAGGATGGCTTGAGCTCAGGAGGTCACGCCACTGCACTCCCACCTGGGTAACAGAGCCAGACCCTGCCTCGAAAAAAATTATTTTAAAAAATCATAACCTTCTGCTTTACCTTTCCTACTCAACAAAAAAGAAAGTTGTTGTACCAGATCAACTTTACAGAATTGCAAAGTCTCTGGGTTCTAATGAATTATGCCAACAAGCTTAAATTTCCTGAGTCAGATGGTCCTTGGGTGGGCTTGCTAGAAATGTTCTTAGCATGACATTAATCACCTTTCGCCTTAGGTCCAAGTTTTCGATAATGTTCCTTAACATGGGCTAGTGGTAGCCCCGCATATTCACAGCAAAGCAGGACTCAGTACTTGATTGTATAAAAAACAAAATGATATAAAACCAGTATGAACTCATAAGGCATAGTGGAGTGAAGAAGATTTTACTAAAGACTTTACAGTGAGATTGAAGAGAGAGTTACACTGTATCTCTCACAGCAAAACTTACATCCTTCGTTTATCATGATTGTTGTCTTAGCTACATTGCTTCCCCCTTGGCCCTCCCCAATTCTTTCTCTACCTATTCTATTTTTTTTCCTAGTGCAAAGAAATATACCTTCTTCAAACTTGCATCCTCACACCTGGTAGCCCCCAACTCAAGCAATAAATGGGCATTTTACAAATGAAGATCCAAAATGAGTGATCAATTCCAAATCAATTCTTTTTGTTCTTCTTAATGTCACCACTGGTCAGAAGTAAGCCATTTTGCCTCAAGAAGAAAACAAACAAACAAACAAAAAAACACCATATGGATAAGATAATCCAGGCTTGTTAATTTCCAATCATTATTTTAGGACCACTGATACTGTTCCATGTTTTCATATCTGTTATAGCATTTACTATAAGGTAGGCAGCTATTACTATCACTATGTAACAAATTAAGTAGCTGAGCTCAAAGAGGCTGCCGTCTTGCCAGTCATAATAAAAAGCAAGGCTCAGGTCGAGACCCAGGGCTTCAGATTCCAAACTGGGAGCTGATTTCTTATAGCTGAGATCAGAGGTTATAACCCTCTGTTCTGTTAGTAAATCTATGAATTGGTGCTCAATCTAAAATGCTACTTAGAAATAATTAACTAGGGCCAGGCACGGTGGCTCATGCCTGTAATACCAGCACTTTGGGAAGCTGAGGTGGGTGGATCACGAGGTCAGGAGATCAAGACCAGCCTGGCCAACGTGGTGAAACCCCATCTCTACTAAAAAATACAAAAATTAGCTGAGTGTGGTGGTGGGCGCCTGTAATCCCAGCTACTTGGGAGGCTGAGGCAGGAGGATTGCTTGAACCCAGGAGACAGAGGTTGCAGTGAGCTGACACGGTGCCACTGCACTCCAGCCTGGGCGACAGAGTGAGACTGTCTCAAAAAAAAAAAAAAAAAAAAAAAAATTAACTATTATTCTCCTCCTCCAGGATTTCTCATTCTCAGCGCTATTGACATTTTTCTTTATTGCAGGAGGCTGCCTGTGCATTGTAGCATGTTTAGCAGCATTTTGTGCTACTTAGAATCCATTAACTTGATGCAAGTAGCAACCACACACACACCTTTCCCCAATGATAACAAAATCAGCCCCAGTTGAGAACCACTGTTCCGCTCTATGCTGAACTCCTGTGGAATTCCCATCCTCTGTGTTTCCCTCAGCCTGTGAGAACACGAGTGTAGGCCCTGAAAACCTCCTGCCTGTGGCCTCTGTTTGGTCCTCCTGGACTTCCTGTAGGCCCCTTGCCTGCAGTAACCAACATCCTCACTGTGAGCCTTTATCTGTCCTTGGAGGGTGTCCAAAACCTACTCACATCCGCTTGATTCTGTACGCTAGCTCATCCAGGCAGCCTGAGTCCATGGCTATTCAAGACCAGGAGTTAAAATTGAATTGGCTGCCCAAGAATGATTTACTGGAGGCTTCTGGAAATGTCTTCCACAACTGGATTAACTATTTTGATTAATTTGACCCGTCAGTTTGTTAGGAAGGAGAGGAATAGCCATTTAATTTATTTATTCACTTAATTTATTCAACTGAATAATTTATTTAGATGCATTCATTTATTTATTTAACTGATACTGTGACTGAGATGACTTGTTTTTTGACTAAATTGAACAGTTGAAATGATCAGATTAGTTGTGCACTGAGACTCAGCCTGAATGCAGCTACCATCTCAGTGCAAGTGATTTCATATCCTTTATGCCCCAGAGAATGTAGCTCAGTTAATAAATAATCACAATTTTTATTCAGCAGTTGTTTCTAACTATTCTTTTTTCTTTTCGTTGCAAAGAATATATGATTTTTTTTCTTAAATTTCAAAAACGGTTGTAAAAATAATGTTTGGGTACCCTTGTGCTGATATGACTGACTGTATCTTTCAGGCAAGAGAGAGCGTCATTCACTAGCACATACACATAACTCAGTACAATAAATGTGTGTCATTGTACATCAATGGTGGATTTCCTGTGTGATGGAGGGGAGAAAAAGAGAAGACAGAGCAGAGGGTTCTCTTCACACTAGATTTCTTAGGGAGCTCGTAAAAAGGATTTACTGTATTTTGATTAATCCATCCTTCATCCACCTTGAGTGTCTCCATGGCAACCGGATATTTGTTTCCCAAAGATTGGCTTTCAGACTATGGAAGGTTCATTCAGCTCCATACAAAACCCCCTGTATTGCTGAGAACCACATATTTGAAATTCAGTGTGCATAGACAACCACTCCCAAACCCTTGTCTGTGTTACTGATGCCAGTGCTACTATCATTTTATCAATGACAAGACATGATCAATTTTTGAGGCATTTTCTCAGAGTTAACACAGACATCTGTTTTGCCTCTATTCCTCAGTAACATTAAGTATTTTAAGCTTAGCTTGAAGGAAGCGAGCTAAGTAGCCATTATGGGACTGAAAAAAAGAAAAAAGAAAAAAGACACCATGTCAAATGTTGGTTAGAGTATTTCAGGGCATAGGTCTGTAGTACTGCACCAATTAGATGCTCTTGTAAATAAAAATAATATCCAAAATTAATGATCCTGGCTGGGCGCAGTGGCTCACTCCTGTAATCCCAGCATCCTGGGAGGCCAAGGCGGGCGGATTACTTGAGGTCAGGAGTTTGAGACCAGCCTGACCAACATGGTGAAACCCCAGCTCTACTAAAAATACAAAAAAAAATTAGCTGGGCCTGGTGGCGCACGCCTATAATGCCAGCTACTCAGGAGGCTGAGGCAGGGAGAATCGCTTGAACCTGGGAGGTGGAGGTTGCAGTGAGCCAAGATCATGCTGCTGCACTCCAGCCTGGGAGACAGAGCAAGAATCTGTCTCAAACAAACAACAAAAAGGAAATAAAAGAAATTAATAATCCCTTTCTTAGCCAGGCATGGTGGCGTGCACCTGTAGTCTCAGCTACTCAGGAGGCTGAGGTAGGAGCACTGTTTGAGCCCGGGAGGCAGAGGTTGCAGTGAGCTGAGATTGCACCACTGCACTCCAGCCTGGGTGACAGAGCCAGACCCTGTCTCAAAACAAACAAACAAAAATTCAGTGTGTACTAGCATGCAAAGGACACACATTTCATAGATGAGGTTGCATGATTTGCCCATTGTCTTACATGAGTTAGAAACCTGGCTAAAACGAGAGTGTGGAGATCCAAACTCCCAGCACACAGCTCTGCAGACACCACACAACAGGGCTACCATCCTCGGCTCCCAGGCCAGCCTGAACAGTGCTGCGATGACGGACTGTGTGTGAGTCCTCCTCTCTCTGAGAAGAATTCATTCCTTCCTGCCTTTCCCAAACTCTCTGCTCTTCAATATGGAAAGATGGCATGGATCGATGGATGGATGGATGGATGGATGGATGGATGGATGGATGGATGGATGGACGGATGGATGGATGGATGGACGGATGGATGGATGGATGGAATAAGCTCTGGAAAATAACATCAATTACTTTTTGTTTTGTTTTGTTTTAACCACATATCCCCAAAAGGTATTATCTGGGGGCAATTTCACTTTATTCTTGTATAAATACCTTATATTCTTCGGTATTCTTTTCTTTTTCATGACCACAAATTACATTTATAATCAGCAAAAACAACAAAAAAGATTTCCATTTTGGAAAAAAACAAAAACCAAAAAAGTAGTCTCCAAAATCCAAAATAGACACCAAAATAAATCTATTTCTGATGTAAGAAAACAAAACACAAAACAAAAAACGCATGACCATTTATGCAACTATAATGCAGTAAGTAGGATTTGCACAATTTATCTCATTCTTTTATTTGAAAAAAATCACCAAGTGGATTGTAATGTCTTTATTAATGATTAAAGTAATAAAACCCAAGTTCTCTTACTTGTATAATGGAACTAATAATTTCAACTTTTTTTCCCTAAAAGTAATATTGAATTTGTCTGACACACAGTTTAGGAATCATAACTTGAATTATTGGAATTCATTTGGGAAGCCCAGCCTCACTTAAAATTGCTGCTGTCTGCAATGTAATAAATGTGATCGATGGCCTTCTGCAGCTATGCGGTTTAGCTGCTCCTTCGTTGTTGAGGGAGAGGCCCCTTTGTGTGTATACATGTGCGTATTTCTTGAAAGCTCTGCAACTGTTTCCAACAGGAACCAGTTTTGAGCCTCCTGCTCACAGTTATCTAAGAATATCCTGTTATTTTCCAATTATCATAGAACAATTTAGATTACCTGTAAGAAAAAAAATTTCATTGAAGATGGATGACTCGTAAAACAGTAAAAATATAAGCACAGGGAGCCCTTATTAGTTCTGTTTCTCTTGATTCTTTGTCATTTTGAACTAGAAGGAAAAATTGGTTTCTACTGGTAACTAGAACTTTCACAAGATCATCGGATTAAGCAAAGTCACACCAGAAAATTTAAATTAGTCTCAATGTTGTTCGTTAGAAATAAGTGTTTAAGTACACTTTCAAACAAAGTAAACGCAGATTTTAGTCAGTGCCTTCCCCAACATATCTCCAGTATTTCTTCTTCTTTCTTTTTTTCTTTTTATGAGACAGGGTCTCACTCTGTCACCCAGGCTGGAGTGCAAAGGCACCAGCATAGCTCACTGCAGCCTCAACCCCTTGGGCTAAAGCAATACTCCTGCCTCAGCCTCCCGAGTAGCTGGGACCACAGGCACGCACCACCATACCTGGCTATTTGTTTTTAATCTTTTGTAGAGATGGGGTCTTGCTATGTTTCCCAGGCTGGTCTCAAATTCCTGGGCTCAAGCAATCTGCAAACCTCGGCCTCTCAAGTGCTGGGATTACAGGTGTGAGCCACTGCACCCAGCCAGTATCTTCAGTATTTCCGTACCTCCTCCCTGCTCTCCTTTTTTCTTCCATTGGACTTAACACTTCAATTCATAATTTTAAACATAAATTATTTGACACCACTCTTGCAGTTGATTACAACACACCCATGTATAGGAATAAAGCAGAGAACTTAGGCAATACACTCTACTACCATGTGAGATGTTTAACTCCTAAATCAAATTATCTTCCTCACTTAGTAAATTTATGAATACAGGTTAAATATCCCTTATCTGAAATGCTTAGGACCAGAAGTGTTTCAAATTTAAGACTTTTTCAGATTTTGGAATATTTGCCTATACATAATGAGATATCTTAGAGCTGGGATGCAAGTCTAAACACAAAACGTATTTATGTTGCCTATATCTTAATGCACATAGCCTGAAGGAAATTTTATACAATATTTTAAATAATTTTGTGAATAAAACAAAGATGGTGCACATTGAACCATCAGAAAGCAAAGGTGTCACTATCTCAGCCACCCATGTGGACAGTCTGTGGTTGTTTGGCATCATCATTCCCGACGCTGATTTATATACCAATAAGCTGTCATTTTCTTCCACTTATTCACACCTAAGTACCTAACAGTAAAAAAAAATGACATATGATTAATACAGTGCAAAAATCATGTGTTCAGGGTAACTAAGTAGCATAGTAGCATCCCCAGAAAACCTGTATCAGCCGCTAAACTGCAACAACAGCCAACAGCTGTTGTCTCTACCTACGATGTTGTGCTTTTGGTTAAGGGGTTACATTGCACTGTATTTTAATTTTTAGGTGAGAAAAAACATCCGAAGCAGTTGAGGGACCAGGAAGTGGGTCATCTAGAGATGAGGAGGCATTCTGCTTGGTGGCTTTTTATTTTATTTTATTTTATTTTATTTTATTTATTTATTTATTTATTTATTTATTTAGAGACAGAGTCTTGCTCTGTCTCCCAGGTTCAAGTGAATCTCATGCCTCAGCCTCTCCAGTAGCTGAGATCACAGGCATGCGCCACCACAACTGGCTAATTTTTGTAATTTTTAGTAGAGTTGGGGTTTCACTATGTTGGCCAGACTGGTCTTGAACTCCTGGCCTCAAGTGATCCGCCTGCTTCAGCTTCCCAAAGTGCTGGGATTACAGGGGTGAACCACTGGACCCAGCTCTTCAGGTCTTATATGGTGTTCATTCCAACACCACACTCTTCTGTAAGATGTTTCACACTGACACCACTGTCCAGTTTCTCCAACAGCTTGACTTTCTGTGCTACAGACATACATGCTTACTCTTTTTCTTACCACTGTTAACCAATAGTGGTATCTGCAGGCCTTTTTGACATTTTCAGGAGTATCTTTACACAACACAGCCAAGAATGAGCACAAAAACACAGTGAGTAATGCACATAGGTGTTGGCCCCAGGTGGGGCATCATGGGGAACCTGCCATTGGTGCATTCAGCCTGTTCGTGTGCCATTTTATTACAGTTTGTCAGTGTGCCTGCGTGGCGGAATCTGGGCGTGTATGGAAAAGATATATTGAAGCTGAAGAGGACTGAGAGGGTCTTTTTTTCCATGAGGTATGCTGAATAAACTGTATGTTGTGTATCTATGTTTGGACTACAACCCACCATATAAAACCAGGTGTGGGATTTTCCACTTGCGGTGTCATGTTGGTGCTCAAAAAGTTTCAGAGGGTGGGTGTGGTGGCTCATGCTTATAATCCCAGCACTTTCGGAAGCCAAAGCAGGAGAATTGCTTGAGTCCAGGAGTTTGGAACCAGCCTGGATAAAATGGTGAGACCCTGTCTTTACAAAAAAAATTTTTTAAATTAGCCTAGTGAGGCCAGGTGTGGTGGCTCATACCTGTAATTCCAGTACTTTGGGATGTCAACGTGAGCAGATCACTTGAGGTCGGGAGTTCCAGACCAGCCTGGCCAATATGGTGAAACCCCATCTCTACTGAAAATACAAAAATTAGGCAGGTGTGATGGTGCACGCCTGTAATCCCAGCTACTCAGGAGGCTGAAGAAGGAGAATCGCTTGAACTCGGGAGGTGGAGGTTTCAGTGAGCCGGGATCATGCCACTGCCCTCCAGCCTGGGCGACGGAGAAAAACTCCATCTCAGAAAAAGAAAAAATAAAAATGTGCCTGGTGTATTGGTGCACACCTGTGGTCCCAGCTACTGGGAGGTCAAGCAGGAGGGCCACTTGAGTTCAGGAGTTTAAGGTTGCAGTGAGCTATGGTGGTGCCACTGCACTCCAGCCTAGGCGACAGAGCAAGATCCTGTCTCAAAAAAAAACAAAAAAAAAAGAAAGAAAAAAAGTTTCAGATTTGGGAGCATTTTGGATTTTGGACTTTCAGAATAGGAATGCTCAACCTGTATAAATAAATATTTGCAAAGAAAAACTGAACTGCACAGGCGCCTTATCAAGTTTTTATCTTAAACTCAGTCCCAAACCCTCGAAACATGGGATTGTTAATTTGGAAGAAACCTCAGAGACTATTTCATATATGGTAACACTGAGGTAGATTGAGCCTGAGGAACTTACACCATATTGCAGAGCTAGTTAGTAATGATTTAGCCCTTCGCTATCATCTTTCCATCTTACTCTTTGCTTTTCCACAGGAGGAAAAGAAAGGCATGCACATGACCTTCCTCATGTAACAGCACAGTCTCAAGGTGCGTGTTTGTTATCCTGATTAACAAGATGAGTAAACTAAGACCCTGACAAGTTGTATAGTTAGTCCAACGTCACACAGCTACTAAGGGAAAAAAGTGGAATTGGAACACCAAATTGTAACCTGAGTGGATTCTATGAGCAGCCTTTGTCCAAGTTCAGACAATGATGAAAAGAGAATATTTGACTGACAATTTAGAAGGATACATTGAGGAAACTTCACATCATATATCACATTTAGAAGGATACACTGAGGAAACTTCACATCATATATCACATTAGGCAAAAACTTAAAAAAATTATTCTGTAGATATTTTTGCCAATTCCCCCCCTAAAATTTGTTACTTTCAGATATACCTGGTTTTTCTTTCTAATGTTACAAGGGAAATAAATTACAATTACTTAATCAACATGAAAGATAAGGTTTCTGTGAAAAGTTTCTCCTGTCTGTCATCAAGACTGCCCATGGGCTGGGCGCAGTGGCTCATACCTGTAATCCCAGCTACTTGGGAGGCTGAGGCATGAGAATTGCTTGAACCTGGGAGGCGGAGGTTGTGGTGAGCTAAGATCATGCCACTGGACTCCAGCTAGGGTGACAGAGTGAGACTCCATCTCAAAAAAAAAAAGACTGCACATGTATGTAACCTGCCATGATCCCTGGTGGACCGAACGAAGAGGGGCGAACACGGGAGTAAAAGGCAAAGACAAAAGAGTATATTTGGAAGAAGGGGTCAGGGGGCACCTTGCCTCTAGTGGACAAGGACCCTGAGCTTTGCACAGCCCTCCATATTTATTAGGCAAAAGAGATAGTAAGGAGCGGGTGGTTGTCGGGTAATTGTCAATTGGCCGTTTGGTTCATAGCAGGCTTGCGAGACTGCATCCTTTGAACAATAGGAGCTAGATTTCCCAGTAGATAACTTCAAAGAGCTTGGTGCCAGGGAGTGATGGCCCTCAGCAAACCTTTTGGTGGCAGGCGCAGTGTGAGTTTGCCCACATCCTGCATTCATGATAAACAGTTGGCTGTTTAATCATATAGCCTCCAGTGGAATGCTGAGTTGGTCACGATCCCTTTGGCCTTTTCAGCTCCCAACACATGTAGAAATGCTGCATAAACTTTACTAAAAATAAATTCTGAGCTGGACACAGTGTAATCACACCTATTTGTTGGTGTGCTTGTGTAGGAGGATCTGGGTGTGTACTGAAAAAATATATTGCTGCTGAAGGGGGCTGGGAAGTTCTTTTTTCCCTTAAGGAAACTGAATAAACTGTGTGTTGCCCACCTATGTTTTGACTGCAATATCTGGTGATGTTTGTTGGAGACCAGATTGGGTAACATAGTAAGATTCTATCTCTAAAAAAAAAATGTATCCTGTTTTTAACAGGGTCTCACTCTGTCACCCAGGCTGGAGTGCAGTAGCACAATCATAGCTGCAGCCTCAAATTCCTGGGCTCAAGTGATCCTCTCACCTCAGCTTCCCAAGTAGCTAAGACTACAGGTGCATGCCACCACACCCAGATAATTTTTATTTTTTCAGTAGAGATGGAGTCTCACTATGTTGCCCAGGCTGGTCTTGAACTCCTGAGCTCAAGTGATCCTTCTGTCTTAGCCTCCCAAACTGTCAGGATATCAGGTATGAGCCACTGTACCCAGCATTAAAAAAAATATTTTTTAATTAGCTGGGTGTAGTGGCACACAACTGTAGTCTTAGCTACTTGGGAGGAAGGCTGAGGTGGGAGGATTGAAGCCCAGGAGTTTGAGGCAACAGTGAGCTAGGATCATGCCACTGTATTCCAGCCTGAGGGACAGACAGAGACCCCTTCTCTTAAAAAAAAAAAAAAAAAAAAAAAAAAAATATATATATATATATATATATATATATATATATATATATATATATATATACACACACACACACACACATAAAATCCCTTTTATTTTGGGAGACAGGATCTCAGTATGTTGCCCAAGCTGGTCTCAAACTCCTGGGCTCAAGCAATTCTCCTGCCTCAGCCTCCTGAGTAGCTGGGATTACAAGCTAAAAAATCTGGGGCCGGGTGCAGTAGCTCACGCCTATAATCCCAACACTTTGGGAGGCCTAGGAGGGCAGATCACCTGAGGTTGGGAGTTCGAGACCTGCCTGACCAACATGGAGAAACCCCATCTCTACTAAAAATACAAAATTAGCTGGGCATGGTGGCACATGCCTGTAATCCCAGCTACTTGGGAGGCTGAAGCAGGAGAATCACTTGAACCCAGTGGGCGGAGGTTGCGGTGAGTCAAGATTGCACCATTGCACTCCAGCCTGAGGCAGGAGAATCGCTTGAACCCAGGAGGCAGAGGTTGCAGTGAGCCAGGATTGCGCCATTGTACTCTAGCCTGGGCAACAAGAGCAAAATTCTGTCTCAAAAAAAAAAAAAAAATTGGAGGCTGTACAAGGTGACTCATGCCTGTAATTCCAGCACTTTGGGAGGTCAAGGCAGGTGGATCACTTGAGCCCAGGAGTTGGAGAACAGCCTGGGCAACAACATGGAGAAACCCTGTCTCTACAAAAAATACAAAAATTAGAGAGGCATGGTGGCATATGCCTGTAGTCCCAGCTATTCAGGAGGCTGATGTGGGAGGATTGCTTGAGCCTGGCAGGTTGAGCTGCAGTGAGCTAAGATCATGCCACTGCACTCCAGCCTGGATGACAGTGAGACCCTGTCTCAAATAAATAGATATATAAATTTTTTGGAGGGGAAACATATGGCCAAGCAAAAATTAAAAAAGCTAAGATGGCAAAAACAGACTGAACTTCAAGTCTAAGCAGCAATTGAAGGTTGAAACCAAAATGGCTCAGAGTTCCTGGCATTGAATGTGAACCTGAAAAGCTGGAGGCTAAAGTGCTGAAACCTACTCAGAAAGAAGAATGCAGCCCATGCCCTGTGCACAGAGAGCTGGACCAGGGCCATGTACACAACGCTGCTGTCTCCAAAATGATTATTTAGAAAACATGACCCAATAAAGTTTGGCAGGAGCAGTGGCTCACACCTGCAATCCCAAGTGTGATTGGGAGGCCAAGGTGGGAGGATCACTTGAGGTCAGGAGTTCAAAACCAGCCTGGCCAACGTGGCGAAACCTGTTTCTCCTGAAAATACAAAAATTAGCCAGGCAAGGTGGTGGGCACCTGTAATCCCAGCTATTTGAGAGGCTGAGGCACGAGAGTAGCTTGAACCCATGAGGCAGAAGTTGCAGTGAGCCCAGATCATGCCACTGCACTCCAACCTGGGCAATAGAGTGAGAATCTGTCTCAAAAAAAGAACACATTACCCAATAAAGTTGATAGAAGAATGTAAATAAGAATATAATTGACCTGAGGTGAGAAATAATTTCATAAACACAATTCAAAAGTATAACCCATAAAGCAAACTATTAATGAATGGAATTATAGCCAGGTCAAGGATTTCTATTCAATGAAAGACCAGGGGAAAAGTTATGAGTAGAGAATATGCAAATATATTTGTGATGTCTATGAGAAGGAAAGGGTTAAGCAGTAAGTCTGCAGTGTCTTCTATTAATGGAAGAAGAGTGGATTACCGCAAAAATAGGCAGACCAGGCCTAATCTCCTGTTGAAAGTGCTAATGACATGCCTCGTAGCTAATGGTATTTGCTAACAGGGGAGTCGAGTCTTTTTCTATGGAATGCTTTTAATAGGAGAAACCTGGTTATTTGTGATTGCTTATGGTAAACAAACCAGGAATCTATCGATTTATGGGCATGGCTCACTGGAAAATATTGTGTGATGGTGACCACCATCTGAGTGGAAATTGGAGATGTGTCATGACATTGATGAATAAATATTGATTTATGCTATTTCTTTTTTTTTTTTTTTTTTTTTTGAGATGGAGTCTCACTCTGTTGCCCAGGCTGGAGTGCAGTGGCGTGATCTCAGCTCACTGCAAGCTCCGCCTCCCGGGTTCATGCCATTCTCCTGCCTCAAGCTCCCGAGTAGCTGGGACTACAGGCGCCCGCCACCACGCCCAGCTAATTTTTTGTATTTTTAGTAGAGACGGGGTTTCACCATGTTAGCCAGGATAGTCTCGATCTCCTGACCTTGTGATCCACCCGCCTCAGCCTCCCAAAGTGCTGGGATTACAGGTGTGAGTGATTTATGCTATTTCTGATGAATTTAGCTGGATCACTTGGTTAAGTGGGTGTTTGCCAAGTTTCTCCACTGTAGAGTTACTATCTTTCCCTTGAAATTAATAAGTATCTTATAAAGAGATACTTTGAGACTGTAAATATCCTATTTGTCATCGAATTTTCACTCATTGGATATAGTATCCATTAATGATTGTTCCCTACAACAGTTATTCTGTGGTGGTTGCCAAATGTTGATTTTTTAATTGAGTCATGTGTTCTACATGTATTCGTTGATATTTTTAGGTGAGAAAGACCTTTCCCTTTTCCCCCATTTATTTATTTCTTTGTTTGTTTGTTTGTATCAGCAGGAACTCATAGATTTTTACTTTATTCCTTGGGTTATATTAGGTAGGTGCAAAAGTTATTGTGGTTTTTGCCATTAAAAGTAATTACTTTTGGCCAGGCGTGGTGGCTCACGCCTGTAATCCCAGCACTTTGGGAGGCTGAGGCAGGCAGATCACCTGAGGTCAGGAGTTCAAGACCAGCCTGACCAACATGGAGAAACCCCGTGTCTACTAAAAATACAAAAATTAGCCGGGCATGGTGGCAGGTGCCTGTAATCTCAGCTACTCAGGAGGCTGAGGCAGGAGAATCGATTGAACCCGGGAGGTAGAGGTTGCAGTGAGCCGAGATCATACCACTGTACTCCAGCCTGGTGACAGAGGGAGACTCCATCTCAAAAACAAAAACATACAAACAAACAAAATTAGTCGGGCATGGTGGTGGGCACATGTAATCCCAGCTATTTGGGAGGCTGAGGCAGGAGACTCACTTGAACCTGGGAGGAGGAGGTTGCAGTAATAAACATAATATGGGAACACAGTTCTTTAAAAGAAAAATTTATCAAGTAAATTTTAAACCTTAGATAAAATGGACAATATTTTTTCCATCAGTTATTGGGGCACAGATAGTATTTGGTTACATGAGTAAATTTTTTAGTGGTGATTTGTGAGGTTTTGGTGCACCCATCACCTGAGCAGTATACACTGCACCATATTTGTAGTATTTTATTCCTCGCCCCCCTCTCACTCTTCCCCTCAAGTCCCCAAAGTCCATTGTATCATTCTTATGCCTTTGCATCCTTATAGCTTAGCTACCACATATCTTTTTAAAAAGTACACCTTACCAAATTTGATTTTTTTCAAAATCTGACTGAACTAATAAACACTAAAGAAATTTAAAAGATAGTCAATAATTCCCTTTCTTGCTCCAAAGGACACTTTTTCAAGATGTTAAAATATAGGTTTTATCAAGCCTCCAGCAAATGCATAATCCCTATTTCACATAAAATATTTCAGAGAATAAAAGGAGGAAAAGCCACCAAATTCAATTTACCTTGATGTCAAATAGAACAAAAACAATATAACCTTACTTACGAACATACATCCAAAATGCTACATTTTAGAAATAACAAATCAAATTCTATAGTACAGTCGATCCTCATTATCGGCAGATTCTGTATCTGTGAGTTTGCCTACTTGCTAAATGTTTTTGTAACGCCAATATCAATACTCACAGCACTTTCACAGTTATTTACAGACACACACAGAGTTGCGAAAACTTTGAGTTACCCAACTCACACATTCCTAGCTGAAGTCAAAAATGGTGGCACTCTCCTTTCTTGTTCCAGCACCTATTCAGTAAAAGGTGTCCTTTTTGCAGCCTATTTAGTGCCATATTTTTCACAATTTTGTGCTTATTGTTGGTAATTTACTGTTTGAAATGGTCCCCAAGTGTAGGACTGAAGTACTGTGTACTGCTCCTAAGCACAAAAAGGCTGTAATGTGACCTATAGAGAAAATATGTGCATTAGGTCAGCTTTGTACAGGCATGTGTTATATAGTGGTACTGGCCATGAGCTGCATGCTAATGAATCAACTATATAAAATAAGGTGGCTTTATTTATTTATTTATTTTTTGAGATGGAGTCTCACTCTGTTGCCCAGGCTAGAGCGCAGTGGCGCGATCTCAGCTCACTGCTACCTCCGCCTCTCAGGTTCAAGCGAATCTCGTGCCTCTGCCTCGCGAGTAGCTGGGACTACAGGTGTGCACCAACACGTCCTGCTAATTTTTGTATTTTCAGTAGAGACAGGATTTTACTATGTTGGCAAGGCTGGTCTCAAACTCCTGACCTCAAACGGTCTGCCCACCTTGGCCTCCCAAAGTGCTTACAGGCTTCAGCCACCATGCCTGGTCAAAATAAGGTGTCTTTAGACAGAAAACCCAAATAAAACAAGGTTATATATTAATTGGTTGACTAAGATGTTGTGAACAGAGGCTTTCAGGAACCTAACTGTGTATTTCCTCTGGGAGCAATAGTTCAGTATTTGCTGATTCAGTATTCAAAGCAGCATAACTGCTGTGAATAATGAGAATTGACTGTATGTGTAGTACAAATGTGTGTGTGAGTGCATACAGAATATATCATAGTCAAGTAAAGGTTCTCTCATGGATGCAAGGATAGTCAACATAAAACTTTCAACATAATTACCATGTTAATGTAGTTGCCCAATAGGTCCTCCCTGCTTGCTTAGCAATCAAAATCAATTCACTGAGACTGTGGCATTACATTAAAGAAAGAGCTTAATTGACTTGAGATGGGCCTTGTGGGAGATGGAGATATTAATTAAATCTCTGAGATCCTGGAGGCTAGGGGTTTTATGGGCAATTGGTAGGCAGGGGCTCTAGGGAATGGTTGCTGCTGATTGGTTGGAGATGAAATCATGAGTATGGAAACTATCCTCCCATGCTAAACCAGCCTCTGGGTGGGGCCACAGAACGAGCTGAGTCAGGAGTCAGGAGTCTGGGTGTGGTATGTCAGTTGCTAGAATGCAAGTCTAAAAAAAATCTCAAAAGATCAATCTTAAGTTTCACAATAGTGATGTTATTACAGGAGCAATTGAGAAAGCCACAAATCTTGTGACCTCTGGCCACATGACTCCCGATTAGTTATAGAAGCTACTCTTAAATTTTAGCAGAGTTCAGACCTCTCCCATAATCCTAATGTTGTGGCCTTTCATTAGTCTTACAAAGTCAGGTTTCCATTCTTGAGCAAGGAGGGACTTAGTTTTAGGGAGGGACTATTACCATCCTTGCTTTCAAGTTAAACCATGGGCAGGGCATGGTGGCTCATGCCTGTAATTCCAGCACTTTGGGAGGCCGAGGCAGGCAGATCACTTGAGGTCAGGAGTTCAAGACCAGCCTGGCCAACATGGCGAAACCCTGTCTCTACTAAAGATACAAAAAATTAGCCAGGTGTGGTGGTGTGCGCCTGTAGTCCCTACTATTCGGTAAAGTGAGACAATAGAATTGCTTGAACCCAGGAGGCAGAGGTTTCAGTGAGCTGAGATTGCACCACTGCACTCCAGCCTGGGTGACAGGACAAGACCCTGTCTCCAAAAAAAAAAAAAAAAAAGAAAAAAAAAAGTTAAAACATAAATTAAATTCCTCACATGGTTACCTTGGTCCATATCAAGGAATGAGCAATGACAGCCAGCCTGTGCGGCCAGAAGGAAGATGGAGTCAGCCACGCTAGACTTCTCTCACTGTCATCATTTTTGCAAAGGCAGTTTCATTAACTGATTTTAGAAAGAGAAAATCAATGTAATCTTCTCAATAGACTGAGATAAAAGCACTCAGTAAAACTCAATATTCACTTACGATAAATGTTCTCAGCCAAGTAGGAATAAAAGACATCTTTAAACTCATCAATGGTTTGAAAAATTTATATAAAAATAAAATTTCATTACTAAATAATAAAAAAAGATAATATCCAAAGTTATGATGGAACCATATAAATGAAGACAGGACAATATAGGAACCAATAAACACACCCAACCACATATGAGACTTTAATGTGCTAGAGAGATGTCAACACAAACCACTAGAAAAATAATGGACAAGTCAATAAATGGTGCTGAGTCAACTGGATTACCGTATGAGAACCATAACAATAAGAAATCTATTTCTATTTCATGTGATGGGGAGGAGAAAATACCAGGAGGATTACAAACTTCATTGCAAAAATAATTATTTAAAACTTCAAAGAAAAATATAGGATAACATTTTTATGCCTTTGGAGTAATGAAGAATTTAACAACAAAACTAATTTTTTAAAAGCAGAAATTATAAAGATAAAATATATAAATTTTGGTACATCGAGATGAACATTTTCAAACAAAATCCATGCCATAATTATTGTTTAAAGACAAACCAAAAATGATTAGTATTCAGAATATAAAAAGAGGCCAGTCATGGTAGCTCACACCACAAATGCAATCCCAGCACTTTGGAAGGCCAAAGAGGGAGGATCGCTTGAGCCCAGGCATTCAAGACCAGTCCAGAAAACAAAGTGATACCCCATCCTTATTAAAATGTATATAATATACATATATATTTTTATATACATATGTATAAAAAGATAATACATGTATATGTATATTTTTATATAAAATATATATGTATATATAAAATAATAAAAAATAGGCCAGGCACAGGGACTCACACTTATAATCCCAGCACTTTGGGAGGTCAAGGCGAGAGGACTGCTTGAGCCTAGGAGTTTGAGACCAGCCTGGGCAACATGGTGAGACTCGGTCTTTACAAAATAAATTTATTTTTAAACAGCTTTTATCTGCCTAAGTTTATCTTATAACTGTTCAAATTAGCATACCCTGTGACCCAAAAATTTCACTTTTGTAGCATCTGTATACAAGAATACAAGGAAACATATAACAAATATGCTGAATTGTTTGTAACAAGAAAAAATATTTTCAAACAACTCATTATCAGTTGAGAGATTGATAAATAAATGTTGGCATATTTACAAAGTAGGATACTATGTGGGTGATAGTTTCAATGAAAGAATCAATCTATATGTATCAATAGGTCTGGAAAAAGGCAGTGCTGTGCAATGTATGAAAATTGTAGAATCATATCCATAGAATGATAGCATCTATGTAATTTAAAGTATATACATGTATAAAAAGATGGGTTGAATCCACATCAGATTTATAATGGAGTGATGTGGGAGAGAATAAAGTAGGATTCAGCTTTATATGTAATATCCCATTTTTCTTATTAAAACTTTTGGAGAAAAGTGACAAAACAGTGGCATTGATTAATTCTGATTGACGAATACAAAGATATTTGTTCTATTTTCGATGTAAAGATATTTGTTTTATATTTTGTATCTCCATACTCTTCTTTATTTGAGAAAAAAATAATAGAAGAATGAAAACTGGCCAGGCACAGTGGCTCCTGCCTCTAATCTCAGCATTTTGGGAAGCCACAGTGGGACGATCACTTGGGGGTCAGGAATTCAATGTAGTGAGATCCCATCTCTACAAAAACAATTTTAATTTAAATGTAAAAAGAAAAATGATAACTAAAGTCATAATTTTTTTTTTTTGAGACAGAGTCTCACTCTATTGCCCAGGCTGGAGTGCAGTGGTGCAATCTTGGCTCACTGCAACCTCCTCCTCCCAGGCTACCAAGTTGCTGCCTCAGCCTCCCGAGTAGCTGGAACTACAGGTATGTGTCACTAAAGCCCAGCTATAAAGTCATAATTCTTGAAATTAGACATAATAAAGATGCAACATCATCAAGCTGCAAATCCCTTAAAGGGATCCAGAAGTTTCCTTTATAAGGTGATTTTTAAATTTATTTATTTATTTATTTTGAGATGGAGTCTCCTGCTGTTGCCCGGGCTGGAGTGCAATGGCATGATCTGGGCTCACTGCAACCTCTGCCTCCCAGGTTCAAGCAATTCTCCTGTCTCAGGCTCCTGAGTAGCTGGGATTACAGGCATGCGCCACCACACCAGGCTAATTTTTTGTATTTTTAGTGGAGATGGGGTTTCACTATGTTGGCCAGGCTGGTCTTGAACTCCTGACCTTGTGATCTACCCATCTCGGCCTCCCAGAGTGCTGCGATTACACGCGTGAGCCACCGTGCCCGGCCTGTGATTTTTTTTTTTTTTTTCAGATGGAGTTTTGCTCTTGTTGCCTAGTCTGGAGTGCAATGGCGTGATCTCGGCTCACTGCAACCTCCCTCTCCCGGGTTCAAGCGATTCTGCCTCAGGCTCCCGAGTAGCTGGGATTACAAGTGTGCACCACCATGCCCAGCTAATTTTTTTACTATTTAGTAGAGAAGAGGTTTCACCGTTTTGGCCAGGCTGGTCTCGAATTCCTGACCTCAACTATCAGCCCACCTTGGCCTCCCAAAGTGCTGGGATTACAAGCGTGAGCCACCGCGCTAGGCCTATAATGTGGTTTTTCTTTTTTAATGGCATACCACATAATAAAATATAAGGCATCTCTCAAAAACACTTTGATAGAGCCATTAGTGACATAAAAATGCTAATGATCACTAATATTCAGTGAAATAAGATAAAAATCAAAAATGTATATTTAATACGTTCTCACATAAAATAAAAGTATACAGATGCAATTGGAAAGAAACACAATTCAACCAACAGTTATTTTTCTCATCTCTGGGTGATGTGATTCTCAAATGTAAATTATTTTCTTGTACATTCTGTTTTCCAGTTTTTCTAACTTGAAGATACTTTGAAATTAGAAAACTTGTTACCTTTAAGTTAAAAATGGTTTTTCATTTAAAAGAAAAAAGCTTTCAAGATAAAGATCTTTTTATTAACAAGTTTGTCTCCTGGACAGGAGAGGATTAAAGGAAAATAAAACAACGGCAACAAAAAACAAAATGAAAAAGTTTGTTTGATTTTTGTCTGTGTTTGCATTACTACTTGTTTCTGTTACCTATAAATGATTTAAGAATTTGAATCAATTCCTAAGTAACATTTTAGACCAGTTCTTACCTGTGATTTGGAAACATTTAAAGCACTGAAATGAGGAAATCACTCCAGAGTGAATGGAAGGATATCAGCCACTGCAAATGTCTGTCTAATCTTGGGACGTTGAACCAGTTTACAGAGTTGCAGGGGGAGCCAAAACCTTGCCGTAATCCTACCATTCACTGGCTGTGAGTAATGACCATCTGCTGGGGACTGGAGAGGACCCAGCCCAGTCAGTTTGACTGCCTTGGTTTGCATGATAAAGGAAGGTCACAGAAAGTCAATAGGATTGAGAGCAACTCTCCAGGTGGTGGAAGCGATCTGCAGGCAACCGGCAGAAATGGCTTCCACTCTACGACTGCAGCTCTGTAAAGAATTCTCTCTCTTTGGACATCACTCTTCTTCAAAAGGATGTTACAAAATCAAATAAAAGTGAAATTCGAAAACTACACTCTTTAGGTGGGCTTAGGTTTTTTGTGTTTTGTGTTTGGTTTTCTTCATTATTACATGGAGAAGAGGGGTGAAAGAAATATATAGAATGTGCTTTTTCTTTTTGGATCTCAAGGGGCAAAGAGTTTATCAGATTCTTCAGATAATAGTTTATTATCACCATAGACCAATGAAAGCTGTCTTTTCTTCTGTTTAATTATAAAAACATTTCCTCCTTTAGACCCAAAGTCAACTCCCACTCCCTTCCTCCTTCCCATTCTAATGTGCTGGCAAATGTTCTTAAATATACATATGTTTTAGGAATGAATAGTCAACTAAGTCCTCTTAACTTTTCTTTTTTCTTTTCTTTTCTTTTTTTTTTTTTTTTTTTTTTTTTTTTTTTTTTTTTTTTTTTTTGAGATGTAGTGTTTTTTTGCAGCCCAGGCTAGAGTGCAGTGACGCAATCTCAGCTCACTGCAACCTCTGGCTCCTGGGTTCAAGCAATTCTCCTGCCTCAGCCTCCCAAGTAGCCTCCTGAATAGCAGGCACCCACCACCACACCCGGCTAATTTTTGTATTTTTAGTAGAGATGAGGTTTCACCATGTTGGCCAGGCTGGTCTCAAACTCCTGACCTCAGGTGATCCACCTGCCTCGGCCTCCCAAAGTGCTGGGATTACAGGCGTGATCCACTGCGCCCGGTCAGTCCTCTTAACTTTCTTACATGTTTATTACAATTTCCTGACAATTTTTATAAATTTCAGATATTCTGCTACTTGGATAACGTCAATTATCCATAGAAAAGTTTGTCCAAACAACAGTCAGCATTACCAAGACACCTAGAAAAGCTCCGCTTACTCAAAAAAATGCTGCCCGTGGAATGGTCGATCAGACAAGAGCAAACACAAGACACATCACTAATTCATTCAACAAGTCTTTGCTGAGTTCTTGCATTGTCTAGCCAAGACTGGGCCTAGCAACTGATAACAAATCTTGGTTGCAGTTCAGGCTCTGCCACTTATCAGCTGCACGAATTTGTGAAATCACTGAAATTCTTGATATCTAAGGTCTCCTCATATGTAAAGGGAGAAAAACAAAACCCACCCTACCTCCTTGGAAAGATTGTTTTGAGGATAAAATTTAATGGGCATAGAGGAAATCACAGTGGAAATATAAAGCACCATAAAACTTTCGTTTATTATTTTGTTGATGTTGCTAAAAGAGAGAAAGAGAGCAGATATGAGGGGAAACGGGATGAGAATTGGAAGGAGTCGCTGAGGAACCTTAGCCATGGCTACACTGGCCAGGTGTGGCCAAACTGATGAAAACTGACACAACGAAACACTTCGAAAGAACTAAAGACCTTGAAAGGATGATCACAATCTCAGTCTTGACTGTTGATAGAAAAACTGTGATGGAAAAGTGAAATGAAACTAGAGGTCAATCAACAGCAGGCAGCTCCAAATTTTCTCCTAGTCCTAACTTGGAGATATTGCTGGAGATCCCCTGTTGTGGAAGGCAGGAGCAGGATATCTCATGAGCAATGTCATCTGTTTGCCCAGATCCAGGGTCAGAATTCTTGTTAGTATGGTTAGTGTAAGCAAACACCCACAGGAGTGGGAGAAACTGTGGAGTGGGGTTGGGAGCTGTAATAAAGCTCCTATAGAAAGAACACACCATAAATACATGAGCCAAAAGCAATTAGTTTATCTAAAGAAAGGAGAAAAAAATAAATAGGGATGTTAAGCATGTATTCCCTGTCATAAAAAAAAAAAAATCAAGTAAAAAATGAAAATAAAATACATTGTTGCACTGATTTATCTCTAAATGGGTAGTAGACCAAACATTTATTCCCCATATTTTTTTAAAAAAAGTGAAAATGAAAATAAAAAGGGTCATTGCGACCTTGAAAGCATTATGCTGAGTGAAATAAGCCAGACACCAAAGGACAAATATCATGTGATTCCACTTAAATGAAATATCTGGATAGGCAAATACATAGAGGCAGCAAGTACATGAGAGACTGGGGGTAGGTGTGCTGGAGAGTATTGCTTAATCAGTACAGAGTCTCTGTTTGGAGTGATGAAAACATTGTGGAAATGGACAGTGGTGATGATTGCACAACATTGTGAATGTATTTTAGCTCAGCTAAATTATACACAAAATGGTTAAAAGGCAAAACTTATGTTATATATGTTTTATCACACTTTTTTAAATGGGGGGAAAGGGCACTGATTTATCTTTTCTAAATGGATAATAGACAAAACACCAGATCATAAGAATGCTTGGAATCCCAGAAGGATAAAGGGTGGTCTCTTTAAAGCATGTTGATACCAAGCTGACACAGCCTGTAGGACTATCTATCTCTAGTTCAGGATATTTCCATCTGAAGAAGCAGCAGGAGACTGTGATCACCTTGAGGGAGGGGAGCCCAATTGAATCTGGTAGCCAGTAGATATTTAATAAGCATCTCCTGAGTGGATTATCTAGAATCAAAGCTCTCTCCTGCATTTATTCAAAAATAGTCATTAAGTGCCTCTAAATTACCAGGAACTGGACTAGGTACCTGGATGCCCAGGCAAATAAAACCAAAATATTTCATTCCAAAATATATTTTCTTGACATGTTTCAAGATGGCTGTTCAGAGGGGCTGGAAATGCAAGAATAGCTGAAAAGCTGCCTTTTGTGAGCGAGATTTGCATCTGTAGAGAATCAACATTGATGCAGCCAGGCTTTCTCTGAGGCCCTCCCTTGTCTAGATCTAGGAAAGATTAACAGAAAGTCTGACGCCTTCAAGTCTGAAAGAAACATTTACCATCTATTCTCTCTGAGGGTGGCTACCTGCACAGTTTCATCTTTATAACAAGACGAACTTTGCCAGCCGGGCCTCTTCTTCTGTGCCTCTCATAACCTGTTTTGCCACCATAACCCGTTTTGCCATGACCTAAGCCCCTATTCTTTCTGTAACCTCAAGATGGTATAAAAAACCATCAGCCATTTTTCCTTTCTTTGAGATCTTATATTTTTTCCACAAGACAAACCTGCCTCTCAGCCTCATGAGAATCACTTACAATGAGCCTCAAAGAGAATAATTTACAAGTTAATTTATGTCTTTCTAGTCCATTCGTTTTCCCTTAAAATAACGTACTTCTCCTGAAAAGAATTGCCTATATTCCCCATCTCCTCCTTCCCCCTGGAGAAAGGGTATATAGGCCTCTGTACCCCACTAGGGGGTTGGGATAATCACTCTGTGGTTCTCTCCCCATACACGTTAATAAATTTGTATGCCTTTTCTTCTATTAATCTGCCTTTTGTCAGTTGCTTTTTCAGTGACCCTTCAGAGGGCTGAGAAAATAAAAAAAGCTTAGAGTGGTCTGAGCTATGGAAGGTATGCAGGCCCAGACAGACATGAGTACAGGCCTTCAGTTATGCCCCCTTTCCCTCCCACTCATGCCTGGGGGCAATTGTTTAAAGTCATTTTTGTTCCTGACTTGCTGTCTCACTCATTATCTTCATGTTCCTGGAATTTGTGATACAAACAACAATGTATAGCCATTCAATAGCTTGTTATTTTTATATAAATTCTTGGTAAACAACTCAGGAACTGCCTCTTCTTTCCCTTTAAAAATTCACTTGTAACTGCTGTTAATCAGAGTGTGTAATCAAAGCAATTTGAATCTATGGTTCCAGGTTGCAATCCTCAGGCTTGGCCCAAATAAACTCTTACATTAATCTTGCTTGCCTCCACTTCTTTTTTTTTAGGTCATCAGGGCCAAGGGAAAATTTCCCGGACTGCTCTCAAAGAGCCTACAGTCCACAGTGAGAGAGAGAGGCGCGACTAAACAGCAGGACAAAGGCTGGTGCTGACGGGCTGAGAGGCTTCAGGAGAAGGGTTAGCCAGGTAGAGGAGAATGCCTCCAGGTGAGGTACTGGGTCTGTGCAGAGGCAGGAAAGGGAAGTAACACGAGGCTGAAGGTAGAGCACGAAGAAGAGAAAGAGCTAAAAGTAGAGCAAGTGAACTTCATCAGAAAAGCAATGGAAAGATATTAAAGGGATTCAATTTGTTATAGGACTCCAGGTTCAATAGCCCATTGTGTGGTAAAAACCAATATACCAAAACAGCAGGGGTTACAGCAGAGAAAGAGTTCAATAATCATAGGGCAGCCAAACCAGGAGATGGGAGGAACCTCAAATCTGCCTGCCTGAAGAGTTTTGGACGGGTTTTTAAGAACGTTTTGGTGGGAAGAAGGATAAGGAGCTGTGATCACTGATTAGTTAGGGGGTGGGGGATGAAGTCATAACAATGTAGAAGCTGCATTCTGTGCTGAGTCAGTTCCTCGGAAGGGTTTTCAGTCTGGCAGGCATCCTCAGAATGCAGGATATGGAAAACATCTCAAATTTTAAAACCTGAGTTTTCTTAATATTAAAAATGTTATCTATAGAAACAAGGGAAGTTAGGACCTCATGACAGGGGCTATGTGACTTTTCAGCATTCAGCAACTGTAAGGAAGTGGGCTAAAAAGCTAGCTGGTTCATGCTTGACTATGCTTCTATTCAAGCTTATAATTTTGTTAAAACCTTGCAATTTTGTTTTATTAATTTCATGAGGATGGTTTCAAATTCAAGAAATAGACTGAGCATATTTTCACTTCAATAATCCAAAATATTAGTTAAATGTACCAAATGTTACTGAAGGAATTTCACTCAACTTTTACTAAGAGAGAAAGAAAGAAAAAGAATAACTTTTCTATTCTCTTTGATTTTTCCCAACAAGTGTATAAAATTTTTACAATCAGAAAAATCAGTAAAGCTATTTTCATTAAGACAAAATAGGAAGAGAAAAAAAGAAGAGGAGGGCTGGGTGCAGTGACTCACACCTATAATACCAGCACTTTGGCAGGCCAAGGCTGGAGGATTGCTTGAGCCTAGGAGCTCAAGACCAGCCTGGGCAACATAGTGAGACCCCCATCTCTACAAAAAATGGTTGAAAATTAGCCAGGCATGGTGGTACACAGCTGGGGTCCCAGCTACTCAGGAGGCTGAGGTGGGGGGATTGCTTGAGCCTGGGAGGTTGAGGCTGCAGTGAGCCATGGTTATGCCACAGCACTCCAGCCAGGGTGACAGAGCAAGACTCTGTCTCAAAAAGAGTAACAGGAAGCAAAAATAAGAAAGACTACTCTGATCAGTGTGAAAATAGATTCAGGAAGCCTTATAAAACACGTATCAGATCATGTTATTCTCTCGATATATATATATATATATATCTGTATATATCTGTATTAGGATTCCCTAGAGGGACAGAACTAATAGGATATATATATATAATATATATTTATATATAAATATAAACATATATATTAATATATTTTTATATATTATATATTATATATATTTATATTATATTAATATATTATATATTATATATAATAAATTATATAATATATATAATATATAATATATAATAACTTAATATAATAGAAATATATTATATATATTTATATATAATATATAATATAGAGATTATAGATATATGTATATCCTATTAGTTCTGTCCCTCTACAGAACCCTGACTAATACAGATTTTAGTACCAGAAGTTGTTCTAGAGAAACAGAATATTAAGGATGGAGTTTTTTCATTGATTTTGGGGCTTCCTGAGTTGGCTGCTTAATATGATTAGACCCAAAAATGCTAAAGACTCTACTTTTAATATTATAGAGAACACCGATAGTCCTGTTTAGAGAGTTATGCAAAATAAATGCATTTGACACTCCTGATTTACCACTGCTTATGAGAGGCAAGGAGTTTAGTGACTCTATACATAATACCTTTGACTATACGTGGAGAACCAAGAAACATAATGAAGTTGGTTTGTTCCCCCTAAGTTCACTGGACAAAGTGATGAAAGAAAATGATAAAGTCAGGGATTCTAATTCCCGGCTTCAGAAGCAGATACGGAGCCTCAAATCTGCTAAGATTGTCCTGAGTGAGAGTCTTATCTCCTGTAGAGAAAGAGCTGAAATTGTGAAAAAATAGGCACAAGCTCTTATCACACGAGTGGCTGACCTGCAATGAAAGGTGCATGCACAGCCTCGCCAGGTGTCCACTGTTAAAGTGAGAGCATCGATTAGAAAAGAATGGGACTCTGCAACTCGGAACGGGGATGTGTGGGAGGAGCCTGATGAAGCGGGGGACACTAAGCTTGTAAACTCTGATGAACCTTTTTTTTGCCAGAAGTAACAGCTTCCCTATCCCCAGTAGTGGCAACATCCCCTCCCCAACCCATGCTGCCATCAGACTTTCCACCTTTGTCTGAGGAGATAAACCCTATGCTGCCTGAGGCAACAGTGATAGCCTCCCCTAAGGAAATTGCCAGGCAAGATAATGTTGATTCCCCTCAGGAGCCACCCCCAACACCCCAGTTTTCTTCTAGACCTATAACTAGACTAAAGTCCCAGTGGGCCCCCAGAGGTGAGGTTCAGAGTGTGACCCATGAGGAGGTGCACTACACTCAAAAAAGAACTGCTTGAGTTTTCTAATTTATATAAGCAGAGAACAGGCATGGGAATGGATACTAAGGGTGTGGGATGATGATGGAAGGAACAGAGACTTGAATCAGACTGAATTTATTGATTTGGGCCCACTAAGTAGGGATTCTGCATTTAATGTTGCAGCTCGGGGAGTTAAAAAAGGTTCTAATAGTTTATTAGCTTCATTAGTTGAAATATGGATTAAAAGATGGTCCACTATGAGTGAGCTGGAAATGCCTGATCTCCCTTGGTTTAATGTAGAGGAAGGGATCCAAAGGCTTAGGGAGATTGGGATGGTGGAGTGGATTAGTGACTTTAGATCTACTCATCCCAGCTGAGAGGGTCCAGAAGATATACCCTTGTTCAATGCCTTGCAAAATAGATTTGTGATGGCAGCACCTGCATCTTTAAAGAGCTCTGTAATTGCTCTTCTCTGTATGTCAGATCTAACAGTGGGAACTGCATTTACTCAACTACAAAATTTAAATGTAATGGGGAATAAACGAATCCTGAGGTGGCAGAGGCCAAGTGGCAGCACTCAGCCATCAAAGGCAAGG
The DNA here is from genome assembly GCF_000001405.40 of Homo sapiens. NCBI lineage: Eukaryota > Metazoa > Chordata > Mammalia > Primates > Hominidae > Homo > Homo sapiens. Next base: position 138,250,944 of record NC_000007.14, read on the forward strand.
TGGGCGTAGCTACCATAATGGACAGCAGAGACAAAGCAGCAATCAAAATAGTCTGACTCACGTACAGCTCTGGCATTGGCTAATTAATCACGATGTTCCTAGAAGTGAAATTGATAGGAAGCCATCTGCATTCCTACTTAATTTATATAAGCAGAAAACTTCTAGGTCGAATGGACTAATTTGAATTATAAAAACAGAATCATGTTCCCTCAATCAATTTCCAGACTTGAGCCAGTTTACAGACCCAGAACCTGTTGAATGAAGGGTCCTGTCGAATGCTGTTTACAGACCCAGAACCCGTTGAATGCTGGGTCCCCTTGAGGAAGGACCCCACTACACTACTGACAATTTATGCTGTTAATCTTTTTTTTTTCTTTTTTTTTTTTTGAGACGGAGCTTCACTCTGTCACCCAGGCTGGAGTGCAGAGGCATGATCTCTGCTCATGCAACCTCTGCCTCCCAGGTTCAATTGATTCTCCTGCCTCAGCCTCCCAAGTGGCTGGGATTACAGGCATGTGCCACTATGCCCAGCTAATTTTTGTCTTTTTAGTGAGATGGGGTTTCACCATGTTGGCCAGGCTGGTTTCGAACTCACCTGACCTCAGGTGATCCACCCACCTTGGCCTCCCAAAGTGCTGGGATTACAGGTACAAGCCACCACACTCGGCCCAATTTATGCTGTTAATCTTTCTCCCGTCTCCACGGAGACCTCTGGCCTTTTACTAGGGTAACTGTGCATTGGGGAAAGGGAAATGATCAGACATTTTGAGAATTACTGGACACTGGCTCTGAGCTGACACTGATTACAGAGGACCCAAAACGTCACTGTGGTCCTCCAGTTAAAGTAGGGGCTTAGGCGGGGTCAGGTAATTAATAGAGTTTTAGCTCAGGTTCAACTTACAGTGGGTCCAGTGGGTCCCCAGGCTCATCCTGTGGTCAATTCCTCAGGGCCAGAGTGCGTAATTGGCATAGACATACTTAGCAGCTGGCAGAACCCCCACATTGGCTCCCTGACTGGTAGGGTGAGGGCTATTATGGTGGGAAAGGCCAAATGGAAGCCATTAGAGCTGCCTCTACCTAGAAAAATAGTAAATCAAAAACAATATCACATCCTTGGAGGGACTGTGGAAATTAGTGCCACCATTAAGGACTTGAAAGACACAGAGGCGGTGACTCCCACCACATCCCCATTCAACTCTCCCATTTGGCCTGTGCAGAAGACAGATGGATCTTGGAGAATGACAGTGGATTATTGTAAACTTAACCAAGTGGTGACTCCAATTGCAGCTGCTGTACCAGATGTGGTTCATTGCTTGAGCAAATCAACACATCTCCTGGTACCTGGTATGTAGCCATTGACTTGGCAAATGCCTTTTTCTCCATTGGCATCCATAAGGCCCACCAGAAGCCATTTGCCTTCAGCTGGCAAGGCCAGCAATATGCCTTTAGTGTCCTACCTCAGGACATATCAACTCTCTGGCTTTGTGTCATAATCTTATTCAGACAGACCTTGATTACTTTTTGCTTCTGCAAGATATCACAATGTTCCATTACATTGATGACATTATGCTGATTAGATCCATTGAGCAAACACACTGGACTTATTGGTAAGACATTTGCATGCCAGAGGATGGGAAATAAATCTGACTAAAATTCAGGGACCTTCTACTTCAGTAAAATTTCCAGGAGTTTAATGGTTTGGGGCCTCTGGAGATAGGCCTTCTAAGGTGAACGATAAGTTGCTTCATTTGGCCCCTCTTACAACCAAGAAAGAGACACAATGCCTAGTGGGCCTATTTGGATTTTGGAGGCAACACATTCCTCATTTGGGTGTGTTACTCCAGCTCATTTATTGAGTAATCCGAAAAGCTGCCAGGTTTGAGTGGAGTCCAAAAGAAGGCTCTGCAGCAGGTTCAGGCTGCTGTGCAAGCTGCTCTGCCATTTGGGCCATATGACCCAGCAGATCCAATGGTGCTTGAGGTGTCAGTGGCAGATAGGGATGCTATTTGGAGCCTTTGGAACGCCGCCATTGGTGAATCACAGCGGAGGCCTCTAGGATTTTGGAGCAAGGCTCTCCTGTCTTCTGCAGATAACTACTCTCCTTTTGAGAGGCAGCTCTTGGCCTCTTACTGGGCTTTGGTGGAAACTGAACGTTTGACGGTGGGTCATCAAGTCACCCTGCGACCTGAACTGCCTATCATGAATTGGGTGCTTTCTGACCCATCTAGCCATAAAGTTAGTGGTGCACAGCAGCGTTCCATCATCAAATTGAAGTGGTATATACATGATTGGGTTCGAGCAGGTCCTGAAGGCACAAGTAAGTTACATGAGGAAGTGGCTCAAATGCCTATGGTCTTCCTTCCTGCCACCCTGCCTTGTCTCCCCTAGCCTGCACCGATGGCCTCATGGAGAGCTCCCTATGATCAGTTGAAAGAGAAAAAGAAGACTAGGACTTGGTTCACAGATGGTTCTGCATGATATGCAGGCACCACCGGAAAGCAGACAGCTGCAGCACTACAGTCCCTTTCTAGGACATCCCTGAAGGACAACAGTGAAGGAAAATCTTCCCAGTGGGCATTACTTTGAGCAGTGCACCTGGTTGTGCACACTGCATGGAAGGAGGATGGCCGGATGTGCGATTACGTACTAATTCATAGGCTGCAGTCAAGGGTTTGGCTGGATGGTCAGGGACTTGGAAGAAGGATGATTGGAAAATTGGTGACAAAGAAATTTGGGGAAGAGGTATGTGGATGGACGTCTCTGAGTGGTCAAAAACTGTGGAGTTATTTGTATCCCATGTGAGTGCTCACCAAAGGGTGACTTCAGCAGAGGAGGATTTTAATAATCAAGTGGATAGGATGACTCATTCTGTGGACACCACCCAGCCTCTTTCCCCAGCCACCTCTGTCATCACCCAATGGGCCCATGAACAAAGTGGCCACGGTGGTAGGGATGGAGGTCATGCATGGGCTCAGCAACATGGACTTCCACTCACGAAGGCTGACCTGGCTACGGCCACTGGTGAGTGCCCAATTTGCCAGTAGCAGAGACCAATACTGAATCCTCAATATGGCACCATTCCTAGGGGGGATCAGCCAGTTACCTGGTGGCACGTTGATTATATTGGACCTCTTCCATCATGGAAAGGGCAGAGGTTTGTCTTCACTGGAATAGAAACTTACTCTGCATATGGATTTGCCTATCCTGCATGCAATGCTTCTGCCAAGACTACCATCCGTGGACTCACATCCTTATCCATCATCATGGTATTCCACACAGCATTGCCTCTGATCAAGACACTCACTTTACGGCTAAGGAAGTGAAGCAGTGGGCTCATGCTCATGGAATTCCCTGGTCTTACCATGTTCCCCGTAATCCTGAAGCAGCTGGATTGATAGAACGGTGGAATAGCCTTTTGAAGTCACAATTACAATGCCAACTAGGTGACAATACTTTTCAAGTCTGGGGCAAAGTTCCCCAGAAGGCCATGTATGCTCTGAATCAGCATCCAATACATGGTACTATTTCTCCCATAGCCAGGATTCACAGGTCCAGGAATCAAGGGGTGAAAGTGGAAGTGGCACCACTCACCATCACCCCTAGTGATCCACTAGCAAAGTTTTTGCTTCTTATTTCCGCGACATCTACTAGTCTAGAGGTCACAGTTCCAGAGGGAGAAATGCTGCCACCAAGAGACACAACAAAGATTGCCACGTGGACACTTTGGGCTCCTCCTATCTTTAAGTCAACAGGCTAAAAAGGGAGCTACAGTGTTGGCCGGAGTGATTGACCTGAGCTATCAAGATGAAGTCAGTCTACTGCTCCACAATGGAGGTAAGGAAGGGTATGCACAGAATACGGGAGATCCACTAGGGCATCTCTTTGTATTACCATGCCCTGTGATAAAGGTCAATGGGAAACTATACAACAGCCCAATCCAGGCAGAACTACAAATGGCCCAGACCCTTCAGGAATGAAAGTTTGGTCACTCCACCAGGAAAAAAACACAACCTGCTGAGTTGCTTGCTGAAGGCAAAGGGAATACAGAATGGGTAGTAAAGAAGGTAGTCATTAATACCAGCTATGACTATGTGACCTGTTGCAGAAAGGAAAACTGTAATTGTCATGAGTATTTCCTTCTTCCTTTGTTAAAAACATGGTTGTGCATGTATACACTTGTACTTGGAAAATATCTTCATTTTATTTCCTTTTTCCTTTATCATGTGACATAAGATTTATTGACTTCATATCAGTATTTAAGTATTGTTAACTTTATGTAATAGCATTTGGGTTGAGGATTGGTGCATTTCTGGTTGTAAGAAGGACAGTTGTATTATGTTAGTCATAATTATGACTTTATTATTGTCTTTATCTTAAGATTATGTACAATCTCAGGAGATGTGTATGGGTTCCAGTTGACAAGGGGTGGACTTGTGATGGTTAATATTGTGTCAACTTGATTGGATTGAAGGATGCAAAGTATTGATCCTGGGTGTGTCTGTGAGTATGTGGCTGAAGGAGATTAACATTTGAGTCAGTGGGCTGGGAAAGGCAGACCCACCGTTAATCTGGGTGGGCACCATCTAATCAGCTGCCACTGCAGGCAGAATATAAAGCAGGCAGAAAAACATGAAAAGACTAGACTGGTTTAGCCTCTGAGACTACACCTTTCTCCCATGCTGAATGCTTCCTGCCCTCAAACACTGAACTCCATGTTCTTCAGCTTTGGGACTCAGACTGGCTTCCTTGCTCTTCAGCTTGCAGATGGCCTATTGTGGGACCTTGTGATCATGTGAGTTAATACTACTTAATAAACTCCCCTTCATATATATATACACACATATATATATATTCTATTAGTTCTGTCCCTCTAGACAACCCTGATTAATACAGACCCTCTGTCTTAGCTCCTTGACAGATACATGGACATGCCTTATAATTATCTCAATTATCTCCTCTCTGTCTTCTGAGGGATTTCTTTTTTTTTTCTCTCTCTCTTTTGAGGCGGAGTCCCGCTCTGTTGCCCAGGCTGGAGTGCAGTGGTGTGATCTTGGCTCACTGCAAGCTCCACCTCCCAGGTTCACACCATTCTCCTGCCTCAGCCTCCCGAGTAGCTGGGGCTACAGGTGCCTGCCACCACACCTGGATAATTTTTTTTGTATTTTTAGTAGAGTTGGGGTTTCACCATGTTAGCCAGGATGGTCTCAATCTCCTGACCTTGTGATCTGCCCACCTCAGCCTCCCAAAGTGCTGGGATTACAGGCGTGAGCCACCATGCCTGGCCCCGGGATTTCTTAATTAATTTCAGAGGTAGATGTTTATGGTTGCAAGGACCAGATGGCTCATGTCTTAGCAGCATAAAAGCCAAAGATGGGGCCTCACATTAGGTCTATTATGTTTTCAAGGAGACACACTAAGGAAAGGAGGATCAGGTGGCAACTACTTCCCTCCTCAAAGAAAATTTCAGCATCTTATCCTTATAAAGCATAAATGTTCAATATGATGTTGGATATGTAAGTCTGGAACTCTGGAGACAAAATTGAGAATTATAAGTATTTTATGCTATTCAAATGTCAGAAACACACTGGCAGAATTTCCTTCATCTAAACTGAAGCAGTCTGGGGTTACTGGAGCAGTCTTGTTGCTTGATGTACTACCCAGAATTCTTTGTCTCACGACCATGAAAATTAAAGAGCATGGACACCAAGGGTGAGGTTGGAGCAAAAGTTTAATAAGTGAAAGAAGAAAGCTCTCTGCAGCAGAGAGGTGGCCCAAGAGGGTTGTCGTTTCACAGCTGGATGTAAATGCTTTTATAAACAAGCTAATTGGGGCCAGGCACTGTGGCTCACACCTGTAATCCCAGCACTTTGGGAGGTGGAGGCAGATGGATCACCTGAGGCCAGGAGTTTGAGACCAGTCTGGCCAACATACAGTGAAACCCCATCTCTACTAAAAAACACAAAAGTTAGCTGGGCATGGTGGCGCATGCCTGTAGTCACAGCATTTGGGAAGCTGAGGCAGGAAAATCACTTGAACCCGGGAGGCAGAGGTTGCAGTGAGCCGAGATTGCCCCACTGCACTCCAGCCTGGGTGACAGAGAAAGACTCCCTCTCTCAAATAAAATAATTAAAAAAAAAAAAAAAGTTGGCTGGGTGCAGTGGCTCATGCCTGTAATCCCAGCACTTTGGGAGACTGAGGCGGGTGGATCACAAGATCAAGATATTGAGACCATCCTGGCTAACACGATGAAACCCCATCTCTACTAAAAAATACAAATATATATATATATATATATCAGCTGGGCATGGTGGCAAGTGCCTGTAGTCCCAGCTATCCGGAAGGCTGAGGCGGGAAAATGGTGTGAACCCAGGAGGTGGAGCTTGCAGTGAGCCGAGATCGCACCACTGCACTCCAGCCTGGGCGACAGAGCAAGACTCCATATCGAAATAAATAAATAAATTAAATTAAATTAAAAATACACAAGTTAATTGGGCAGGGTGTTTCATCTGCATAGGGTACGAAAAACTAGTTAGGGCTGGGTGTCGAGTTGGATAAGGCATGAATTCTTGTTAGTTCCACCCCACCCCTCTAGTGTGCATGTGGGTCCTAAGCCTGAGTTACTCCATATTCTTTCATTTCCCTTACTGCACACGTGTCAGGAGATGGAATTTTCCACCGCCGACGTGTCTGGTTCTACGTAACATTTTTATCTATACAGCTGCAGGCCTGTCTTAGGAAAGCCCCCTTGTGCAAGTTCCCTTATCTGAGTATGCCCAAAAAGGAAAGGAATGTGCTCAAGGAACCCATCGTATATAACTGGAGCTAGCTGGTTGCACAAGAGATAAAGGTGTTGGATCTTGCTTCCTTATCTGCACTTACAGCTTGATTTCTTCCAGGTTGCTCTTTTGATAAAAGGACTTCTACCACGGGACTTGTCCTAACTATTTGCCTAACCAGTTCCTTCCTCTCTCTTCCCTCAAAATGACCATGTTTAACATGACTCAAAAGTCATCAAAAACTCTTTCATTATGCTTCCTCCTGCTTGAGTTTGCAAGATTATGAAACTGCCTTTGAAAAACATTCTAACTGAGACAATGATTACAGTGAAAGAGATCTGACCTAACTGACTCCATCCTGTCCGTAACCTCCAAGCTGTCCTTGTCCATTCTTGGGGGTAGGCCAAACTAACTTTGGGAATAATTTAGTTTATGGTTTAGCTTTGAAACAAAAGTGATAACAGCCATTTCCCAAAACAAACTCCCTTCTTGTCTGGGGACAAGACTGCCTTTGCAGAACTAACAAATTAGCCACAAGATAAGAAATTATGATTTAGGAGTCATGCAGCTGGAGGCTGCAAGATTCTAAACCTACCCAAATTGCTCCTGGGGATAGCATCACTACTGTAAAACCTAAGATCAGTGCTTCAGATATTTTGCAGCTCCTGCACTTGATGGATCAGCCGGCACCACCCAGACAGATAATCCCACTCATCTGGTCTTGTGGCCCCTTCCCAGGAAGTGACTCAGTGCAAGAGGACAGCTTCGACTCCTATGATTTCATCTCCAATCTGAGTAATCAGAACCTCGGATTCACTGCCCCCCACCCACCCACCCACCAAATTATCATTAAAAACTCCTATCCTTGGCCGGGTACGGTGGCTCATGTCTGTAATCCCGGCACTTTGGGAGGCTGAAGCGGGCGGATCACCTGAGGTCGGGAGTTTGAGACCAGCCTGACCAACATGGAGAAACCCCGTCGCTACTAAAAATACAAAATTAGCCGGGCGTGGTGGCGCACATCTGTAATCCCAGCTACTCAGGAGGCTGAGGCCGGAGAATCGCTTGAACCTGGGAGGCAGAGGTTGCAGTGAGTCGAGATTGTGCCATTGCGCTTCAGCCTGGGCAACAAGAGCGAAACTCCGTCTCAAAAACAAAAGAAAACAAGAAACTTTTGTCCTCAAATTGTCAGGGAGATTGATTTGAATAATAACAAAACTTCAGTCGCCCACACAGCCAGCTCTGTGTGAATTACTTTTCCTGTATCACAATTCACCTGTCTTGACAAATCAGCTCTGTCTAGGAAGCAGACAAGATGAACCCGTTGGGCAGTTACAATTCACTTCAGTTTGTTCTGTTGGTTGGTTTGTTTAAGTATGAAAAACATTGCTTTGTTTTTTCGTTTCAGAATCTTTGAGTCCACGTGGAGGAAGGAAGGAGAAGAGGAGAAGACTGTTTTCCAGGATGGAAAGGGAGCCTCGCTTTCTCTTTAGGTGGATTACAGAAATTGGTTGAATTCTCCCTGCCCTGGAGAAAAGTCAATTTATTTTTTATGTTAAAGATTTAGGCTCTTCCTGAGGGCTACTATGAAAGAAAAGTAGGGAAGCGAGCTTTTATTTTGAGAACAAAGAGTGAGCCAAGAGTGTAAAGTTGATAAGAGGGTAGAAGGGAGTAGATGAAGGGGGAGGGGAAAAGAAATGGCCAAAGGGGAACTGGCCAAGAGAAAGAACACTACAGGACCTTGAAATGAGTGAAGAAAATGTGTTATACCTTTTCATCCCTACAGTGTCTACATACTAATCCCCAGAAACTCTGAGTGTCACCTTATAGTGCAAAGGGATGTTGCAGATGCCATTGAGTTAAAGATCTTGAGTTAGGAAGATTATCCTGAATTATTGGTGTGGGCCAAATGGAATCACAACTTTCCTTATAGGAGGGAGGCAGAACTTTGATGTAAACAGAAAAGAAGAATGCTTTACCTTACCAATTTTCTACATGGTAGCCTGTAACTTGACAACATTATAAAACAACTGGCTCTAAATCAACTTGAGTTATATTTTCAGAGCTTGAGGACCCTTTGAAACTGCCCTTCCAAAATTACAACAGTGAGAGAAATCGGACATGGCTGACTCCATCTTGCTTCTAGCCTCACAGGCTGGCTGTCTTTGCTCATTCCTGGGCGTGGGTCAAGCTAACTTCCAGAGAAATTTAGTTTACAGTTTAAATAACATTAGCCCTTACCAAAAACTAAACTGTTCTTGTAAAACTAATGAAAGGCTACCAAGTTAATGAGAGGGGCTTGAATTCTAAATAATTACCAGTCATTATTCCGGAGGTCATAAGATTTGCAACTTCCCCAATTACTCTTGCAGATAACATCACTATTGTAGAACCTAAGACTGGCCTTTTGAGGTGTCTTTTCAGGTTTTTGCATTTCTTTTTTTCTTTTATTTATTTATTTATTTTTGAGATGGAGTTTTACTCTTGTTGCCCAGGCTGGAGTGCAATGGTGCAATCTCAGCTCACTACAATCTCCGCCTCCCGGGTTCAAGCGATTCTCCCAACTCAGCTTCCCCAGTAGCTGAGATTACAGGCACCCACCATCATGCCCGGCTAATTTTTTGGATTTTTGTAGAGACCAGGTTTCATCATGTTGGCCAGGCTGGTCTCAACTCCTGACCCCAGGTGATCCACCCACCTCAGCCTCCCAAAGTGCTGGGATTACAGGCGTGAGCCACCACACCCTGCCATAAGCCACATGTTGATTGCACCACTGCAGTCCAAGTCCAGCCTGGGCAATAGAGTCAGACCCCTGGCTCTTAAAAAAAAAATTTTTTTTTTTTTTAGTAAAAAAATAGAAAACCGCGTGTTAACAAACTATTTTCTTTTAAACAGTTAGCCTCTTAAAAGATTTCAGCAGAGGCTTGTATAGTGGGGGTGCTTGGTAAGAAAGAATACCTTTTTTTCTGGCTAGAGAATGGTATTTTAAAGTTTAGATTTTACTAAGTGAGAAGGAAAGCCACTGGGGAGGTTGACCAGGGCAGTGAGGTGATCTGGGTATGTTTTAAAAGGACCTCCCTGGCTTTGTGTGAAGATGAGACTCTGGGAGCAAGAGGGCAAGCTGCCAGATCTGTTCCTATAGTCCTAGCAGGAAGATGGTAGCACATCAAGGGTGGGAGTGGAGAAGAGATGCAAAGCTATTGGATCTTCATCTACTTCAACTTCATTTACTTCAACGGTGGAGACAAATAGATTTGCTGATGTATTTGCTGTAATTATGCAAATGCAAGGCAAATGTCTTCATTTTGTTCTTTCGATGGAGAGGTTAAATAATGAAGGCTGTTTCCTTGGAGTCTGTGTGTCTCTAAGGCTTGGAGAAAAAGAGCACCAAGATACCAATGGAAGTATAACCAGCAGGCCTAGCACAAGCTGAGGGCTAAGAAATTGTCCAGCCGCAGGTTATAATCTACATTAGGCTTAGACAATTAACTTCTTAATTTCCTACTTTGCTGCCAACTTGTGGTTGCTGAATAGTCCTTTCTTTCATTAGCTGGTTCTCAATTCTCATAGGACTTTCTCATCCTCACTCTCCATACTGCCTATCCAGGCAATAATCATGTAACAGACAGGTCTCAGTATTCACACCCTTGCGTAATTGTAATCCTCTCCCACATAAACTATGGCTGACCTATAAAAGGATATTGTCTATACAAAGAGAGACCTATATAAGGATAACGATAGAGTGACCTATATGAGGAATGTGTCTTTCAAGACTAAGTCATAAAAGATATTTTGGCTTCCAACTTGCTGTTTCCTGGATCACTTGCTCTGGCCATACCAGAAGACACACCTGGGATATACTCAGGCAGCCTTATGATGAGTTCCATGTGCATGTGATAAAGAGCTGAAGCCTCCTGCAAGTAGCCAGCATCAGCTCACCAAGCACATGAGTGAGCCTCCTTGGAGGCAGATTCTCCAGCCCCAGTCAAGCCTTCAGATGACTGTATCCCAGCCAAATCTAGACTGTCATGTCACAAGAGATCCTGAGCCTGTAGCACCCACCTAAGCCACTCTCAAATTTCTGATTCACAAAAACTGTGTGAGATAACAAATCTTTATTGTTGCAAGTTGCAGCAACAGATAATCAATACACCCATGCATTCCCTTTGCTACCTCTGCTTTCTTCAGGGTCAAGGTAGAGGGGAAAGAATTAGAGAAGATAGAACTAAGAACTTACTTAATCAGTGCCATTATAATCCTGTTGGTGGTGCATTCCAAATACTGGCTCTCTCACTGAGATGCAGGTTACAAGTTCTTTGAGAGGTTCTTTTTTTGTTTTTTGGGTTTTTTTGTTTTTTTTTTTTTGAGACAGTCTTGCTCTGTCACCTGGGCTGGAGTGCAGTGGCATGATCTTGGCTCACTGCAACCTCTGCCTCCTGGGTTCAAGCAATTTTTGTGCCTCAGCCTCCTGAGTAACTGGACTACAGGCGCATGCCACCACGCCCGGCTAATTTTTGTATTTTTTTTTTTTTTTTTAGTAAAGATGGGGTTTCGCCATATTGGCCAGGCTGGTCTCGAACTCCTGGCCTCAAGTGATCCACTTGCCTCGGCCTCCCAAAGTGCTGGGATTACAGGCATGAGCCACCGTGCCTGGCCTCTTTGAGAGGTTCTTGCTTGAACCCTGACGTGGGCAATGTACTGTCTGGCTGTATGCTTGTAATGCCCTTTCCCCAACCCTGGCAGCTGCCTCTGATGGTGTGACTCACCATCTCCTATTTCTGAGGTCCTCTCACTCTAGCAGGCTCCCCTCTGGGATAGTCTACTTATAAGATTACCAAAAACCCAGACATCATTCCTTGTCCAATTAACTAACAAGAAACACATGTAAGCTTGCAGTGAAAGATGGTGGATATATAGGCAGCCAGCCCCTCTATTACCTTCTGTCTTCCAGGGAAGGGGGCACAAATTTCTAGACTCATGGACACTCCTAGACTACAGAGCACACATACCAAACTTTCCCAAGAACCTTCTCACCATGCTATACTCCAGTGACTTCTCCAGGATGGGCCCATGAGTTTTTGCAGTTCATTACACACCCAGCAGGGGAGAGAAATGTCTATTTCTTTTTTTTGTAAGCACCCCTAATCTTTCTAAACAATCTTGTTGAAGCCCTCTTCTGGCATGATGTGGGGAAAGAAATCCCCAGAGGCTGGCTCACGCCTGTAATCCCAGCACTTTGGGAGGCCAAGGCAGGGGGATCACCTGAGGTCAGGAGTATGAGGACCCAGACTGCATATTGGGTGCCTTTTCGAAAAATTTGAATTCACATTCCAACTGGTGGCCAAGAACATATTAAGAGTATTATTGGAAAAGTACAGTTGTCACAGAAATACAACTGCCCTTCTGAAGACAAACGAGACTCCAACTCTAAGTTCTACTCCTGCAAACTGCCCACACAGCCAGCCTCTGGGGATTTCTGTTTTTTTGTGTGTTTGTTTGGTTGGTTGGTTTTTGTTTTTTTGTTTTTTGGCTTTTTTGAGACAGAGTCTCACTCTGTCACCCAGGCTGGAGTGCAGTGGCGTGATCCTGGCTCACTGCAACCTCTGCTTCCCAAGTTCAAGCCGTTTTTGTGCCTCAGCCTCCTAAGTAGCTGGGATTACAGGCATGCGCTACCACACCTGGCTAATTTTTGTATTTTAAGTAGAGACAGAGTTTCACCATGTTGGTCAGGCTGCTCTCGAACTCTTGGTCTTGAATTCCTGACCTCAGGTGAACCGCCCACCTTGGCCTCCCAAAGTGCTGGGATTATAGGCATGAGCTGCTGCGCCCAGCCCAGATTTTTAATTTTTGTCAATCTAGTAGGTATACAATGATATCTTCTTGTGATTTAAATTTGCATTTTCCTGATTAGTAATGAGTCTGAGTATCTTTTCATGTTTGTTGGTCACTTGCATTTCTTCTTTGTGAAGGGACTGTTCAAATAGCCCATTTTTTATCTGGTTTGTCTTTTCCTTATCAATGTGTAGAAAGCCATTATATCATCTAGATAGAATTCCTTTGTCAGTTATAAGTCTTCAAATATTTTCTTTAATTTTGTGGCCCCTTTTTTTTTACTGTCTTTATAATGTGATTGATAAACAGAAATTGTTCATTTTAATGTAGCTTATCAATTTTATTGTTTATGGTTAGTGTTTCTTTTTAAGAGACTTTTCCAAATGCAGTCATGAAGATTTATTTTTTTAAATTTATTTATTTATTTTTTAATTCTGACATTGAGAAACCAGGAACCAGAGACTTCTTTTTTTTTTTTTAGATAGGGTCTCACTCTGTCGCCCAGGCTGGAGTGCAGTGGTGTGATCTCGGCTCACTGCAACCTCCACCTCCCGGGTTCAAACGAGTCTTGTGTCTCAGCCTCCCGAGTGCTGGGACTATAGGTGGGACTATAGGTGGGACTATAGTGCTGGGACGCCACCACACCTGGCTGATTTTTGTATTTTTTGTAGAAATGGGGTTTTGTCATGTTGCCTAGGCTGGTCTGGAACTCTTGGGCTCAGGTGATCTGCCTGCCTTAGCCTCCCAAAGTACTGGGATTACAGGCATGAACCACCATGCCTGGCCAAGATTTACTCTTATATTGCCTTCTAAAAGCTTTCTGGTTTTGTTAGTCATATTTGGGTCGATAATCAACCTAGAATTAAATTTCGGTATGTTGCCATATAGGGCTTTTTAAATTTTTATTTATTTATTTATTTATTTTTGAGATGGAGTCTCACTCTGTCGCCCAGGCTGGATGGAGTGCAGTGGCGCGGTCTCGGCTCACTGCAAGCTCCGCCTCCTGGGTTCGCGCCATTGTCCTGCCTCAGCCTCCCGAGCAGCTGGGACTACAGGCGCCCGCCACCACGCCCGGCTAATTTTTTGTATTTTTAGTAGAGATGGGGTTTCACCGTGTTAGCAAGGATGGTCTCGATCTCCTGACCTCATGATCCGCCCACCTCACCCTCCCAAAGTGCTGGGATTACAGGCGTGAGCCACCGCGCCCAGCTGGCTTTTTTTATTTTTAAGAAATAGATATCTAATTGATCCAGCACTGTTTATTAAACAGACCTATTGTGCTGGACGGCATAAACCAAGTGCCCATATAGGCAGGAGTCTGTTTCTGGATTTCCTATTCTACTTAATTTCTCAAGTTCTCTACCATTACAGCAATATCACACTATCATGAGGACCACAGTTATTATAAGACTTTTAATAAGTCAAAATACTTATTATAAATGCAAAATAAGACGTATACATTGTTCTTCAAAATAGCCTTAGCTGTTCTTAGTCCTTGCATTTTAAATTATTTTATTTTATTTTGAGACAGAGTTTTGCTCTTGTTGCCCAGGCTATAGTGCAATGGTTCAGTCTTGGCTCACTGCAACCTCCACATCCCTGGTTCAAGCGCATCTCCTGCCTCAGCCTCCCAAGTAGCTGGGATTACAGGCACCGGCCACCACGCCCAGCTAATTTTTGTATTTTTAGTAGACACAGGGTTTCACCATGTTAGCCAGGCTGGTCTCGAACTCGTGACCTCAGATGATTCACCCATCTCGGCTTCCCAAAGTGCTGGGATTACGGGCATGAGCCACCATGCCCAGCCTTTAAATAATTTTAGAATCAGATTGTCAGTGTACACACAAATTGCATTGAATCTATAGATCAATTTAAGGGAAATTAAGGTTTTTGTAATATTAAGTCATGAGCATGACATAGCTCTTCATTCAAATAGGTTTATTTAATGTCCCTCAATGAAGTTTTATATGCTTGGGTGCGGTGGCTCATGCCTGTAATCCCAGCACTTTGGGAGGCCGAGGCAGGTGGGAGTTTGAGACCAGCCTGACCAACATGGAGAAACCCCATCTCTACTAAAAATACAAAAAAAAATTAGCTGGGCGTGGTGGCGGGTGCCTGTAATCCCAGCTACTCAGTGGGCTGAGGCAGGATAATCGCTTGAACCTGGGAGGCCAGAGGTTGTGGTGGCCAAGATTGCGCCATTGTACTCCAGCCTGGGCAACAAGATCGAAACTCCAACTTAAAAAAAAAAAAAAAGTCTTATACTCATTCCCATGGTCATTCTGGTGGTTACATTCTTGAGATTATACCCAACATATAACTTATACATTTCTACATCTGATTTACAAGTGAGCTGAGATTGTGCCACTGCACTCCAGCCTGGGTGACAGAGCAAGACTCTGTCTCAGAAAAAAGAAAAAAATAAATAACAACTAATATTTGTTTATGATTTTGTCTTCAGCAATCTTGATGAACCCTCTTATTAATTGTAACTTTTTTTTCTGTAGATTTGAAAACTATCTTCTCCTGTTATGCCTTTTACTTCTTTATCTTGCCTTATTTTACTGGCTAGAACTATTAGTATTTAATGAAAGGGTTGATAATGGGCTTTTGGGTTTTGTCCTGATTTCAAAGGGAAATCTTTCAATATTCACTTATTAAATAAGACTGTTGGTGGGGTGTGGTGGCTCACACCTGTAATCCCAACACTTTGGAAGGACAGGACTGCAGGACTGCTTGAAAACAGGAGTTTGAGACCAGCCTGGGCAACATAATGAGACCTCGTTTCTGCAAAAAAATAAAAAAAATTAGCCAGGCATGGTTGCGCGCACACCTGTGGTCCCAGTTACCTAGGAGGCTGAGGTGGGAGGATTGCTTCAGCCCAGGAGTTTGAGGCTGCAGTGAGCTGTGAGCCACTGCACTCCAGCCTGGGTGACAGAGTGAGGCCCTGTCTCCAAAAAAAAAAAAAAAAAAAAAAAAAAAAGTATGACTGTAGATTTTTTTACAGATATATTCCTTTAACAGAATAAGAATGGCCTGGTTTGTTAAGTGTTTTTTGTTTTGTTTTGTTTTTTTTGAGACAGAGTCTTGCTCTGTCTCCTAGGCTGGAGTGCAATGGCGCAATCTCGGCTCACTGCAACCTCTGCCTCCCGGGTCCAAGCAGTTCTCCTGCCTCAGCCTCCCAAGTAGCTGGTCCTGACCTCAGGTGATCCACCCGCCTCATCCTCCCAAAGTGCTGGGATTACAGGTGTGAGCCACCGTGCCTGGCTTGGTTTGTTAAGTGTTTTTAAACAGAAAGATTGGTAAATTTTCTCAGATTTGTCAAATTCTCTATTTTGATTGAGATCATGAATTTTCTCTTTGAATTTATTAATATGGTGAATTACATCAACGAATTTTCTAACATTAAAACAACACTACATTCTTGAGATTATACCCAACATATAACTTACACATTTCTATACCTGATTTAGTATTTTGTTAAGAATACTCGCATATTCATTCAAAATAAGATTTGTGTTTCTGCCTCCAGAACAAGATGGTATAAACTCACTTTTCCCTGCTATTCTTTGCTAAATACAACTTAAATACCTGGAAATTATTCAACAGACAATGACGAAAAGAACGTTGAAAGCTAAAAAGAAGGTAGATTGGTTCCATCTGCTGGGTGTGGTGGCTCATGCCTGTAATCCCAAGATTTTGAGAGGCCGAGGCTCGAGGATCACTTAAATCCAGGAATTCAAGACCAGCGTGGGCACCATAGCAAAACCCTCTCTCTACACAAAAAAAAAAAAAAAAAAAAAAAAAAAAAAATAGCTGGGCATGCACGCCTGGCCTGTGGTCCCAGCTACTCAGGAGGCTAAGATGAGAGGATCGCTTGAGCCCAGGAGGTCTAAGCTACAGTGAGCTGTAATTGTGCCACTGCATTCCAGCCTGGGCAATAGAGCAAGACCCTGTCTCAAAAAAACAAAAAAAACAAAAAACAAAAAAAGGAAAGTAGATTGGCTGGGTACCTCAGGACATGCGGAATGACAACATAGTAAATTCACCAGGCTAGGTTTTATTTTTTCTTAATCCCCCATGCACCCAGGACTAGACACCAAAGAAACCTACAACCCACCCTTAACATGCATTGACCAGAGAGGTCCGAGTAAAGCATGCTCTCTCTGGCCAAAGACCAGGAAAGGGGAAACCCAGCAGAGACCTAGTGGAGAGTCCCAGCCCCTATTCCACCTACGAGGGTATTGATGGGTGGCCCGATGAGCCTGCACCAACAGCAACAAAGCCCCCAGTCATGCCAGCCCCAGCTCTACCACCAGACACCCGCAGGTAGTCCAATCCATCTTCAACAGTGGCAGCAAAGCCCCAACTGTCCCAACCCCTTACCCACAAATGGAGCACCACCAAGTCCAATTAGCCAGCAACAACAGCAACACCGAAGCTCTGGGCCATCTTAGTCCCCAGTCCAGCTGGGTGCAGGTAGGCAGACAGCATGCCCAGAGCAGCAGCAGAGAAGCCCAGGCACACTGACTCTATACCTGCTTCATACCTGTGACGCGACAGGCAGGCCAATCCACCTACAGGGGCAGCATCAGCAGAGCACTGCTTCCCCATGCCCTCCATCCAGTGGCGTGAAGAAACCTCAGCCCCGTGGCTCTGACTCTGCTCTGTATTCTTCCTCTCCCTCCAGACTCCTGGGCAGAATAGTGGCCCAGCAATACCGAACCATCTAGGGAAGGACATGATTTCACCTCCACAAATGGCACCAGCAGGGGTTAAGTGGGAGTCCCAGAAGTACTAGAAAGATGAAGCAGATCAGAATAGTATTGCAAGGGCTCTGAAAATTAAACTGACACTAAAAATAAAACCCATGGCAGGATGTGGTGGCTTTATGCCTGTAATCCCAGCAATTTGGGAGGCTGAGGAGGGAGGATTGCTTGAGCCCAGGAGTTTGAGGCTACACCACCACTGCACTCCAGCCTGGGTGACAGAGCAAGGCCTCCTGTCTAAAAATAAACAACAGCAGCAACAACAACAAAAAACCTAAACCCCACAAAACTAGGCCAGAACCTATAGGCAAAACCTTAACAGAGCAACTGCCTGTCAAAACAGAAGACTTAAATAGGACCCAGAGTCCCCTAATATACAGCTGAAATATCCAGAATACAACCACCAACTTTTTAGACCAAAGACCAGAAAACATACAGTTTAAATGTGGAAGGGAAATCAAGTGACATCATTCTACTTTGAGTTAATGCAACTGGATGAAGCAGCTGTTAGCATTATCCAACAAAGATTTTCAAGCAAGAATCATACAAATACTTCAACAATTAATTATAAATTATCTTGAAATATATGAAAAATAGAAAAACTCAGCAAAGAAATAGAAGTTATAAAAAAAGCAAATGTAAATTATAAAACTAAAAATACAATAATTGAAAAAACTCTTTAGATAGTTTCAACAGGAGAGATGACTGAGGAAAGAATCGGTGAGTGTGAAGATACATTAATACAATTTACTCAATCTGAACAACAAACAGAGCATAGATTGGGGAAAAAGTGAACAGCTTCAGGGAATTATGGGGGGAAAAATCTAATATTTGTATCATCATAATCTCAAAAGGAGAGAAGAATAAAAATGGGGCTGGAATAAAAGAAGTAAAGACTGAACAACCATATTTTAAAAGTAGGGAGGATAAAGGCACACAAGTGGAAAAATATTTTTACATTTCTCTGCAAGTGGTAGAGCATTAACACCAGTAGGCTGAAACAAGTTTTATCCACATATGGTAACACCTAGAGAAGCCACTAAAAAATCTATACATACGCAGGGAACGGTGGCTCATGCCCGTAATCTCAGCACTTTGGGAGGCCGACGTGGGCTGATCACGAGGTCAAGATTGAGACCATCCTGGCCAACATGGTGAAACCCCGTCTCTACTAAAAATACAAAAAATTAGCTGGGCATGGTGGCACATGCCTGTAGTCCCAGGCTGTTGGGAGGCTGAGGTAGGAGAATCGCTTAAATTGAACCCGGGAGGTGGAGGTTGCAGTGAGCCGAGATCCCGCCACTGCACTCCAGCCTGGCTGACAGAGTGAGACTACATCAAAAAAACACAAAATACTATACATAATGATAAACTCAAAATTATTATAAAGGGGCCAGGCGCAGTGGCTTACTCCTGTAATCCTAGCACTTTGGGAGGCTGAGGCGGGCGGATTGCCGGAGTTCAGGAGTTCGAGACCAGCCTGGGCAACATGGTGAAACCCCGTCCTACTAAAATACAAAACATTAGCTTGGTGTGTCGGCCTGCGCCTGTAGTCCCAGCTACTCAGGAGGCTGAGGCAAGATAATTGCTTGCACCTGGGAGGCAGAGGTTGCAGTGAACCGAGATCACACCACTGCACTCCACCCTGGGTGACAGAGCGAGACTCCATCTACAAAAAAAAAAATTATAAAGAAGTCAGAATGGGGCACTAAAAACTGTTGAAGTAACCCTCAGGAAGGAAAGAAAAGAGAAAAAGGAATAGGAAACTGAAGGAAAAACAGAAAACAAATTTTTAAATAGCAGACATACCTGAACTAATTTATAAGAATTAAAGTTATACAGAGTATGTCCTCTGACCATGAAGGAATCAAACTAGAACTAATAACCAAAAGAAAAAAACCAGAAAATTATTTTAACACTTGGAAATTGAACAACACACTTTTTTTTTTCTTTTCTTTTTTTGAGACAGGGTCTCACCCTCTCCCAGGACAGAGTACAGTGGTATGATCTCAGCTCACTGCAACCTCAACTTTCTGGGCTCAACCAATCCTCCCACCTCCTGAATAGCTGGGACTACAGGCACATGCCACTATGTCTGCCTAATTTTTATTTATTTATTTATTTATTTATTTATTGAGATGGAGTCTTGCTTTGTCGCCCAGGCTGGAGTGCAGTGGTGCGATCTCGTCTCACTGCAAGCTCCGCCTCCTGGGTTCACGCCATTCTCCTGCCTCAGCCTCCCGAGTAGCTGGGACTACAGGCGCCCGCCACCACACCCGGCTAATTTTTTTTGTATTTTTGGTAGAGACAGGGTTTCACCATGTTGGCCAGGACGATCTCGATCTCCTGACCTCGTGATCCGCCCACCTCAGCCTCCCAAAGTGTTGGGATTACAGGCGTGAGCCACCGCGCCAGGCCTGTCTGCCTAATTTTTCTTTTCTTTTTTTTTTCTTTTTTGTAGAGTTGCAGCCTCTGTATGTTGCCCAGGCTGGTCTCAAACTCCTGGGCTCAAGCGATCCACCCACCTTGGCCTCCCAAAATGCTGGGATTACAGGTGTGAGCCACTGGGCTCAGCCACAACATACTTCTAAATAACTCCATGAGTAAAAGAGAAAGTCTCAAAGAATATATAAAAAAAAATACATAGACTGAATGAAAATAAAAATACAACATGTCAAAACTCATGAGATGCTTGGCTGGGCACAGTGCCTTATGCCTATAATCCCAGCACTTTGAGAGGATGAGGCAGGAGGACTGCTTGAGCCTGGGATTTCGAGACCAGCCTGGGCAATATAGTGGGACCTCATCTCTACAAAAAAAAAACTTACAAAATTAAGCCAAGCATGGTGGGGCATGCCAGTGGAAGGTTCACTTGAGCCAAGGAGGCAGAGGTTGCAGTAAGCTGAGATTGCACCACAGCACTGCAGCCTGAGAGACAGAGTGAAACTATCTCAAAAAAAATTTTTTTTGAAAAAATAATGGCTGAAAATTTAATAATTTTTATTTAAAAATTAAATAAATAATTACAAAAAAAATTGTGAGATGCAGCTAAAGCAGTTCTGAGAAGGAAATTTATAGCACTGACATGCTCATATCAGAAAAGAGATTTCAGATCAGTAATCTAAGTTCCTACCTTGAGAAAAATAATACCAAAATAAGCCCAAAGCAAGCAGAAGGAAAGAAATATAGACATAAGTAGAAATTAATCAATGAAATTAAAAACAGGAAAACGATATAGAAATTTAATGAAAAAACCCAGGTCTTTTATTTTTATTTTTAAATTTTTTTTAGGGATAGGGTTTTGCCCTGTCACCTAATCTGGAGTGCAATGGCACAATCATAGCTCACTGCAGCCAGGAACTCCTGGCCTCAAGCAATCCTCCCACCTCATCCTCCTGAGTAGCTGGGACTACAGGTGCACAAACCCAGTTGTTTGAAAAATGAATAAGATTGGCCAGGTGCAGTGGCTCACGCCTGTAATTTCAATACTTTGGGAGGATGAAGTGGGAGGATATCTTGAGCCCAGGGATTTGACACCAGTCTAGGAAACGTAGGGAGATTCCATGTCCACAAAAAATTGTGAAAAAAAATAGCCAGGCACAGTGGCGCATGCCTGTAGTCCCAGCTTCTTGGGAGGCTGAGGTGGGAGAATTGCTTGAGCCCAGGAGTTTGAGGTTGCAATAAACTATGATCTCACCACTGCACTCCAGCCTGGGCAACAGAGTGAGACCCTGTTTCACACATACACAAAAAAAGTTGATAAACTTCTCTTAAGACTGACAAATATAAAATGAAGCAATCAGGAATGAAACATGCTATCACAACAGATTCTGCAGCCATTAAAAGAATAATAAGAGACACTGTGAAGAAAGTTATACTTGGCCAGGCTCAGCGGCTCAAGCCTGTAATCCTAGCACTTTGGGAGGCCGAGGTGGGCTGATCACTTGAGCCCAGGAGTTTGAGACCAGCCTGATCAACATGGCGAGATCTCATCTCTACAAAAATACAAAAATTAGCCAGGCATGGTGGCATGCACCTGTAGTCTCAGCTACTTGGGAGGTTTAGGTAGGAGGATCGCATGAGCCCAGGAAGCAGAGGTTGCAGTGAGCCGAGATTGTGCCGCTGCACTCCAGCCTATGTGAAAGAATAAAACCCTGTCTCAATAAAAAAAGAAAAAAGAAAAAGAAAGTTATGCTTATAAATCTGAAAATCTAGAAAACACCAGACCCAACTTTGAAAAACATGAACTGCCAAAGCTTAGTCTATTAGTTCATCCTTGCACTGCTATAAAGAAATACATGAGCTTGGGTACTTTATAAAGAAAAGAGGTTTAATTGGCTCACAGCTCTGCAGGCTGTACAGGAAACATAGTTGCTTCTGCTTCTGGGGAGTCCTCAGGAAGCTTCTGATCATGATGGAAGGCAAAGGGGGAGTGAGGCACTTCCCATGACTGGAGCAGGAGGAACAGTGGGGAGGTGCTACACATTTTTAAACAACCAGATCTCATGAGAACTCGTTCAACATCATGAGAACAGCACCAAGGGTATAATATTAAGCCATTCTTGAGAAACCTCCACCAGGTCCCATTTCAACACTGGTGATTACAATTCAACACGAGATTTGGGCAGGGACACAGATCCAAATCACATCACTTAGCTATCTGAAACAGATAACCTTAGTAGTCCTACACCCTTTTCAACAAATGATGCTGGGATAATTGGCTAGCCACATATAGGAGAACAAAACTGGATCCTCATCTCTCACCTTACACAAAAATCAACTCAAGATGGGTTAAGGACTTAAATCTAAGATCTGAAACTATAAAAATTCTAGAAGATTAGAAGATAAGATTGGAAAAACCCTACTAGACATTGGCTTAGGCAAGGATTTCATGACCAAGAACCCAAAAGCAAATGCAATAAAAACAAAAATAGCCAGGCGCTGTGGCTCATGACTGTAATCCCAGTACTTTGGGAGGTGGATCATGAGGTCAGGAGTTCGAGACCAGACTGACCAACATAGTGAAATGCCATCTCTACTAAAAATTCAAAAATTAGCCAGGCATGGTGTTGCACGCCTGTAATCCCAGCTACTTGGGAGGCTGAGACAGGAGAATTGCTTGAACCTGGGAAGTGGAGGTTGCAGTGAGCCGAGATCGCGCCACTGCACTCCAGCCTGGGTGACAGAGCGAAACTCCGTCTCGATAAATAAATAAATAAATAAATAAATATAAATAACTGGGACCTAATTAAACTAAAGAGCTTTTGCACAGCAAAAGGAGTCAGCAGAGTAAACAGACAACCCGCAGAGTGGGAGAAAATCTTCACAATCTATACATTTGACCAAGGATTCATATCCAGAATCTACAATGAACTCAAACAAATCAGCAAGAAAAAGACAAACAACCCCATCAAAAAGTGGGTCAAGGACATGAATAGACAATTTTCAAAAGAAGATATACAAATAGCAAACAAACATATGAAAAAATCCTCAACATCACTAATGATCAGGGAAATGCAAACCAAAACCTCAATGCCATACCACCTTACTCCTGCAAGAATGGCCATAATCAAAAATTCAATAAACGGTAGATGTTGGCGTGGATTCGGCAATCAGGGAATACTTCTGCACTGCTGGTGGGAACGTAAACTAGTACAGCCACTATGGAAAACAGTGAGGAGATTCCTTAAAGAACTAAAAATAGAACTACCATTTGATCTAGCAATCCCACTACTGGGTATTTACGTAGAGGAAAATAAGTCATTATACGAAAAATATACTTGAACATGCATGTTTATAGCAGCACAACTGGCAACTGGAAAATTGTAGAACCATCCCAGATGCCCATCAATCAACACGTGGATAAAGAAACTGTAAAGTGTGTGTGTGTATATATATATGTATGTATATGATGGACTACTACTCAGCCATAAAAAGAAATGAATTAATGGCATTCGCAGTGACCTGGATGAGATTGGAGACTATTATTCTAAGTGAAATAACTCAGGAATGGAAAACCAAACATCGTATGTTCTCACTGATATGTGGGAGGTAAATTATGAGAATGCAAAGGCATAAGAATGATACAATGGACTTCGGGGACTTGGGGAGAAGGATGGGAGTGGGGCGAGGGATAAAAGACTACAAATATGGTGTAGTGCATCCTGCTTGGGTGATGGGTGCACCAGGATCTCAAATATCACCACTAAAGAACTTACTCATGTAACCAAATACCACCTGTACCCCAATAATCTATGAAAAAAATTTAAAAAGATAACCTTAGTAGTCCCACAGCTCTTACAGAAATTGAATTTATAATTTAAAAGCTCTCAGAAAAGAAATCTCAATGCCCAGACAGTTTCACTGGAGAACTTTGCCAAACATTCAAAAAAGAAGCAATATCAATTTTGCAGAAACTGTTCCAAAAAACAGAAGAGATAGAAACATTTCTCAAGTGTTTTATGGGCCTGTATTATCCTGATAACACCAGACAAAGACATCACAAAAAAAGAAAACTAAAGACCTACATCACTCATTAGCATAGGTGAAAAAATTCTCAACATTAGCAAAGGAAGTACCACAGTGTATAAAAAGAATAATACACTACAAGCAAGGAGGATTTGTCCTAGGTCTGCATGGCTTATTCAATACTTGAAAATTAATGTAATCTATTATATCAACAGGCTAAAAAAGAAAAATTATATTATATCATATCAATTGATGTGGAAAATCTCACAAAATTCAATACCCATTCACGATAAAAACTCCTAAGACAGTAGAACTAGAGGAAAATTTTCTCAACATTATAAGGAGCCTTTACAGAATACCTACAGTTAACATAATTAATTGAGAAAGACTGGGGGTTTTTTTCCCTAAGATTGGGAAGAAGACAAAGAGGTCCACTCTCATCACTCTTATTCAACAGTATCGGAGTTTTTTTTTTCATAACAATAGGGAAGAAAAAGAAATAAGAAGCATACAGATTGGGAAGGAAAAAATAAAGCTGTCTCTATTTGCAGACAATATTATTGCCTATGTAGAAAATACTGAGGAGCCTACAAACAAGAAAAGCCTCCTAGAGCTGATAAATGAGTTCAGTAAGCTTGCAGGATACAAAATTGACACATAAAAATCAATTGCATTTCTTTATTTTAAAAAAAAAATTGTTGAGATGGGGCCTCATTATGTTGACGAGACCAATCTCAAACTTCTGGCCTCAAGCAATCTTCCTGCCTTGAACCCGGTAGGCAGAGATTGCAGTGGCACAATCTCGGCTCTCTGCAACTTCTGCCTCCTGGGTTCATGTTATTCTCTGTCTCAGCCTCCCGAGTAGCTGGGATTATAGGCACCTGCCACTATGCCTGGCTAATTTTTGTATTTTTAGTAGAGACAGGGTTTCACCATCTTGGCCAGGCTGGTCTTGAACTCCTAACCTCGTGATCCACCTGCCTCAGCCTCCCAAAGTGCTGGGATTACAGGTGTGAGCCACTGCACCCAGCAGTGTCATTTATTTATGATAAAAATTACAAACGCTGATTGAAAAAAATTAAAGAAGAATCAAATACTCAGAGACATATACTATGTTCATGAATACAAAGACTCATCATAGTAAAGTAAAGCAATTAACTCTCCCTAGATTGGTCTATAGGCTTGTCACAACTCCTATAAAAATTCTAGCAACCTTTTTTTGTAGATAAAGACAAGGTTATTATAAAATGTATATGGAAAAACAAGAATAGCTAAATTAATATTTTAAAAAGTAAGATGGCAGAATCACTCTGTCCAATTTAAGACTTAAATAGCTACAGTAGTCAAGACTATGTGGTATTAGCAGAAGGAGAGACACAGAATAGAGAATCCAGAAATAGCCCCAGACAAGTATAGTGCACTGCTTTTTGAAAAAGATGCAAAGGAAAGTCAATGGAGGAAATGCTCTTTTCAACAAATCGTGTTGGAGCAACTGGGTATCCTAGTCAAAGAAAAAACAAAAAAGAAGTTTGACCTAAACTTCACACATTATACAAAAGTTTACTCAATATGGATCATGACATAAATTTAAAATATAAGACTATAAACCTGGCTGGGCGCGGTGGCTCATGCCTGTAATCCCAGCACTTTGGGAGGCCGAGGCAGGTTGATCACAAGGTCAAGAGATCGAGACCATCCTGGCCAACATGGTGAAACCCCATCTCTACTAAAAACACAAAAATTAGCTGGGTGTGTTGGCACATGCCTGTAGTCCCAGCTACTCAGGAGGCTGAGGCAGGAGAATCGCTTGAACCTGGGAGGTGGAGGTTGCAGTGAGCCGAGATGGCACCACTGCCTCCAGCCTGGCAACAGAGTGAGACTCCGTCTCAAACAGACAAACCAACCAACAAACAAACAAAACTATAAACCTTTTATGAGAAAACATAGAAGAAAATCTTTGGGACCTAAGCAAAGAGATTTTAGAATAACACCAAAATCACAATCAATAAAAAATAAAAAGATAACTTGTACTGTATTAGTCCATTCTCTCGTTGTATAAAGAACTACCTGAGACTGGGTAATTTATAAAGAAAAGAGGTTTAATTGGCTCACAGTTCCATAGGCTGTACAGGTAGCATGGCTGAGAAGACCTCAAGAAACTTTCAATCTTGGTAGAAGTCAAAGGGGAAGCAGGCACATCTTACATGGTGGAAGCAGGAGAAAGAGAGAGAAGGGGGAGGTGCTACACACTTTTAGACAACCAGATCTCATGAGAAGTCACTCACTATCACAAGAACAACAAGGGAGAACTCTGCCCCCATGATCCAACCACTTCCTACCAGGCCCTTCCTCCAAAACTGGGGATTATGATTCTACATGAGATGTGGGCAGGGACACAAATCCAAGCCTTTCATGGACCTTATCAAAAATAAAAACTTTTACTCTGCAAAAGACTCTGTTAAGATGATGAAAAGACTAATTACAGACTGGAAGAAAATTTTTGCAAATCATGTAATCAACAGAGGACTAACATCATTAATATATAAAGAACTCTCAAAATTTAACAGTAAAAAGCAAAAGAAAGAAATCTAAAATGGGCAAAGACATGAACAAATATTTCATTTAAGAGACTATACAGATAGCAATCAATACGTGAAAAGATGTTCAACATCATTAGTCATTAGAGAATTATAAACTAAAATCACAATGAGAATCACTACTTACCTATCAGAATGGCTAAAATAAAAATATAGTGATAATAAATGCTGATAAGAATGCAGAAAAGTTGGATTCATTCATACATTGCTGGTAAGACAGAATGATACCACTACTCTTGAAAAAATTTTGGATTTTTCTTTTAAAACTAAACATACAATTACCATATGACCCAGTAATTGTAATCTGGGCATTTATCCCAGAGAAATAAAAGCTTATGTTCACACTAAATTCTCTACGCAACTATTCACAGCAGATTTATTTATAATAGTCAAAAACTAGAAGCAACTAGAATGTCCTACAATTGGTGAATGGTTAAACAACTGTGATACTTCCATACCATGGAATATTATTCAGCAATACAAAGCAACAAACTATTGATACACACAACTTAGGTGAATTTTAAAGTTATCCAGAAGGAAGGAAGCCAAATCCAAAAGGTAGTATACTTTATGATTCCATTGATACATAACATTCTTTTTATATTTTTATTTTGTGGTTTTTCTTTGAGACAGGGTCTTGCTCTGTCACCCAGGCTGGAGTGCAGTAGCATGATCATGGCTCATTGCAGCCTCAACCTTCTGGGCTCAAGCAATCCTCCCACCTCAGCCTCCCAAGTGGCTGGTACCATAAGCACATGCCACCACGCCCAGCTTTTTTTTACTTTTGTAAAGACAAGGTCTCCCTATGTTGCCCAGGCTGGTCTCGAACTTCTAGGCTCAAAGTAGAAAGAAGTAGTCTCCCACCTCAGCCTCTCAAAGTGCTGACATTACAGGCATGAGTCACCATGCCCAGCCTATATAATATTATTTTTTTATTTTTAGATGGAGTGTCGCTCTGTCACCCAGGCTGGAGTGCAGTGGCGCGATCTGGGCTCACTACAACCTCCGCCTCCTGGGTTCAAGCAATTCTCCTGCCTTAGCCTCCCGAGTAACTGGGATTACAGGTGTATGCCACCACATCCAGCTAATTTTTGTATTTTTAGTAGAGATGAGGTTTCACTATGTCAGCCAGGCTGGTCTTGAACTCCTGACCTCGTGATCCTCCCGCCTTGGCCTCCCAAAGTGCTGGGATTATAGGCATGAGCCACCACACCCAGCCTAAAATATTCTTTAAATGATAAAATTATAGAATGAAAAATGGATTAGTAGTTGCTGAATGTCAGGGACAGGGAAAGGAGGGTGTGTGGCTCTATGAAGGACTAGCACAAGGAACTCTGTGATGGCACAGTTAAGTATCTTGATTGTGGTGTTTGTTACAGAAGTGACACATAATAAAATTGCACTGAGTCATATATACACACAAATGAGTTCAAATATGTTGAGTGAAATCTGAATAAGCTCTGTGGTATCAACCTGTGGTATTGTGATAAAATAAGAAAGATATGTTTGGTCTCTGACCCCTTTCCTCAGACAGAGCTCCTAATACTCATGTAGATAGGCACGGCACTCCAGCCTGGGGGACAGAGCGAAACTCTGTCTCAAAAAACAAACAAACAAACAAACAAACAAACAAAAAAACACCCTTGTAGATAGGGATGCTAGGAGAATCTTTTATTCTAATATTTGGTCTTTGACTCTGGTTCCTGACATAGAGCTCCTAAGACCTTTGTAATTTTTTTTTGAGACGGAGTCTCACTCTGTCACTGAGGCTGGAGTGGTGCTCTGTTGCAATCTCGGCACACTGCAACCTCCGCCCCCCGGGTCCAAGCAATTCCCCTGCCTCAGCCTCCCCAGTAGCTGGGATTACAGGCAAGAGCCACCATGCCCGGCTACTTTTTGTATTTTTAGTAGAGATGGGGTTTCACCATGTTGGCCAGGCTGGTCTTGAACTTCCGACCTCATGTGATCCACCTACTTCGGCCTCCCAAAGTGTTGGGATTACAGGAGTGAGCCACCATGCTGGGCCACAGACACTTTTATCACTCAGGAAATTACACATGTCTAGGCCAGACGCAGTGGCTCACGCCTGTAATCCTAGCACTTTGGGAGGCAGAGGCAGGCGGATCACCTGAGGTCAGGAGTTTGAGACCGGCCTGGCCAACATGGTAAAACCCTGTCTCTACTAAAAATACAAAAATTAGCCGGGTGTGGTGACAGATGCCTGTAATCCCAGCTATTCTGGAGGCTGAGGCAAGAGAATCGCCTGAACCCGGGGAGGCAGAGGTTGCAGTGAGCCAAGATTGTGCCATTGCACTCCAGGCTGTGTGACAAAGAAGAGACTCTGTCTCAAAAAAAAAAAAAGTGTCTGTCTCAGAGCTTCTAAATCCTTTGGAATTTCTTGGTTGACAGGAGCATCTTTTGTTTTAATGAGATGACTCCTGGTGGGCTCCAGGACAGCCTCAAAATGGGGGCTGGTTGCCAGAGGAACCAACCACAGGATTAGAGGGTTGGAAATTTCAGCCTCACCTCCCGACCTCAAGAGAAAAGAGGGGCTGAAGATGGAGGTGATCACCAACGGCCAATGATTTAATCAACCGTGCCTAGGTCGTGAATCCTCCATAAAATCCCAAAAGGAGAGAGTCTGAGGAGTTTCTAGATTGTTGAACATGTCGTAGTTCCTGGAGGGTGGTGCCTCCAGAGAGAGTATGGAACCTCTGCGCTCCTTCCCACTCGCCTTGCCTTGTGCATCTCTCCCATCTGGCTGTTCATCTTGTCCTTTACTATATTATTTATTGATAATAAACTGCTTAATGTAAGTACTTCTCTGAGTTCTGTGAACCACTATCACAAACTAACTGAACCCAAGGAGGGGATCATGTGAACCCCCAATTTTAGCTGGTTGGTCAGAAGAACAGGTCACAACCTAGGGTTTGGAATTGGTGTCTGAAGAGGAAGCAGTTTTTCTTAACCTGTGGACTGTGACTCTAACTCCAGAGAATTAGTGTCAGAATTGAGTTACATTATAGGACGTTCAGCTGGTGTCCACTGGAGAATTGCTTGGTGTGTGGGGAAAATCCCCGACATATCCGGTATAAGAAGTGTTCAGTGTTAAGCGTTGTACTGAGTGTACAAGTAGAAAAATCACTTTTTTTTTTTTTGAAACAGAGTTTCGCTCTTGTTGCCCCAGCTGGAGTGCAATGGCACGATCTCAGTTCACGGCAACCTCTGCTTCCTGGGTTCAAGTGATTCTCCTTCCTCAGCCTCCCAAGTAGCTGGGTTTACAGGCATGCACCACCACGCCCGGCTAATTTTCTGTATTTTTAGTAGAGATGGGGTTTCTCCATGTTGGTCAGGCTGGTCTCGAACTCCCAACCTCAGGTGATCCGCCCACTTCGGCCTCACAAAGTGCTTGGATTACAGGCATGAGCCACCATACCCAGCCCACTTTGTTTTTTTCTTATCTCAAACATTTTTTCATCAGAGTACCAATGTCAACTTTCTGGTTTTGATATTGTGCTATAGTTATGACAGATGTTATAATTGGAAGATCCTGGGTGACCGGTGCACAGAACTTCCCTGTATATGCCTTTGAAACTTCTTATGCTATTTCAAAATTAAACGTTTTAAAAAATAAGATTTGTTATAATTTTTTTCCTTTCCTGTATTGTCATTACCAAGTTTTGGGATCAATATTAATTTAGCCTAATAAAATGATTAAATAAATATTAACTCCCTTCCCCCAAAACACAAATATGTACAATTTTTTAAATTCCAAAGTATGATGGCTTAAAAACTTATTAAAAACAAAAAAAATCCATTTTATTTTAGTATAATTATAATACTAACGTATCTGGGGTTAGACCTACATTCTTATTTTGCGAGTTCTATTTTTCCATCAGTTTTACGTTTATTTTCTTTATTTTCTTGACTTCTTTTGGTTTGAGGTTTGACCAATTTTTATAAGTCCTTTTTCCCTCTACACACTATTATTATTTTCATGTTTTCCCTAGAATGCCAATATGCATTCTTCAATTATCAAAGCCTAGTTTTAATCAATACTTTTATCTTCTTCTTGTTCAATATAAAGATCTTAAATCCCATTCGTTTCATTTACGCCAGTTGCCACACATACTTTAACAAATGTTTTTATTCTATGTTTGAACATACCACAAGACATTATTATTAATGTTTTAAAAAATCAATGTTTTGGCTGGGTGCCGTGGCTCATGCCTCTAATCCCAGCACTTTGGGAGGCAGAGGCAGGTGGCACCTGAGGTCAGGAGTTCCAGACCAGCCTGGCCAACACAGTGAAACCCGGTCTCTACAAAAATACAAAAATTAGCCGGGCATGATGGCAGGTGCCTGTAATCCCAGCTACTCAGGAGGCTGAGGTGGAAGAATCATTTGAACCTGGGAGACAGAGGTTGCAGTGAGCCAAGATCATGCCATTGCACTCCAGCCTGGGTGACAGAGCAGGACTCTGTCTCAAAAAAAAAAAAAAAAATCAGTTTTTGTAATTTTTATTTTTTAAAAAATAGAGACGGGGGTCTCACTATGTTGCCAAAGCTGGTCTCGAATTGCTGAGCTCAAGTGATTCACCCACCTCAGCCTCCCAAAATGCTGAGTTACAGGTGGGAGACACCGCACCCAGGTGAAATCAATCTTTCTTTACATTTATCCATATATTTACTACTTTCATTCTCTTTATCTCAAAATGCCTTTGGTTATATGCTTAAGTAGATTTTCGCTACCTGTGGAATTCTATTTGGAACTTACATTCTACAATGCTTTGAAGATATTCTCCATTCTAGCTCTTGCTGGTTTCCCTTGTGTGTCAAAAACTGCTGTCAGTCTTGCGGTTGCTCCTTCGAAAGTTGCATGTACATTTTCTCTTGCTTCTCTAAAGACTTTTCTCTTTGTCTTTGGTTCTACAATTTATTTATTATGACTAGGTTATCATTTTATTGCCTTGTATGTGTTAACCAATTTTGTATCTCACCTAGCAACTTATTCTAACAGTCCTTCCAAAATGCCTGTAAGTGCCCAGTTCCACAAAGTGTTCTGTTATCCAAGTTTGCCATCTTACTGGTTCTCTCATTAAGTTAACATATCTTTGCCATGTGTTCATTCTATATTTGTATGACAGTCATGTTTTTAACTTTTAAAAATTGTATTTTGACAAGTATTTATTAGGTATTGATATGGTTTGGCTGTGTCCCCACCCAAATCTCATCTTGAATTCTCATGTGTCATGGGAGGGACAAGTGGGAGGTAATTAAATCATGGGGGTAAATCTTTCCCATGCTGTTCTCAAGATAGTGAATAAGTCTCATGAGATCTGATGGTTTTATAAAGAGGAGTTCCCCTGCACAAGCTTTCTCTCTTTGCCTGCTGCTATCAATGTAAGACGTGACTTGTTCCTCCTTACCTTCCACCATGATTGTGAGGCTTCCCCAGCCATGTGGAACTTTAAGTCTATTAAACATTTTTCCTGTATCAATTATCCAGTCTTGGGTATGTCTTTATCAGCAGTGTAAAAACAAACCAATATAGGTATGTACCAAGCATTGAACTAAGTTCTGGGGCTATAAGAATGGAAAATAGAGAGCACAGTTCCCAGTGCTCAAGAATTTTTGGTATGACCTTATCATTCCCATTATGCTCCAGCATTTACCTTCGCCTCCAGGATCAACTCTTCCTCATCTAAAAAGTGTCCAGAGAATATCCTCAACTACACCAAACTATTTGAAATTTTTGCTGACATAGTTTTCTCCCACACACGTCTTCCCGAGGGAAATGTTAAAGTATCTGCTTACAATACATAGGCAGACTAGGCATTTTGAGCATGTTTATTTTTCAAATATAATGCATTTCATTTCACAGACAGACAAACTTGGCTGGACACAGTGACTCACATCTATAATCCCAGCACTCTGGGAGGCCGGGGGGGAGGAGGGGGCGGCAGGGAGGTTATAGGTGAAGAGGATAGCTTGAGGCCAAGAGTTTGAGACCAGCCTAGGCAACGTAGTGAAACCCCATCTTTACAAAAACTGTGTATATATATATATATATATATATATATATATACACACACGCACACATATATAGCTGAGATGGGAGGATTGCTTGAGCCCAGGAGTTCAAGGCTGCAGTGAGCTAGGATCATGCCACTGCACTCTAGCCTGGACAACAGAACAAGACCTTGTCTCAGGAAAAAAAAAAAAAAAAAAGATATAAAACTTTACCTTACCCCATTACCCTAGCGTTCAGTATCTTTTGTCGTGGCATATTTTATTTTCTCTAGATCTGGCTATTATAGATAGTCTCTGGAAATAGAAGTTCAGAGCCTTTGGTAGCTTAGTGAAGTATAGAGACTCTGATAATGATTTCAGTACACTTACTGATATCTATGTGATGATGAATTTTAATAATACAGCAAATAAGATGACCAACTTTCTCAAATCAAAGACCCAAACAAGGCCAGGCACAGTGATTCATGCCTGTAATCCCAGCTACTTGGGAGGCTGAGGCAGGAGAATCGCTTGAACCCAGGAGGCGGAGGTTGCAGTGAGCTGAGATCACGCCACTGCACTCCAGCCAGGGCAATGACAGACCAAGACTCCATCTCAAAAAAAAAAAAAAAAAAAAAAAAGAAAGATCCAAACAATGTCAATGTTAAGAATATCTGATAGGGCCAGATTCAGTGGCTCATGCTTGTAATCTCAACACATTGGGAGGCTGAGGCTGGAAGATTGCTTGAACCCAGGAGTTCAAGACCAGCCTGGGCAACACAGTGAGACCCTGTCTCTACAAAAAATACAGAAATTAACCAGATGTGGTGGCATGCACCTGTAATTCCAACTACTTGTGAGGCTGAGGTGGGAAGATCACTTGAGCCTGGGAGGTCAAGGCTGCAGTAAGCCATGATCACACACTCCAGCTTGGTTGACAGAGCAAGACCTCATCTCACACACACACACACACACACACACACACACACACACACACACAGAATATCTGGTGAATAAAACATTCACATGTGAATGTCCACCTACATGATTCAAGTATGGTCCATATTTTCTAAACTAGCTCAACTGTATTAACAGAGCCATCCTGTTTTTGGGGGCCACAGTGTGCAGAAAGCTGTCAGACAAAAAGGGGTTCTCGAGGGGTTAATTTTGTACAGATAATTTGTGCTATGCTCTGAATCTTTGAGTCCCTCCAAAAATTCATATGTTGAAATCCTAACCCCCAAGGTGAAGGTATTAGGAGGTGGGGCCTTCAGGAAATGATTAGGTTATGAAGGGCAGAGCCCTCATAGTTGGGACTAGTGAGCCTATAAAAGAGACCCCAGAAGTTGGGCTCTATGGCACATGCCTGCAGTCCTAGCTACTCAGGAGCCTCAGTTGGGAGCATCACTTGAGCTCAAAAGTTAGAGACCAGATTGGGCAAAAGCAAGATCCCATCTCTAAATAATAAAACTAATTTTTTTTCTTTTTTTGAGAGAGAGACTCGCCTGACTTGGTGGCTCATGCCTGTAATCCCAGTATTTTGGGAGGCCAAAGCAAGAGGATTGCTTGAGCCCAGGAGTTCGAGACCAGCCTGAGGAACACGGTGAAACCCCCTCTCTACAAAAAATAAAATTAGCCAAGCGTGGTGGCACATACCTGTGGTCCCAGCTGCTTGGAAGACTAACATGGGAGGATCACTTGAGCCCAGGAGGTCAAGCCTGCAGTGAGCTGTGATTGTGCCACTGCACTCTAGCCTGGGTAACACAGCAAGAGCTCATCTAAAGAAATAACAATAAATTTTAAAACTAAATAAATAAAAAATTTAAAAGAGAGACTTCAGATAACTAGCTTATCCCTTCCACCCTGTAAGGGCACAGCAAAAAGGTGCTCTATGAATCAGAAAGCAAACCCTTGCC
This sequence comes from Homo sapiens, assembly GCF_000001405.40. NCBI lineage: Eukaryota > Metazoa > Chordata > Mammalia > Primates > Hominidae > Homo > Homo sapiens. Next base: position 138,285,313 of record NC_000007.14, read on the forward strand.
AGACACTACATCTGCCAGTGCCTCGACCTTGAACTTCCTAGTCTCCAGAACTGGGAGAAATAAATTTCTGTTGTTGTTAAGCTGTGCAGTCTATGGTGTTTGTTTAGAGCAGACCAAATGAACTAAGGCAATTTATTGTTAACATGAATATGTTTTAGTAATTGTATGTCCTTTCAGGATGGTAGAGGCTTACTGATATTTATGTTCAAGAACTATGAACAAAATTACTTCTGAAAATCTAAAAATGAATTTTTAGATTTTAAATGCCTTTATCATTTATTGTAGATCATGATACACACTTTACAGAATTTATGGTAATGTCCTGGATATTTGTGAATATCTTCATTGTCCATGGCCATCATAGGCCTAAGTACTTATGAAATATTTAGGCAAGCCTATGTACATATATACTTTGACAGTGATTCCACTGTTCTCCATTCTGATATTGTAATTTAGTCTAAAATATTAACTCAAGTCTTGTTATCAACAAGTAGTGTCTGTTTCTCACCTGAGAGTTGCCTGACATCATTGTATAAGCCACAGACCAGATATTGGGTTTTCTGGAAGAAACATCAAAAAGTATCTTCAAGGTCAAGAGATCGAGACCAGCCTGGCCAACATGGTGAAACCCCATCTCTACTAAAAACACAAAAATTAGCTGGGCATGGTGGCACGCACCTGTAGTCCCAGCTACTCAGGAGGCTGAGGCAGGAGAATCTCTTGAATGTGGGAGGCGGAGGTTGCAGTGAGCCGAGATCACACCACTGCACTCCAGCCTGGTGACAGCATGAGACTCCATCTTAAAAAAAAAAAGTAGCTTCAGAGCTTTATGATAAAGACTTGACTGCTAAAAACTGAAGGGATAGGTATAATTGTCAATTTAACTGACATTATTGTCATTACCATCATTAATTAATGACATTAACATCATAAGGATTTCCAGGACTATTATGGTCTAGAAGCAGATGACTTGGTAAAAGTATATTACTAGTTTAAGATAAGCAGAACAAGAAGTTGGAAGAACAAAATGATAAAAATCGAATTGTGAGGCCAAGCATGATGGCTCATGCCTATTATCCCAACACTTTGGGAGGCCAAGGCAAAACATTGTACATTTCATATTATGGAGAAGAGATCAAATTCAGACAATAATCTCCACATGTGTACTCTTTTTCAGAATCCAGGAATGCAAATATTTTCCTGTTCTCCATCATCATGAGGGAAAGTATCCTAAACAAAGTCTTGCTTTGGAAAACTGAATACAATGAGGAGACATTTATTCATTCATTCGATAATGGAGCAGTTTCTTTACAAAGGCTGCAAACGAAGTCAACATTTTGAATTTTATGTCTTATGGCCATAGTTTTGTTTACTATTCATCACGTTTTGCTATGTAAATAAAACCAGCTAAATGGAATAGAACATATACAATATAATAGCTAGTACTAAATAGAATAAACATAGGATTTTGTGTGGAAATCTTCCTTAAAGTAGAAAACTGATTAAAAGGAACAATTTCAATGTATATATGAATACTGATAGTAAACATGATTGTGTGTAGTATGTATTGTATAAATTGTCTATTCTTAATTTTCACTGTATGTAAGAAATGCAAAAACTATTAACTAATCACATTCACATAATGATTTCACAACGAAATACAATGGGACAGACATTCTCTTGACTTAGATATTTAAAGATTGCCTTAGGCAAATACTGAGTTTGGGACACAACTTTTTTTGTATGATGCAATTTGCAATTTCTTTCAGGGAAGAAATTATTATTATTATTATTTTTGAGACAGCATCTTGCTTTTTCACTCGGGCTGGAATGCAGTGCTGTGATCACGGCTCACTGCAGCTTTGACCTGGGCTCAAACAATCCTCCCCAATCACCCTCCTAAGTAGCTGAGATTACAGGTGTATGCCACTATGTCCAGCTAATTTCTTTTTTATTTTTTATACAGACAAGGTCTCATTATGTTGCCTAGGCTTGTCTCAAACTCCTGGGCTCAAGCAATCCACCCAACTCTGCCTCCCAAAGGGCTGAGATTACAGGGATGAGCCACCACACCTGGCAGAAATTACTATAATTAATAATTGCTAAAGCTATTTTCAGGTAAATTTTAATGAACTGAAAAGAACTGTTCTTAAAATTAGCTATCTGCCTTTCAACTTATTCTTAGCCAAGGGTCTAATAATATATAATCAGACATTCTTTTCTATTTCTTTTTTTTTTCCCATTTTTAGAAGAGACAGGGTCTTGCTGTGTCACCCAGACTGGAGTGCAGTGGCATGATCATACTTCACTGCAGCCTCAAACTCCTGGACTGAAACCATCCTCCCACCTCAGCCTCCCAAGTAGCTAGGATGGCTATTTGCTAATCATTTTTTTGTAGAGATGGGGTCTCACTATGTTGTCCAGGCTGGTCTCGGACTCCTGGCCTCAAGCAATCCTCTCATGTCAGCCTCCCAAACTGTTGGGATTACACTGTGCCCAGCTGGCATTCTTTTCTTAATTATCTAATCACCTATTCCCTTTCTCTGACTTCCTCTATCAAGAGAAAAAACAATTAATCCGTCTGCTTAGGTTTCTTCATTTGTGCAAGTTTAAAACACAGCTTTGACACATGCTTGGAACAAATTATCTGAAAGGATGCTTCTTGTTTAAACAACATGAAAATTTTATTCACATATTAACAGTTTATTTAGTTAAATTTAAAACTGGAACTGTTTTATCTTTTCTTGATCTTTTGAAGATTACAGCTAGTCAAATTCATCTTTTGCCTGAATTAAAGCTATCCCCATTCATTTTCACCTCATACTATCCTTGATAACAATCAATATTATAGAAAGAAATCCTGCTCACAAATATTGGTGCAATTACATATATACAAAAAGCCAGGTGGACAAACTGCGTAGTATCCTTTGAGGTAAAAACTTCTTTCCACATTTCCAAAGTCTGATTATGTCTAATTCCAGTTTTTTCACACCTGTACATTTATGTAGTTTTACTAATATATTGTGTATTTTTCTAACAAGACTTTGTACATCAGAATGTATCTCAAAAATAATTCCTAAGTAGAAGGTAAGCATGTAGAATAATTTATTTTTTTTAAACTGCTAACTGAAATAACTAGAATTATTACGAATCTGGTCCTTCAAAGAAGTCTTTTTTTTTCTTTTTTTGAGACAGAGTTTCACTCTTGTTGCCCAGGCTGGAGTGCAATGGTGCAATCTTGGCTCACAACAACCTCCACCTCCCAGGTTCAAGCAATTCTCCTGCCTCAGCCTCCCGAGCAGCTGGGATTACAGGCATGCACCACCACACCTGGCTAATTTTGTATTTTTAGTAGAGATGGGGTTTCTCCTCGTTGGTCAGGCTGGTCTTGAACTCCTGAGCTCAGGCAATCCACCCGCCTTGGCCTCCCAAAGTGCTGGGATTACAGGCGTGAGCCACCACGCCTGACCCCTTCAAAGAAGTCTTTATGTGCACAACTAAGACATTTAAATCTGTAATTGTAAAAGTAAACAAAACAGACTCAACAACCCTGATAGTGCAGATATAACCTTAGTAAACAGCAGTAAATTATATCTGTCATTTAGATTCTTTGTGATGCAAATGAGGAAATGATCTATTTTAGTCAGTCCATTAGCACTCTGAAGAATTGGAAATCCCTTTGCTATCACAGTTATTCTCCATGCTTGCCTAGATATCTCTGCAAATGGAGCACAGAGAATTAAGTATAGTATTTCTGTTGTACCTACCCAATACAGAGCAGAACAGAACTTTCCACCCAACAGAGATCTTGTACCTTAATTGCTGCAGACTGTCTCAGGTGAGTGCTGAATATCTGGGTCAGTGGCATGGGGGTAAAAGAATTTACCAAGACAGTTGTAAATAAAGAAAGGCAGATATATTAGAGAAAGTATGAAAATACATTGCAAGGTTGCAATGGGCAGACCAGCCAGAGAGGAGCTGACTGCAAGGAAATAAAGGCTTGCTGGGGATTTTATAGAATATTGCTTATGCTGAAGAGTGCTACCTGCAGTACTGATAATGCCAAGGCTGCAGTGAGCTAACTTGTAGGTATTTGGTGACAGCTAGGCACAGGAAGGTTGTGAGTTGTCAGCACAAGATGGGTATGTGTCCTGGACCATGAAGAAAGGCCGACTGATAACTTCCCTACTTTCTCCTTTTGCTTTCCCTTGGTCCTGCCAGCCTGACTCCTTTTCCCTAATTAGGAGGACTCCACAAAGACTAAGAACACTTTGTAGGATACAGTAAATTCGTCTTCAAAGTTTAGCCTGTTAACTTCCTTTAAAATTCGAGAGGGAGAAAATTGTTAAGTACAATGAGTTCTGAGTCCCTCTCCAAAGAACCAATGTGTCAGTATGTTCAGCTTCCCTGTTCTTTGTTCTCTGTTTTAAAGTTTGACTTCCACATTCTTTACATCTCCTTGCCCCTAGTTTCAGTAAACAACCCCCTCCTAGCTTCTATCACCTGCTCTGTCCTTAGTCATCCTTAGTCACCTACTCTGTAACTGTCCCTCCTGCCAAAACTATTCACCCTGCCACTCTGGCGTGTACCCTCACTCTCTTTAAAATAGCCAGTCAGAATTAGCTTAGACTGTGTGGTCCAACCCTAGCCAACAGAGGAAAGACACAGCAGTAGGGACTAGCTGTGTTAGGAATAAGAGCCCCTTCCCCTCACTTGTCCTGTGTGCTCTTGCCACTGCTCCATCCATGAGACACACCCTTCTATAGAAGTAAATTGCCTTGCTGAGAAAACTTTTGCCTAAGTACTATTTTCACTTGGCGACACCAAGCATTTACTTCCAACAACTTTATAGATTGTTAATGATCACATCATACTCCTGGGGCATTCTGAACTCCAAGCCTTTTCTATTCTATTTTTTCTGTTTATTTTTTGAGACTGAGTCTCTGAGTCTCGCTCTGTCACCCAGGCTGGAGGGCAGTGGTGCAATTTCAGCTCACTGCAACCTCTGCCTCCTGGGATCAAGTGATTCTCATGCCTTGGCCTACCAAGTAGCTGGGATTACAGGCGTGCACCACCATACTCGGCTAATTTTTGTGTTTTTAGTGGAGACAGGGTTTCTCCATGTTGCCCAGGCTGGACTCAAGCAATCCACTCACCTCAGCCTAGCTTTCTAGTGCATATAAAAGTTATGTTTACACTATACTGAAGTCTCCTAAGTGTGTAATAGCATTATGTCTAAAAAAAAAAAAAAGTACATATTTTAATTTTACTTTTTTTTTGAGATGGGGTCTCACTCTATGGCTGAGGCTGGAGTGCAGTGGCACAATCTCGGTTCACTACAACCTCTGCCTCTCAGGCTCACGTGATCTTACAGGGACATCACCATGCCCGGCTAATTTTTTGTATTTTTTGTAGAGATAGGGTTTCACCATGTTGCCAGGGCTGGTCTATAACTCCTGGCCTCAAAGCTTGATTTTGGCTCACTGCAGCTGAGCAATCCTCCCACCTCAGCCTCCTGAGTAGCTGGGATTACAAGTGCACATTACCACACCTGGCTAATTTTTGTACTTTTTGTAGGCATAGGGTTTTGTCATGTTACCCAGGCTGGCTTTGAATTCCTGAGCTCAAGCAATCCATCCTCCTTAGCCTCCCAAAGTACCGGGATTGCAAACATGAGCCACCATGCCCAACCTAAAAATGCTTTATTACTAAAGAATGCTAACTATCATCTAAACCTTCAGCCTGTCTTAACCTTTTTGTTGGTGGAGGGTCTTGCCTTGATGTTGATGGCTGCTGACTGATCAGGGTGGTGGTTGCTGAAGGTTGTGGTGGCTATGGCAATTCCTTAAAATAAGACAACAATGAAGTTTGCAGCATCAGTTGACTTCCTTTCACAAAAATCTTCTCTGTAATATGCAGTGATATTTGATAACATTTTATCCACAGTAGAACTTCCTTCAAAATTGGAGGCATTCCTCTCATATTCTGCCATTGCTTTATCAACTAGGGTGATGTAATATTCTAAATCCTTTGATGTCATTTCAACAACGTTCACAGCATCTTCACCAAGAGTAGGTTCCATCTCAAGACACTACTTTTTTTACTTATCCGTAAGAACCAATTCCTTATCCTTTCAAGTCTGATCACGAGACTGCAGCAAATCAGTCACATCTTCAGGCTCCACTTCTAATTTAATTCTTTTACTATTTCCAACCTCATCTACACTGACATACTCCACAGAAGTCTTGAACCTCCCAGAGTCATCTGTAAGGGTTGGCATCAACTTCTTCCTGTTACTATTGATATTCTGATCTCCTCTCATGAATCACAAATGTTATTAATGCCATCTAGAATGGTGAATTCTTTCCAGAAGGTTTTCAATTTACTTTGCCCAGATCCATCAGAGGAATCACTATCTATGACACCTATAGCCTTAACTATTTCTTAAATAGTAAGACTTAAAAGCCTCAAAACAGGCCAGGCACATGGCTCACACCTGTAATACCACCACTTGGGGAGTCTGAGACAGGCAGATCACTTGAGGTCAGGAGTTTGAGACCAGCCTAGCCAACATTGTGAAACCCTGTCTCTATTAAAAATACAAAAATTACCCTGGCATGGTGGCGCATGCCTCTAATCCTAGCTACTCTGCAGGCTGAGGCAGGCGAATCACTTGAACTGGGGAGATGGAGGTTGCAGTGAGTCAAGATCGCGCCACTGCACTCCAGTCTGCGCAACAGAGTGAGTCTCCATCTCAAAAAAAACCCAAAAAACAAAACAAACAAACAAAACAACAACAGAATAACTCCTCGATCCTTGGTCTACAGAATGAATATTGTGTTGCAGGCATAAAAACATAAATCTTGTACATCTCCATCAGAGCTCTTGGGTGACTAGGTACACTGTCAATGAGCAGTCAGATTTTGAAAGGAAGCTTTTATTTTCTGAGTGGTAGGTTTCAATCGTGGACTTAAAATAGTCAGTAAACCATGAGGTAAACAGGTGTGCAGTCGTCCAAGCTTTGTTATTTCATGTATAGAGCACAGGCAGAGTAGATTTAGCATAAATCTTAAGGGCCATAGCATTTTCAGAACGGTCGATGAGCACTGACTTCAACTTAAAGTCACTAGCTATATTAGTCCCTAACAAGAAAGCAAGCCTCTCCTTTGAAGCTTTGAAGCCAGGCATTGACTTCTCCCCTCTAGCTATGAAAGTCCTAGCTGGCATCTTCTTCCAATAGAAGGCTGTGCTTTCTACCTTGAATGTCTGTTGTTTAGTGTAGCCACCTTCATCAGATATCTTAGCTAGATCTTCTGGAAAACTTGCTGCAGCTTCTACATCAGCACCTGCTGCTTCGCCTTGCGCTTTTATTTTGTGAAGATTGGTGTCTTTTATTAAGCTTCATAAACCAACCTTGCTAGCTTCTAACTTTTCCCCAGCAGCTTCTTCATCTCTGTCAGCCTTCATGGGATTGAAGAGGGGTAGGGCCTTCTTCGGGATTAGGCTTTGGCTTAAGGGAATGTTGTGGCTGGTTTGATCTTGTATCCAGACCCCTCAGACTTTCTCCACATCAGCAATAAGGCTGCTATGCTTTCTAATCATTTATGTGTTCACTGGAGTAGAATTTTTAATTCCTTTCAATAACTTTCCCTCTACATTCATAACGTGGCTAAGTGTTTGGCACAAGAGGCCTAGCTTTCTGCCTGTCTCAGCTTTCAACATCCCTTCCTCACTAAGTTTAATCATTTCTAGCTTTTGATTTAAAATGAGAGATGTGTGACTCTTACTTTTACTTGAACACAAAGAGGCCATTGTAGGATTATTAATTGGCCTCTTCTCAATGCTGTTGTGTCTCAGGGAATAGGGAAGCCTAAAGAGATGGAGCGAGATGGGGCAACAGCCAGTCATTGGAGCAGGCAGAACACACACGACATTTATCATTTAAGTTTGCTGTCTTTGTGGTGCCCCAAAATAATTACTGTAGTAACATCAAAGATCATAGATCACCATAATACATACAATAATCAGGAAAAAGTTTGAAATATTGTGACAATTACCAAAATGTGACCCAGAGACACAACAGCTGAGCACATGCTGTTGGAAAGGTGGTACTGATACACTTGCTTGACATAGGGTTGCCACAGAGCTTCAATCTGTGAAAAACACAATTACAAGCAAAGTTCAATAAAGCAAGACACAATAAAATGAGGTGCGCCTGTATTGGTAACTATAAGCACGATGCTGTACAGTAGATATGTAGGACTTACAAATCTTGTACAGTCAAAACTTTGTACCCTTTTACTGACATTTTCCGGTTTCTACCGCTCCTCACTCCAGCCCTGGGCAACCACCATTTCACTCTCTGCTTCTGTGAGTTTGACTATTTTAAATTTTTCATATAAGAAGTGTCATGTGACTTTAAAATAAATTTATTTATTTTTATTTATTTATTTTTTGAGATAGAGCTTCGCTCTTGTTGCCCAGGCTGGAGTACAATGGCACGATCTTGTCTCACTGCAACCTCCACCTCCTGGGCTCAAGCAATTCTCCTGCCTCAGCCCCCCGAGTAGCTGGGATTACAGGTACCCGCCACTACATCCAGATAATTTTTGTATTTTTAGTAGAGATGGAGTTTCACCATGTTGGTCAGGCTGGTCTCGAACTCCTGACCTCAGGTTATCCACCCACCTCGGCCTCCCAAAATGTGGGGATTACAGGTGTGAGCCACCATGTCTAGACGCCTTTTTTTTTTCTTAAATAGAGACAGGGTCTCACTTTGTTTTCAAGGCTGATCTCAAACTCCAGGGCTCAAGCCATCCTCCTGCTTTGGCTTCCCAAAGTGTTGAAATTACAGGTGTGAGCCACTGCACTCAGCCTTTGTTTGTTTGTTTTTGAGTCAGGGTCTCGCTCTATCACCCAGGCTGGAGTGCAGTGCTATGATCATAGCTCACTGCAACCTTGACCTCCGGGACTCAAGCGATTCTCCTGCCTCAGCCTCCTGAGTAGCTGGGACCACGGGTGTGCACCACCATGCCCAGCTAATTGTTTTTTATTTTTAATAGAAATGAGGTCTCACTATATTGCTTAGGCTGGTCTCAAACTCCTGAGCTCAAGTGATCCTCCTGCGCCAGCCTCCCAAAGTGCTGGGATCATAGGAATGAGCCACCAAGCCTAGCTGGCAATATTTGTCCTTCTGTGTCTGGCTTATCTAACTTAGCATAATACCCTGCAGGTTCATACTTGTCCCAGATGCAGGATTTCTTTCTTTAGGCTGAATAACATTTCATTGTCTTTATATACCACATTTTCTTTATTCATTCATTTGTCCACAGACATTTAAGTTGTTTAAATGTTTTTGCTACTGTAAATAATGCTGCAGCAAACATGGGACTGCAGCTATCTCTTCCAGACATTGATTTTATTTATTTTGGATACATTCCCAGAAGGGGGATTGCTGAACCATCTCTTAGTTCTATTTTTAATTTTTTGAGAAACTTCCTGTTTTCTATATTGGCTGCACCAATTTGCATTCCCACCAGCATTGTACAGGGTTCCCTTTTCTCCACCTCCTTAGCTACACTTGTGATATGGTTTGGCGGTGTCCCCATCCAAATCTCATCTTGAATTGTAGTTCCCATAATCCCTGCGTGTCAAGGGAGGGGCCAGGTGGAGATTATTGAATCCTGGGAGCAGTTCCCTCATACCGTTCTCATGATAGTGAGTGAGTTCTCATGAGATCTGATGGTCTTATAAGGGGCTTCTCCCTTTGCTGGGTTCTCATTCTCTCTCCTGCCGCCCTGTTAAGAGGTACCTTCCAAGGTGATTGTAAGTTTCCTGAGGCCTCCCTAGCCATGCTGAACAGTGAGCACGTGCTGTTGGAAAGGTAGTACTGATATTCTTGCTTGACATAGGGTTGCCACACACCTTCAATCTGTAAAAAACACAATTACAAGCAAAGTTCAATAAAGCAAGGCACAATAAAATGAGGTGTGCCTGTATTGGTAACTATAAAAAGGGAAGAGTAAATTAAACCTCTTTCCTTTTTAAATTACCCAGTATGGGGTATTTCTTCATAACAGCATGAGAACAGACTAATACAGCTTGTTATCTTGGTTTTGGTTTTGGTTTTGTTTTGTTCCTTATAATAGCCATTCTAACAGGTGTGAGATGATACATCATTGCAATTCTGATTTGCATATCACTGATAAATAGTGATGTTGAGCATCACTATTCCTTATACCTGCTGGCCATTTTCTTATTTTCGTATACCTGCTGGCCATTTTGTATGTCTTCTTTCAAGAAATGTCTCTACAGATCCTTTGCCCATTTAAAATCAGTTTATGGGCCGGGCATGGTGGCTCATGCCTATAATCCCAGCACTTCAGGAGACCAAGGCAGGCAGATCACCTGAGGTCAGGAGTTCAAGACTGGCCTGGCCAACATGGTAAAACTACTCTATTAAAAATAAAAAAATTAGCTGGGCATGGTGGCGTGCACCTGTAATCACAGCTACTCAGGAGGCTGAGGCAGGAGAATCACTTGAACCCGGGAACCAGAGGTTGCAGTGAGCTGAGATCGCACCACTGTACCCTAGCCTGGGCGGCAGAGTGAGACTCCATCTCAAATAATAATAATAAAATCAGGTTATGGCTGGATGCAGTGGTTCACATCTGTAATCCCAGCGCTTTGGGAGGTCAAGGCTAGTGGATCCCTCGAGCCCAGGAGTTCAAAACCAGTCTGAGCAACATGGCAAAACTCTGTCGCTGACAAAAAACACAAAAATTATCTGGATGAGGTGGCATGTGCCTATAGTCCCAGCTACTCAGGAGGCTGAGGATAGCTTGAGACCAGAAGGCAGAGGTTGCAGTGAGTTATGATGGCTGGCAGCACTGCACTTTAGCTTGGGCGACAGAGCCAGATCCTCTCTCAATAACTAACTAAATAAATAAAATCAGTGTATTTGTTTCCTTGCTATTAAGTTCTAGGAGTTCTTCATATATTGTGGTCAGTAACTCATTTATCAGACCGGGAGCGGTGGCTCAGGCCTGTAATCCCAGCGCTTTAGGAGGCCGAGGCAGGTGGACCACCTGAGGTCAGGAGTTCGAGGCCAGCCTGGCCAATATGGTGAAACCCCCAACTCTACTAAAAATATAAAAAATTAGCCAGGCATAGTGGTGGGAGCCTGTAATCACAGCTACTCGGGAGGCTTAGGCAGGAGAATCACTTGAACCCAGGAGACAGAGGTTGCAGTGAGCTGAGATCAAGCCACTGCACTCTAGCCTGGCCAACAAGAGTGAAACTCTGTCTCAAAATAAATAAATAAAATAACCCTTTATCAAATAAGTGGTTGGTTTCCTTTTCATTATTTTGATTGTTTCTTTTGTTGTGGGGAAGTTTTTTCAGTTTGGTGTAATCCCACTTGTCTAATTTTTCTTTTGTTTCCTGTGTTTGGTTGTTACAACTAAGAAATGATTGCCAAGGTCAATGTTAAGAAGATTTTTTCCTATGTTTCTCCTAGGAATTTTATGGTGTCAAGTCTTACATTTAAGTCTTTTTTTGTTTTTTTTGTTTGTTTGTTTTTTTAATGACACAAGGTCTTGCTCTGTTGCTGAGGCTGCAGTGCAGTGGCTGGATCATGGCTCACTGCAACCTCAACCTGCCAGGTTCAAGCAATCCTCCCACATCAGTCTCACAAGTAGCTGGGGCTATAGGCACATGCCACCTTGCCCAGCTAATTTTTGTATTTTGTATAGAGAAAGGGTTTTGCCATGTTGCCCAGGCTGGTCTCAAACTCTTAGGCTCAAGCAATCTGCCTGCCTTGGCCTCCCAAAGTGCTGAGATTACAGGCATGAGCCACTGCATCTGGCCATGTTTAAGTCTTTAATCCTAATTTTTGTATATGATATAAAATAAGGGTCCATTTTCATTCTTTTGCATGTGGATATACAGTTTCCCCAGCACCATTTATAGGGAGACTATCCTTTCCCCATTTGGTATTCTTGGCACCTTTGTCAAATATCAATTGACCGTATTTGTGTGAGTTTACTTCTGGACTATCTATTCTATTCTATTGGTCTATATGTCTGTTTTTATGCCAGTATCATACACTTGATTACTGTAACTTTGCAGTGTTTGTATGTGTGTGTGTGTGTATGTGTGTGTGTGTAGAGAGAGAAAGAGCAAGCTCAAAAATGCTTTGGCTATTTAAGGTCCTTTGTGGTTCTATATGAATTTTAGCATTTTTTTCTAGTTCTGTGAAAAATGCCTTTGAGACTTTGATAGGAATTGTTATGTCACTTTAGGTAGCATGGATATTTTAACAATATTTATTCTTCCAATCCAAATATACATATGCACACACACGTGTGTGTGTGCGTGTGTGTGTGTATTTGGCTGTTGTCCCAGATTTATTGATTTTAGAGACAAGGTCTCACTCTGTTGCCTAGGCTAGAGCGTAGTTGTGCTATCATAGCTCACTATATTTTCACATTCCTTGGTTCAAGTGATCCTCCTGCCTCAGACTCCTGAGTAGCTGGGATTACAGGCATGAGCCACTGCACCCAGCCTCTAAATTTAAGGAAAATATTATATTAGGTTGGTGCAAAAATAATTGCAGTTTTTGCCATTAAAAGTAACAGGATCACTTCTCGGCCTTTGGGCTAAGATCAAGTGTAAAGGTAATGGCAACAATTTAACAATTTACATAATTAAAAGTATGGCAAAAACCACAATTACTTTTGCACCAACCTAATAGCACAACAGAAAGATTCATACGGCTCCACATGGTGTTTTAGAATTCATCCCAATTACATGCTGGGTGACCTGGAGTTGGACACACTACCAAAACCTGGAAGTTTCAGCATTTCCTTAGTGCCAGCATCTACTTCAGTGATTTCCTGATCCAGGACTGAGCCCTCAGGAACATAATTACTTCTGTCTCTCCTCCTCCTCCTGCAGCTTGATGGAGACACCTGTGAATCTGAGCCTCTGATCTCCTTCATCAGATGTGTGACATAGCCTGCTATCTTGCTGCAGAGCTCTCTGCTGGAAGTAATGGTGATCTCCTTGCACACATACTTGCTCATGTAGAAGTCATTGCCCAGGTAGATGTAGTACTTCTCAGTGATGACCCAGGCCACCTTCTTCAGGATTTTAGTGCAAATGCGGCCCATATTGGCGGGTACTTGGTAAAAGAATGTAATATATTTTGAAATCACAAAGTGTCGGCTGGAGTGACTTACACCTCCAATCCCAGCACTTGGGGAGGCTGAGGCAGGAGGATAGCTTGAGCCCAGGAGTTTGAGACCAGCCTGGGCAACATGGCAAAACTGTGTCTCTACAAAAAATACAAAAATTAGCCCAGTATAGTGGCACGTGACTAAATTCCCAGCTACTCAGGAGGCTGAGGTGGGAGGATCACTTGAGCCCAGGAGACTGAGGCTGCAGTGAGCTACGATTGAGCCACTGCACTCCAGCCTGGGTGACAGAGTGAGACCCTGTCTTAAAAAAAAATAAAAATAAAAATAAAAAAAATTTTAAAAGTTTATTTCTGAAGTATTTTTCTTTTTTATGTTATTATAAATGGGATTCTCTTAATCTTCTTTTTGCATAATTCATTGTAATATATAGAAGCACAGCTGATTTCAATATATTGAACTTGTATCCTATAACTTTGTTGCATTTTTTTCTTAGTTCTGACAGTTTTTTGGTGGAGTCTATATGGTTTTCTACATAAAAGATTATGTCATCTGCAAACAGAAAATTTAACTTATTTCTTTCTTATTTGAATGTCTTATTTATTTATATATTTGCCTAACTGCTTTATGTAGAACTTCTAGTATCATGTTGAATAGAAGTTGTGAGAATGGGCATCTGTGCCTTGTTCCAAATCTTAGAGGAAATGCTTTTTCACCATTGAGTATGATGTTAGCTATGGACTTATCTTTTGTGGTTTGTATTACGTTAAGTTCCTTCTATGCCTAATTTGTTGAGAGTTTTTTTTGGTCACGAAAGGTACCGAATTTTGTCAAGTGTTTTTTCTGCATTTGCTTAGATGATTATGTGCTGTTTCTTCTTTGTTCTGCTAATATGGCATATCACATTGATTGATTTGTGTATGTCAAACCATCCTTCTTTCCCAGCAATAAACCCTATTTGATCACGCTATATAATCCTTTTATTGTGCTTTTGAGTTTTGTTTGCTAATATTTAGTTGAGAATTTTTGTATCCATGTTCATCTGCATATTGGCCTATAGTTTTCTTTTCTCGTGATGTCTTTGTCTGGCTTTAGTGTCAGGATAATTATAGCCTCATAAAGAGAGTTTGAAAGTGTTCCCTCTTCTCTTTTATGAGGGAGTTTTAGAAGGATTAATATTAATTTTTCTTTCAAAGTTTGGTAGAATTCACCTATGAGGCCATCTGTTTCTGTGCTTCTTGTTGAAGGGTTTGATTATTGACAATCTTCTTATTTGTTATTGGTCTGTTTAGGCTATTTCTTCTTAATTCAGTCTTGGTAGAATGTATTCATTTCTTCTAGGTCATCCAATTTGTTGGCATATAATTTGTCATTTTAGTTCCTTATGTTTTTTTATTTAGAAAAATGTATATTCCGCAAAAATTGGGTGGAATAGTCTATATATCTCTTAGATCCACTTGGTCTATATGCTATGCAAGTCTGCTGTTTCTGTATTGATTTTCTTTCTTTTCTTTTTCTTTTTTTTTTTTTTTTGAGACAAAGTTTCACTCTTGTTGCCCAGGCTGGAATGCAATGGCACGATCTCGGCTAACTGCAACCTCCGCCTCCCGGGTTCAAGCGATTCTCCTGCCTCAGCCTCCCGAGTAGCTGGAATTACAGGCATGCGCCACCATGCCCAGCTAATTTTTTATTTTTAGTAGAGATGGGGTTTCTCCATGTTGGTCAGGCTGGTCTTGAACTCCCGACCTCAGGTGACCCGCCCTCCTTGGCCTCTCAAAGTGTTGGGATTACAGGTGTGAGCCACCACGCCTGCCTTCTATATTGATTTTCTGTCTGGATGATCTGTCTATCTTCGTAAGTAGGATATTTGTGTCTCCTGCTATTATTTATTGCTATTTTCCCTTTAGATCTATCGATTTTTGCTTTATATATTTAGATGGCTTGCTGTTGGGTACATATGTATTTATAACTGTTATTTCTTTCTACTGAATTAATCCTATCATAATTATATAATGACTTTCTTTATTACTTGTGACAGTTTTTTACTTACAGTCTATTTTGTATAATATAAGTATAGCCACTTCTACTCTCTTTCAGTTACCATTGTCATGGAATACCTTTTTTCATCCCTCACTTTTATCCTTTTGTGTCCTTAAATCCCAAGTGACAATCCTGTAGACAGCATATAGTTGGATCCTACTTTCTATTCTACTCAGCCACTCTCTCTTTTCATTGGTTAATTTTTTTTTTCTTCAAGACAGAGTTTCGTTCTTGTTGCCCAGGCTGGAGGGCAATGGTGCAATCTCAGCTCACTGCAACCACCACCTCCTGGGTTCAAGTGATTCTCCTGCCTCAGCCTCCCAAGTAGCTGGGATTACAGGCATACACCAGCACGCCCGGCGAATTTTTTGTATTTAGTAGAGACGAGGTTTACCATGTTGGTCGAGCTGATCTTGAACTCCTGACCTCAGGTGATCCACTTGCCTCCACCTCCCAAAGTACTGAGATTACAGGAGTGAGCCACATGCCCAGCCCTCACTGGTTAATTTAATCTGTTTGCCCTTAAGTAATTATTGATAGGTGAGGACTTACTGTTCCTATTTTGTTAATTGTTATCTATTTTGTAGTTCTCTTATAGTAATATACTTTGATTCTTTTTATCTTTTTGTATCTACTACAGGTGTGTGTGTGTGTCTGTGTGGTCATAAAGCTTACATAAAACTTCTAATCATTATACCAGTCTATTTCAAGCTAGTAAAAACTTACCCTCAATTTCATATAAAAACTCTACACTTCTATTTCCTCCCCCTCAAACTCTGTTATTCATGTCAGGATTTATTTCTTTTTATTTTGTGTATCCATTAACCAATTTTGTTATCATTATTCTCCATATTTTTGTCTATTAACTTTAACACTACAGCTAAAAGTGACTTATACACCACTATTACAGTATTTCATTATTCTATATTTGTCCATTTGTTTATCATTGTCAGTGAAATTTATTGCATATGTGTTCATGTTACTCTTATGAAGGTATTTTCATCTATAGATGGTTGTTAAATTACTGTTTCTATAGGAGCGTGAGGGCCAGAAACTCCTATTCTCCCATCTTGCTGATGTCATTCTGAAAATAAAATTTAAATTTTTTTAAATTTATTTATTTATGAGACAGGCGCTCACTCTATCACCCAGGCTGAAGTTCAGTGGCATAATCACAGCTCACTGCAGCCTTGACCTCCTGAGCTCAAAAGAACCTCCTTCTTCAGACTCCCAAGTAGCCAGAACTACAGGCATGTACCACCAAGCCTAGCTAATTTTTTTTTAATTTTTAATACAGACAAGGTCTTGCTATGTTGTCCATGCTGGTCTCAAACTCCTGGGCTCAAGCAACCCTCTCCCCTTGGCCTCCCAAAGTGTTGAGATTACACATGTGAGCCACTGAGAACATATTTTGAATTCTAATTTTGGGAATCAACATATTCACCTTCTGGCCGGGCGCAGTGCCTCACACCTGTAATACCAGCACTTTGGGAGGCCGAGACGAGAGGATCACCTGAGGTCAGGAGTTTGAGACCAGCCTGACCAACATGGAGAAACCTCGATTCTAATAAAAATACAAAATTAGCTGGGCCTGCTGGTGGATCAGCTACTCAAGATGCTGAGGCAGGAGAATCGCTTGAACCCGGGAGGTAGAGGTTGCGGTGAGCCAAGATTGCGCCATTGCACTCCAGCCTGGGCAACAAGAGCGAAACTCCGTCTCAAAAAAAAAACCAAAAACATATTCATCTTCTGTTTCGGTTTGGTGTCATTCAAATAGTTGATAATCTCATCATCCTTTTATTTATACAATGATCTATTTTAAAAAGGAAATCCCAATTACAAGGCCTGGGGAAGGATGTCGATTCATCCTAATAAAACTCTAAATTGATATCCAGTAAATCAATAAATTATTGGTATTGTTGATCAACCAATTTAAATTCTGCCTAAATGTATCAGCGTTCAGATAGTACTACTCTAAGTCATCCACAAGGAAAAGTAGAATGCCTTGTTGTAATCAAGGTGAAGTCCATAAATAAATTCTTCATTTCTCTAAAACCATGTCAGTAAGCTGGTTAATGTAAAGTCTTTGATTAAGCTGATATATTTTTAAGCATTTTATGTCTGGTCCAAATGACTACCTTTTTTTGTTTGATAACTTCTTTAATAAGTGGTTGGAAAATCTTGTTGGGGTTAATTGAAATATGCTGCTTAGTAATATACAATGCACAGAATCCATCCTCTTTCTTATGAACATTTAAACACTCTCTCATCTTAGATGTTCTTTTCCATTTCATTTACAAGTTCTTTAAGAGCTCAAAATATAATTTATCTGAGTTTGGTCTTAAAACTCATTTTAGATTATTAAGATTTTCTCTTACAATCTCTTTACCCACCTTCATTTTCACATTCCTCTTACAAGTTATTCTGCCTTTTAAAATCAATAAATATTCTTTGCAGAAAACAGAAATTGAATTCACATTTCTTCCTATCTGCCCACTTTGTCATTAATCTCTCTCGTCATCAACCAACAAAACCCAAAAAGAGATTGATTGCTACCTTCATAGTGAAAATTTTCCTTATCTTAGCATTTATCAAAGCTTCAGAAATCTTTAGGCTTTAAACTTTCTATGGAGAAATGATTTGATTTCTCAGGCAGCATACAGTAGCCATGTACTACTGGTCTTCATGGTAGAATTAGTAACAGATCTCAGACAAATTATAATAAACTAAAAGTGAGAAGAGATATGAAGGTTGAAACCAGGTTCTGCCAATGGGAGATACTGACAGGAGACTGGAGGACAGAAACTGGGAGGGAGGGAGAAGCTAGAGTATTTCCCCTGTGTTCCCTCTGCCTCCCACAGTGACTCTGGCAGTGGATTCACTTCCTCTGTGTCTCCAAAATGGCTGCTGTGGCTTCAGTTTCTGCAGGATGACCCCAGTTCCTACTGTAAAAGAAAAAGTATGCACTGGACACTTGTAAAAATGGAAATACAGCCCAGGCACAGTGGCTCATGCCTGTAATTCCAGCACTTTGGGAGGCTAGGACAGGAGGATCCCTTGAGCCCAAGAGTTCGAGACCAGCCCTGATAACATAGCAAGATTTTGTCTCTACAAAAATAAAAAAAAAAATAGCCAGGCATGGTGGCAGGTCTGTTGTCTCAGCTACTCAGGAGGCTGAGATGGGGTGATCACTTGAGCCTGGGAGGTTGAGGCTGCAGTGAGCCATGACCGTACCCCTGCGTTCCAGCCTGGGCAACAGAGCAAGACCCTGTCTCAAAAAATAAATAAATATTTGTAAACGGTAAGATAGATTTTATTCAAGCTACTGCAGTAGGGAAGAGAGATCTCAGTAAAGAGCCGAACTCAACTCTTGAGTACGGCAAAGACAGCTGGGAATTTCTAGCCTACTAGATGAGTAAAAAGGCCACTAAATGGAAAATTACTAAGAGGAACTCAATTCACCATCAAGAGTAAGGGATTTCTGTTAAACCAGTTTAACAGGATTTTTACTAAAAGCAGACCAAACATTTAGATATTGAAATTGAGGGATGAGGAATTTGATGAGATATCAAAGAGGAAAGGATTCTTGCTAAACTGCCTTAACAAGATTCTTGAAAAACTGGGCTCAGTAAGCTAAGGACATGTAAAACCAAGCTTGAGGCCTAGTTAAGAGGAGAGTCCCAGTAATATTGCCCTTGTACCTCCAGCATTGGAGTTGTTTATGCTGTTGGTAGTTGCTTTACGCTCTTCATAATTTCTGCATTGCCTCACCAGCCTTTGTTTGGTTTCTCAACTCTTCCATCATTTATGTAGTCAATTGCCTGCATTGAATTCCTTCTATGTTTTTGCTGTTCTTATACTTGTTTATGAAGTATAAAATACCTATGAAAGAATACAAAATCTTAAGTCTACTGGCCTGGCGCAGTGGCTCACACCTTTAATCCCAGCACTTTGGGAGGCCAAGGTGGGCTGATCACCTGAGGTCAGAAGTTCGAGACCAGCCTGGGCAACATGGTGAAACCCCTTCTCTACTAAAAATACAAAAATTAGCCAGGCATAGTGGTGGGCACCTGTAATCCCAGCTACTTGGGAGGCTGAGGCTGGAGAATTGCTTGAACCCAGGAGGCGAAGGTTGCAGAGAGCCAAGATCGTGCCACTGCATTCCAGCCTGGGCAACAGAGCAAAACTCCATCGCAAAATAAATAAATAAATAAATAAAATCTTAAGTCTACAGCTTAGTAAGTTTTCACAAAGTGAAAACATGCCCATGTAATTACCACCCAGATAAAGAACATTCAATCAGAAGTTCAGAAGCCAGCTGGGTGCAGTAGCACTTGCCTATAATCCCAGCTACTTCAGAGGCTGAGGTGAAAGAATCACTGGAGCCCAGGAATTCAAGGCTGCACTGTGCGGTGATCATGCCTATGAACAGCCACAGTACTGCAGCCTGGGCAACATATTGAGATTAATATCACAGAAACTCCTGGCTGGTCTCTTCCAGTCCCAACTCTGTTAAGGCTATCCTTCTAAGGCCATAAATTACTTCACCTATGTTTATATTTTAGAAAAATACAATATGTACTTTTTAATGTCTGACTTCCTTGGCCCAGCATTATATCTGTAAGGTTTATAATTATTACATATTTTTGTAATTTCCTCATTCTAATTGCTGTATATAGTGCACCATTACATGAACCCACCATTTATACATTCTATGAATCGTGAATATTTAGTTTCCAGGTTGAAGTTTGAACAGTGCTGCTATAAACTTTCTTGTACATTTCATTTGCTGAACATAGTATGCCTTTCTCTGGGTGTACATATCTAGAAGTGCAACTGCATAGATTTGCATATGTGCAAGTTAGTATATACTGCCAGTTTTAACAAAAGGCTTTACCGAGTTACACTCCCATCAGCAGTGATAAGAATTACAATTGCAGCCAGGTGCAGGGACTTATGCTTATAATCCTAGCACTTTGGGAGGCCTAGGTGGGTGGATCACTTGAGCCTACGAGTTTGAGACCAGCCTGGGCAACACAGCAAGACTCCATCTCTATGAAAAATAAAAACATAGCCAGGTGTGGTGGCACGCACCTGTGATCCCAGCCACTCAGGAGGCTGAGGTGAGAGGATTGCTTAAGCCTAAGAGGTTGAAGCTGCAGTGAGCCATGATTCACCACACTCCAGCCTGGGCAGCAGAGCAAGACCCTGTTTCAAAAATATATATATGTACGGATGGGCACAGTGGCTCACGCCTGTAATCCCAGCACTTTTGGAGGCAGAGGCGGGTGGATCACCTGAGGTCAGGAGTTCGAGACCAGCCTGGCCAACATGACGAAACCCCATCTCTACTAAAAATACAAAAATTACCCACGCATGGTGGCACGTGCCTGTAGTCCCAGCTACTTGGGAGGCTGAGGCAGGAGAATCACTTGAACCCAGGGGCCAGAGGTTGCAGTGAGCCAAGATTGTGCCACTGCACTCCAGCCTTGGTGACAGAGTGAGACTCCATCTCTCTCTCTCTCTATATATATATATATATATTTATATATAAATATATATATATAAAACAAAAGATATGAATGAAGAGATGCATGGGGCAAGGTACAGGGGAAGGCCTCAGAGCTTCCTTGCCCTACCCAGGAGTGCCACCCTCCAGGAACCACCATGTGTTCCGCTCTTCAGATGCTCCCTGAACCCTGCCCTTTTGAGTTTTTATGAAGGCTTCATTATGTAGGCATGATTGATTAAACCATTGGTCATTGGTAATCAACTTAATTTTCTGCCCCCTTCCCTCCCCAGAGTAGGGGGATGGGGCTGAAAGTTCCAACCCTCTAATCCTGCTTTAGTGTTTTTGATAACCAGCCTTCATCCTGAAGCTACATAGGAATTGCCAGGATTAGTAAACTCATTAGCATACAAAAAGACACTTATCACAGATTCCAAGGATTTTAGGAGTTGCAGGCTAGGAGATGGGTATGTAGACCAAATATATATTTCACAATCTCACAGTCCACCCCCAGTATTCAAACACAGATCCCTTGCGGCACAAGGATATACAACCCAAAAGACACTGGCACATTCTTAGAATCCCATTCAGTCATTAATAGTTAGTCCAGGCCAGGTGCGGTGGCTCATGCCTGTAATCCCAGCACTTTGGGACACAAATGTGGGAGGATCGCTTGAGCCCAGGAGTTCAAGACCAGCCTGGGCAACATAACAAGACCTCACAGTTACCAAAAATTTAAAAATTAGCCAGGTGTGGGCCAGGCAGAGTGGCTCACTCCTGTAATCCCAGCACTTTGGGAGGCCGAGGCAGGTGGATCATGAGGTCAAGAGATTGAGACCATCCTGGCCAACATGGTGAAACCCCGTCTCTACTAAAAATACAAAAATTGGCCAAGCATAGTGGTGGGCACCTGTAATCCCAGCTACTCAGGAGGCTGAGGTAGGAGAATCGCTTGAACCCGGGAGGTGGAGGTTGCAGTGAGCCAAGACCACGCCACTGCACTCTAGCCTGGTGACAGAGTGAGACTCGGTCTCAAAATAAAAAAAAAAAAAATAATTAGCCAGCTGTGGTGGTGTGTGCCTATAGTCCTAGCTACTTGGGAGGCTGAAGTGGGAGGATTGCTTGAGACTGGGAGTTCGAAGTTGCAGTGAGCTATGATCCCACCACTGTACTACAGCGTGGGCGACAGAGTAAGACCCTGTCTTGAAAAAAAAAAAAATAATAATAATCCAGTTTGCCATCCTATTGTATGAATATGTCCCCTAAGCAAGGCCTGGTGGGAGGTCACTGAGGTTTGCAGGTTTCCATTAATTCTGTTAAGTCCCAAAAGCAGGAGTGGTCTCAGCAAACATATAGCTTCCCCCTTTCACGCATCTAGTATAACTGAGCTAAGAGACAATGTCGCCTCTTGCTCTGAGTCTCTTTCAAGGTGTTAA
Organism: Homo sapiens; assembly: GCF_000001405.40. Lineage (NCBI taxonomy): Eukaryota > Metazoa > Chordata > Mammalia > Primates > Hominidae > Homo > Homo sapiens. Next base: position 138,307,494 of record NC_000007.14, read on the forward strand.
CGTGATACTGGATCTCCTTCAATTCTTAATCCATTTATTCATTTATTTACTCTCAGTTCCTATTGTTTCTTCTTTCCATTAATACCCACAAGTTTTCACCTTTGGAAGCTGACATTACAATCTAGACCAGCTGCTGTCCTGGACTAGATTACAGGCAGCAACAGTAGTCTCAAAAGGACTTCCCACTCAGTCTACTTCCATTCATACAGGGTAAGGTGCAGAACTACAGGCTATTGTTATCACCAGGCAATATAGCTGCATTAACTGTATGAAAATAAGTAATCCCAATCTAAGCCATCGGAACTCTTAAATTATTTTGAGACTGAAAGGAATGTGAATTATGGGGTCTGGGCCACGTGACAGGCAGCTGTAACCTAGGAAGCAGTAAGCCTTTGTTTCTGTACTTACAGATTAAGCTTTTTCCCTTACCTGTGTTGTTTTGTTTTAGCCAGGCATGGTGATGGATACCTGTGTTTGTGTTTTAGCCAGGCGTGGTGGCAGGCACCTGTAATCCTAGCTATTTGAGAGGCTGAGGCAGGAGAATTGCTTGAACCTAGGAGGTAGAGGTTGCAGTGAACTGAGACCATGCCATTGCACTCCAGCCTGGGCAACAAGAACAAAACTCTGTCTCAAAAAAATAAATAAATAAAAAATAAAGTGGAAAGGAAATGAAAACTAGATATAAATAAAAGTAAACCAGCCACTCAGAGAAGAAATCAAACAGTAGCTAATTTGCTGTAACTTGTAAACCAGCCTTGTATAGAAAATGTTGTAATTCTGTGAAATTTCTTTGTATTCTTATAAAAACAAGAGCTTAGCTTTTAACTTCAGAGCACTGACCCCACTTCTCTGGAGTGTGTGTTCTGGAATTGTTAACCGAGGTTTTCACTTGAATAAACCTTCCAAACAGGATTCTGACCCTTTTGATCACCTCAGGTTGACAACTGTTAAACTCTAATTTTGCTAGGGGAGGGGGAGTGTGGTGGGGAGGGCACAACCCACCCCCATTAGGCCCTTAGGAATTATAACATGAAATCTTAAAACATAGTTACAGTTTCTTGCTTAGAACTTATACCTGGCCGGGTGTGGCGGCTCACACCTGTAATCCCAGAATTTTCGGAGGCTGAGGTGGGTGCATTGCTTGAGCCCAGGATTTTAAGACCAGCTTGGGCATCATGGTAAAACCCCATCTCTACAAAAAAAATACAAAAATTAGTTGGGCATGGTGGTGAAGCTACTCAGGAGGCTGAGGTGGGAGGATCACTTGAGCCTGGGAGGTTGAGACTACAGTGAGCCAAGATTGCAATACTGCACTCAAGCCTGGGTGACAGAGTGAGACCCTGTCTCAAAAGGTGGCAGTTGCAACCCTGGTCCTAGACCCACTGTGTCAGGTACAAAAAGAAAAGAAAATTGAAGTGATATGGAGAAGAAAAAAATGATAGTTGTTATACCAACGTACTCCTCCTTTGGCAAGAATTGCATAGACATACCAGCATCCTACTGACCCCCTTCCCCAGATACTTACACACACACATACACACACACACACAACCAGGAAAATCTAGTGGGGACACAGCTTTAGTCCCACCCATCATGCATGTGAGCACAGACTCATGAAGGTGCACACACCATCCCTCAGGCTTCTATCACTCCTCACCCTTGTTTTAGACAACCAATGTTTTCCTTTATTTTTTTTTAGCAACTAGACCACCAGGGAGATAATCAATGTTTGTTATTGTTGTTTTAATAAAGAAAAGGAATTTATTTCTTACAGTCTGGGAAGCTGAGAAGTCCAAGGTCTAGGAGCTGCATCTGGGGAGGGCCTTCCTGCTGGTGGAGATTCTCTGCAGAGCTCTGAGGTACTGCAGGGCGTCACGTGGCAGGGGTGCTGAGTGTGCTAATGTGTTCACATCTCTCTCCCTTCTTTTTTTTTTTTTTTTTTTTGAGATGGAGTCTCACTCTGTCATCCACATTGGAGTGCAGTGGTGCAATCTCACTGCAACCTCTGCCTCTTGGACTCAAGTTATCCTCCTATCTCAGCCTCCTAAGTAACTGGGACTACAGGTACACACCACCATGCCTAGCTAATTTTTTTATTTTTTTGTAGAGATGAGGTTTTGCCATGTTGTCCAGACTCCTGGGCTCAAGCAATCTGCCCACCTCAGCCTCCTAAAATGCTGAGATTACAGGGGCGAGCCACGGTGTCCAGACTCTTTTTTTGTTTTTTAATTTAAGTTCAGACGTACATGTGCAGGTTTGTTATGTAGATAAACTTGTGTCATAGGGGTTTGTTGTACAGATTATTTCAAAACCCAGGTATTAAGCCTAGTGCCCATTAGTTATTTTTCTTGATCCTCTTCCTCTTCCCACCCTCCACCCTCCAATAGGATCAGGTGTGTGTTGACAACCAATGCATTAATTGCCTATTTCACTTCTCTATCAAACCACTACTCTGAGGAGGATATCTCTGCCATTCTTGGGCATTATGTACAGTATGTTCTTTGGTCTGAATAAATAATTTTTGGTCATCCAAATCCATGCAATATCTTCTGTTCTGTTTTTATTATTATAAAACATATCTACTCATTTCATGAACTCAGGTGTCCACCTCAAGGAAGCCCACAGGGATATGTGCTGTCAATTCTAGTCACCTTCTAAACCTGGAACCATTAGCTCTTCTAACGGTCATCAATGGGTCCTGCTTCAATGCACTCCTCAAATTTCCATAGGACCATGACCCACATGGGCATTCTTTTAATAGACAAGGGTTCCATTGTTGTCCTGCCTGACTATGTGGCCCAGCCAATGCCCATGAGCTAACAAACCCAAACACAGGAGCTTTTACCACTGTTCCATCCTTCAGCATGCAATTCAGCCCATCAGGCTGGTCTGTTGTTATCTTCTTCAATCAAAGTGGCATCCTTCCAAATAGGATGTTGTCTATTCACCTTGAAACTGCCATCCATAAGTCAAGCAGCTATTTCTCAGTCGGTTAAGAGCTATTTATTAGGCATTGTAGAATCCAGCAGCTCCTCACCCAGTCCCACAGTTCCAGAGTTAGTCCTAGGGGAAAGAGGCTCCCTGATCATGAGTGTTTCTTACCTGCACTCACTAGATAACATGATCTCATATAAAACACTCGTTTTTATTATGGAGGCCTTCTGGGCACTGTCATCCCATTAGAGTGTTTCTCTGACATCCTAGACATTATAGGTATTTCAGGTTTCAAGGTCATTTTATGTCCTTCAGCGGCAGGGGAAGCTCCAATTAATGTCACATAACAAGGAAGTAAGGGCACACCCGTGGAAATTCTCTAGTCTAAAGCACCAATAGTTATTATTGGAAGGCACTCATAGACTTTTTCCGTAAGACCCAGTAAATGTTCCACACAGGATACTAAATGGAGAATTTGCCCAACCAGCACTCCAGCTTCTACTCTGCATTGTGTAGGCCTAGGCACTCTTACTGGGGTTCCCATTAGTGTTACAGTCTCACCAATGCACTACAATGTAGCAGTCTCTCGTTGTTTGAGGTATGGCTGGAAGTTCTTTGTCTCACAACCATGAAAAGTAAGGAGCGTGGACACCAAGGGTGAGATTAGAGCAAAAGTTTAATAACCGTAAGAAGAAACCTCTCTGCTGTTAGAGGGGGCCCAAAAGAGGGTTGCCATTTTTACAGCTGAATGCAAATGCTTTTATAAGAAACCAGTGGGCCTCTTGCGGTGGCTCATGCCTGTAATTCCAGCACTTTGGGAAGCTGAAGTGGGCAGATCACCTGAGGTCAGGAGTTTTGAGACCAGCCTGGCCAACATGGCAAAACCCAGTCTTTACTCAAAATACAAAAATTAGCCAGGCATGGTGGCACGTGCCTGTAGTCCCAGCTACTCAGGAGGCTGAGGCAGGAGAATTGCTTGAACCCAGGAAGTGGAGATTGCAGTGAGCCGAGATCACGCCGCTGCACTCCAGCCTGGGTGACAGAGCAAGACTTCGTCTCAAAAAAAAAAAAAAAAAAAGAAAGAAACCAATGAGGGAAGTACAAGACACTTCCCAGTTAGATACAATGTCCATCCCCATAACACAATCAGGTAAAAGAGAGGCATCCACTTCACATGAAGTGTATTCAAATATAACTACTCCCCTATGAACTTTTATCTTAAATCCATCAACCCTTACTTTCCTAACTGTGGTTCCCAGTGGATATTATCAACAGGTTTTGGCTTTATGATACTAGTTAAAGGAATGTTCCCCTAGACAAATTAAAGAAAAATCCTGTCAACACTCTCATTTTGTGTTCTAATCTCAGGAACTTCTCTGTCCCTGGGCCATTTTACCCTCTCTCATGCAGAAGACTTTGTGTCTCCTTGAGCCCTTTTATCAATCTTTATCTTAATTAATTTTCCTAACTAGTGCCCTAGACAATATCAGATCAAATTTCTCATTGTAATCTCTGCCTTCAGACTCTCAATTTCTCCAGATTGAGGTAAATACAGCAAACCTATTTGGAACCCCTTAATTATTAAGAGGGGCTCCCTTTGGTCCACCCAGCCTTTTATAGTGTTGTATTAACACCTGTGTTTTGACCCAATCTTGTAAGTAACCAAGGAAAGAGAGAGAGAGAGAAATGAGAGAGTCATGGCCAACATGTATTTTTGTACTAAAAATACAAAAATTAGCCAGGCATCATGGCACATGCCTGTAATCCCAGATACTCGGGAGGCTGAGGTAGGACAATCACTTGAACGCAGGAGATGGAGGTTGCAGAGAGCCAAGATCATGCCACTGCCCTCCAGCCTGAGGGACAGAGCAAGACTCCATCTCAAATACATATGGCGAAGGAACATGTTTTAGGGTAAAATAGTTTGATTTTCTTCTTTGTCACGTAATGTTATGCCAGAGTCATTGGAAAGTAAGTCATGATATATAGGCTTAAATAAAACTCATCTGATGAGAATTTGATTTGTAGGGCATGACTTTCCAGACTCCTTAGATAGGAATTTGGGCAAGGTAAGAAAAAAACAGAGCTTAGTCCTCACTGGCATTCAATGGCTCAGTCACAGCTTTCTGCAGCCTCAACCTCCCAGGCTCAAGCAATCCTTACACCTCAGCCTACTGAGTAGCTGGGACTACAGGCATGCACCACCACACTTGGCTAATTTTTTATTTTTTGTAGAGACCAGGTCTCATTATTGTAACTGCCCAATGGGTTCACCTTGCCCAGTACCTAGATAGAGCTGATTTATCAAGACAAGGGAATAGCAATAGAGAAATATAATTCACACAGAGCCGGCTGTGTGGGAGACCAGAGTTTTATTATTACTCAAATCAGTCTTCCAGAGTATTCAGGGATCAGAGATTTTTTTTTTTTTCTGAGATGGAGTCTCACTCTGTCGCCCAGGCTGGAGTGCTGTGGAACCATCTCAGCTCACTGTAACCTCTGCCTCCCAGGTTCAAGCGATTCTCCTGCCTCAGCCTCCCGAGTAGTTGGGACTACCGGTGCCCACCACCATGCCCGGCTAATTTTTTTTTGTATGTTTAGTAGAGATGGGGTTTGACCGTGTTAGCCAGGATGGTCTCGACCTCCTGACCTCGTGATCCGCCTGCCTCGGCCTCCCAAAGTGCTGGGATTACAGGCGTGAGCCACCATGCCCAGCCTCAGGGATCAGAGTTTTTAAGGACAACTTGGTGGTGGCGGGGGAAGCCTATGAGCCAGGGAGTGCTGATTGGTTAGGTAGCAGATGAAATCATAAGGAATCGAAGGTGTTCTCTTGTGCTGAGTCAGTTCCTGGGTGGGGACCACAAGATCAGATGAGCCAGTTTATTGATCTGGGTGGTGCCAGCTGATCCATCAAGTGCCAGGTCTGTAAAATATCTCAAGCACTGATCTTAGAAGCACTTTAGGGAGGGTTAGAACCTTGTAGCCCCCAGCTGCATGACCCCTAAATGATAATTTCTAATCTTGTGGCTAATTTGTTAGTACTACAAAGGCAGTCTATTCCCCAGGCAAGAAGGAGGTTTGTTTGGGAAAAGGGCTGTTATCAACTTTGTTTTAAACTATAAACTATAGACTGGGCATGGTGGCTCATAAGCCCAGCACTTTGGGAGGTGGAAGTGGGTGGATCACCTGAGGTCAGGAGTTTGAGACCACCCTGGCCAACATGGTGAAACCCCGTCTCTACTAAAAATACAAAAATTAGCCGGGCGTGGTGGCGCATGCCTGTAATCCCAGCTACTCAGGAGGCTGAGGCAGGAGAGTCGCTTGAACCTGGGAGGCGGAGGTTGCAGTGACCCGAGATCACACCACTGCATTCCAGCCTTGGCAACAGAGTGAGCCTCCAACTAAAAAATAAAAATAAACTATAAACTATAAACTAAGTTCCTCTCAAAGTTAGTTCAGCCTGTGCCCAGGAAGGAACAAGGACAGCTTAAAGGTTAGAAGCAGGGTGGAGTCAGTTCGGTTAGATCTCTTTCACTGTCTCAGTCACAATTTTGCAAAAGCAATTTCATTATATTGCCCAGTCTGGTCTCAAACTCCCAGGCTCAAGTGATCCTCCTGCTTCAGCCTCCTAAAGTGCCGGGATTCCAGGCATGAGCCACTGCACCCAGCTCTCTCCCCACACTGACTACCTTCTTGGTGAACAGAAATCTTAGAGATAACTTCTGTTGCCCTGGCAGAATTTTCCCCTTTGAGAGTGGCCTTGAGGCTAAGTTGCCTGAGATCAGACAGACGACCTCTGACCTTTTGTCCAGCCTCAAGGCCCAACCCAATACTTTCTTTTACTTTCATTTTAGCTAGTACAGATAACAACCAAGGGATTGTGTGTTCATCATTCTTCTGATTATTTTGCATTTCCATACATATCCAATGGGCCAACTCCTGAGGAGTTAGGTCTACCATAATCTCTAAATTCCACTGGTAAATTTGACCTTTAGTTACTGAACCCAGTGCAGCTGCAGTTTCATACTATGGGTGACTAGGGCACCACCCAGAGATCAAATATTCCTCTCCCCCCACGCTTTTATCCTTTATCTTTCCAAACCACAAGTTTCCACGAGCCAGGTCTGTTCCAGCAAATGCTGCTTTACTGATACCAATTCTGAGTAGAAAAACAAAAAAAAAAAAAAAACAAGCTAAGGCCAGGGATGGTGGCTCACACCTATAATCCCAAAGCTTTGGGAGGCCAATGTGGGACGATTGCTTGAGCCTAGAAGTTCCGAGACCAGCCTGGACAACATAGCAAGACCACTTCTTTATTAAAAATTAAAGACAATTAGCCAGACATGGTGGCACATGCCTGTAGTCCCAGCTACTCGGGAGGCTGAGGCAGGAGGATCACTTGAGCCCCAGAGGCTGCACTGTGCTGTGATCATGGCACTGCAGTCCAGCCTGAGCAACAGAATGAGATCGTCTCAAAAACTAAAAAAACACGCATTGTTTTTTTCACCATTCTTGCACCCCAACAACCAGCACAGAAGACTTCTATAACCAAATATGTGGGTTTTTCCCCACACCAGCAAGCAATCATTTCTGCAGTAGACACCAGCTGGGTGCCCTTCAATTCAGTCCAATTCTGACACTCTCTACCTGGAGATGGAGTGAGGGCTCAGTCCCACAAGACCGCCCTCCTACTTCCAATGCCAGTTGCAAGCACAGATAGTGGCCTGTGCTTCTCACTCACTGGCTATAAACTGGGATTCCCATGCTCCCCTCCTGGGGCTCCATTAGTTTTCTGGAATGGCTCACAGAACTCAAGGAAATATTTATTTACATTTGCAAGTTTATTTTAAAGGATATTGACATGGAAACAGATGGAGAAGTGCACAGAGCAGAGTAGAGGGGAAGAGGTTCCAAGCTTCCATGCCATCTCCAGGTGCACCACCCTCCAAGAACCTCCAGGTGTGCAGCTATCTGGAAGCTCCTAGAAATTGAAATTTTTTTTCTTTGAGACCGAATCTCGCTCTGTCATCCAGGCTAGAGTGCAGAGGCATGATCCAGGCTCACTACAATCTCTGCTTCCCGGGTTCAAGCAATTCTCCTGCCTCAGCCTCCCCAGTAGCTGGAACTACAAGCATGCTCCACCACACCCAGCTAATTTTTGTATGTTTTAGTAGAGACGGGGTATCACCACGTTGGTCAGGCTGGTCTCGAACTCCTGATCTCAAGTGATCTGCCCACCTTGGCCTCCCAAAGTGCTGGGATCACAGGTGTCAGCCACTGCACCCAGCCAGAAATTGACATTTTTGATGGAAACTAAAGATCAGGCTTCTAGATAAAGGAATAAAATAAAAGGATCTTAATCTTCTGACAACATGTTAGAGAAACTGACAAGAAGATTTATAAGAAGATAAGATAATATCTTCAATAAAAAGTCAATGTGAGCTTTTGGTGCCCTTGAAGGTAACTTTTATGCAAAAAAAGATTATTTCAGGGGTCACTTTTGTTTTACAATTCAGTATTTATTTTAGCAAGGTTAAAAATTTGAAAACTTTGTTCTTTCTTAGATATAAATTAAATTTGTAAATCTTATGCTATTCATAAATTCAAAAACTTAACAATTACTTAAGGATTTTTTTATGCAATTAATATTGTAATAATCTTAACTATCACCATAAGTCAATATACTACAATTTCTTTTTTAAGCATTTCAATTGTCTAATAAAAACCAATTTTCCCAAGCACTTCTATAATTTATAAATCTAATGTGTTAAATTTTTACATGTGTGGAATGTGAATCTTAAATTACATTCAATATAATGAGCAGAAGTTACTCAATTACACTTAAAAAAAATAGAGACAGGCAGGTCTCGAAACTCCTGGGTTCACTATGTTTCCCAAGCTGGTCTTGAACTCCTGGGCTCAAGGATTCCTCCCACCTCAGCCTCCCAAAGTGCTAGGATTACAGAGATGAGCCACCCTGCCTGGCCTCAGTTACACATTTTAAATTATAATCCCAAGGCTGTGTGGAAATAAAGAAAGCATTAAAGTTGTTGGAACTCAAAATGCTTTAAGTCTTGAAAGAGATGGGACTGTGATCTGAGTTGGGTAGCATGTAGTTGCAACTTCTGTTTCTCAGATTATATATTAACTCTCTCTCTCCTTGTTCTGTAAATGACTAGGAGAGACAAGAGACCAGACCTATTCTCCTAATCACTGACCTTTGTTATAGATTAACCTCCTCCTTTTCTGTTCTGAGTTTTGTTAACTCAGACCAGATGGCGCAAAAGACCCCATGACTATTACATCTTCAGTATGGAACGTTAAATATACTTTTCCTGAAAGAAAAATATCACCTCAACCAATGAGATCATTGTAACTATGCATTAAGCCTTATATAGAAAGATGTTGAAATTCCGTTAAACTTCCCTTGTCTATATAAACAACCCTAGACATCTATGCTTCTGAACACATACTTCCATTCTTTGGAATCTGTACTTCCAGGGCAGCTATCCCACAAGGTTTGTGCTTGAATAAACTCTACAATTAATCATATTTTCTGAATTTTGTTATTTAACGTGGACAGCTGATATGTCCAGTTACCTTCTAAAATGCCAAATAAACATGCATAGGTTATTTCTAAATTTGATGCCAAAATATTAATTGTATTGGTTTGACTTACTTGCTTCTCTCTGTATTTAATTCTAAGTCTTCATGGTATTAAGTCAGCACACACTAATAAGACACATTTGGTGTTAACTTCTTCGTTGGATTTTGTGTTAACTTCTTGGTTGGCTAACTATGTATATCAATCATGGATTTAATTGAACATGAGATGCAGAGCTGCAAACACTAGGGCAAATTTTTGCACAATATAGAATGCAGTATTGAGTCCTTTTCTATAGTCTTTGAATCAGTAGTCTTAAATGCATGTCATTTAGACGGGGTAATGTCACAACCCAGTGTTGTGGGACTTTTTCCTTAGTTCAGCTAAGAGCCAGGTCCTTACCACACGGCCATGAAAAATTAGCCTCGCAGATGATTTTAAGGGTGAGAATAATGGGATTTATTGGGAAAAAACCCTCTCTCACCACTCCTATTCAACATAGTTTTGGAAGTTCTGGCCAGAGCAATCAGACAAGAGAAAGAAATAAAGCGCATTCAAGTAGGAAGAGAGGAAGTCAAATTGCCTCTTTTTGCAGATGACATAATTCTATATTTAGAAAACCCCATCATCTCATCCCAAAAACTCCTTAAGCTAATAAGCAACTTCAGCAAAGTCTCAGGATACAAAATCAATGTGCAAAAATCACAAGCATTCGTATACACTAACAGTAGACAAGCAGAGAGCCAAATCATCAATGAACTCCCATTCACAATTTGCTACAAAGAGAATAAGATACCTAGGAATACAGATAATAAGGGACGTGAAGGACCTCTCCAAGGAGAACTACAAACCACTGCTCAAGGAAATAAGAGAGGACACAGATGGAAAAACATTCCAGCCTTGTGGATAGGAAGAATCAATACCTTGAAAATGGTCATACTGCCCAAAGTAATTTAGAGATTCAATGCTATTCTCATTAAACTACCATTGACATTCTTCACAGAATTAGAAAAAAACACTTTAAATTTCATATGGAACCAAAAAAAGAGCCCATATAGCTAAGACAATCCTAAGCAAAAAGAACAAAGCTGGAGACATCATGCTATCTGACTTCAAACTATACTATGAGGCTACAGTAACCAAAACAGCATGGTACTGGTACCAAAACAGACATATAGACCAATGAACAAAATAGAGACCTCAGAAATAAGACCACAGACCTACAACCATCTGATCTTCAACAAACCGGACAAAAACAAGCAATGGGGAAAGGATTCCCCATTTAATAAATGGTGCTGGGAAAACTGGCTAGCCATATGCAGGAAACTAAAACTGGACCCCTTCCTTACACATTATACAAAGATTAACTCAAGATGGATTAAAGAGTTAAATGTAAAACCCAAAACTATAGAAACCCTAGAAGAAAACCTAGGCAATACCATTCAGGACATAGGCATAGACAAAGGCTTCATGATGAAAATGCCAAAAGCAATTGCAACAAAAGCCAAAAATTCTACAACTATCTGATCTTTGACAAACCTGAGAAAAACAAGAAATGGGGAAAGGATTCCCTATTTAATAAATGGTGCTGGGAACACTGGCTAGCCATATGTAGAAAGCTGAAACTGGATCCCTTCCTTACACCTTATACAAAAATTAATTCAAGATGGATTAAAGATTTAAATGTTAGACCTAAAACCATAAAAACCCTAGAAGAAAACCTAGGCAATACCATTCAGGAAATAGGCATGGGCAAGGACTTCATCTCTAAAACACCAAAAGCAATGGCAACAAAAGCCGAAATTGACAAATGGGATCTAATTAAACTAAAGAGCTTCTGCACAGCCAAAGAAACTACCATCAGAGTGAACAGGCAACCTACACAATGGGAGAAAATTTTTGCAATCTACTCATCTGACAAAGGGCTAATATCCAGAATCTACAATGAACACAAACAAATTTACAAGAAAAAAACAAACAACCCCATCAAAAAGTGGGCGAAGGATATAAACAGACACTTCTCAAAAGAAGACATTTATGCGGCCAAAAGACACATGAGAAGATGCTCATCATCACTGGCCATGAGAGAAATGCAAATCAAAACCACAATGAGATACCAGCTCACACCAGTTAGAATGGCAATCATTAAAAAGTCAGGAAACAACAGGTGCTGGAGAGGATGTGGAGAAATAGGAATGCTTTTACACTGTTGGTGGGACTGTAACCTAGTTCAACCATTGTGGAAGTCAGTGTGGCGATTCCTCAGGGATCTGGAACTAGAAATACCATTTGACCCAGCCATCCCATTACTGGGTATATACCCAAAGGGTTATAAATCATGCTGCTATAAAGACACATGCACACATATGTTTACTGTGGCACTATTCACAATAGCAAAGACTTGGAACCAACCCAAATGTCCAACAATGATAGACTGGATTAAGAAAATGTGGCACATATACACCATGGAATACTATGCAGCCATAAAAATGATGAGTTCATGTCCTTTGTAGGGACATGGATGAAGCTGGAAACCATCATTCTCAGCAAACTATCACAAGGACAAAAAAACCAAACACCGCATGTTCTCACTCATAGGTGGGAATTGAACAATGAGAACACATGGACACAGGAAGGGGAATATCACACACCGGGGCCTGTTGTGGGGTGGGGGGAGGGGGGAGGGATAGCATTAGGAGATATACCTAATGTTAACTGACGTGTTAATGGGTGCAGCAACCAACGTGGCACTTGTATACATATGTAACAAACCTGCACGTTGTGCACATGTACCCTAAAACTTAAAGTATTAAAAAAAAAGCCAAAATTGACAAATGGGATCTAATTAAATTAAAGAGCTTCTGCACAGCAAAAGAAACTATCATCAGAGTGAATAGGCACCCCACATAATGGGAGAAAATTTTTGCAATCTACTCACCTGACAAAGGTCTAATATCCAGAATCTACACGGAACTTAAACAAATTTACAGGAAATGAACAACCCCATCAAAAAGTGGGCAAAGGATATGAACAGACACTTCTCAAAAGAAGACATTTATGCGGTCAACAAACATGAAAAAAAGCTCAACATCACTAGTCATTAGAGAAATGCAAATCAAAACCACAATTAGATACCACCTCACCCCAGTCAGAATGGCAATTATTAAAAAATCAAGAAACAATAGATGCTGGTGAAGCTGTGGAGAAATAAGAATACTTTTATACTGTTGTTGGGAATATAAATTAGTTCAACCATTGTGGAAGACAGTGTGGCGATTCCTGAAGGATCTAGAACCAGAAATACATTTGACCCAGCAATTCCATTACTGAGTATATATCCAAAGGAATATAAATCATTCTACTATAAAGACACATGCACACATACGTTTATTGCAGCACTATTTACAATAGCAAAGACGTGGAACCAACCCAAATGCCCATCAATGATAGACTGGATAAAGAAAACATGGTACATACACGTTGTGGAATACTGTGCAGCCATACAAAGGAATGAGATCACGTCCTTCGCAGGGATATGGATGAAGCTGCAAGCCATCATCCTCAGCGAATTAACACAGGAATATAAAACCAACCACCACCTGTTCTCACTCATAAGTGGGAATTCAACAATGAGAACATATGGATGCAGGGAGGGGAACAACACACACTGGGGCCTGTCGGGGGTGGGGGCCAAGGGGAGGGAGAGAATTAGGACAAATACCTAATGCATGCAGGGCTTAAAACCTAGCTGACGGGTTGATAAGTGCAGCAAACTAACATGGCATGCGTATACCTATGTAACAAACCTACACGTTCTGCACTTGTATCCCGGAACTTAAAGTTAACAAACAAACAAACAAAGGCAGGGGAGGGGCAGGGAACAGGGACTCTCCAAAAGGCCAGAGTTCCTGCTAGTGTAGGCTTCTCACCTCACAGATTGAATTCCGGCTTCCACCCAGGAGGGGCCAGGCTCCTCCCTGCTGCAAACACGTGGCAAAGTTCTGTGGCTCCACCCCAGTGCCTATTCCTCTTAGTGCACACTCCTCCCAGTGCGCAGGTCAGTTGAAGACTCTGCCAGGTAGCCCTTCCCACCTGGCTCTCTCACCAGGATCCAGCTTCACTTACTTAATTACTGAAAGACCAGCTCAGGCCGAGTGTGATGGCTCATGCCTGTAATCCCAGCACTTTGGGAGGCCGAGGCAGGCGCATTACTTGAGGCCAGGAGTTCAAGACCAGCCTGACCAACACAGTGAAACACCATCTCTACTAAAAATACAAAAACTAGCCAGACATGGTGGTGCATGCCTGTAGTCCCAGCTACTTGGGAGGCTAAGCCAGGAGGATCGCTTGAACCTGGGAGGCAGAGGTTGCAGTGAGCTGAGTTGGTGCCACTGCACTCCAACCTGGACAATAGAGTGAAACTTTGTTAAAAAAAAAAAGAAAGAAAAAGAAAAAAAGACCAGCTAAGGTTTGTCTGCAGCTTCCACCAAGGTTGCTAATTAGTTGTTTGGATTCAACTAATCTGTTGTATTTGTTATTCTATTCTAAGTTATTTCCACGTTCTATCAATAAGACAACATTATATTTTTAGTAGAGATGGGGTCTCACTCAAACTCCTGACCTCAAGTGATCCACCCGCCTGGGCTTCCCAAAGTACTGGGATTACAGGCATGAGCCACTGCACCCGGCCAGAGAAAAACTTTCAGCTAATATTTGACAAGGGTGGCAATAATGCACCATGGGGAAAGGATAGCCTCTTCAAAAAACGGTGGTGGGAAAACTGAATATCCACATGCAAAAGAATGAAATTGGACTCCTATCGTACATCACTCACAAATATCAACTCAAAATGGATGAAAAACTTAAATATCAGTCTGGAAGGCATAAAATTTCTAGAAGAAAACATAGGAGAAAAATTCTTTGATATTGGTCTTGGAAAATTTTTTTTTTTTTTTTTTTTTTTTTAAGACAGAGTCTTGCTCTGTCACCCAGGCTGGAGTGCAGTGGTGCAATCTTGGTTCACTGCAAACTCCACCTCCCAGATTCAAGCGATTCTCTGCCTCAGCCTCCTGAGTAGCTGGGATTACAGGCACCCGCCACCATGTCCGGCTAATTTTTGTACTTTTAGTAGAGACGGGGTTTCACCATCTTGGCCAGGCTGGTCTTGAACTCCTGACCTCGTAATCCACCAGCCTTGGCCTCCCCAAGTGCTGGGATTACAGGCATGAGCCACCAAGCCCGGCTGGAACAATTTTTTTTTTATATGACACCGAAAGCACAGGCATCTAAAGCAAAAATAAACACATCAAACTGAAAAGCTACTGTATAGCAAAAGAAACAATCAACACAGTGAAAAGGCAGCGTATGGAATGTGAGAAAATATTTGCAAACCATATGTATGACAAGGAGTGAATATCCAAAATATATAAGGAACTCATACAACTCAATAGCAAAAAACCCACAAATAATCCAATGGGCAAAGAAAAGACATTTTCCCAAAAAAGACATACAAATAGCCAACAGGTACATGAAAAGGTGCTCAACATTACGAGCCATCAGGAAATGCAACCAAAACCACAATAAGATAGCACCTCACACCTGTTAAGATGATGCTTATCAAAACAAACAAACAAACAAACAAAACAAATCTAGAGATAACAAGTATTATTGAGGATGTGGAGAAAGGGGAACCCTTGAACATGGTTAGTGAAAATGTAAATTGGTACAGCTATTATAGAAAATGGAGATTCCTCAAAAAAAAAAAAAAAAAATAGAGCTATCCTATGATCTAGCAATCCCACTTCTGGGGATTTATTTTGCAGCTTCATTGAGGTATGAAGGATATAAAATTAATGTCTCAAAGGGAAGATCTGAACTCCTGTTTGTTGTGGCATCATTTACAATAGCCAAGAAATGGAAACAACCTAAGTGTCTATCAATAGATGAACAGATACACATGCACACACACACACACACACACACACACACACAAAATGGACTATTATTCAGCCATAATAAAGAAGAAAATTGGACCAGGTGCTGTGACTCACACCTGTAATCCCAGCACTTTGGGAGGCTGAGGCAGGCAGATCACAAGGTCAGGAGTTCGAGACCAGCCTGGCGATATGGTGAAACCCCATCTCTACTAAAAATACAAAAATTAGCCGGGCATGGTGGTGTGCACCTGTAGTCCCAGCTACTCAGGAGGCTGAGGCAGGAGAAACGCTTGAACCCGGGAGGCAGACATTGTGGTGAGCTGCGATCACACCATTGCACTCCAGCCTGAGCAACAGCGTGATACTCTGTCTCAATAAAAGAATAATAAAATGAAAGAAAGGAAAGGAAAGGAAAGAAAGAAAGAAAGAAGGAAGGAAGGAAGGAAAGAAAGAAAGGAAGAAAGAAGGGAGGGAAGGAGGGAGGGAGGGAAAAGAAAATCCTGTCATTTGTGAGAACCTGGATGAGCCTTAAGAGCATTATGCTCAATGAAATAAATCAGACAGAGAAAGACAAACATTGTATGATCTCATTTAAATATGGAATCTGAAAAACCCAAACTCACAGAAACAGAAGAGAATGGTAGTTGTCAGGGTTGTGGGAAAGCAGAAAAGGAGAGATGTTGGTTAATGGGTACAAAGTTTCGGTTGTGAGTTCTGGGGATCTAATGTAGAGCATGCTGACTATAGTTAACAATACTGCATCACATACTTGAACTTTCCTAAGAGAGTAGATCTTAAACGTTCTTACCACACACACAGCTGTGTGAGGTGATGGATGTGCTAACTAACCTGATTATGCTAAATATTTTACATTATACACATATATCGAATCATCACGTTGCATACCTTAAATTTATACAATTTTACTTGTCAATCATACCTCAGTGAAGCTGCAAAATAAATAGAGGGAGATCCATCATTAACTGTCCTTTCTTAGGAAGTATTATTTGAATATATCAACACAAGATTAACAAAATACCTTTCTTTCTCTTCATAAAATTAATCAGTGTTTTAAATTTCTTTACAAAACCCTCTCATTCTAAATTTTCCTCTTGGTAATTATAGCAGAGGCATTCATTCCTACAGATTTTACAAACACAGCAATATTAGTTTAAGGTGTGTTTCAATCAAAAGTAAATATAAATATAAAACATTCACATTTCTTCCTAATTGATTTCAAATCCTTCATGAACTATTTTTGCCATTAATGGCAGACTGAATTTTCTTTTAAATTTTTGTCATTGTTATAAAATAATCAATTAGTTCATTATCAAGTGGTAGCTTGAATCTCCTCTCATGTTTCATCAAAGATCTTCCCCTTTTGGCCGTGCGTGGTGGTTCACGCCTGTAATCCCAGCACTTTGGGAGGCTGAAGCAGGTGCATCACTTGAGGTCAGGAGTTCGAGACCAGCCTGGCCAACAGAGTGAAACACCATCTCTACTAAAAATACAAAAATTAGCCGGGTGTGGTGGCATGTGCCTATAATCCCAGCTACTCAGGGAGGCTGAGGCACAAGAATCTCTTGAACCCAGGAGGCAGAGGTTGGAGTGTGCTGAGATCGCACCACTGTACTCCAGCCTGGGCGACAGAGCAAGACTCCATATCAAAAAAAAAAAAAAAAAAGAGAAAAAAGATCTCCCACTTTTAAATTGATGTATATTTCTACTTTGCTTGATAATATCTATTAACAAGTTTTAATTCTTCAATCCACAAACGTATTTTAAGTGATTATCACCTACCAATTAGAAAAATAGCAAGAATGAGAACTAAAATGCAATGGCAGTTTAAAATACAACAAGCTCTGTGCCAAGAAATTTTTATTTAATCCCATATTTATAGATAAACACTTTAAAAGATTAAGTAATAGAGTGACAGAGAGAGAACTACTAAGCAGGTGTATCCAATGCTAACTAATGCCTGGGAATTAGCCAAGGTTACTCTGCCACGCCCTGCAGAGAACGATGCCATCTTCCCAAGCAAGGCAGTGACCACACACAACCTGACAGATCCAACTGTTGGAGAGAGGAAGGACAGGGGCCCACTCCTGCTGGAAACTCTGCACTGCCTCTTTCAGCCCCACACAGTCAGCTGCCTGGATCCCAAGCTCTTCCCCTGGGCATGAGTGAGCTCTTGGCAAGAGGCGTATGTAGCCCAGGCTGCACCAGCTGTTGCAGAAAACCCAGAATTTATTTGTTCCATCACTCATTCTGTAGTGGAGATTTTAGCTCATGTCAGAGTAAACCCGGGTGTCATGTGTCAGCAATGCGGCCATGGACAGCCTTGGTACACGCACAGGATAGCTTTATGTACATAAAGTCATGCACTGTAACGACCGCCTATACAACAGTGATTCCATGAGATTATACTACCATATATATACATATATATATATATTTTTTGGCAACTCTGTAATACCGTATTTTTACTGTACTTTCTCTATGTTTAGATATACAAATACTTACCACTGTGTTACAATTGCCACAGTATTCAGTAGAGTAACCTGCTGTACAGGTTTGTAGCCAAGGAGCAACAGGCTGTACCACACAGCCAAGGTTTCGAATAGTAAGCTCTACCATCTAGGTTGGTATACGGGCACTCTATGATGTTTGCACAGCCACAACCACAAAATCACCTGAGGACATGTTTCCAAGAACTTATCCCCATCGTTAGGTCACACTTGACTGTGTTCTCCTGACACTTCTTTTTTTTTCTTTTTTTTTGAGACAGAGTTTCACTCTTGTTGCCCAGACTGGAGTGCAACAAGTGATTCTTTTGCCTCAGCCTCCTGAGTAGTTAGGATTACAGGCGCCCACCACCATGCCCAGCTAATTTTGTACTTTTAGTAGAGATGGGGTTTCACCATGTTGGCCAGGCTGGTCTCGAACTCCTGACCTCAGGTGATCCACCCACCTCAGCCTCCCAAAGTGCTGGGATTATAGGCGTGAGCCACCACACCCAGCCATCCTGACATATATGTGTGTGTGTGTGTATATATATATATATATATATATTTTTTTTTTTTTTTTTTTTTTGACTGAGTCTCGCACTGTTGCCCAGGCTGGAGTGCAGTGGCACGATCTCGGCTCACTGCAAGCTCTGCCTCCTGGGTTCACGCCATTCTCCTGCCTCCGCCTCCTAAGTAGCTGGGACTACAGGTGCCCGCCACCATGCTGGCTACTTTTTTGTATTTTTAGTGGAGACTGGGTTTCACGGTGTTAGCCAGGATGGTCTTGATCTCCTGACCTCATGATCCGCCCGCCTTGGCCTTCCAAAGTGCTGGGATTACAGGCGTGAGCCACTGCGTCCGGCCCATCCTGCCATATTCCTTTTTTTTTTTTTTTTTTTTTTGAGACAGAGTCTTGCTCTGTTGCCCAGACTGGAGTGCAGTGGCGCGATCTGGGCTCACCGCAAGCTCTGCCTCCAGGGTTCACGTTATTCTCCTGCCTCAGCCTCCCAGGTACCTGGCACTACAGTTGCCCGCCACCACGCCCAGCTAATTTTTTGTATTTTTAGTAGAGACGGGGTTTCTCCCTGTTAGCCAGGACAGTCTCGATCTCCTGACCTCATGATCCACCTGCCTCGGCCTCCCAAAGTGCTGGGATTACAGGCTTGAGCCACCGCGCCCGGCCCATCCTGACACATTCTTAATAGGTAACAGGCAGCTACAAGGGCGGTTTCCTTCTACAGCCTCTAGAAATAGTTTCAACACTTCACAATCTGCATTGTTTCCTACTAGGCTACCCTTGAAAACAATTCTCAGGAGAAGAGGAAAAGAGATGAAAAAGATATAGTCCCTGCCTTCAAGAAGCTCCTGTCTAATGCAGTGGGTGAGAGCTGAGATGAACAGCTCATGCAAGGTGATACGTTATGATAGAGGTATGATCAGAGTAGTGTGAGAAAACAGAAGAGGTTCTATTAATTGCAAATAGGTAGGAGGAGATGACCATTATGAAGGAATGATTATGCAAGAGCTTATAATTGAATAGGATTTGAAAAAGGTGTCAGGATTTCCCCAGGAGAGTAGGGGAGCTTGTTTTCCTGGAATTTAATACTGCATGAGCAAACACACAGGCTCCATGAGAAGGCAAAGACTTACATTCAAGAGTATGAGCCCCAGATTTGTAAAATTTAAATGCTGATGTACTCACAAACAGCAAACCTGCAAGCTGCACTTACCTGTCCCATATACTTCCATCACTTCCTTTCTTATTGGATAGACACAATAAAAGATTAACTGCAAGAAAACTATTTAACCATCTCCAGATTTAGTAAGAGGTGCAATAACAGATCTAAATTTGGGGACAAACTTTTTGTGCACAAGTCAGATTCTGAGCTAGGTCTGTCTTCTACATATAATTTAGAGTCATGCATGAAATGAGCCTCAGGGGTGAGAAAAAATAAGGATGGACTGAAAGAGGATCTGTTGCCTAAAGACCAGGAAGGTTGGGTATACTAAATATATCTGGTGCCATTTGAAAATGTATTCTTCCATGAAATCCGTAATTCTGGAAGGCAGTGGTTTGGGTGTTAGGTGAACATTCATCTCTAATAAAAGAAGTCTTGGATGTGAAAGGCCTTGGAATATGTACAAGGAGTTGACTCTCCTGAAGACAGAGAAAGTCTGTTCGAGTCTTTTAAACAAGGAGTAGCAAGGTTTGTGTTTTAGAAAAACACTTGTGGCAGCCGGGTGTGGTGGCTCATGCCTGTAATCCCAGCACTTTGAGAGGCCAAGGCAGCTGGATCACGAGGTCAGGAAATCGAGACCAACCTGGCCAACAAGGTGAAACACCATCTCCACTAAAAATACAAAAGTTAGCTGGGTATGGTGGCACACGCCTGTAATCGCAGCTATTTGGGAGGCTGGGGCAGGAGAATCACTTGAACTGGAGGCAGAGGTTGCAATGAGCTGAGATGGCACCACTGCACTCCAGCCTGGGTGACAGAGCAAGACTCTGTCTCAGAAAAAAAACAAAAAAACAAAAAAACAACAACAAAAAAAAACCAGAGCTGTCTCTGGTCAAAGCTGAAAGAATTTTTGCATGACTCTTGTTGATCTAAGAAGAAACTGAGGCAAAATTAAGTAGAGGGTTTATTTGGGTCAAGGTTGAGAGCTAGAGCCCAGGAGTCCTAGAACCGTTGCCCTGAGTATATGCTCCAAGTGGGTTTTTAAATAAAAAGAACTTAGGAGAACATTTCTAAGTTTACCAAGAATTTACATTGGTTCATTACAATAACATAAGCTATTGACTGGCTGTGCCTTGTCCTTGTATCACAAATCCCAGAATAATGGGTGAGGGTCACATTGTGCAACTTGTAGTAATATTTCAGGTAGTTTATCAGCTATCCGGAAACTACAGGGAAAGAAAGAAGAAACAAAATACCTGTAAACAATTGCCCAGGGCCTGGGTGCCAGGACTGTGACTGCAGTCTCATGCTCATGTCTCTCTGCGGCTGATAAGTTCTGCATACCTCACATTCCTCAGGCTGCTCTGAGCAGCTTTGCTTTTGCACTCTAACTGATGGAAATGTATAGAGCATGTGAAAAACCTGTGAGTTGATCAACATACTCAAAAAAGAGAGAGCCAAAGTGCAGATTAAACCAAAACAGATCAAATCAAAACAAAACAAACACATAAAAACCTTATTTGGCACCACTGGAGATGAAAATGACATTAACTCTTTATTATAAAAAATTAGTAGGGTGGGTATGGTGGCTCACGTCTGTAATCCCAGCACTTTGGGAGGCCGAAGCAGGTGGATCACGAGGTCATGAGTTTGAAACCAGCCTGGCCAATATAGTGAAACCCCGTCTCTACTAAAAATACAAAAGTTAGCTGGGCAAGGTGGCACATGCCTGTAGTCCGTTACTCAGTAGACTGAGGCAGGAGAATCGCCTGAACCCAGGAGATGGAGGTTGCAGTGATCCGAGATCACACCACCGCACCCCAGCCTGGGCAACAGAGTGAGATTCCATCTCAAAAAAAAAAAAAAAAAAAAAATCTCTTGAAGTTCTTGTGTATTTTCATCTTGTTTAGTGCAATGCCATAAACCTTGAATAGCACCATTGGACCCACACAAAGTGCCACTAGTGATGCTGGAAGTGCTTCCAAGAAGCAGAGGAAAGTCATGACATTACAAGAAAAAGCTAAATTGCTTGATATGTACCATAGATTGAGGTCCATAACTGTGGTTGCAACCATTTCAAGATAAATGAATCCAGCATAAGTGTCAGGCCTCTGAGCCCAAGCTGTGTCATTGTATCCCCTGTGACCTGCACGTCTACATCCAGATGGCCTGAAGCAACTGAAGATCCACAAAAGAAGTGAAAATAGCCTTAACTGATGACATTCCACCATTGTGATTTGTTTCTGCCCCACCCTAACTGATCAATGTACTTTGTAATCTCCCCAACTCTTAAGAAGGTTCTTTGTAATTCTCCCCACCCTTGAGAATGTACTTTGTGAGATCCATCCCCTGCCTGCAAAACATTTCTCCTAACTCCACCACCTATTCCAAAACCTATAAGAACTAATGATAATCCCGCCACCCTTTGCTGACTCTCTTTTCGGACTCAGCCCACCTGCACCCAGGTGAAATAAACAGCCTTGTTGCTCACACAAAGCCTGTTTCGTGGTCTTTTCACACGGACGCGTGAGACATTTGGTGCCAAAGACCCAGGTCAGAGGGACTCCTTTGGGAGACCAGTCCCCTGTCCTCACCCTCACTCCGTGAAGAGCTCCATCTATGACCTCGGGTCCTCAGACCAACCAGCCCAAAGAATACCTCAGCAATTTCAAATAGGGTAAGTGATCTTTTCACTCTCTTCTCCAGCCTCTCTCACTACCCTTCAATCTTCCTCTCTCAATACCTTCAATCTCCTTGTCCATCCAATTCCAGTTCTTTTTCCTCTCTAGTAGAGAAAAAGGAGACACATTTTATCCGTGGACCCAAAACTCCAGCACCAGTCATGGACTTGGGAAGACAGTCTTCCCTTGGTGTTTCATCACTGGGGGGATGCCTGTCTGATTATTCACCGACATTCCACTGGTGTCTGATCACTGCAGGGACCCCTGTCTTGGTCATTCACCCACATTCCCTTGGTGGCAACTCAATTGTGGGGACGCCTGCTTCGGCTGCTCACCCACATTGCAGCCCAGGGCTGCTCCCCACTCCCTTCTCAGTGTCTCTACCCTTCTCTTTAAACTTGCCTCCTTCACTATGGGCAACCTTCTACCCTCTATTCCTCCTTCTTCTCCCTTAGCCTGTGTTCTCAAGAACTTAAAACCTCTTCAGCTCTTGCCTGACCTAAAATCTAAGCATCTTATTTTCTTCTGCAATACCGCTTGGCCCCAATACAAACTCGACAGTGGTTCCAAGTGGCCAGAGAATGGCACTTTTGATTTGCCTATCCTATTTGCCTATCTAGATAATTTTTGTCAAAAAATGGGCAAATGATCTGAGGTGCCTGACGTCCAGGCATTCTTTACACATTGGTCCCTCCCTAGTCTCTGCTCCCAATGTGACTCATCCCAAATCTTTCTTCTTTCTCTCCTGCCTGTTCCATCAGTCTCCACCCCAAGCTCTGAGTCCTTTGAATCTTCCTTTTCTACGGACTCATCTGACCTCTCCCCTTCTCCCCAGGCTGCTCCTCGCCAGGCCGAGCCAGGTCACAATTCTTCCTGAGCCTCCACTCCCCCACCCTATAATCCTTTTATCAACCCCTCCTCACACCCCGTCCAGCTTACAGTTTCTTTCCGTGACTAGCCCTCCCCGACCTGTCCAATAATTTCCTCTTAAAGAGGTGGCTGGAGCTGAAGCCATAGCCAAGGTTAATGCTCCTTTTTCTTTATCCGACCTCCCCCAGATCAGTTAGCATTTAGGCTCTTTTTCATCAAATATAAGAACTCAACCCAGTTCATGGCCCATTTGGCAACAACCCTTAGACGTTTACCACCCTAGACCCAGAAAGGCCAGAAGGCCGTCTTATTTTCAATATGCATTTTATTACCCAATCTGCTCCCGACATTAAATAAAGCTCCAAAAATTAGATTCTGGCCCTCAAACCACACAACAGGACTTAATTAACCTTGCCTTCAAGGTATACAGTAATAGAGTAGAGGCAGCCAAGTAGCAAAGAATTTCTGAGTTGCAATTCCTTGCCTCCACCATGAGACAAACCCCAGCCACATCTCCAGCACACAAGAACTTCCAAACACCTGAACCACAGCAGCCAGGCGTTCCTCCAGGACTGCCTACCCCAGGATCTTGCTTCAAGTGCCAGAAATCTGGCCACTGGGCCGAGGAATGCCCGCAGCCTGGAATTCCTCCTAAGCCATGTCCCATCTGTGTGGGACCCCACTGGAAATCGAACTGTCCAACCCAGCAGCCACTCTCAGAGCCCCTGGAACTCTGGCCCAAGGCTCTCTGACTGACTCCTTCCCAGATCTTCTCAGCTTAGCGGCTGAAGACTGACACTGCCCGATCACCTCGGAAGCCTACAGGACCATCACAGATGCTTTGGGTAACTCCTATGGTGGAGGGTAAGTCCGTCCCTTTCTTAGTCAATATGGAGGCTACCCACTCCACATTACCTTCTTTTCAAGGGCCTGTTTCCCTTGCCTCCATAACTGTTGTGGGTGTTGACGGCCAGGCTTCTAAACCTCTTAAAACTCCCAAACTCTGATGCCAGCTTGGACAACATTCTTTCATGCACTCCTTTTTAGTTATCACCACCTGCCTAGCTCCCTTATTAGGTTGAGACATTTTAACTAAATTATCTGCCTCCCTGACTATTCCTAGGCTACAGCCATACCTCATTGCTGCCCTTTTCCCCACTTCAAAGCCTCCTTCACATCCTCCCCTTGTATCTCCCCACCTTAATCCACAAGTATAGGACACCTCTACTCCTTCCTTGGAGACCGATCATGCACCCCTTACCATCCCGTTAAAACCTAATCACCCTTACCCCACTCAAGGCCAATATCTCATCCCACAGCATGATTTAAAAGGATTAAAGCCTGTTATCACTCACCAGTTACAGCATGGCCTTTTAAAGCCTATAAACTCTCCTTACAATTCCCCCATTTTACCTGTCCTAAAACCAGACAAGTCTTACAAGCTAATTCAGGATATGCACCTTATCAACCAAATTATTTTACTTATCCACCCCATAGTGCCAAACCCATATACTCTCCTATCCTCAATACCCCCCTCCACAACCCATTATTCTATTCTAGATAAACCTAGCTGACCCCATAGATCCTAAATCTTTTCCCCACTCCTCTTTCTGTTCCTTCAAAACAGCCCTAAAAGCTGCTCCCACACTAGCTCTCCCTAACTCATCCCAAACTTTTTCATTACACACAGACAAAGTGCAGGGCTGTGTGGTTAGAATTCTTACACAAGACCAGGACTGCACCCTATAGCCTTCGTGTCCAAACAACTTGGCCTTACTCTTTTAGCCTAGCCCTCATGTCTGCGTGTGGTGGCTGCCACTGCTTTAATACTTTTAGAGGCCCTCAAAATCACAAACTATGCTCAACTCACTCTCTACAGTTCTCATAACTTCCAAAATCTATTTTCTTCCTCACACCTGACACATATACTTTCTGCCCTCTGGCTCCTTCGGCTATACTCACTCTTTGTTGAGTCTCCCAAAATTACCAATGTTCCTGGCCCGGACTTCAATCCGGCCTCCCACATTATTCCTGATACCACACCTGACCTCCATGACTCTCTCTCTGATCCACCTGACATTCACTCCATTTCCCCATATTTCCTTCTTTTCTGTTCCTCACCCTGATCACACTTGGTTTATTGATGGAAATTCCACCAGGCCTAATTGTCATTCACCAGCAAAGGCAGGCTACACTATAGTAGTATCTTCCACACCTATCATTGAGGCTACCGCTCTGCCCCCCTCCACTACCTCTTAGCAAGCTGAACTCATTGCCTTATCTCGAGCCCTCACTCTTGCAAAGGGACTACATGTCAATATTTATACTGACTCTAAATATGCCTTCCATATCCTGCACCACCATGCTGTTATATGGGCAAAAAGAGGCTTCCTCACTACACAAGTGTCCTCCATCATTAATGCCTCCTTAATAAAAACTCTTCTCAAGGCCGCTTTACTTCCAAAGGGAGCTGGAGTCATACGCTGCAAGGGCCACCAAAACACATCAGATGCCATAGCTCAGAGCAACGTTTATGCTGATAAGGTAGCTAAAGAAGCAGCTAGCATTCCAACTTCAGTCCCTCATGGCTAGTTTTTCTCCTTCTCATCGGTCACTCCCACCTACTCTCCCACTAAAACTTCCACCTATCAATCTCTTCCCACACAAGGCAAATGGTTCTTGGACCAAGGAAAATATCTCCTTCCAGTCTCACAGGCCCATTCTATTCTATCATCATTTCACAACCTCTTCCATATAGGTACTTTTCTGCTAGCATCACAGACATATCACAAACTTTATCAGTCCTTCAAGGCCAATTGGACTCTCTAGCTGCAGTTGTCCTCCAAAACCGCCAAGGCCTTGACTTACTGCTGAAAAAGGAGGACTCTGTATATTTTTAAATGAAGAGTGTTGTTTTTGTCTAAATCAATCTAGCCTGGTATATGACAACATAAAAAAATTCAAGGATAGAGCCCAAAAACTTGCCAGCCAAGCAAGTAATTACGCTGAACCCCCTTGGGCGCTCTCTAATTGGATGTCCTGGGTCCTCCCAATTCTTAGTCCTTTAATACCTGTTTTTCTCCTTCTCTTATTCAGATCTTGTGTCTTCTGTTTAGTTTCTCAATTCATTCAAAATCATATCCAGGCCATCAATAATCATTCTATATGACAAATGCTCCATCTAACAACCCCACGATATTATCCCTTACCACAAAATCTTCCTTCAACTTAATCTCTCCCACTCTAGGTTCCCACACCGCCCCTAATCCCGCTCAAAGCAGTCCTGAGAAACATCGCCCTGTATCTCTCCATGCCACCCCCCAAAAATTTTCGCTATCCCAACACTTCAATACTATTTTATGCTATTTTTTCTTATTAATATAAGAAGTCAGGAATGTCAGGCCTCTGAGCCCAAGCTACACCATCATATCCCCTGTGACCTGCACATATACATCCAGATGGCCTGAAACAACTGAAGATCCATAAAAGAAGTGAAAATAGCCTTAACTGATGACATTCCACCATTGTGATTTGTTTCTGCCCCACCCTAACTGAACAATGTACTTTGTAATCTCCCCCACCCTTAAGAAGGTTCTTTGTAATTCTCCACACCCTTGGGAATGTACTTTGTGAGATCCACCCCCGCCCGTAAAACATTGCTCCTAACTCCACCGCCTATCCCAAAGCCTATAAAAACTAATGATAATCCCACCATCCTTTGCTGACTCTCTTTTTGGACTCAGCCCACCTGCACCCAGGTGAAATAAACAGCCT
The DNA here is from genome assembly GCF_000001405.40 of Homo sapiens. Taxonomy (NCBI): domain Eukaryota; kingdom Metazoa; phylum Chordata; class Mammalia; order Primates; family Hominidae; genus Homo; species Homo sapiens. The sequence goes on from NC_000007.14 coordinate 138,334,479, forward strand.
TGTTGCTCACACAAAGCCTGTTTGGTGAACTCTTCACACAGATGTGTGAGACAATAAAGACCATTATAAAAAAGGAAAAAGAAATTCATCAAGCCATTGCTGCAGCTAAGCCAGCAGGTGCAAAAAACCTTGCACTTTTTTGAAATACCTTTTTGTTTCATATTGAAAATGCAGCTTTTATGTGGGTGAAAGATTGCTATAAGGCAGGCATAGTTATGGACTTTAATATGATTTGAGAAAAAGTAAAGTCATTATAAAACAACTTAAAGCAAAAGAAAAGTAAAGGATCTAAAGCTGCAGAATTTAATGCCAGCAAAGGATGGTTTGATAATTTTAGAAAGAGATTTGGCTTAAAAATGCCAAGATAACAGGAGAAGCAGATTCTGCTAACCAAGAAGCAGCAGACAAGTTCTTAGATACCTTTAAGAAAATTATTGAGGAGAAAGGATATCTGCCTGAACAGGTTTTTTGTTTTTGAGACAAGGTCTCTTTCTATTACCCAGACTGGAGTGCAACGGTGTGATCATAGCTTACTGCAACCTCAAATTCCTGGGCTCAAGCAATCCTTCCACCTCAGCCTCCTGAGTGCACACTACCATGCCCAAATAATTTTTTTTTTTTTTTTGTTAGCGACAGGGTCTTGTTTTGTAGCCCAGGCTGATCTTGAACTCTTGGCTCAAACAATCCTTCCTCCTCAGCTTCCCCAAGTGCTGGAATTGCAGGTATGAGCCATTCTGCCCAGCCCTGAACAGAATTTTTTTTTTTTTTTTTTTAATGAGAAAGACTCTTACTCTGTCACCCAGGCTGGAGTGCAGTGGCACAATCTGGGTTCACTGCAAGCTCCACCTCCTGGATTCAAGCAATTCTCATGCCTTAGACTCCTGAGTAGCTGGACTACAGGTGTGTGCCACCACGCCCAGCTAATTTTTGTATTTTGTAGAGATGGAATTGTTGTATTTCTGTATTTTGTAGAGATGAGGTTTCTCCATGTTGGCCAGGCTGGTCTTGAACTCCTGGCCTTGAGTGACCCACCTGCCTTGGCCTCCCAAAGTCCTGGGATTACAGGCGTGAGTCACCACAACTGGTCTTTGTTTTGTTTTTTTGAGACAAGGTCTCACTCTATCACCCAGGCTAGAGTTCATAGGAGTTATGACAGAGCCAATCATGGAAATCATGACAAAGATCACGGATATGGCACCAAAAAAAATTGAAGGTTGAAGGGTTTCAAGGTATGGATCTTGAAGAAATTTAAGAGCTAATAGACACCACACCAGAGGAATGAACAGACAACAACTTGATGGAGATGAGTGTTTCTAAGCCAGCTCCAAACACCATAGAACTTTCTATGATACAGACACTAAAACTAAAGCAAATGGTAGAAGAAGGAGTGGATTGGTACCATATAGAAATTATTTATTTATTTATTTATTTATTTATTTATTTTTTGAGACAGGGTTTCGCTCTGTCGCCCAGGCTGGAATGCAGTGGTGCGATCTTGGCTCACTGCAAGCTCTGCCTCCCAGGTTCATGCCATTCTCCTGCCTCAGCCTCCTGAGTAGCTGGGACTACAGGCACCCATGACCATGCCTAGACAATTTTTTGTGTTTTTAGTAGAGACGGGGTTTCACCATGTTAGCCAGGATGGTCTCGATCTCCTGACCTCATGATCCACCCACCTCGGCCTTCCAAAGTGCTGGGATTACAGGCATGAGCCACTGCGCCCGGCCCCATATAGAAATATTTTTATAGAAATTAAAAAACAGAAAAGTCAGACAGAAATTACTATGCATTTCCGTAAGTTGCACAAAGTGTGCCTTCTCCCCTGCCTCCCTTTCTATGTCTTCCACCTCTTCCTCCTCTGCCACCCCGAGACAGCAAGACCAACCCCTCTCCTCTCCTCTTCCTCCACCTCAGTGTGCACACACCAAGGATGAAGACCTTTATGATAACTCACTTCCACTTAATGAATGGTAAATTTATTTTCTCTTCCTTATGAATTTCTTAGCAACGTTTTATTTTCTCTAGTTTACTTGATTGTAATAATACATTATTTAATACATATAACATATAAAATATGTGTTAATCAACTGTTTATGTAATCAGTCAGGCTTCCAGTTAACAGCAGGCGATTAATTAAATTTGGGGAGGAATCAAAAGTTATGTATGGCTTTTTTTTTTACTGCATTGGGGGTTGGTGCTGCTAACACCCACATTGCTCAAGGGTCATATATACAGATTATTTTCTTCATCGGGCATTTTTGTATTTTGTATTTTGTTCAGCAACATACTTCTTCTATAATCAGACACAAAATGTACTTTCTTATTTTTAAGATTCTCTAATTTTACTTTTAGTATCTACACACTTGCTGACTCTGTGGCCCAGGCTGACATGCAGTGGTGCCATCTCAGCTCACTGCAACCTTCACCTCCTGGGTTCAAGCAGTTTTCCTGCCTCAGCCTCCCGAGAAGCTGGGACTACAGGTGCATGCCACCATGCCTGGCTAATTTTTGTATTTTTAGTAGAGACAGGGTTTCGCCATGTTGGCCAGGCTGGTCTCAAACTCCTGACTTCAGGTAATGCACCTTCCAAAGTGCTGTGATTACAGGGGTGAACCACTGCACCTGGCCTCCAAATATTTTTTATACTTTTTTAAGTATTACATGTAAGTAGTTAAAAAATTCATACAGCACTAAAAGGCTTCCACCACAGACATTTCCTTTTTCCCCACTGCCTTCCTCCTCTCATCTCATTCCCCAGAACAAGCCATTCTCAACTCAACTGATTTTTCTTCAAATACTTATATTCATATTTCTAAATAAAGTACATATAACATCTTGAGTCATCTATTTTTAACAATATCTATAACTTCATATTATGGTAAATAAAGATGTTGCTCACTTCCAATTATTTTTTTCCTCCGCCAAGTTAACTTTTTATAATTTTGACCCTCATTTCATTTTTTCCTTATTGTGACTGTGACTATGTAAATATTGTTCCCTGTGAGTTAGAGATATATTAAGATTATATTTTCTTTCTTGTATAATTTACTACTTTATCTGGAGTTAATCTGCTGCATTTTTGTGAATATTTAAGTCTTCCTATAATTTCCAATAGTTCTATGACATACTTTAAATATATTCCCCCCCATGATTAAACATGTCAGAAAGTTTATCAGTTTTTTTTTAAAGGTGTACCTCAAATCAAGAGTGTACTGTAGATATGCTGCACAGCCACCATCTTAAGATTTCCGTTTCTCAAGTATACTTTCAAAAAAGAAAAAAAAGGCCAGTCACAGTGGCTCACACCTGTAATCCCAACACTTTGGGAGGCTGAGGCAGGCAGATCACCAGAGTTCAGGAGTTTGAGACCAGCCTGGCCAACATGGCGAAACCCCATCTCTAGTAAAAATACAAAGATTAGCCGGGCATGGCGGCGGGCACCTGTAATCCCAGCTGCTCGGGAGGCTGAGGCAGGACAATCATTTAAACCCGGGAGGCAGAGGTTGCAGTGAGCTGGGATCACACCACAGCACTCCAGCCCAGGCGACAGACTGAGACTCTGTCTTAAAAAAACCTTCCATGTGACTTTTCTGCACTGAATCTCTTGTTTCTCACAGCCTATATCTTTTTTGTTGTTTGTACTTCAGAGCACCTTTTAGCATTTTCCTTAAAACATTTACATGATAGATATCTTTTTTCCTTGATCTTTCTATTTTGAAAATGTTTTTATTCTATCTTCATGCTTCACTGATAGTCTGGAGGATATATAGAATTCTAGGTTGAAAATAATTTTCACTCAAAATTTTGCAAGCATTGTATTATCTTCAAGCTTCCATTAGTACTGTTGAAAAGACTGAGGACATTCTAATTCCCATTTCTTTGTGACTGACTTGTTTATTCTCTCCAGATATTTTCTTATTCCCCATTGTTTGGGATAATTTTCTAGATGAACAATTTTGAATAAAGCAGGATGTGTGCTGTTCATATCTTCTCTAGCCAATTTTTCTTGGCCCCCAGCCCAGGGACTCATGCCAGAGGTCTGAGGAAAGCTGTTATCCTAAAATGTCTGTATAACAATAGAGTGCAGGGAACACTCATTAGCCTCTGTAACACTGGATGGCATAAGTTGAAATAAGCCAATGTTCTCCCTGCTCCAGTCATCTATTGCTGTGTAACAAACCACTCAGAACTTAGTGGCATTAGGAAACATCTTTTTATTTTTTTATGTTCATGACTTTGCAGATCAGTAATGCAAGCAGATCAAGTAGAAATAGCTAACCTCTGTTCCATATGACTGGTACCTCACATGGCTCAGTGGCCAGGAAGAGCTAGGGTGGTGTTATATGTCTAGGGCTCCAGTTTTGTGGGGTTTTTTTTGTTTTTTTTTTTTTGAGACTGAGTCTCACTCTGTCACCCAGGCTGGAGTGCAATGGTGTGGTCTCGGTTCACCACAACCTCCACCTCTCAGGTTCAAATGATTCTCCTGCCTCAGCCTCCCAAGTAGCCAGGTGCAGGCCACAACACCTGGCTAATTTTTTGTATTTTTAGTAGATATGGGGTTTTGCCATGTTGGCAAGCCTGGTCTCAAACTCCTGACCTCTGGTGATCTGCCAGCCTTGGCCTCCCAAAGTGCTAGGATTACAGGCATAAGCCACCATCCCCAGCCAAGGACTCCAGTTTTGACTGTCAACTGGTTTCTCGATTCTTCTCCATGCAATGTCTGCTGAAACTGAATTGTTGGGAGAGAAGCTGAGGCAGGGCTTGCATGTCTGCTAGACTTGCTGGCTCCTTGCTTCTAGCACTCCCATTATCTCAAGTAGCCATATGTTTCTCATTCACTTGATACACTGTTTCCTTTCAACCCCCATATCCTCACCACCTGTTTGTTTTTTTGAGCACCAATAAATAGCATGGGCTCCCAGAGCTCGGAGCCTTTGCAGCCTCCACACTCGCGATGGCCCCCTGGTCCCACTTTCTCTCTCAAACTTTTTCTCATTCCTTTGACTCCGCCAGACTTTGTTGCCCCCACGACCTAGTGTTGGGTCTGATCACCCCAACATTCCTGGCTTCCCAACGTGGGGTGACGAAGGCCCCAGTGAAGAAAGGCTAGAGCATGTGAAAGTGGAGGACACATCATCAAAGGACACCTGAAGACGTCTAAAAGAAGCTCAGCAGGAAAGCTGAGCACTTGGAAGAACCAGGGTAACAATGGGACAAAGTGACAGCAGACATTCTGCTTATTTAAATTTCTTAAGACATTTATTATGAAGGGGGGAGTGAAAGTTACTACTCAGAATTTGTTATCACTCTTTAGTGCAGTGAAGTAGTTTTGCCCATGATTTCTGGAACAAGGGACCATGGAGTTGAATGAATGGGAGAGAATTGGCAGAGATTTTAAAAAGGCATATAAAGATGGAGCAAAAATTGCAGTTTCCATTTGGTCAATGTGGGGGCTAATAAAGGCAGCTCTTGACCTATTTCAAACAGATGATGAGGCAGATTCAGATGAGGAAGAGGAAGAGGAGGACGAGTGTAAAAAACTAACTTCAGATTCTGAGTGTGAAGAACAGCTACCAGAGGAGATTAAAGAAAAGAAAGGAAGACTAAAAAAAGTATGTTTTACTAGCCCATTGGCTTCACCTGCTGAATTAAGTGAACGACCACCTCCTCTCTCTCCCCTTAATGAGTGAGAAAATAAATTAGCTGAAAAACTTACTGCTCTTGTAGTTGCAACATTAAAACCTGGAGCAATTGATGGTGCTATACAAAATTCTATTCAAAAAGCTAGAGCTGAGGGAGACCTTGAAACACGGCAATTTCCCATTACTATAATCTAGCAGGGAGGACAGAATATAGCTAATTGGGCCGCTTTTCCTTTTAAGTTACTAAAGGAATTTAAGCAAGCCATTTGTCAATACGGGCCAAATTCTCCTTTTGTGCAAACTTTATTAAAAAATATGGCTCTTGATAATAGATTAATACCATATGATTGGGATGCTTTGACAAAATATGTTCTCACTGCATCTCAGTACTTGCAGTTTAAAACCTGGTGGGCTGATGAAGCTCAAACTCAGGCAAAGGAAAACACATAAGCACAGCCAGCTGTGCTTGTTTCCTTTGAACAGTTAATGGGAGTTGGCCCTAACTGGGGTCGATTAGAGAATCAAGCAGTAATGGAGGATGTTGCCATTGTTCAGCTGCGCTTTGTGTGCTTGCGTGCATGAGAAAGGATAAATGTTACAGGGGAAAAATATCCTTCTTTCAGTTCTGTCCAACAAGGATGTAAAGAACCATATATTGATTTTATTGCTTGGCTCCAAGAGGCTGTGTATAAAGCCATAACTGATAAAAGGGTACAGGATGTTGTAATACAGCTTCTTGCGTACGATAATGCTAATGCAGAGTGTCAAACTGCTATTAGACCCCTGAGAGGGAAGGCTCATTTAGCTGAATATATTAAGGCTTGCGATGTCATTGGAGGTAACTTACATAAGGCTACTCTTTTAGCTCAGGCCATGGCTGGATTAAGAGTAGGAAATAATATACCCCACTTCTCAGGCTCTTGCTTTAATTGTGGGCAATTTGGACACACAAGAAAGGAATGTAGAAAAGAAAATCAAAAGGCAAAAACTACGACTGTCAATCAACAGAAAAGTCCTGGTGTATGTCCCCAGAGTATGAAAGACAATCACTGGGCAAGTCAGTGTCATTCTAAATTTAGCAAAGTTGGACAATCTCTTTTGGGAAATGGGAAGAGGGGCCTGCCTTGAGACCCTCAACAAACCAAGGCATACCCAGCACAGCCAGTGCCCTTACAAATGTACAACAATTGTTCCCCACCTCAGCAGGCAGTGCTGCCAAAGACCTCTAGAGCACAATTCCAATCTTCTTACTTCCTGGGGAGCCACAGAAGGTCCCCATGGGAGTTAGGGGACCCTTACCCGCAGGAACAGTCGGTCTATTACTTGGAAGTTCTAATCTAAATTTAAAAGGTGTTACTGTACATGTGGGAATAATTGACTCTGATTATACCAGAGAAATTCAATTAGTTTTAGTTCCCTCGGTAGTCTGCCTCCCCAGGAGAAAGAATTGCTCAGTTGTTGCTGTTACCTTACATAAAACTAGGAAGCAACACAGTGAAAAGAACAGCAGGCTTTGGTAATACTAATCCAGCAGGAAAGGCTGTGTGTTGGGTTAGTCAAGTGTTTGACAAAAGACCTATTTGCACAGTAACTACTCAGGGAAAAGATTTTGAAGGACTAGTAGATACTGGAGCTGATGTCTCTATTATTGCTGTAAATCAATGGCCCCAGCACTGGCCTAAGCAAAAGGCATCCATTGGTATTGCTGGAGTAGGAGCTGCCTCGGAAGTTTTTCAAAGTTCTTTGATTTTACCATGTCGAGGGCCAGATGGTCAGGAAGGGACAATTCAGCCTATCATTACACCTATTCCTGTCCATTTATGGGGTAGAGACTTATTGCAACAATGGGATGCTGAAATATCTATTCCTATGGATCAATATAGTAATAATAGTAGACAAATGATGAAAAGTATGAGATATCGCCTAGGAAAAGGACTAGGAAAAGATAAAAATGGCCAATCAGAACCTTTAGAATTAAAAGGGCAAACAGATCGGACCGGATTGGGGTGTCATTTTTAGAAGTGGCCATTATTGAGCCTCTGGCTCCCATTCCTCTTGTTTGGCTAACTGCCAAACTGGTTTGGGTGGAGCAATGGCCACTGAAACAGGAAAAACTGGAGGCTTTAGAAGAACTGGTGCAGGAACAATTGCAAAAGGGACATATAGAGCCTACTTTCCCCCCTTGGAATTCTCCGGTATCTGTGATTAAGAAAAAAATCAGGGAAATGGAGAGCGTTAACAGATTTAAGGGCTCTTAATGCTGTGATTCAATCCATGGGTGTGCTATAACCAGGGCTGCCCTCCCCAGCAATGATCCCAAAATACTGGCCTCTCAAAGTGATAGATCTAAAGGATTGCTTTTTTTTTTTTTAACCATTCCTTTAGCTGCCCAAGGTTATAAAAAATTTGCTTTTACTGTTCCCGCCATAAATAATAAAGAACCAGTGGACAGATACCATTGGAAAGTACTACCACAAGGCAGGCTAAATAGCCTATTTGTCAAACTTATGTCAGGAAAGCTATTAAGCCAGTTAGAGAACAGTTCAAAAAATGTTATATTATCCATTACATGGATGATATTCTGTGTGCAGCTGAAACTAGGGAAGAATTGATGTTGTGCTACAAACAGAAAAGGCTGTAAATGCCGCAGGGTTAATTATAGCCCCTGATAAAATCTAAACTTCTACTCCCTTTCAATATCTAGGAATGAAGGTAGAGCAAAGTGCTATTAAGCCTCAAAAGGTTCAAATTTGAAGAGATAATTTAGAAACCTTACATGATCTCCAAAGATTATTAGGAGACATTAATTGGATTCATCCAACTTTAGGCATTCCTACCTATGCTATGTCTCGCCTCTTTTCTACTTATGAGATGATTCTAACCTTAACAGTAAATGCTCCCTGCCCAAAGAAGCATTGGAGGAATGTCAATTAATTGAGGACAAAATTCAGCAAGCACAAGTAGAACAGGTTAATCCAATACAGCCATTACAGTTTAGTTTTTCCTACTAAGCATTCGCCTATAGGAGTTATAGTTTAACAGGATGATCTGGTTGAGTGGCTTTTTCTACCTCACAATACAACCAAAATGCGCACTCTGTACTTAGATCAAATTGCTGTGCCAGTAGGATAAGTGAGGCTGCGCACAACAAAGTTAACGGGATATGATCCAAATCAGATTACAGTTCCATTACCAAACAAATTCAACAAGCCTATATTAATTCCCAAGAATGGCAAGTTAATTTGGCCAGTTTTGTTGGCTTTCTTGATAATCATTATCCTAAGTCTAAAATCAAGCCACGCAAAATATTGAATGTGCCTTAATTCGAAATGTGACTGATGAACAACTTAATCTTTTATTTCATGCTTTACAGCAAGCGGTACAACAAAGGCATTCACCTTTCTATATCACTCATATGAGAGCACATACTAACCTCCCTGGCCCTTTAACTAAACTTAATCAAACGGTGGATGCATTGGTGTCTGTGGTCTTTGCTGATGCACAAACATTTCATTCTTTTTTTTTTTTTTTGAGACAGAGTCTCGCTCTGTCACCCAGGCTGGAGTGCAGTGGCGTGATCTCAGCTCACTGCAAGCTCCACCTCCTGGGTTCACACCATTCTCCTGCCTCAGCCTCTGGAGTAGCCAGGACTACAGGCGCCCACCACCACCCCCAACTAATTTGTTTTTTGTATTTTTAGTAGAGACGGGGTTTCACCTTGTTAGCCAGGATGGTCTCAATCTCCTGACCTCGTGATCCACCCACCTCAGCCTCCCAAAGTGCTGGGATTACAGGCATGAGCCACCACACCCGGCCACATTTCATTCTTTAACCCATCTTAATGCCGCAGGCCTTAGAAATAGATATGGTCTAACATGGAAACAAGCTAAAGAAATTGTGTAACACTGTTCTGCCTGCCAAGTCCTGCATCTGCCACATTAAGGAACAGGAGTTAACCCTAGAGGTTTATCTCCAAATTCCATCTGGCAGATGGATGTAACACATATTCCTGCTTTTGGAAAATTGTCCTTTGTTCATGTTTCAGTAGCTACCTGTTCACATTTTATTTGGGCCATATGTCAAACAGGGGAAGCTGCAGCTCATGTTAAAAGACATCTTTTAACTTGCTTTTCAGCTATGGGAATCCCAGAAAAAATAAAAACTGATAATGGCCCAGGATACTGTAGTAAAGCCATGGCTACATTTTTTCAACAGTGGAATATTACCCACACTACGGGTATTCCATATAACTTACAAGGACCAGCAATAGTGGAAAGAGCTAATCATACTTTAAAAACTCAAATACAAAAGCAAAAGGGAGGGGACTAGGAATATAAGACACCACATATGCAATTGCATTTAGCTTTATTAACATTAGATTTTTAAAATTTTCAAGAAGATCAACCCATGACTGCAGCTGAACAACACCTGACAGGATAAAAGGAAAATAAAAAGGCTGGACAAGATATATGGTGGAGGGATGCACATACAAAGAGCTGGGAAAAAGGAATGATAATTTTATGGGGAAGAGGATTTGCTTGTGTCTCTCCACGTGACAATCAGGTGCCTGTGTGGGTGCCCACCAAACATCTGAAGATCTATCATGAACCACAGCATCTAGTGGACACACCTATACAGTGCAAATGGAAGGTTTAAGGATTGCTTTTAAGCCTCAATTTGCTTTCTCTGTGCCTTCTGTTAGAAGAGTCCTGCTTCTCATTATCAATGGTAAGTTTTGCCCTGCAGTAATTAACCAAAGAGGCAGAAGCTGAGTTACAAATGCTTCAGCAATGGCACGCCTCCTGGGTACAGCCACAAAAGTTTTTGCTTCTGTTTCAGTAGATTTACTAACGTGGGGGTGAGGGTATGCTTGTGTTTTGCAGGTGATGAACAAACCATGTAGGTGCCCTCAAGATGTGTACGACCATGAAACAGGAGACTGGAAGGGCCCATGGATCCCAACCATGGACCTGGTTCCCCCAGTATGAGCCATGCTGAGAAACTGCTGGAGCACCAGGGTTTTACCTATTGATGCTTAACGGACCAATGCTTTCTGACTGAACGCCTCTCTACCCTGAATTTACAAGAGACCCTAATAGGTAGGCAGGAGTATCATCACCCCTATTCAGCCATTACAGAAGACGGACCTTCATCCTTCTGCAACCCCTAGGATTAAGGGTCCTCTTGTAAAAGGGAAAGGGGAGATATGTAGGAAGCATTCAAACCACAGTGACTCCATTTTGAATAAGGGCTAAGAAAAATGAAGCTGGCTCACCAACCGGCAGTTAAGGGCTGCACAGCCTGCAATCGCCTTGCTCAATTGATTTAAAAAAGAGGCCACCTTATGCTAGTAATAATGATAGCTGTGGTGGTTTTTACAAAAAAGAAGGGGGGCATGTTGGGAGAAAAGCTAAGTGTTGGGAGAGAAGCTGAGGCAGGGCTTGCATGTCTGCTAGACTTGCTGGCTCCTTGCTTCTAGCGCTCCCATTATCTCAAGTAGCCATATGTTTGTCATTCACTTGATACACTGTTTCCTTTCAACCCCCACATCCTCACCACCTGTTCCTTTGTTTGAGCACCAATAAATAGCATGGGCTTCCAGAGCTCGGAGGCTTTGCAGCCTCCACACTCACAATGGCCCCCTGGTCCCACTTTCTCTCTCAAACTTTTTCTCATTCCTTTGACTCCACCAGACTTTGTTGCCTCAACGACCTGGTGCTGGGTTTGATCACCCCAACACTGAATGACCAGGATGACTCCTTCACTCTTATATCTGGTGAACATGCTGGTGTGGATGGAACAGTAAGAGCATGGAAGGAGCTCTCTCTCCTTGCAGCCTCTTAGGTGGCTGGCCTGGGCTTCCTCACAACATAGTGGTCACAGGTAAGATGGACTTCTGCAGTAGCTGGCTTACCCCAAAGCAAGCATTTCAAGATGCCCAATTGAAAGGTGCAAACTTACGACCTAGACTAATAAGTCCTAGAATGTCACTTCTGCCACATTGTATTGGTCAAGTAAGCCACTAGAGCCAGCCAGATTCAAGGAGTGGGGGACTTAGACTGTACCTCTCAATGAGAGAAGAAGCAAAGAAATTATGACCATCTTTAATTGACGATGCTCCCATTCAGTACTGTGAGCATATTGAAATGTAGAACATAACTTCTACCTGAGCAACGAGCCAGAAGAGTGTATGTTTTGACTTGAGAAGCGTCAGCAGGGAATGTTACAGCAGCAGCCAGAGCAAGGAGACAGCCAGTGGAGACTACCATATTAGAACTGAGAGAATGTGCCTCTGAGGACATGCTGGAGGAAACAGAAGCTGGGAGGATTGCATTCCCGCGTACACACTAGGCACATCCTAGAGAACTCCTGAACAGTTGGAGAGAATTTGGAAATCATCAGCAAATAAGAAGAGACTCAGAGAAACAATACCTTTTTATTATTGTAATGTGATGTCATTTCACACGCACACACAGGTATGGCCAAAGGAATCACCTATTGTAACAACAAGACTTTTAAGCCCAGGCAACATGGTGAAACCTTGTCTCTACAAAAAATACAAAACTTAGCCAGGCGTGATGGTGTGTGCCTGTAATATCAGCTACTCGAGAGACTGAAGTGGGAGGATTGCTTGAGCCCAGGAGATTGAGGCTGCAGTGAGCCGAGATTATGGCACTGCACTCCAGCTTGGGCGGCAGAGAGACCCGGTCTCAATAATATTTGTGTGTGTGTGTGTGTGTGTGTGTGTGTGTGTGTATTTTAAGACTTCTGCAGTGACTACATAGCTTTACCAGATAATGATATTCCCATCATAAACCATTTTGTTACTCTGTGAGAAACACATAATCTAAAATTGATGGGTCTCACACTTTGCAGTCAATGGATATTAAATAGAGTAGTGAAATAAAAAATTGATGTATATTTTAACATCATTCATGGGCTGGAAGAATATGTCAATAGCTGTTGCTAATGCAATAAATAGCTCCAAATATAGCAACTGCAGCCATGTATCTCAATACTATAATAGAGTGAGCCAAAGGAAAAATTCAGAAAACAATAAATATACACAGACTACAAGTGCACAAGGCCAACAAGAATTCCTTACCACCACTACCACAAAATAAATCTTTAAATGTCTTCCTCACTGGATAGAAATTGTTCTTTTTTTCATCAACATCCTATCCCATGAGAGCTATCTATTGCCTGCTACCCCGTCCCTTCCGCCCCTTCTCCCTCAGAGAAAACTACCTTGGATGAACTACATTTTTAGAACATTAATTCACTAACTTCTAAAGCTTTCCTTGTGTGTGTGTGACAGGGTCTTGTTCTGTCACCCAGGCTGGAGTGCAGTGGCATGATCACAGCTCACTGCAGTCTCAGCCTCCTGGGCTTAAGCAATCTTTCCACCTCAGCCCTGCAAGTAGCTGGAACTTGAGGTGCATGCCACCATGGCCAGCTAATTATTTTTATTTTTTGTAGAGACAGGCTCTTTCTACATTGCCCAGGCTGGTTTCAAATTCCTGGACTCAAGTAATCCTACCACCTTAGTCTCCCAAAGTGCTGAGATTACAGGCATGAGCCACCATGCCTGGCCCATTTCTTTTTCTCTTTTCTCTCTCTCTTTTTTTTTTTGAGATGGAGCTTCGCTCTTGTTGCCCAGGCTAGAGTGCAATGGCGTGATCTTGGCTCACCGCAAACCTCTGCCTCCTAGGTTCAGCCCAGCCCATTTCTAAAACTTTTATTCTTTTATTTGCCAACTGCGTAGAGAAAAAAAAATGTTAGAAGAAAGCAAGAACCAGACATGTTTAACTCTCTTAATTGAGGGAAAACTTTTAAAATGTTTCCTTGCTTAATCAACAATACCTAATTTCTCTCCATTCTTACTTGGTTTGTTTGTAAAGGATATGGTATGTCTTGTTAAATAAATACTTCTTGCCAAGCTGTGCACTGATTATTAAGACATTTTTTCTTCATTTTTAAGTGTTCTAAACTCTGACGACTAATATTTCTGGAGATCTCAATCCTTACATGGGCAATGCTGTTATTAAGTCTCTATTCTTTTTTTTTTTTTTTTTTTTTTTGACAGAGTCTTGCTCTGTTGCCCAGGCAGGAGTGCAATGGCACGATCTTGGCTCACTGCAACCTCTGCCACCCAGGCTCAAGTGATTCCCCTGCCCCAGCCTCCCGAGTAGCAGAGATTACAGGTGCCCACCACCATGCCCGGCTAATTTTTGTGTTTTTAGTAGAGATGAAGCTTCACCATGTTGGCCAGACTGGTCTCGATTCTTAATTTTAGAAGAAATACTGCTTGTCCAAGGGCCATTCTTCTACGGACATATGTGCTAAATTGTATTCTCAAGAACACTGTTAAGTGTGACTTGAAAAACAAGTTTGTGAAACACTAAATCAGAGTTAAGCAGGTATATTTACATCAAGACTTCTCAAAACTTTGATATAGGATATTAAATAAGATGCATGAATCTTCAAATGGGGAGTGTTTCATACAACTTTTCAAAATATATTGACTTTTATTACAAGCAGCATAAATTGTTATATACTTAATGTTGTCCTGAATACATGTTGAGAAATGCTAAGTTAGAAATAGCTGAATCCACCCGGTGCTGGTCTCCAACTCCTGACCTCAGGTGATCCGCCTGCTTTGGCCTCCCAAAGTGCTGGGATTACAGGCGTGAGCCACTGCGCCTGGCCCCTGCCTTCACTTTTGTGTGCAGCCAACCCTAGACCATGGCCCCAGCTGAGCTGCAAGCTGACCTTAGAGATCTGCCAGCTGACCTTAAAGATCTGCCAAACCAGTCCAGACCAGAAATCCTCCCAGCCAAACCCACAGAGTCCTGAGAAATAACAAATATTCCTTATTTTAAGCCACTAAGTTTTTGGATAATTTGTTATACAGCAAATCTGATGGATACAAACAATCTAAACAGATTAGGAAAACAGCATCAGGCCTGGTGGCTGGCGCCTGTAATCCCAGCACTTTGGGAGGTCGAGGCGGGTGGATCACCTGAGGTCAGGAGTTCAAGACCAGCCTGGCCAACATGGGGAAACCCTGTTTCTACTAAAAATACAAACTTAGCCGGGTGTGGTGGCACATGCCTGTAATCCCAGCTACTCAGGAGGCTGAGACAGGAGAATCACTTGAACTTGGGAGGTGGAAGTTGTAGTGAGCTGAGATCACGCCATTGCACTCCAGCCTGGGCAACAAGAGTGAAACTCCTTCTCAAAAGAACAACAACAACAACAAAAAAGATTAGGAAAACAGTATGTCAAATGAAAAATAGCAAAAGCAACTCAACAATAATTCATTTTTAAAATTTTTACATAGGCAAATGACATAAATAAGCTATTGACAAAAAAAGAACTTAACCGTGAGTTTCTTAAGAGAAAAAAATAAAAACATATGTAATAACATAGGAAAGAGATACTTACAAAGTAGTATATTCAATATAACCTCAATTATCTAAAAAAAAAAATTGTCTATATTTTCTGAGAAATAAATGACTGGAAAAATACAGAGCCAAGTGTTGACAATAGTTATATTTGTAGATGGAGTTAAGAGAATTGTAGTAGAAAATTATTTCAGGAACTTTATTCATTCTCTCAAGGCCTCAGAAGCTTTTACCTTCAATATTCAACAGTGACGCTTCCTCTGAGAAATACTCTCAGAAATACTGTACAGAGACTATTTATGCATATGGATGTTATGTGTAAAAATTAGAGTAGAAAACTGTGTCAGTCAAAATATAGAGATTATATATGGTACAAATTCAGCTCTGTGACAGACAACACTAAAATGATTAGAGAAAAACACACTTGCCAAAAAATATAAGCCTAAGTCTAGTAGGACTGAAAATGTGCCAAAAGAGAACATGAGTACAGTGCCAAGTGAAAACCCTCTGTCAAGTGTACCCTCTCTGTCCAGAGAATTGCACAGATGGATTGGAGATGGGGAAAGACAGGACCTCCATCGACGTGAACATCCAATAGCTGCAATAGACAGTCTAGGCTTTCATTCATTGCAGTACACATAAAACACACTCAAGGAGATTGAAAAAAAAACCCTCAAGCATCCCATATTCTGATTCTGATCAAATGGAACTGCTTCACAGACTGATTTTCCTGAGGATTCCATAAGAACACTTTTCCAAGCCCAGGAGCAGTGGCACAGGCTTATAATCCCAGCACTTAGAGAGGCCGAGGCAGTTGCATCACCTGAGGTCAGGAGTTCAAGACCAGCCTGGCCAACATGGTGAAACCCCATCTTAACTAAAAATACAAAAATTAGCTGGGCACAGTGGCTCACACCTGTAATCCAAGCTACTCGGAAGGCAGAGGCAGGAAAATGGCTTGAACCTGGGGGGTGGAGGTTGCAGTGAGCTGAGATCGTGCCACTGCACTCCAGCCTGGGCAACACTCTTCCAGCTATACTCATCTGCTATGAAACCATCGCCAAGGAAATTTTATAAAACTGATTAAGGGAAAAAAAATAAAATTCAACTAGGCTTGCAGCATAATCAGCAGTAATCATTCAGCCAGCTTGCCCTTTTGCCCACTTCCTTGTAGCTTGTTGCTGCTTACTGCCCCAGGATAACGTAGCCCTTGTCACAAGACTCTGTTCATTTTCTGTTCTATAGATAAAATCTAAGACATTGTGAAGTAAGCTTTCCATTTCAATTTCTCTTTTAGGTTCTGCTCACTGATAAAACTACTGACGTCAGCTGTTCTGAAGGACCCAGCAAGGAGCTGACTCATGGAAGATTGCAGTTTCTACCTAATGATCTCATCCTCCTTACCCTGACCAATCAATGACCCCAATTTTCCAGCCCCTCATCATCCATGATCCACTTAAAAACCTTTCCCCAGAACTCCTTGGAGAGATGGATTTGAGACTTGAGGATTCCATCTTTCTCCTCACTCAGTGGCCTTGGGATTACTAAGCTCCTTCTCTGCTGCAAACCCCACTGTCTCAGTGTATTGGTTTATTGCTATACACAGGCAAACAAATCTGCCAATCCTATAAGACTTAGGAGTCTCCAAAAGTCTCTTAGACTCAGATTTGGGATTTTACCTGGGTGGAGGTAGATCTCTTTGTCTCTCTTACTGATACTCTGTGAATAATTAAAAGTGGGAGAGGGTGTGAATTTTAAAATCTTTGAAAACAACCCTACCTTTGCATGATTGTGTTTCTCTAAATAGACTTATGGGGTGAATATTGTCTGTTATCAAGAAATTATTGAGATTCTTAATTAGAGTTTTCAAAATTCAAACTTGACACTACTAATTTCACCTTCTCCTTTTTATGTTATTTTTAAATTTTTAAATTTTTATTTTTTTGAAACAGAGTCTCGCTGTGTTGCCCAGGCTGGAGTACAGTGGCATGATCTTGGCTCTCCGCAACCTCCACCTCCTGGGTTCAAGTGATTCTTCTGCCTCAGCCTCCCAAGTAGCTGGGGCTATGGGTGTGCACCACAACACCCAGCTAATTTTTCTATTTTTAGTAAAGATGGGGTTTCACCAAGGTGGCCAGGCTGGTCTCAAACTCCTGGCCTCAAGTGATCCACCTGCTTCAGGCTCCCAAAGTGCTAAGATTACAGGCGTGGGCCACTGCACCCGGCCATCTTCTCTTTCTTAATTTAATCTCTATGTAATTATTTTCAAAGAGAGAAAAATTAATGTTCTTAATTTTCATATCTTATTAACAATTTATTTTTTAATGGCATTATTTTTAAAATGGCAAATATAAAAATCTCAAGGGGCTGGTGTCCCTGGAATTTTTTTTTTTTTTTTTGTCATTGTTGTTTGGTTTTATTCACTGCTAAGAGTCATATGAAGTCCCTGGGCTTAAATGCTAGATCTAATAATGAAGATAATTTGGCAGTCATAGTGGCCCAGAGCATGAATTCAGTCAGAAAGGTCTCAAAGACACAGATTTCTATCAGTGTATATAGATAGCCTATTTCTCTATTTCTCCCAGCTTTTTTTTTTTTTTTGAGATGGAGTCTCGCTCTGTCGCCCAGGCTGGAGTGCAGTGGCTCGATCTCGGCTCACTGCAACCTCTGCCTCCCGGGTTCAAGTGATTCTCCTGCCTCAGCCTCCCAAGTAGCTGGGACTACAGGCGCCCGTCACCACACCTGGCTAATTTTTGTATTTTTTAGTAGAGATGGGTTTCACCATATTGGCCAGGCTGGTCTCCAACTCCTAACCTCAGGTGATCTGCCCACCTCGGCCTCCCAAAGTGCTGGGATTACAGACATGAGCCACCACACCCAGCCTATTTCTCCCAGCTTTATAGGCCCTGGACAAATGCCTAAAATGTTGTAAACTCCCACAAATAAGGGAGAGAGCCTAATATTCCAAAAGAAAATGGAGGGGCAAAGAAGTATTAATATTTATGGCTATAAAAGACAATATATAACATATTAAATCTGAATGCTGGCCAAGTAGATGATTGTGGCCAGCGGCATTCCTCAAAGATGGTCACAGCGTTATCTCCCATCCTTTGTACTCATCTGCAATGTGGCCTTCACATTCTTCCTATGATGAAATGGGGTCTACTTTCCTCCCCTTTACTCCAGGCTGACTTGTGACTCATTGCCTTTCAAGGTTAGATCAGACGAGGCATTGCAGCTTCCGCCCTGCTCACTAGAATACTCACTGTTGAAATCTGCAACTGCTAGATAAGTAGTGCAACTACCCTGAGGCCCGGACTAGCCCAACCCAGTCGCATGGTGAGACCTGGAGAGGCCAGATAGTGAGAGAGTGGAGGGCCGGCCCCAGCGGCTCTAGCCCCATGCTGTTGCAGCCCCAGCCATTCTCTGACAGCAACCTCAGGAAGGATCCCAAGCCAGACCCACCCAGGCAAGCCCTCTTGCAGCAAAGCCCTCCCCCTCACCCACACAAACCAGGTGTGTCCTAAAGGAAAAGTACTGAAGGGCCTTAAGGGACATGATCAGGCCATCTCTGTCCACCAACTGGTGTTTATCAAAGTTAGGCTCCTACGCTTCCACAGAGACTGGAAGACAGGGGCCTTATCTTTCCTAATGATATTTCAAAGGGATGGCTCCCAGGTCCTTGAAAAACATATTCCACAGTTGAAGAAAATAGATATACACCTCAAAAAGACAGAGAAAGGATTTACAATTGCAAGATTTCAAAGGTAAATGGTCCAAGACAAAGGAGGTCAGGGGTCTATCATCAGGTTTTGGCTGCAACTAACAGTAAATTCTTTTGGCAACCTTAAGTTTTTACAGGCAGAAATGTAAGGGGGGCTGGGTTATCCCGGGGCATGGCCTTTGGCCACTAGAAGCCCTACTGGAGATTAGTTAACTCTCTTAGTGTGGAGGTTGAATTGTGTGTTTCTTCTTCTGGAGACTTTTTCACAGCTCTATTTTGCTTTATTTATTTTATTTTATTTTATATTATGAGGCAGCATCTCGCTCTGTCACTTAGGCTGGATTGCAGTGGCATGACCATGGCTCACTGTAGCCTCATTCTAGGCTCAAGTGATCCTCTCATCTCAGCCTCTCAAGTAGCTAGAACTACAAGCATGCACCACCATGCCTGGCTAATTTTTATTTTTTATTTTATTTTTAATAGAGATGGGGTCTTGCTATGTTTCCCAGGAACTCCTGAACAAGCAATCCTCCCACCTCAGCCTCCCAAACTGCTAAGAGTATAGGTGTGAGCCAGTTCTTGCAGTCCTCAATTGTTACACACAAAAAATAACAAAGAACAAACTTTGTTACCTAAAAACGAAGTGCCTTTGTATCCAAAACCTAAAACAGGTAGCATTAGCTTTTTAGTTTTTCTTTGAGACACAATCACCCAGGCTGGAGTACAGTGGCAAGATCATAGCTCACTGCAACCTCCACCTCCCAGGTGCAATGATGCTCCCACCTCAGCCTCCCAAGTAGTTTGGACTACAGGCACTTGCCACCACGCCCAGCTAATTTTTTTGTATTTTTTTGTAGAGATGGGTATCTCACTATGTTGCCCAGGGTTGTCTTGAACTCCTGAGCACAAGTGATCCACCTACCTCAGCCTCCCAAAGTGCTGGGATTACAGGCCTAAGCCACCACACCTAGCCAGCTTTTTTTTTTTTTTTTCTAACGGATTTTGCTGTGTCACTCAGGCTGGTGTACAGTGGTGTGATCATGGCTTACTGCAATCTCAAATCCTGGGCTAAAGTGATCCTCCCACCTTGGCTTCTCAAGTAGCTGGGACTACAGGTGTATACCACCACACCCAGCTAATCATTTATTGATTGATTGATTGATTCTTGAAATGGAGTCTCACTCTGTTGCCCAGACTGGAGGGCAGTGGCACAATCTCGGCTCACTGTCACCTCCGCCTCCCAGGTTCAAGTGATTCTCCCATCTCAGCCTCCCAAGTAGCTGGGACTATAGGCACACGCCACCATGCCTGGTTAATTTTTGTATTTTTAGTAGATATGGGGTTTTACCATGTTGGTCAGGCTGGTCTCAAACTCCTGACCTTAAGTAATCCACCCACCTCAGCCTCTTAAAGTGCTGGGATTACAGGCATGAGCCACCACACCTGGCCAGTTTGTTTTTGTTTTTGTTTTTAAGACAAGGTCTCACTCTGTTGCCCAGGCTAGAGTGCAGTGGTGCGATTATAGATCACTGCAGCCTTGGTATCCGAGGCTCAAGCGATCCTCCTCAGCCTCCTGAGTAGCTGGGACTACAAGTGTGCCACCGTGCCCAACTAATTTTTTGTAGAGATGAGGTCTTACTATGTTTTCCAGGCTAGTCAAGCAATCCTCCCTCCTCAGCCTCCAAAGTGTTGGAATTACAGGCGTGAACCACCATGCCAGGCCCACAATACAATTACTGTATAAAAAGCAGTAAAAAAAAAAAAAAATTCCCAGCAACTTGGGAGGCTGAGGCAAGAGAATCGCTTGAACCCAGGAAGCAGAGGTTGCAGTGAGCCGAGATTGCACCATTGCATTCCAGCCTGGGCAACAAGAGTAAACTCCATCTCAAAACAACAACAACAAAATCAAAATAATAGCTGGGTGCAGAGGCGTGCACTTGTAGTCCCAGCTACTGGGGAGGCTGAGAGTAAACTCCATCTCAAAACAACAACAACAAAATCAAAATAATAGCTGGGTGCAGAGGCGTGCACTTGTAGTCCCAGCTACTGGGGAGGCTGAGGCAGGAGGATGGCTTGAGCCCAGCAGTTCAAGGCTATACTGAGCTAAAGCCATGATTGCACCACTGCACTCTAGCTGGGCAATAGAGTGGGACCCCATTTCAAACAAAAAAAAAAGTAAAGAAGAGCAATTTTACTGTGGTGTTAATTCCACCTAACATGAGTAACTCCATTTTGAGACATTAGGATCACAGATCATTATTATTTATCAAACTAACTACAAAACATGTAAATATATTCCATTAAATCAGGCCTAAATATAGCCCCAATTCGTCTTCCCTCTTGCCCGATTTCAAAAATGCCTATAACCACTTCAATGATACCACCATGAGAAGCTACAGTGAAAAGAGAAAATAGTCTTAACATAATGGTGTAAAATTCTACTTTTGCGATCTTTACGAAAATGCAATACCTTACTAGGACTCCTCAGAGGAATGCTAGGACTCCTCAGAGGAATGTGGATAGATCCTATGCAAGTGAAGATCTATAAAGTTTAAAGTAAGCCCATCTATGTGTGTGTGTTTCTTTTCTTTTATAATTTAAAGGGTTTTGTTACATTTTTAACAACTTGAGATATAATATACATATCATTAAACTCACCTGTCTAAAGAGCACAAGAGTTTTTAATACATCTAAGAAGCTGTACAACTATCCACAATCTATATTTAGAACATTTTCTTTTCTTTTGAGATGGAGTCTCACTCTGTCGCCCAGGCTGGAGTGCAGTGGCATGATCTCGGTTCGCTGCAACCTCTGCCTCCCTGAATATAAGCGATTCTCCTGCCTCAGCCTCCCAAGTAGCTGGGGTTAGAGGCATGTATCACCAAGCCCAGCTAATTTTTGTATTTTTAGTAGAGATGGGGTTTTGCCATGTTGACCAAGTTGGTCTCGAACTCCTGGCCTTAGGTAATCCACCCACCTAGGCCTCCCAAATTGCTGGGATTACAGGCGTGGATGACCGCGCCTGGCCTCCATTTGTTTTTTATATGTGCCCACAACAGAAGTAGAGACAGTGTGATTTGGATACTACACAGGTCTGCTAATAAAAAGTACATAAATAAATATTAAATAAGTTAATTAATTAAAAGAGTGCAATGGATCCTTAGCAGCACTGTCCGCTGCAGACAGCATTGCTGATCAGGCCCTGTCTCTAGGCCTCAGCTGTTGAAACTTTCAAGGGCAATACAGACGGCTTTCTGCCAATCCCTGTTAAGTACTAATGTGAGGAAAACCCACTGTGCCAGTAGAGGAAGCCTCCATACAAGAGTTTTCAAGTAAATTTCACTGCCCAGTTTATCAAACTTTCCATGTGGAGTGCTTCCTTCCCACTCCTACCCGAATTCTCAAACTCACCCTCAAGGAGTTTGTTTTGTTTTGTCATTTGTCTTTTTTTTTTTTTTTTTTTTAGAGACAGGGTCTTGCTGTGTCACTCAGGCTAGAGTGCAGTGGCAGGATCCTAGCTCACTTCAGCCTCCACCTCCTGGGCTCAAGCAACCCTTCCACCTTAGCCTCCTGAGCAGCTGGGACTACAGGTGCATGCCACCAAGCGCAGCTAATTTTTGGAGAGATGGGGTCTTCTTGTGTCACCCAGACTGGTCTGGAAATCTTGGGCTTGAGCAATCCTCCAGTCTCAGCCTCCCAAATTGCTGGGATTACAGGCTTGAGCCACTGTGCCTAGCCCTGGCTGGGGCTTTTTTTTTTTTTTTTTTTTGACAGGGTCTCTCTTTTGCCCAGGATAAGGGCTGTGGTGATCGCAGCTCACTGCAACCTCGATCTCCCAGGCTCAAGCCATCCTCCCACTTCAGCCTCACTCAGAGCTGAGACTATAGGTGCTCGCCACCAAGTCCAGTTAATTTTTGTATTTTTTGTAGAGACGGGGTTTCACCATATTGCCCGGGCTGGTCTCGAACTCCTTAGCTCAAGTGATCCTCCCACCTAAGCCTCCCAAAGAGCTAGGATTCCAAGAGTGAGCAAGGGTGCCCGGCCAGGTTTTTTTTTTTAACAAAAGAATCAACCGATGCCTCACAAGAAACAAACGCAGCGCCTGCTTCAGTACCAGTCCAAGGAGTGGTCCTGTTTACCTTTTTGCCCCTCCCTGCCTCCCTGCCTGTGTCTGCTTTTTTTGCAAGGAAAAAAAAAATCAAGACAAATGAAGGTGGGAGATCCGCCAGCTCTGTACAAACGCAGGCATTAGAGGCTGGCCAGAGCAGGCGGGAGGGCGAGAAACACCCTACTTTGCATCTCATTCATGATATGGGTTTTTTTTTTCTTTGAGACGGAGTCTCGCTCTGTCGCCCAGGCTGGAGTGCAGTGGCGCGATCTCGGCTAACTGCAAGCTCCGCCTCCCAGGTTCATGCAGTTCTCCTGCCTCAGCCTCCCGCGTAGGTGGGACTACAGGCCCCCGCCACCATGCCCGGCTAATTTTTTGTATTTTTAATACAGACGGGGTTTCACCGTGGTCTCGATCTCCTGACCTCGTGATCCGCCCGCCTCGGCCTCCCAAGTTGTGGGATTACAAGCATGAGCCATGGCGCCCAGCCATTCATGATGTGGTTTTGCAGCTTCTGATTAGTTAATACTGCCACCCCCAGAAAATGTCTCACATACCAGAAGAATGAAGTCCTAACAGCTTAAAGGGTGTTTTCTTTTTTTCTTTTCTTTTCTTTTCTTTTTTTTTTTTTTTTTTTTTTTGAGACAGAGTCTCGCTCTGTTACCCAGGCTGGAGTGCAGTGGCACAATCCCGGTTCACTGCAACCTCTGTCTCCTGGGTTCAAGCAATTCTTCTGCCTCAGCCTCCCAAGTAGCTGGGACTACAGGCACCCGCCACTACACCTGGCTAATTTTTGTAGTTTTAGTAGAGACAGGGTTTCACCATGTTGGCCAGGCTGGTCTCGAACTCCTGTCCTCAGGTGATCAACCTGCCTTGGCCTCCCAAAGTGCTGGGATTACAGGCGTGAGCCACCATGCCTGGCTGGGTGTTTTCACCTGATGTTTAAATTTGTTCATCTACTGGGCCTTGCGATAAAGAAAATTCTGCCAAGTTTTAGGTGCAGTTCTGTCTCAAAATGATCAGAATTCTGCCACCAGTGTTCTTTTGAGACAGTACTAAATGTAAAAGGGAATTTGGCTTTCATTTTTTCTAATCTCTGAATTGTCAAGCTTGGGTCAATAATCGCAGAAGTAAGCAGCCCTCTGTTGTGAGAAAAAGTTATAATCAGTATTCGTCTCCTTGTTTTGTAACTGTTCTCTCTAATTGTGTCATTTGTATTGTTTGAAAGTATTTCTTCTATAAAATTAAACTAACCTGTCTTGAGAAAAAGTTTTAATTTAATTTAATTTTAAAAGGCTGGGTGTGGTGGCTCATGCCTGTAATCCCAGCACTTGGAGAAGCCAAGGTTGGAGGGTCACTTGAGCCCAGGAGTTCAAGACCAGCTTGGGAATATAGCAAGACGCTGTCTCTACAAAAAAATTGTAAAATTGGCCAGGCATGGTGGCAGGTGCTGGTAGCTCCAGCTACTTGGGAGGCTGAGGTGGGAGGATCACTTGAGCTCAGAAATTCAAGGCTTCTGTGAACTATTACTAGAGGGATTCAACCCAAAAGGACTCCATCTTAAATAGGGGCTATAAAATGAGGCTGAGACCTGCCGGGCCACATACCCAAGAGGTTAGGTATTCTTAGTCACGGGATGAGATAGGAGGTCGGCAGGACAAGATACAGGTCATAAAGACCCTGCTGATAAAACAGGATGGGGTAAAGAAGCCAGCCAAAACCAAGATGGCAGTGAGAGTGACCTCTGGTAGTCCTCACTGCTCATTATCTGCTAATCACAACGCATTAGCATGCTAAAAGACACTCATACCAGCGCCATGACGGTGTATGAATGCCATGGCAATGTCCAGAAGTTACCTTATATAGTCTAAAAAGGGAAGGAACCGTCAGTTCTGGGAAATCCCCACCCTTTTCCTGGAAAAATCATGAATAATTCACTCCTTGTTTAGCATATGCTCAAAAAATGACCATAAAAATAACCAACCAGGCCGGATGCGGTGGCTCACGCCTGTAATCCCAGCTACTCAGGAGGCCGAGACAGGAGAATCGGTTGAACCCAGGAGGCAGAGTTTGTAGTGAGCTGAGATCGCGCCACTGCACTTCAGCCTGGGTGACAGAATAAGACTCCATCTCAAAACAAACAAACAAAAAAACCAACCAGCAGCCTGTGCTGCTGCTCTGCCTATGGAGTAGCCATTCTTTTATTCCTTTACTTTCTTAATAAACTTGCTTTCACCTTGCTCTGTGGATTTGTTTTATTTCGTTTCTGTTTTGATTTTTGTTTTAATTTTTGCTCTATGGATTTGCCTCAAACGCTTTCTTGCGTGTGACCCAAGAACCCTTTCTTGGGGTCTGGATCGGGACCTCTTTCCAGCAACACTATGATGACACCACTGTACTCCAGCCTGGGCAACAGAATGAGACCCTGTCTCTACCAAAAAAAAAAAAAAAAAAATTATAAAAGAATCAGACGTATTGAGGTATAGTTATTATCAACCTCAATAAGAATCTGAAGCAAAATCTGAGGCAATGTTGAGGACTGCAGCCCAGGACACACTTCCAAGTTTCCTTGAAAAGTCCACTGTTCAGCCTTTGTTACAGCAGGATTTTAAAGACAATGGGGACCAGGAATGGGCTGGTCCAAAGTTGTCTCACAGGAATTCTTACTGGTTTACAGAAATAGCATTGGTTTGTGATTGGCTATACGTTGTTGAACTACAGGGTATGAGTTATGGTGTCCAGCATGTGGCATTTTATGGCTACTTGGCGTCTGTCAGTCTGGAGCCCACATACCAAGTGGCTTCAAGAGGTACTTACTTAGCCTAAGCGGGGAGTGAGACGTGACCGCTGTTGCATTTCAATGCCTCTCTGGGTCTGATCATTAAATGGGGCTCACATTTCTTAGAAAAAAAGTTTCTTTTCTTTCTCATCATGGTAGAGTAAAATACGTTCTTTTAAGGTGTATAGATCTGAATTTTGACAAGCAAAAAAGTTGTGTAATAACAATGTTGAGTTTTGCCTAAGCCCTGTGATCTCAGATAACAGTGATGATGAAATCTCCCAAACTTTTATGTTCCAGGAAACAACTTATTGCAAAGAAGGACCCTTCCCCAAGAGACTGAGATATCTCCCTTGTTTACCCATAACAAAACCAGATACACAACCTCCAAATTCCCATGTGTTGCCTCCTAAAGGATTAGTTGGACAACTGAAATGAACGACTGAGGCATAGATCTCAATCATCAAGGTTTATCAAGCCAGTTTTAAGGTGTGTCCAGGAAAAAACATAAGCCATAGACACACTTGTGGCTGTTTTTTGGAAGAGGTTTTGAGGAGGTTTAGTATTTATTTATTTCCTTAAGGGCTGGGGAGACATATAGGTTAGACAGTAAGACAAGCAACCGCATTCCCATGAGACTTTAGTTAGCGCCCAGTAAGTCTACATTTTACATAAGATAAGGTGAAAGTTTCAACAGGAAGAGGAAGTAAAGAAGAAGTCAATTATGAAGATATTGCTGGGTAGGTGGAGGAAATGATTCTTGACTTTAATAAGCTTGTTAATAGACATGATCAGTTTTAGGAGCTAGACTTAGATTGTTGACTTGATTTACAATTGGCGTGTCCAGGTTTATGGGGGGCTAGCAAAGAATTTCTCATGAATGATCTGTGGGGGCAGCCCTTGGAAGACGCGTGAGGCCATTTACCTTTCCCCGGGGATCTGGTTGACGGCTAATGGTAGTAACAGCTATTCATTTGGAAGAGGGTGTTCAAGGACTCAGCCTCTGCTTAAGCTTCCTTTATGCATAAGAAGTTTGCTGGGTCCTAAGTATTACCCAGACTAGAGGGCAGTGGCACCATCACAGCTCATTGCAGCCTTGAACTCCTGGGCTTAAGCCATCATTCCACCTCAGCCTCTCAAGTAGCTGACTATAGGCATGCCTCACCACACCTGGCTAACTCTTTTTTTTTTTTTTTTTTTTTCGGTAGAAATGGGGTCTCGTCATTTTACCCAGGCTGGTCTTGAACTCCTCGGCTCAACCAGCCTTCCTGCCTCGGCCTCCCAAAGTTTGGCCATTGCACCTGGCCAAAGCAAGTGCTTTTAACCAGACTTTGAGTTTCTCTTTTACTTTCCAGGCTCTTGAACTTTGATCCACCCTCAGCCTGAGCCAGTATACAACCCTTCCTTACAGAATTCACCCAAGAATAAGCTGACCTCAGTCTAAAACATTTGCTTTCCATCAGACCATCTCCATCCTTTCACCCCACTTCCCCACACCTTTCTAGCCTCATTTACTTTTCCCTGCAATAGAAAAGCTCTTTCTGCCCAACCTTTGGGACACTTGGAGATCTTAGGGCAAGAGCATTCTTCCAGTTGGAAATAGTCTCTTTTCCTCCTCCTCTACCAATTATGCTTTCAAAGTACTGTTGCCCCACCCTGGCTTATACACTGTTTTGCTTTCCGAGGTTCCAGTTACCCGGGGTCAATCTCGATCTGAAAGTAGTATCTTAATAAATGGAAAAGTCCATAAATAAACAATTCATGAGTTTTAAATTGCACACTGTTCTGAGAAGGGTGATGAAATCCCACACCATTCCACCTGGGAAGTGGATCAGCCATTTGTCCAGTGGATCCATGTTGTATACACTGCCCACCCAAAAATCACTTAGTAGCTGTCTGGGTTATCAGATTTAGAGAACATTATACATAGGATTGTGTATATCTGCAGTTCAGGCATCCACTAGGGGTCCTGGGACATATGCAGATAAGGGAGGGAACTACTGTATTTCCTTACCTAAATTCAGGAGTTGTTTTTTGACAGTGAAGAAAATTAAAATATTTTGTCCGGGCACGGTGGATCACACCTGTAATCCCAGTACTATGGGAGGCTGAGGCAGGTGGATCACCTGAGGTCAGGAGTTCAAGACTAGCCTGGGCAACATGGTGAAACCCTATCTCTACTTAAAATACAAAAATTAGACCAGATGCGGTGGCTCACGCCTGTAATCCCAGCACTTTGGGAGGCTGAGACGGGCGGATCACAGCATCAGGATATCAAGACCATCTTGATCAACATGGTAAAACCCCATCTCTACTAAAATACAAAAAATTAGCCGGGCGTAGTGGCACGCACCTTAGTCCCAGCTACTCAGGAGTTTGGGGCAGGGGAATCGCTTGAACCTGGGAGGCAGAAGTTGCAGTGACCCAAGATCGCACTACTGCACTCCAGCCTGGTGACAGAGTGAGACTCCATCTCAAAAACAAAAACAAACAAACAAACAAAAAAACACACAAAAACTAGCTGATCACGGTGGTGGGCACCTGTAATCCCAGCTACTCGGGAGGCTGAGGCACGAGAATCACATGAACCTGGGAGGCGGAGGTTGCAATGAACCGGAATCTTGCCATTGCACTCCAGCCTGGGTGACAGATCAAAACTCTGTCTCAAAAAACAAAAACAAAAATATTTTATCCCAAAATATATTTCTTTGACATATTTTGAAATGGCTGCAGCTTGGCTAGCAAACAGAAGTGGCCTTGCTAAATTGTCTTAAGTGGGGAAAATTTGGATCTATAAAAAATCTCTGCTAATGCAGCCATGACCTCTCCGTTTCTATCTCTTTCCCAGATCCAGTAAAGACTGCGCGTCTGACACCTTTAAAAGTCTCAAAAGGAAACATTTACCATCTGTTCTTTCTGAGGGAGGCTTCATCTATATAACAAGAAGACCACCTTTGCTAGCCAAGCCACCTTTTTTCCCCCTTCCCACAAACTGTTTTACCAGAATCCAAGCCCCCATTCTTTCTGTAACCTCTAAATGGTATATAAATTTCTGTAACTCATTGGGAAGTTGGGTCTTTATTCTGAAGTCTCCTTTGTATACACATTGTTAAAAGAAAAACATCCGCTGAATTAAATTTAAAGGAGTATAATTGAGCAGTGAACAATTCGCAAAGTGGGCAGCCCCCAGAATCACAGCAAATTCAGACAGACTCCAGGGATGCCTCGTGGTCAGAGTAAATTTATAAACACAAAAGTAAAATGACGTACAGAAATTGTAAGCCAGGTACAAAAACAGCTAGATTGGATACAGGTTGGCATTTGCCTTATTTGAACACTCAGCAGTGTA
The DNA here is from genome assembly GCF_000001405.40 of Homo sapiens. NCBI lineage: Eukaryota > Metazoa > Chordata > Mammalia > Primates > Hominidae > Homo > Homo sapiens. The sequence goes on from NC_000007.14 coordinate 138,363,488, forward strand.
TAGTGGGTGAAGTAAGGCTGCTGGGTTTGGCCAGGACTCAGCGATTGTTACAGGCACATACTCCTAGGTTAGGTTTTCAATCTTATCTACCTATTAAGTTAGGTTGCAGTTCATCAATATGGACTCAAATATAGAAGTACAGAGTCCTTCTCAGGCCGTATTTTATTCGCTTTAACAATTCCCTCCTTTTGGCCATTTTCTCAATTTTGAGAGATTAACCAAAACTTTAGTCACCATCATAAATGCACTTACTCGGTCTTGAAACCTACTGGGAAACAGTAGAACAGTGGGTTTTGCAAGGTAGGAACAAGGGCTAGAACAGAGGGTACCTCCTTATGCTGGAACATCCTGTTTACAGGAGAAAAACAAAACCCGGTCTGTTCTAGGATCTATGTGTTTCCTTAAAGTCTTAGTTTGATTATGTCACATTTAGCATGACTGACTCCATTTTGGTTTGGTTTGGTCTGTTGGGGCCTAGTGTGTGAGCTCAGTCCAAAACAATGGCCTCTCATAATTTTGTTTAAAATTTTTGGTCAGGTTCTCATTTAGGTGAGAGTGTGTCAAAAACTTAGGGCCTTAGGTAACTCTCAGTTACCATCATTTTGGGTTTCTGGTCTCAGCATATCATCCATAAGTTAAGGTGTCCTCAGGGTCACACACTTCTTTCAGCTCTTGTCATTCCAGTTGGAGAGAGACCATTTGACATTCTAGAGATAGCTGGATGCAAACACTTAAAACCTTTGAGAGAATACAGTATACCAGACTATTATGACTTTTGGAAGGATAATACCAAGAGTTTGGAGTACGCGCCTTACCCAGTGTTCCCATGAACCAAACCACCTAAAATCAAATAGATCAAAAAGAATGAGGTAGATAAAGAGTCGACTTGCTTAGCTAAGCAGTCTTTTCATTAATCCCCTATAACTGAATCTGTATAATACCCAATGTTTTCTTCATAGGCCATAAGTGCCAGCAGCTGCCCAGATACTTTTTACGTTTAGCAATTCTATTATTATTATTATTATTGAGACAGAGTCTCTCTCTCAAAAAAAAAATCTTTAAGTTATAGGGTCTGCTATATGATCTTTCAGTCGACACTACTAGCAATGTAAAGGAGTCACAGTTGTATCCCATCTTTGGCAGTACTTGGTATCCTCAGAGTTAGGGAGTTTTATTCATTCTAATAGGTAACAACATATTTCTGAGTTGGCAAATTACTGGCCTCCACTGTGAGAGAAACCCCAGCCACAACTCCAGCACACAAGAACTTCAAAACGTCTGAACCACAATGGGCCAGGCGTTCCTCCAGGACCGCCTCCCCCAGGATCTTGCTTCAAGTGCCACAAATCTGGCCACTGGCCAAGGAATGCCCACAGCCCGGGATTCCTCCTAAGCCATGTCCCATCTGTGCGGGACCCCACTGGAAATCAGACTGTCCAACTCACCTGGCAGCCATTTCCAGAGCCCCTAGAACTCTGGCCCAGGGCTCTGTGACTGACTCCTTCCCGGATCTTCTCAGCTTAGCAGCTGAAGACTGACACTGCCCGATCGCCTTGGAAGCCTCCTGGACCATCACAGATGCTTTGGGTAACTCTTAAAGTGGAGGGTAAGTCTGTCCCCTTCTTAGTCAATACAGAGGCTACCCACTCCACATTACCTTCTTTTCAAGGGCCTGTTTCCCTTGCCTCCATAACTGTTGTGGATGTTGACGGCCAGGCTTCTAGACCTCTTAAAACTCCCCAACTCTGGTGCCAACTTGGACAATATTCTTTTAAGCACTCCTTTTTAGTTATCCCTACCTGCCCAGCTCCCTTATTAGGTCAAGACATTTTAACTAAATTAACTGATTCCCTGACTATTCCTAGGCTACAGCCATACCTCATTGCTGCCCTTTTCCCCACTTCAAAGCCTCCTTCACATCCTCCCCTTGTATCTCCTCACCTTAATCTACAAGTATAGGACAACTCTACTGTCTCCTTGGAGACAGATCATGTACCCCTTACCATCTCATTAAAATCTAATCACCCTTACCCTGCCACACTTTAAAAGGATTAAAGCCCGTTATCACTTGCCTGTTACAGCTTGGCCTTTTAAAGCCTATAAACTCTCCTTACAATTCCCCCACTTTACCTGTCCAAAAACCAGACAGGCCTTACAGGTTAGTTCAGGATCTGCGCCTTATCAACCAATTGTCTTGCCTATCCAACCCATGGTGCCAAAGCCATATACTCTCCTATCCTCAATACCTCCTTCCAAAACCCCTCCATAACCCATTATTCTGTTCTGGGTCTCAAATGCGCTTTCTTTACTATTCCTTTGCACCCTTCATCACAAAGCCTCTCTTCACTTTCACTTGGACTGACCCTGACACCCATTAGGCTCAGCAAATTACCTGGGCTGTACTGCCACAAGGCTTCAAAGACAGCTCCCATTACTTCAGTCAAGCCCAAATTTCTTCCTCATCCATTACCTATCTCTGCATAATTCTTCGTGAAAACACAATGCTCTCCCTGCCGATCGTGTCTGACTGATCTCTCAAACTCCAACCCCTTCTACAAAACAACTCCTTTCCTTCCTGGGCATACTTTTGCCTTCGGATACCTGGTTTTGCCATCCTAACAAAACCATTATATAAACCCACAAAAGGAAACCTAGCTGACCCCATAGATCCTAAATCCTTTCCCCACTTCCTTCTCCATTCCTTGAAAAACAGCCCTAAAAGCTGCTCCCACACTAGCTCTCCCTAACTCATCCCAACCTTTTTCATTACACACAACCAAAGTGCAGGGCTGTCTGGTTGGAATTCTTACACAAGAGCTGGGACCCCGCCCTGTAGGCTTTCTGTCCAAACAACTTGACCTTACTCTTTTAGCCTAGCCCTCATGTCTGGGTGTGGCGGTTGCTGCTGCTTTAATACTTTTAGAGGCACTCAAAATCACAAGCTATGCTCAACTCACTCTCTACAGTTCTCATAACTTCCAAAATCTATTTTCTTCCTCATACCTGACACATATACTTTCTGCTCCCTGGATCCTTCAGCTATACTCACTCTTTGTTGAGTCTCCCACAATTACCATTGTTCCTGGCCCGGACTTCAATCCTGCCTCCCACATTATTTCGGATACCACACCTGACCCCCATGACTGTATCTCTCTGATACACCTGACATTCACCCCATTTCTCCATATTTCCTTCTCTCCTGTTCCTCACCCTGATCACACTTGGTTTATTGATGGCAGTTCCACAGGCCTAATCGCCACACACCAGCAAAGGCAGGCTATGCTATAGTATCTTCCACATCTATCATTGAGCCTACCACTCTGCCCCCCTCCACTACCTCTCAGCAAACCGAACTCATTGCCTTAACTCAATCCCTCACTTTTGCAAAGGAATTACACGTCAATATTTTTACTGACTCTAAATATGCCTTCCATATCCTGCACCACCATGCTGTTATATGGGCAGAAAGAAATTTCCTCACTACACAAGGGTCCTCCATCATTAATGCCTTTTTAATAAAAACTCTTCTAAAAGCCGCTTTACTTCCAAAGGAAGCTGGAGTCATTCACTGCAAGGGCCATCAAAAGGCATCAGATCCCATCACTCGGGACAATGCTTATGCTGATAAGGTAGCTAAAGAAGCAGCTAGTGTTCCATCTTCTGTCCCTCATGGCCAGTTTTTCTCCTTCTCATTGGTCACTCCTATTTACTCTCCTACTGAAATTTCCACCTATCGATCTCTTCCCACTCAAGGCAAATGGTTCTTGGACCAAGGAAAATATCTCCTTCCAGCCTCACAGGCACATTCTATTCTGTTGTCATTTCATAACCTCTTCCACGTAGGTTACAAGCTGCTAGACTGCCTCTTAGAGGCTCTCATTTCCTTTCCATCGTGGAAATCTATCCTCAAGGAAATCACTTCTCAGTGTTCCATCTGCTATTCTACTACTCCTCAGGGAGTGTTCAGGCCCCCTCCCTTCCCTACACACCGAGCTTGGGGATTTGTGCCTGCCCAGGACTGGCAAATTGACTTTACTCACATGCCTCGAGTCAGGAAACTAAAATACCTCTTGGTCTGGGTAGACACTTTCACTGGATGGATAGAAGCCTTTCCCACAGGGTCTGTAACCAGGCCATCACTAATCATTCTATACGACAAATGTTTCTTCTAACAACCCCACAATATCACCCCTTACCACAGAATCTTCCTTTAGCTTAATCTCTCCCACCGTAGGTTCCCACACCGCCCCAATCCCGCTCAAAGCAGCCCTGAGAAACATTGCCCATTATCTCTCCATACCACCCACCAAAATTTTCACCACCCCAACACTTTGACACTATTTTGTTTTATTTTTCTTATTAATATAAGAAGACAGGAATGTCAGGCCTCTGAGCCCAAGCTAAGCCATCATATCCCCTGTGACCTGCACGTCTACATCCAGATGGCCTGAAGCAACTGAAGACCCACAAAAGAAGTGAAAATAGCCTTAACTGATGACATTCCACCATTGTGATTTGTTTCTGCCCCACCCTAACTGATCTATGTACTTTGTAATTCTCCCCATCCTTAAGAAGGTTCTTTGTAATTCTCCCCACCCTTGAGAATGTACTTTGTGAGATCCACCCGCTGCCCGCAAAACATTGCTCCTAACTCCACCACCTGTCCCAAAACCTATAAGAACTAATGATAATCCCGCCACCCTTTGCCGACTCTCTTTTCGGACTCAGCCCACCTGCACCCAGGTGAAATAAACAGCCTTGTTGCTCACACGAAGCCCGTTTGGTGGCCTCTTCACACAGACACATGAAACAGTCAAGAATTCGAGACCAGCCTGGCTAATATGGTAAAACCCCTTCTCTACTAAAAATACAAAACTTAGCCGGGTTTGGTGGCATGTGCCTGTAATCCCAGCTACTCAGGAGGTTGAGGCAGAACAATCACTTGAGCCTGGGAGGTGGAGGTTGCAGTCAGCCGAGATCATGCCACTGCACTCTAGCCTGGGCGACAGAGTGAGACTCCAACTCAAAAAAAAAAAAAAGTTCAGTTTATTAATTTTTTTTCTTTTAAAGTTCTGCTTTTGGGTTCTAAGAAATCTTTGCCTAATCCAAGGTCATGAAGTTTTTCTCCTGTTTTTTTTTTTCTTAGAAATTATGGGTTGAGGCTGGGCACGGTGGCTCATGCCTATAATCCCAACAGTTTGGGAGGCCAAGGCAGGTGGATCACCTGAGGTCAGGAGTTCAAGACCAGCCTGGACAACATGGCAAAATTCCATCTCTACTAAAAATACAAAAATTAGCCAGGCATGGTGGCATGTGCCTGTAATCCCAGCTACTCAGCAGGCTGAGGCAGAAGAATCACTTGAACCCGGGAGGTGGAGATTGCAGTGAGCTGAGATGGCACCACTGCACTCCAGCCTGGGCAACAGAGTGAGACACATCTCAAAACAACAAAAAAAGAAATTATGGTTGAGTTCTTGCTTTTGCATATGGGTGGTGAATTGTTTCAACACTATTTGTTGAAAAGGCTATTCTTCCTCCATTAAATTGCGTTATTGAATGGATTATTTATTCTGTTCCATTGGTCTCTTGCTGATACCACACTGTCTTGATTATAGGACATTTACAGTAAGTCTTAAAATCAAGTAGTATGAGTCCACCAACTTTGTCTTTCTTTGCAAAATTGTTTTGGCTATTCTAGTCCATTTGCTTTTTTGAAATTGCCTTTGCAAAACTTATAACAGTGAGAAAGTTATGACAGTGAAAGAGATCTGATTGCCATCTTGCTGTTAACCTCCTAACTGTTCTCATTCCTTCCTAGGCATAGGCCAAGCTAACTATATGAGAAATTTGTGTACACTTTAACCTTGAAACAAAGATGATAACAGCTCTTTCACAAAACAAACTCCTTTCTTGCCTGGGGACCAGACCACCTTTGAAAGACAAATTAGCTGCATGATCAGAAATTGTGGTTTATAAGTCATGCACCCAAAGGCCACAAGATTTCTAACCTCTTCAATTGTGCCTGTGGATAACATCACTATTGTAAAAGCTAAGATTGGTGTTCAAGGTATTGTTCTTTCTTTTTTTTTGGAGACTGGGTCTTACACTGTCACCTAGGCTGAAGTACAATGGTGGTCCTTGAACTACAGACCTCAAGCGATCCTCCTGTCTCAGCCTCCCAAAGAGCTGGGATTACAGGCATGCGCCACTGCACCTGGCCTGAAATATTTTTAGACTCTGTCTTATGATGGACCAGCTGATGCCACCCAGACCAGTAATCTGGTGCAACCAGTTCTGTGATCCTACCCAGGAACAGAAGACAGCAAGAAGAACCCACTTTGACCCCCTATGATTTCATCTCAAATCCAACCAATCAGCACTCCCCATTCCCTGGCCACCTTGCCCACTAAATTTTTTTAAATCCCCAATCTCCAAATTTCTAGGAAGACTGATTTGAATAATAAAACTCTGGTCTCCTTTTTAACCAGCTCTGAATATATTAAACCCTTTCTCTATTGCAATCCCCCTGTCTCTATGAATTGGCTTTATCTGGGCAGCAGACAAGGAGAACTCGTGAGATGGTTACACTTTCATATACATTTTAGAATCAGTTTGTGAGGTTTTATCAAAACCCTCTGCTGAGATTTTGATGAGGATATGTTCACAGATAAATTTTGGGGGAAATTGACTTTTTTTTTTTTTTTGAGATGCAGTTTTGCTCTTGTTGCCCAGGCTGGAGTGCAATGGCATGATCTTGGCTCACCACAACCTCTGCCTCCCAGATTCAAGCAATTCTCCTGCCTCAGCCTCCCAAGTAGCTGGGATTACAGGCATGCACCACCACACCTGGCTAATTTTGCATTTTTAGTAGAGATAGGGTTTCTCCATGTTGATCAGGGTGGTCTTGAACTCCTCACCTCAGATGATCCGCCCACCTTGGCCTCCCAAAGTGCTTGGATTACATGTGTGAGCCACCATGCCCCGTGGAAATTGACATCTTAAGACTCAGTATTTTAATCCATGAATACAGCATATGTCTCCTTTTTTTTTTTTTTTCACTGCCCCCTCTCCATTTTAGATCTGTACTTGATTTATTAAATAGAAGTGTTATAAACTTTTTTTTTCCAGATAGAATTTTGCTGTAGTCACCCAGGCTGGAGTGTAATGGTGCAGTCTTGGCTCACTGCAACCTCTGCCTCCCAGGTTCAAGCAGTTCTCTTGCCTCAGCCTCCCAAGTAGAAGAGACTGCAGGCTACCACGCCTGGCTAATTTTTGTATTTTTAGTAGAGACAAGGTTTCACCATGTTGACCAGGCTGGTCTCAAACTCTTGACCTCAGGTGATCAGCCCACCTCGGCCTTCCAAAGTGCTGGGATTACAGGTGTGAGTCACTGTGCCCGGCCTGTTTTATTTTTATTTCCAATTGTCATTGTTAGTATAAAGAAATACAATTGATTTTTCTCTACTGACCTTATATATTATGTCATGCAACCTTGCTAATCTCACTTATTAGTTCTCATAGCTTTTTTCCTTTTTTTTGAGATGGAATCTCACTCTGTCATCCAGAGGTTGGAGTGCAGTGGCATAAACACAGCTCACTGCAGCCTCAGCCTCCCCAGCTCAGTGAGGTCATCCTCCCACTTCATCCTCCTGAATAGCTGGGACCACTGGCATTCATTACCATGATTGGCTAATTTTTGTATTCTTCGTACAGATGGGGTTTTCCCATGTTGCCTAACCTGGTCTTGAATTCCTGGGCTCAAGCAATCCACCCACCTTGGCCTCCCAAAGTGCTGGGATTCTGGGCATGAGCCACTATGCCTGGTCTCATGTAATTTCTCTTTAGCCTGTCGATACCATGGATTATGTTGATTGATTTTCAAATACTGAACCAATCCTGCATTCCTTATATAAACTCCACATTTTCAACTTACCTTCTGCTGGATCCAGTGTACTAATATGTCAAAGATTTATATTCAGGAAAGATATTGGTTTATGGAGTTTGTTTGCTTGAAAGTTAGTTACAGACATTTTGAGAGGTCACCCCTAAATATATGGGCATTGCCCTCCATGCAGCAGCAGGAGGCAGCCCAGGCCTGACATTTCCCAATCTCCTTTCCTCCCACACCAGAGGCTCCAAACAGAGATTGGAAGCTCACTGACACTTGGAAGGACTAAGAAACAGTCTTGGTCCTTTCATCCCCAGCATCTCCCACTCCCACCTAGCAGCACCAGTAGGCCCAGCAAGTGTTTTCACCACCACACATGGCACCAGCAGGGATTGAGGGGGTCCCTGCCAGCACTGGGCAAACTCATAATTGTGCTATCCTCCCTGTAGCACTGATGTCTCCCATGCCCACCTAGCAACACCAGGACCTGAGAAGTATATTCTGCCTAAGCAGGTGCCCCAGAAACCCCAGGTGAATCAAGCAGACCAGAATAGCACTATCAGAGCTCTGAAAACTAAATTGTCCTGGGGCCCACAGCCCAAAAAGGTAAGTCAAGACACACGCATTAACCCTATACAGATAATTACTTGCTAAAACAGAAGATTTAAATAGATTTCAGCCTCCTAACATAATACCAGAAATGTATAGGATGCAACAGAGAATCATTTGTTATACCAAGAACCAGGAACACCACAAATTGACATGAGAAAAGATTATCAACAGCCACAGTAGTGAGGTGAATCAGATGTTGGAATTATCTGACAGGGATTTTAAACCAATATCATTTAATGAATGCACTTGCAATGAAGAACTTTTAAAACTTGAAACCAGTTCAAAACAATGAAGAAAATTATTTGTTACTTATGTAAGAATTAAAATGTCTAGATATCGGCTGGGCACAGTGGCTCACGCCTGTAATCCCAGCACTTTGGAAGGCCAAGGCGGGCGGATCAAGAGGTCAAGAGATCGAGACCATCCTGGCCAACATGGTGAAACCCCGTCTCTATTAAAAATATAAAAATTAGCTGGGCATGGTGGCAGGCGCCTGTAGTCCCAGCTACTCGGGAGGCTGAGGCAGAAGAATAGCTTGAACCCGGGAGGCGGAGGTTGCAGTGAACCGAGCTCATGCCATTGCACTCCAGCCTGGGCGACAGAGCGATACGCCATCTCAAAAAAAAAAAAAAAAAAAAAAAAGCTTAGACATCAATCACAAAACAAGGTGGACAAATTACAGAAAGGAAAAATATTTGCAACATATGTGACAAGCAATGTGTCAATATCCTTAAACTATAAAACAAGAAAATAGAAATATAATATATAAAATCCTTAAATATAAAAATATATTAAAATCCTAAAATCCTTAAAATATAAAATCAAGAAGAAAATACAAATCAAAAAGAAAAAAACAGTCAAACAACCTGGTGAAAAAATGTGCAGGGGACACGAATAGACGTTTCACAAGAATGGCCACTAATGATATGAATAGATAGCCTTATATAAATAACTATATGTTAAAATTATAAAATATCATTGTTCTCGATCAGTTTGCAAAGTACTAGGGAAGTAGTTTCCATTACACTATTAGTGGGAGTGTTAAGTCTCTTCGGAGGGGATTATAGGGATGTCTATCAAATTTTTTAATGTATTAATACATTACCTTTGACCCAGCAATTCTATTTTCTAGGAATTTATCCTATGGACATAATCATGTACAGCCGTATAGACGCTGAGAATGGAGAATTTATTTATTTGTTTATTTATTTTGAGACAGAATTATCGCTCTTGTCACCCAGGCTGGAGTGCAGGGGTGCGATCTCACCTCAGTGCATCCTCCACCTCCCAGGTTCAAGTGATTCTCCTGCCTCAGCCCCCCGAGCAGTTGAGACTACAGGCGCCTGCCACCATGCTCTGCTAATTTTTGCTTTTTTTAGTAGAGATGGGGTTTCACCACGTTGGCCAGGCTGGTCTCGAACTCCTGATCTCAGGTGATCTGCCTGCCTCAGCTTCCCAAAGTGCTGGGATTATCGGCGTAAGCCACCACACCCAAAGAGAATGGAGAATTTATTAGAACATTTTAATAACAAAAATCTGTATATACCCATTCACAGGTGAGTGGTAGAATAAATCATGGTTCATCCAAACGATGGCATTTAATATAACCAAAGTAAAGAATGAAGTGTAGCTATGTGTGCTAAATGAAAAGGTATCTATGATATATTATTGAGAAAAAAATAAAAGCAAAGTTATAGAGAGTTATATAGTATGACCCCTTTTGAGTAAAAAAAGCAAATAATTATAGTTTAAAAGTTCATCAGTCTCGGCTCACTGCACCCTCTGCCTGCCAGGTTCAAGCAATTCTCCTGCCTCAGCCTCCCAAGTAGCTGGGACTATAGGTGCACGCCACCATGCTTGCCTAATTTTTTGTATTTTTAGTAGAGACGGGGTTTCACCATGCTGGCCAGGCTGGTCTCGAACTCCTGACCTCATGATCCGCCAGCCTTGGCCTCCCAAAGTGTTAGGATTACTGGCATAAGCCACTGTACCCAGCCAGTATGTGTGACTTTTATGATACAAAATTATTTAAATAATTAATAATAAAAAGATAAGAAAATCAAAGAAAAAAATGAACAAAGTATAACCAAGTACCTTAGCTTTAAAATGCATCTTAGATTATTTTTTTTTCTAATCTCAGAATGTAGTCTTGAAATGTACTTTAAAATCCTTTGTTTTCCTCTCTGTCCCACCAGGCACTTCCTTGCCTGTGCTCAATTATCTAATTATGTACTTCCTTAGAATTTCCAGGGGCTAATCTTGAAAGAAACCAGGCATGGAGACCCAGTTTTGCAGTTCTCTGCCATCTAGAGATTACCTCAGGAAGTTAATCTACAACCTGGCCATTGTCAAGATAAGATGGCACCAGCCCACACTCCAGGTGAACTATAACTCAAGACAGCCATTGCAACAAGACACACAGACCCTGCACCCTACACCACTCCCATGTATCTCCCAGACCAGGGCTCCCTTCTTTTTTTTTTTTTTTAATTTTTAATTTTATTTATTTTTATTTATTTCTTTATTATTTATTTTATTTTTTATTTTTTATTTTTTGAGACAGAGTCTGTCTGTTGCCCAGGCTGGAGAGCAACGACACAATCTCAGCTCATTGCAACCTCCACCTCCCGGGCTCAAGTGATTCTCCTGTCTCAGCTTCCTGAGTAGCTGAGGCTACAGGCACGTGCCACTATGCCCAGTTAATTTTTGTATTTTTAGATAATTTTTGTATTTTTGTATTTTTTGTATTTCACCATATTGGTCAGGCTGGTCTTGAACTCCTGACCTCAGGTGATCCACCCACCTTGGCCTTCCAAAGTGCTAGGATTACAGGCATGAGCCACCACACCTGTCCCAGGTCTCCCTTCTTAAACCCCTTCACTCTGCCTAAAAATTTGATATGATTCTTTGAGACCTGAGCACAGCCATTCTCTTCAACTGCTACCATTTGAATAAAATTGCTTTCCTTTTACCACATGGCACTTTGTTTTTTGGCTTCCAAGTGGCGAGCAGCCAGACCTGAGTTTGGTTACAAAAGGACTTAAACTGGCAATTTTTAATAATGAAAATAGCCAAAAATGTTCAAAAATGTCTATTCTCTCAAACACACATTTGAGCAAATATACAGTAAAGTATTTTCAAAACATTTCTCATCCATGAGTTTGGATGAGATTTAAAATATTTGACAAATATTTGATGAGGCTATAGAAAATAGGTATACAAAGAAGCACTGATGTGATTTCAGATAAAGTTTCAGGAATGAAACAGTTTAGCAATTTTATTTAAAAAATTTTTTTTTCTACCAAGCACGGTGGCTCACGACTGCAATCTCAGAACTTTGGGAGGCTGAGGCAGTTGGATCATCTGAGGCCAGGAGTTTGAAACCAGCCTGGCCAAGATGGTGAAACCCCATCTCTACTAAAAATACAAACATTAGCCAGGCATGGTGGCAGGCGCCTATAATCCCAGCTACTCATGAAGCTGAAAAGAGATAATCACTTGAACCAGAGATGTGGAAGTTGCAGTGAGCCGATATCAGGCCACTGCACTCCAGCCTGGGCAATAGAGCAAGACTCCATCTTAATAAAAAATAAATAAAATTAATATTTTTTCTTTTACTATCATTCCCAATGTTTATCAAAAAGTTGAAAATGCATATTCTTTGAACCAACAATTTCACTCCTATAAGTTTTTCCTAACAAAAAAATTGGCTGGGCATGGTGGCTCATGCCTATAATCCCTAGCACTTTGGGAGGCTGAGGCAGGAAGATCACTTGAGCCAGAAGTTTAAGACCAGCCTGGGCAATATAACCAGACCCCATCTCTACAAAAAATAAAAATATTAGCTGGGCATGGTGGCATACACCTATAGTTCCAGCTAACTGGGAGGCTGAGATGGGAGGATCACTTGAGCCATGGAGGTCAAGGCCTCAGTAAGCCAAGACTGCCCCACTGTACTTCAGCCCGGGCAACAGAGCATGACCCTGACTCAAAAAAAAAAAAAAAAAAGCCAGGCATGATGGCTTATGCCTATAATCCCAGCACCTTGGGAGGCTGAGGCTGGCGGATCACCTGAGGTTGGGAGTTCGAGAACAGCCTGACCAACATGGAGAAACCCCATCTCTACTAAAAATACAAAATTAGCCAGGTGTGGTGGCACATGCCAGTAATCCCAGCTACTCCGGAGGCCGAGGCAGGAGAGTCACTTGAACCCAGGAGGTGGAGATTGCGGTGAGCCGAGATCATGCCATTGCACTCCAGCCTGGGCAACAAGAGCAAAACTTCGTCTCAAAAAAAAAAAAAAAAGGAAGAAGAAGATAAAGAAGAAAACAAACAAGATATAAAGATTTATTTATAAGGAACTTTGCCATAGTGCTAATTATAATTTTAGATCATTTTTAAAGCCCAATTGTCCATCAATAGGAAATCAGTAGAACTATTGTTCATTCTAAAACTAAATACTTGACCAGCCATTTTTAAAATAAGGATATATACCTGTACTATTGATATGAACAGAGCTCTATGTAGTATTGTTAGGTTAAAATGCAGGATACAATATATCACTCTAGTATATAGTATACAAATAAGCATTTTTTGTATATGTGCATATATGTCCTATAGCTAGAAAAATATGACAATCTACATTAAATCTGTAAAATATTCTACCAAAAAAAAATTAAACCTGAACCCAATCAAACCACTAGATCTAACTTCCAGTTTTACCAGAAATTTAAGGACAAGAGGAGCATGATAAATGATACCATCTAAATTCAGAGTGTAGAAAATTCAATAACTAAATGGAATTGTTACAAAAGGGAGGAAAGATCTGTTTTTTTATTAAAAGAAATTTGTGAGATAAATCAAACAAATGCAATGTGCAGACCTATTTGGATTGTGATTCAAACACTGGAACACAGGTCTGGTGCAGTGGCTCACGCCTGTAATCCCAGCACTTTGGGAGGCTGAGGCAGGTGAATCACCTGAGGTCAGGAGTTTGAGACCAGCCTGACCAACATGGTGAAATCCCATCTCTAATAAAAATACAAAATTAGCTGGGTGTGGTGGTGCATGCCTGTAGTCCTAGTTACTTGGAAGGCTGAGTCAGGAGAATTGCTTGAACCCAGAAGGCAGAGGTTGCAGTGAGCTGAGATCATGCCATTGCACTGCAGCCTGGGCAACAAGAGTGAAATCCATCTCAAAACCAAACAAACAAACAAACAAATAAAAATGTTGGAACACAAGCTGGGTATTAGAAGATGTTAAGAAATTAACACTTTTTTTTTGGTCAGGTGTGATGATATATATTTTTTTAATGTCTTTATCCATTGGGGATACATACAGAAGTATCTATAGGTGAAATGCTGCAATTTAATATGAAATAATAAGCAAATAAAGAAAGTAGAGGAGTGTATTAGTCCATTTTCATGCTGCTGATAAACACATACCTGAGACTGGGCAATTTACAAGTGAGAAAGTTTTATTGGATTTACAGTTCCACATGGCTGAAGAGGCCTCACAATCATGACAGAAGGTGAAAGGCATGTCTCACATGGCAGCAGACAAGAGAAGAGAGCTTGCTCAGGGAAACTCCTTTTTTAAAAAACCATCAAATCTGGTGAGATTTATTCACTATCACAAGAACAGCACGGGAAAGACCCACCCCCAAAATTCAACTACATTCCACCGGGTTCCTCCCATGACATGTGGGAATTGCAGGAATTACCATACAAGATGATATTTGGGTAGGGACACAGCCAAACCATATCAAGGAGTATACATCAAAAGAAGATTTCTAAAAATTGATAATTTTTGCAAATAGATGATGGCTACATAGTTCTGTGCTATGTTATTCCCTCCACTTTAAAATATACTTAAGATTTCCATAGTAAGAAGCTTTATTAAATATATAAATAATTGGAAAAAATTCAGTGGCATATTTACAAGTTATCTCTATGTGGTGAGATTGGGAATTATCTACTTCTTTAACTTTTGTGTGCCTGAATTAGATGATTTTTTTTTTTTTTTTTTGAGACAGAGTCTTGCTCTGTTGCCCAGGCCAGAGTGCAATGGCTCGATCTCAGCTCACTGTAACCTCCGCCTCCCGGGTTCAAGCGATTCTCCAGCCTCAGCCTCCTGAGTAGCTGCGATTACAGGCATGCACCACCACGCGCAGCTAATTTTTGTATTTTTAGTAGAGATGATATTTCGTCATGTTGGCTAGGCTAGTCTTGAACTCCTGACCTCAGGTGATCCACCAGCCTCAGCCTCCTAAAGTGCTGGGATCACAGGTGTGAGCAACTGCACCCAGCCCACCAGATGATTCTTTTTTTTAATTTTTTTAGTATTTATTGATCATTCTTGGGTGTTTCTCGGAGAGGGGGATTTGGCAGGGTCATAGGACAATAGTGGAGAGAAGGTCAGCGGATAAACATGTGAACAAAGGTCTCTGGTTTTCCTAGGCAGAGGACCCTGAGGCCTTCCGCAGTGTTTGTGTCCCTGGGTACTTGAGATTAGGGAGTGGTGATGACTCTTAACGAGCATGCTGCCTTCAAGCATCTGTTTAACAAAGCACATCTTGCACCGCCCTTAATCCATTCAACCCTGAGTGGACACAGCAAATGTTTCAGAGAGCACAGGGTTGGGGGTAAGGTCATAGATCAACAGCATCCCAAGGCAGAAGAATTTTTCTTAGTACAGAACAAAATGGAGTCTCCTATGTCTACTTCTTTCTACACAGACACAGTAACAATCTGATCTCTCTTTCTTTTCCCCACATTTCCCCCTTTCCTATTAGACAAAACCGCCATGGTCATCATGGCCCGTTCTCAATGAGCTGTTGGGTACACCTCCCAGATGGGGTGGCGGCCGGGCAGAGGGGCTCCTCACTTCCCAGACGTGGCGGCTGGGCAGAGGGGCCCCCCACCCCCCAGACGGGGCGGCTACCGGGCAGGGGCGCCCCCCACCTCCCAGACGGGACGGCTGCCGGGCGGGGGCGCCCCCCACCTCCCAGACGGGGTGGCTGCAGATGATTCTTTAATTAAAATATTTGTGGAAAAAAAGTAAGGTTGAATTTTCTCTTAAATCTAAAATTTTCTGACCCAATCTTTTATCAATCCACTATGCTAGCTCACTCACTCCCGTTTCAACTATATTTTTACCTCACTAATCTCCTCCATTCTTCAAACACTAC
This sequence comes from Homo sapiens, assembly GCF_000001405.40. Lineage (NCBI taxonomy): Eukaryota > Metazoa > Chordata > Mammalia > Primates > Hominidae > Homo > Homo sapiens. The sequence goes on from NC_000007.14 coordinate 138,379,177, forward strand.
TTTCTCCTCATATGTCTCAGCTGCTGTCACTTTCCTCTCAATCCAGATAATATTGAATGCATCAATCACTCATGTAGGATATCAGCAACTTCTTTGCAACATTTTTCTTCCGTCCCATCCACCTGGCAAAACCCCAACCACTGGATCAGCCAGACTAGCTGCCTTCTCAATACCAAAACTGCTGAATGTTCACTTTCTGGATTTATGGTCTCTAACCTCAAGTGGGCTCAGAAAATATACTAGGAAGTTCTCTATTCAGATCTTCTTCCCATTTTTCACAGTGACTTTTACACACAGGCTCATCTGCAGAGAGCAAGCCAATAGAGAAAACTGCTCCAGTTACCGCCCCTCACCTATAATCCTAATCTGCAAATTGTAGTCCATTTTGTGCTGCTACAACAAAATACCTGAGACTGGGTAATTTATAAAGAATAGAAAGTTATTGTCTCACAGTTCTGGAGGCAGGGAAGTTCAAGGTCAAGGCACCAGAAAGTTTAGCGTCTGGTGAGGGCTGCTCTCTGCTTCCAACATGGTGCCATGCTGTTCCATCCAGAGGAGGGAAGAAGTGCTGTGTCCCCTCACAAGGTAGAAGGCAGAAAGGCTACAGAGCAGAAAGCTGCCTGAAGCTGATTTTATAAGGGCCTTAATTACAATCACGAGGGAGGAATGGCTTTATGGCCTAATCACCTCTTAAAAGCCCCATCTCTGGCTGAACGCAATGGCTCATGCCTGTAATCCCAGCACTTTGGGAGGCTGCAGCAGGTGGATCATCTGAGGTCAGTAGTTGGAGACCAGCCTGGCCAACAGCCTGTCTCTACTAGAAGTACAAAATTAGCTGGGTGTGGTGGCAGGTGCCTGTAATCCCAGCTACTCGGGAGGCTGAGGCAGGAGAATCGCTTGAACCTGGGAGATGGAGGTTGCAGTGAGCCGAGATCACCCCACTGCACTCCAGCCTGGGCATCAGAGCAAGACTGTCTCAAAAATAAATAAATAAATAATAAATTATATAGGCAAGAAACTCGTTAATTATTTGATCTGTATTTTTACAATTGGTGCATATATATTACTATACTGTCCGCAACTCTTGTCTGCATGTTATAGAAAACTTAACTAGCAGTGACTCAGAAAAATGAAGTTTTGTTTTGTTTTTTTTTTTCATATAAGGAGTTTGTAGATAGGGAATACTGGCATCAAGGTCCAGGCCAATGTTCTGAGATGCTCTTTGCATATACTTCATGACTAAAAATAGCTGCCAGAGCTCTGGACATTAAGTCTGCTTTCAAGAGAGGAAAAAGAAAAAACAGAAGAGATGGTGTTGGCCACATCTGCCTCTTTCATGAGGAAATAAAAGTCTTTCCCACTATGCACCAATAGTCTTCTGTTTATGTACCAGCAGCCAGAATTGCCTGCAAATAAGATTAAGAAGGTCAGTATTTGGGAGGCTGAGGCGGTGGATCATTTGAGGTCAAGAGTTCGAGACCAGCCTGGCCAACATGGTGAAACCCCATCTCTACTAAAAATACAAAAATTAGCCAGGAGTAGTGACACATGCCTATAATCCCAGCTACTCTGGAGGCTGAGGCAGGAGAGTCACCGGAACCCAGGAGGCAGAGGTTGCAGCAAGCCGAGATCTCGCTACTACACTCCAGCCTGGGAGACAGAGCGAGACTCATCTCAAAAAAGAAAAGGTCAGTATTTTAGGCTTTCCCAGTCTTTGTGGTAGAGATCACCGTGATCTGTGTCTACCATAAAATTGCAGGTGAATTCAACCCTAAACCATTGTGTTCCTTGGACAATTAAGGTCTTTCTGGAACATACATAGCGGAGGAAGCAATCTGGCATCATTTTCTTTTGTAATCTTATGCTTAAACTCTCCTAGTGCTTAAAGCACCTGTTCACTTTTTATTTTATTTTATTTGTATACTTTTTTTGCTTTTTCAGTTTGTTTTGTTTTTTGTTTTTGAAACAAAGCCTCATTCTGCCGCCAAAGCTGGAGTACCGTGGCAAGATCTCGGTTCACTGCAGCCTTGACCTCCTGGGCTCAAAGATCCTCCCACTTAAGCCCCCCGAGTAGCTAGGCATGTAACACCATACCCACCTAATTTTTGTTTATTTTTTGTAGAGATGAAGTCTCAGTATGTTGACCAGCAGGCTGGTCTTGAACTCCCGAGCTTAAGCAATATTCCTGCCTCAGCCTCCCAAAGTGGTTGGATTACAGTTACGAGCCACTTCATCCGGCCTACTTTTTTTTTTTTTTTTTTTTTTTGAGGGATGGGGTCTTGCTATGTCGCCCAGGGTGGTCTCAAACTCCTGACTTCAAGCGATCCTCTCGCCTTGGCCTCCCAAACTGCTGGAGTTACAGGTGCTAGCCACCTTGCCTGGCCTGATTTCTTTAGAGATGTAGTTCATTTTAAGTTTTACTAGAAGGAGGTCAGATGCAGTGGCTCACACCTGTAATCCCAGCACTTTGGGAGGCAAAGGCAGGTGGATCACTTTAAGTCAGGAGTTTGAGACCAGCCTGGCCAACATGGTGAAACCCGTCTCTACTAAAATTACAAAAATTAGCCAGGCATGGTGGAAGGCGCCTGTAATCCCAGCTACTTGGGAGGCTGAGGCTGGAGAAGCGCTTAAACCTGGGAGGTAGAGGTTGCAGTGAGCCGAGATCGCGCCACTGCACTTCAGCCTGGGTGACAGAGTGAGACTCCATCTCAAGAAATAATAATACTAAATAAATTTTACTAGAAGGAAGCTAATACAATTATAGGCAAGTCAATCTGTTGGACAAAGATTCTGGGTTCAGCACCACATATTTCTGTCACATCATGAAACTGCTCCTCTTTGGAGCCCTGTGACAAAATTCAAATATTATGTTTTATAATTCATATTTTCTTAAATAAAAATTATAAAAACAAGAAAGACTAAATTATAAAGATAGAAGGTTAGGCTAGTGTAATAACAAGATACAGCTTCCCATAATTAATTCAGATAGTAAAATTTGTTAATAATTTTAAAGAAGAACTATAGAGATGGGAATCAGTGATCAAAGTAGTTATGTATTTAAGACCAATATTCATTTATTATATTTTTAATAATAATGAACACACCATAATCTATTTTTAGTAATAACATAACAAAAATACTATCACCATAAGATATTCTTTCTTCCCACCTTTCACGAGCTAATTATACAAACAAGCTCTGAGAGCTCAATATCCACCACTTCCATTTTCTTTGACTTTCTTGTTTTTGTCTACGGTGTGACTTTATTTGGCATTTAGATTCTCACACGACATTCATAACAAAATCAATTCCAGGTAAAATAAAAATTAATGTATAGAATGTGTTATAAAGAATAGTAATTTAGGCCAGGTGTGGTGGCTCATGCCTGTAATCCCAACACTCTGGGAGGCCGAGGAGGGCAGATCGCTTGAGCTCAGGAGTTTGAGACCAGTCTGAGCAACGTGGCGAAACCCCATCTCTACCAAAAATACAAAAAATTAGCTGGACATGGTGGTGTGTGCCTGTAATCCCAGCTACTTGGGAGGCTGAGATGGGAGGATCGCTTGAGCCCGGGAGGCAGAGGTTTCAGTGAGCCAGGATCACACCACTGCTCTGGAGCCTGGGTGAGAGAGTGAGACCCTGTCTCAAAAAAAAAAAAAAAAAAAAAGAAGGAAAGAAAAAAATAATAATTTAAAAGCCTTGGTTCTGATGCATGAATAAACAAACAGATCAGTGAAACAAAATATAAACTATAGAAAGAGGTCCAAATGTACATGGAAAGTTAGTAGAGGATAAAGGCAACATATAAAAACAGTAGGGAAAAAGCTGATTTGTGATCAATGGTGTTGGGATGCTGGGAAGCCATCTGGAAAGAAATGAACTTGGCTCCCTTCCTCCTTCCTTTTGCCAAAATAAACTCCACATGACTCCAAATTTTAAATGTAAAACTGAAATCTTAAAAGTAGTAGACAAAAACATAAATTAATTATGGTATGTGTCTAAATAAGATGCAAATCCTGGAAACTATAAAGGAAAAGATTCATAAATGGACTACATAAATATTTAAATTTTTCTGTATGGCCAAAAGTACCACAAACAAACTGAAATAACAAAATAGGGGAAAAAATAAAACATATAGGCAGAGTACTAATTTTCTTGAAATTGGAGAGTCTTAATAAACAATTGCTTTGACTCAGCAATTCCAGTTTTGAAAATTTAACCATTGATATTTCTGCCTATGTACACAGACATACTTACAAAACGGTTCATTGCAGCATTATATGAAGTATAGTAGACTAAGAGGCATCGCTGTTTATCATCCTGAGCTATTCAGTAGAAAATTGGGCAGCTATTTTTTTTAAATGGGCTACATATACACATACTAATCTAGAAAGATATCACAGGTATACCAGTAAGTAAAAGAGAAAAAGAGCAGAAGAAAGTTTGAAACAGGTTATCATTGCTTAAAGGCTATATGTGTGGGTATGAATTGATGAAAGAACAGACCCATTAGTATTTCTGGAGATCTGGGTTGGGAAGAAGTATAATTTGACTTTTTTTCATAAGCATGTAACATATGTGCATGTATTTCTGTTCAAATAAAAAGTAATTTATATACAAAAATAACTTAATACTTACCAAATTTCTAAAGGGGAAGAACTGTAAGAGTAAAGGCAACAGAAACAATCAGGAGGGAAAAGATTTTATCAATTTGACAACATAAAATTAAGACACCTAGGCCAGGTGCAGTGGCTCACAGTTGTAATCCCAACACTTTGGGAGGCCAAGGCAGGAGGATCACTTGAACCTAGGAGTGAATTCAAGACCAGCCTGGGCAACATAGGGAAATTCCATCTCTTCAAAAATTTTTTTAAATTAGCTGGGCATGGTGGTGTGCACTGATAGTTCCAGCTACTCAGGAGGCTAAGATGGGAGGATCACTTGAACCCAGGAGATCGATGTTACAGTGAGCTATAATCACACCACTGCACTCCAGCTTGGCCAACAGAGTGAGACCCTGTCACAAAAAATTAATTAATTAATTAATTAAATTTAATTAATTAAATAAATATGTGGCCAGGCATGGTGGTTCACGTCTGTAATCCCAGCACTTTGTGAGGCCATGGAGGTAGATTGCTTGATCTCAGGAGTTGGAGATCAGCCTGGGCAACATGGCAAAACCCTGCTTCTACAAAAAATATAAAAATTAGCTGGGCATGATGGCAATTGCCTGTAGTCCCAGATACTCAGGAGGCTGAGGCTGGAGGATGGCTTGAGTCTGGGAGGTGGAGGTTGTGGTGAGCTGAGATCGTGCCACTGCACTCCAACCTGGGTGACAGAGTCAGATCTTGTCTCAAAAACAAACAAAAAATAAAATAAAATATCTAAGCTAGCACAGTGACACAGGCCTATAGGCTCAGCTACTTGGGAGGCTAAGGCAGGAGGACCACTTGAGCCCAGGAGTTCAAGGCTGTAGCGTGTGATAAATGCACCTATGAATAGCCACTGTACTCCAGCCTGGGCAACAAGGCAGGAGAGACTCTGTCTCTATTTAAAAAGGGGGGAAAAGAATAATCTAAGATAAAATTAACACAATACAGTACTACTTTTTTTCTCTCAAATAAGCAAAGGTTTCCTAACACAATCACATTTAATGCTAGCACAGATAAAGGGATACCATCACCCTCATGCATGCTGGTGAAAATTTCACATTTAAGAAAGCAATTTGGTGCTGGGTGCAGTGGCTCACGCCTGTAATCCCAGCACTTTTGGAGGCCAAGGCGGGTGGATCACCTGAGGTCAGGAGTTCAAGACCAGCCTGGCCAACACAGTGAAACCCCGTCTCTACTAAAAATACAAAAAAATTATCTGGGCGTTGTAGCACCTGCCTGTAATCCCAGCTACTTGGGAGGCTGTGGCAGGAGAATCGCTTGAACCCGGGAGGTGGATGTTGCAGTGAGCAGAGATCACACCATTGCACTCCAGCCTGGGCGACAGAGCAAGATTCCGTCTCAAGAAAAAAAAAAAAAAAGCAATTTGGCGAACTGATTTCCTTTAAAATTAATTAGAAAAGCCTGTTGATCAAGGAAAGGTAAGTTTATTAGAGGCACTGCAGTAGGGAAGAACATGATCTTGCCAGAATCCAGTAGTTTCTCAGAATGGGAAATTAGGACAGAATGTTTTTAGGGTTTCATTACCTGGGTTGGGTGATGTTTAAAGAAGGCCTTACAAAATGGGGGACTGTTGGGGATTGAGTATAGTTTATGGCATAACTTTTAATTGGTGGGTACAGTGTGGCAGCTGAGTCTTGATTTGTAGGTATGAGTCTTAATAAGTAAACTAATTTGTTGATTCATAAGATATTTCCTGCAGCGAGCAGCTGACTTGCTTTTACTTGTTCTCAGTTTTGTTTTGTTGTTGTTATTATTATTATTTTTTTTTTGGCCCAGGGTCTTGCTCTGTCGACCAGGTTGAAGTGCAGTGGTGGGATCAGGGCTCACTACAGCCTCAACTGCCTGAGCTCAAGCAATTCCCCAACCTCAGCCTCCTGAGTATCTGGGACCACAGATGTGCACCACCATGTCCCGCTTTTTTTTTTTTTTTTTTTTTTCCTTTAAGAAATGAGGTCTCGGCTGGGCGCGGTGGCTCTGGCCTGTAATCTCAGCACTTTGGGAGGCCGAGGTGGGTGTCTCCCCTGAGGTCAAGAGTTCAAGACCAGCCTGGCCAACATGGTGAAACCCCATCTCTACTAAAAATACAAAATTAGCCAGGCATGGTGGCACATGCCTGTAATCCCAGCTACTCAGAAGGCTGCAGCAGGAGAATCGCTTGAACCTGGGAAGCAAAGGCTGCAGTGAGCCAAGATGGCACCATTGCACTCCAGGCTGGACAACAAGAGCGAAACTCCATCTCCAAAAAAAAAAGAAAAGAAAAAGAAATGAGGTCTCACTATGTTGCTGAGGCTGGTCTCAAACTCCTGGGCTCAAGTGATCCTCCTGGGATTTCAGGTATGAGCCACAGCCCCTGGCCTACTGTTCCCAATTACTTATTTATTTATTTATTCATTCATTTTGAGACAGAGTTTTGCTCTGTTGCCCAGCCCAGAGTGCAGTGGTGTGATCTTGGCTCACTGTAACCTCTACCTCCCAGGTTCAAGCGATTCTCCTGCCTCAGCCTCCAAAGTAGCTGGGATTATAGGCGCCTGCTACCACGCCCAGCTAATTTTGTGTTTTCAGTTTCACCATGTTGGCCAGGCTGGTCTCGAACTCCTGACCTCAAGTGACCTGCTTGCCTCAACCTCCCAAAGTGCTGGGATTACAGGCGTGAGCCACCATGCTTGGCCTCAATATTGGTCTCAATATTGTTTAGCAGAGAGAAGGGTGTACGCTTCACCTTAGAATTATTTAGCTCTGGGACAGGAAGTATGTTTGGTCCCAGAATTGTTTAACTTGGGGAAAAGAAAATATGCCTGCTCCCAGTACTGTTTAATAAAGGGACAGGGAAAAACTTAGAATGCAATTCTCACATCAAAAGGCTCAAATGCTCCTTTAAAAAAAAAAAAGTATGTTTCTGTCATTTATTTTTACAGAGAAAAAAAAGAAAAAGTAATTATAAAAATAAAATAACAAAACAGCCTTAACTATCCTTCATATTATAGAGTCCTAGGATAAAGTTTACATACTCGCAGCTCAGGTTCTATCTAAAGCACTTTAACTGTGGTGATGTGAGATAATGTACCTTCTTTTGGGATTTCACACCAATGATGTAATCCATGAGCTAAATTTTTTCAAATGAATAAAGAAATATTCTTCATATTTAAAATATTTCTTACAATATTGCACTGCATACTTTCTGGTATTTTTGACCAGCCAGAGGGATGATATTCAACATATTTTAATAAGCAGCAGTGCATAGGTGTTGAACAAGCAGAATGTGAATGGGATGTAACAAAACCAGTTTTTTTTTTGTTTCTTTTTTTGTTTTTTTTTTTTTGAGATAGAGTCTCGCTCTGTCACCCAGGCTGCAGTATAGTGGCACGATCTCGGCTCACTGCAACCTCCGCCTCCCGGGTTCATGCCATTCTCCTGCCTCAGCCTCCCGAGGAGCTGGGACTACAGGCACCCACCACCACGCCCAGCTAATTTTTTTTTTTTTTTGTATTTTTAGTAGAGACGGGGTTTCATCGTGTTAGCCAGGATGGTCTCAATCTCCTGACTTCGTGATCCACCCACCTCAGGCTTCCAAAGTGCTGGGATTACAAAACCAGTTTTAATATACTAACATACACCAGAAAAATACCAACCTAGCTATTGCACAAGCAGACATCAAATCCACAAATCGATGAGAAAGAAGACTTCACCACCCACTACAGAATCGTAGTGAGCTTAACACAACATAAATTTATTCCTCATTAATGTTACACGTCTTTTTTTTTTTTTCCAATTTTATTTACTTTTTTTGAGACAGAGTCTCACTCTGGCAGGATCTGGGTTTGCTGCAACCTCCGCCTTCTGGGTTCACGCAATTCTCCTGCCTCAGACTCCCAAGTAGCTGGGACTACAGATGTGTACCACCACGCCCAGCTAATTTTTGTATTTTCAGTAGAAACGGGGTTTCACCATGTTGGCCAAGTTGGTCTCGAACTCCTGACCTCAGGGGATCTGACTGCCTCAGCCTCCCAAAGTGCTGGGATTATAGGCATGAGCCACCACACCCAGCCACTGATGTTACACTTCTACTGAGAGTTTATGGGGCTCTGCTGTGTCACTCAGAACCCACAATGATAGAGCAGTCATTACCTGGAATAATGCCAATCACTGTGCAAAAATGAAACAAAGCCATTGAGGTTCTCACATTAGCAATTATGGGTCACTTCTGCTCACAACTCATTTGTCAGAACTAGTAGCTAGACCCCACACAATCACAAGGGGCCAGCAAGCACAATTTTATATGCTCAAAAGGGGTTAACAAAACATATACTGAATGGCAGTAGTAACTACCACAGGATACCTATCATTGTCTGATGGGTTCTTCCTGCCTGCTGCACAGACAAAATCAATTCACTGATACAACTGCAGTATTGCAGTAAAGAAAGAATGTAATTAATGCAAGGTCAGCCAAACCGTAGGATGGGAGTTTTATTATTACTCAAATCAGCCTCCTGGAGAACTCAGAGGCTAGGGTTTTTATGGATAATTTGGCAGGCAGAGAGCTAGGGAATGGGTGCTGCTGATAGGTTGGAGATGAAATTATATAGGTGTGAGGCCGGGCGCAGTGGCTCACGCTTGTAATCCAGCACTTTGAGAGGCCGAGGCAGGCGGATCATGAGGTCAGGAGTTCAAGACCAGCCTGGCCAACATGGTGAAACCCTGTCTCTACTAAAAATACAAAAATTAGCTGGGCATGGCAATGGTTGCCTGTAATCCCAGCTACTCAGGAGGCTGAGGCAGGAGAATCGCTTGAACCCAGGAGGCGGAGGTTGCAGTGAGCCGAGATCGAGCCACTGCACTCCAGCCTGGGCAACTGAGCTAGACTCCATCTCAAAAAAAAAAAAAAGAAATTATGCAGGTGTGGAAGAAGTCCTTGTGAGCTGAGTCCATCATGAGTCATGGGTCTAGGTGGGGTTAGTCAGTGGCCAGAATGCAAAAGTCTGAATAACATTTCAAAAGACCAATCTTAGGTTATCCAATCCTGATGTTATCTACAGGAGCAATTGGGCAAGTCACAAATCTTGTGACCTCCAGCCCTATGACTCCTGAGCTAGTAAAAGATTATAGAAACTATGCCTATCTTATCAGAATTCAGGCCCCTCTCATAATCCTAATCTTGTGGCCTTTCATTAGTTTTACAAAGGCAGTTTGATTTTGGGAAGAGCTGTTAAAGCAAAGATGTTTGCTTTAAGGTTAAACTATAAACTAAATTCCTCCCAAAGTTAGCTTGGCCTATACCCAAAAATGATCAAAGACAGCTTGGAGGTCAGAAGCAAAATGGAGTCAACTGGGTCAGATGTCTTGCTGTCATAATCTTGCAAAGGCAGTTTCAGCATCACTGCCAATCATTTAGGCTAGAAAAGGGAGTTTGAGAATTCAGTGTCTTATCTGTGTAGTTTTATTTATCTGCTTCTCCTTATACGGGAGTGGGGGTCCAGGGAGGAAAGGTAGTAATGATTGACTTTGCTATTAGAATTTTTGAATAAAAAGAACAGACCTCAATCTCAAGGAGGGTTGAGGAAAAAGTGCAGTCAACTTGGGATAATGGATTAATATTAAGTTTAAAAATACTATTGAAAAATCTTTGTGACACTTTATACTTCCATGAATTCTAAATGTTTTTTGCACCATTTTCTCCAATGAACCAATTAATATAGTGCTTGGCAAGGGAGTAGCATCAATCTGGGCTGGGCGTGGTGGCTCAAGCCTATAATCCCAGCACTTTGGGAGGCCAAGCCGGGTGGATCACCTGAGGCTGGGAGTTTGAGACTAGCCTGACCAACATGGAGAAACCCCATCTCTAATAAAAATACAAAAAAATCAGCCGGGTGTGGTGGTGCATGCCTGTAATCCCAGCTACTCGGGAGGCTGAGGCAGGAGAATCGCTTGAACCCAGAAGGCGGAGGTTGTGGTGAGCTGAGATTGTGCCATTGCACTCCAGCCTGGGCAACAAGAGTGAAACCCCGTCTCAAAAAAAAAAAAAAAAGAATCAATCTGTTCTTTGGTCAAGAATTCCTTCTCAACAAAGAGTGCAAGGAAGGCATATCAGGCACAGAAAAGCATTATTTAATATCAATGAGTCAGTCCGGGCATAGTGGCTCATTTCCCTGTAACCCCAGCACTTTGGGAGGCCAAGGTGGGTGGATCACTTGAGGTCAGGAGTTTGAGATCAGCCTGGCCAACATGGTGAAACCCTGTCTCCACTAAAAATACAAAAATTAGCTGGGCGCAGTGATATGCGCCTGTAGTCCTAGCTACTCGGGAGGCCGAGGCAGGAGAATCGCTTGGACCCAGGACCGGAGTTTGCTGAGCTGAGATTGCGCCACTGCACTCCAGCTGGGGCGACAGAGTGAGACTCGGTCTCAAAAAAAAAAAAAAAAAAAAAAAATCCATGAGTCAATGAATGGAATAGAACTAATAACTCATACTGGGCTGGTTAGAATAGAAGACCCTGTAGGAAATAAAGGCAAGAGAAAGTTAGATTGATTGAGATCAGTCACCAGGGAGCGTCACCAGTGCCTTCCTTTCTTGTGTATAACATTTTATTCTAGGCCCCTTTCACCTTCTCCTGGGATTATCACAAAATATTTCTAGACATTGCATTTGCCTCCAATCTGCTTCTTTAAATGTTTTCTAATTATTAGGGCAATGTGTTCCTCAAATGTCACTTTCATTATATGAATCTGCAATTGTAATCTATGTTCATCCCTTCAGTCTCTTGAAGGCCCTATCCATTTAGCCTCATATTATCATTTACTTGGAATTTTACAGGTTAGTTAAGGCTATTATGAGGGATAATATTCACAAGTATTTTCTGAAAGTAGAAATAGGCTGGATACAGTGGCTCATGTCTATAACCCCAGCATTTTGAAAGGCAAAGGCAGAAGGATCGATTGAGGCCGTGAGTTCAAGACCAGCCTGGGCAGCATAGCGCCAGGCGCAGTGGCTCACGCCTGTATTCCCAGCACTTTGGGAGGCTGAAGTGGGTGGATCACTTGAGGTCAGGAGTTCGAGATCAGCCTGGCCAATATGGCAAAACACCGTCTCTACTAAAAACACAAAAATTACCTAGCTGTGGTGGTGCATGCCTGTAATGCTAGCTACTGGGGAGGCTGAGGCACGAGAATAGCTTGAACCTGGGAGGTGGAGGTTGCAGTGGGCCGAGATCACACCACTGCACTCCAGCCTAGGCAACAAAGCAAGACTATGTTTCAAAAAAAAAAAAAAAAAAAAAAAAAAAGACCAGCCTGGGCAGCATAGCAGAACTCTGTTTCTAAAAAAAAATAAATAAATAAAATTAAATTAAATTAAATTAAAATTAAAATAATTTTTTTTGTTTTGTTTTGCGATGGAGTCTCACTCTGTTTCCCAGGCTGGAGTACGGTAGTACGATCTCAGGTTAGTGCAACCTCTGCCTCCTGGTTTCCAGCGATTCTCCTGCCTCAGCCTCCTGAGTAGCTGGGATTACAGGCATGCACCACCACGCCTGGCTAATGTTTTGTATTTTTAATAGAGACAGGGTTTCACCATGTTGGCCAGTCTGGTCTCAAACTCCTGATCTCAGGTGACCCGCCTGCCTCGGCCTCCCAAAGTGCTGGGATTACAGATGTGAGCCACCGCAGCCACCCCCCACCAAAATTTTTTTAATTAGCCGGGCTGAGCACCATGGCTCACTCCTATAATCCCAGCACATTGGGAGGCCAAGGCAGGAGGATTGCTTGAGCTCAGGAGTTCTAGACCAGCCCAGGGAACATAGTGAGACTCCGTTTCTACAAAATTTTCTTTTAAAACTTAGCCAGGCATGGTGGCACACTCCTGTAGTCCTAGCTATGCAGGGGGCAGAGGTGGGAGGATTGCTTGAGTCCAGGAGGTTGAGGTGACAGTGAGTATGATTGCACCACTGCACTCCAGCCTGGGCAGCAAAGTGAGAACCTGTCACTAAAAAAAAACAAAAAAAAGTATAAATAGATAGTGTTCTAAATCACTGTAGAATGACTATAGTTAACAATAATGTATCATATAGTTTCAAATAGCTATAAGGCGGCTATTGAATGTTCCTAACACAGAAATGATATATAGTTAACAATATGTGGCCAGGCATGGTGGCTCAAGTCTGTAATCCTTTGGGAGGCCAAGGCAGGTGGATCACAAGGTCAAGAGATCGAGACCATCCTGGCCAACATGGTGAAACCCCATCTCTGCTAAAAATACACAAATTAGCTGGGTGTGGGTGTCTCAAAAACAACAACAACAACAACAAACAATATGTATCATTTCTGTGTTGGGAACATTCAATAGCCTCCTTATAGCTATTTGTTAACAATATGTATCATTTCTGTTGGAAACATCCATATAGTTAACAATATGTATCAATATGTATAGTTAACAATATGTATCAATATGTATAGTTAACAATAACTGTTGATACATTTGTATCATATCATTTCAAATAGCTATAAGGAGGCTATTGAATGTTCCCAACACAGAAATGATACATGTTTGAGATGATGAATATGCTAATAATCCTGATCTGGTCACTATATATTATATGTATCAAAACATCACTAGGTATCCCATGAATATGTACAATTATTGCCAATTGTTTTAAATGGAGGAGAATAATGGCTATCATAAAAAAAAAACAAAAGATAACAAGTGTTGAAGAGGATGTGGAGAAAAGGGAGCCCTTACACACTGTTGGTGGGAATGTAAATTAGTACAGCCATTATGGAAATCAGTATGGAGGCTCTTCCAAAAATTAGAAATAAAATTACCATATGATCTACCAATCCCAATACTGGGTATATATCCAAAGGAAATGAAATCAGTATGTCGAAGAGATATCTGACTCTCATGTTTGTTGCAGCACAATTCACAATAGCCAAGATAAGTAATCAACCTAAGTTTCCACCAACAGATAAATTAATAAAGAAAATGTGGTATCTATACATGATGGAGTACAATTCAGCTATGAAAAGGAATGAAATCCTGTTATCTTATTTGACGTGGATGAACCTGGAGAGCTTATGTTAAGTGAAATAAGCCAGGCACAGAAAGATAAATACCATATGATCTCACTCATATGTGAAATCTAAAAATGTGTTCACATAGAAGTACAGAATACAACAGTGTTTGCCAAAGACTGGGGAAGGGAGGGGCTGGGGAGAGTAAGAATGAGATGAAGCAGGGACTCCTCTTAGGGGCCTGTTGGACACCCCCCCAAGCATGGAAATAAAGGAAAACCTTGAGTTCCTTCAAGGGAAACTCCAGGCACCCAGCTAGCCTTGAGAAGTAAATGAACTGGATAAGCAAGAAGGTAATAGTAGCTTAAAGCAATAGCCAAGAAAGTTCAAGTCACAAAATGATTGATTCCAAATAAAATTTAAAGACAACATCTTAACGTTTGTCACTGAGATGTTTCTCAGAAACCCAGACCCCCACCAGAAGTACAGAAGTTCTTTCTGAACTTCTTCCTGAGGGACCTGGGGGAAGTCAAACCCACAGGCTACATCTAAGATTCTTTTCTGAGGACCCCAAGCTTTAGACAAAGCTTCCCTTCCTTCCTTCCTTCCTTAACCAGTTGCAAATGGAACAATCTTTGAATCTCCCTAAGACCTATAAGTAGCCCCCCCACCTCACCCCTGCCATATGGTTTTGATCTGTGTCTCCAACTAAATCTCATGTCAAATTGTAATCCCAGTGTTGGAGATGGGGCCTGGTGGGAGGTGATTGGTGATTGGATGGTGGGGGCAGATTTCCCTTTTGGTGCTGTTCTTTTTTTTTTTTTTTTTTTTTGAGACGGAGTCTCGCTCTGTCCCCCAGGCTGGAGTGCAATGGCGCGGTCTCGGCTCACTGCAAGCTCCGCCTCCCCGGTTCACGCCATTCTCCTGCCTCAGCCTCCCGAGTAGCTGGGACTACAGGCGCCCGCCACCACGCCCAGCTAATTTTTTGTATTTTTAGTAGAGACGGGGTTTCACCATGTTAGCCAGGATGGTCTCGATCTCCTGACCTCGTGATCCGCCCGCCTCAGCCTCCCAAAGTGCTGGGATTACAGGCGTGAGCCACCGCGCCCGGCCAGATTTCCCTTTTGGTGCTGTTCTTATGATAGTGAGTGAGTTATCATGAGATCTGGTTGTCTAAAAGTGTACAGCACCTCCTCCACCCGCTTCCCCCAGCTCTGGCCATGTGAAGACGTGCTGCCTGCTTCCCCTTTGCCTTTGCCATGATTTTAAGTTTCCTGAGGCCTCCCCAGCCATGCTTCAGCCTGCAGACTGTGAGCCAATTAAACCTCTTTTCTTTATAAATTACCCAGTCCCAGGTACTTCTTTATAGCAGTGCAACAACGGACTAATACACCCGCCTTTAAGATATCCCACCACTTTAGGCCAAAGTATAACCTCCATGCATTGATTTACAATTTTGCCTGTAACGTCTGCTTTCCTGATCTGCACCCCACCATTAAAAACCCTCGCGTGTACGTATGGCGCGGTGGCTCATCCCTGTAATCCCGGCGCTTTGGGAGGCTGAGGCGGGTGGATCACCTGAGGTCAGGAGTTCCAGACCAGCCTGGCCAACATGGCAAAACCCCGTCTCTACTAAAAATACAAAAATTAGCCGGGCGTGGTGGCGCATGCCTGTAATCCCAGCTACTTGGGAGGCTGAGGCAGTAGAATCGCTTGAACCTGGGAGGCAGAGGTTGCAGTGAGCCGAGATGGCACCACTGTACTCCAGACTGGATGACAGAGCAAGACTATGTCTCGAACAAACAAACAAAACCCTTGTTTGTAAGCTTTTGGAGAGGTCAGGCCTTAAGCCTGAGCTGCCTGATTGTCTTTGTTTGGCGCTCTGCAAATAAACGCCCTCCTTTCTCCCACTGCGAAACCTCAGTGTGGATGTTTGGTCTTAGCGCACCCAGCAAACAGACCCCAGTTCGGTTCAGTAACAGGAAGAGAATGGTCAACAAGTAGGAAGTTGTAATTAGGAAGAAAAAGTTGTGGTGTCCTGCACAAAGAGTGAC
This sequence comes from Homo sapiens, assembly GCF_000001405.40. Lineage (NCBI taxonomy): Eukaryota > Metazoa > Chordata > Mammalia > Primates > Hominidae > Homo > Homo sapiens. Next base: position 138,394,903 of record NC_000007.14, read on the forward strand.
TATAGTTACCGATAATGTATTGCATATTTCAAAATAGCTGGAAGAGAAAATTTTGAATGTTCTCACTACAAAGAAATGATAATGTCTGAGGGGAGAGATATGCTTAATTACTCTGATGTAATCATCACACAGTGTATGCATGTGTATATATAAAACAAAGCATCACATTGTACTAAACAGATATGTACAGTTATATGTAAATTTAAAAGTTTTTAAATAAAAAATAATGGAAATATAAAAGTTATCCACAGTTATATTATTTCTATAGAAACAATTGTTTTTCTTCTTCTTTTTTTTGAGACAGGGTCTCACTCTGTCCCCCAGAATGGAGTGCACTGCCTGGACTTCCCAGGCTCAAATGATCCTCCCACCTCAGTCTCTCAAGTAGCTGGGACCCCAGGAGCCCACCACCACACCTGGCTAATTTTTTTTTTTTTTTCCTAGAGATAGGGTTTCACCATGTTGCCCAGGCTGGTCTTGAACTCCTGAGCTCAAGCAATCCACCCACCTCAGCCTCCTGAAGTGCTGGGATTACAGGTGTGAGCCACCATGCCCAGCCATAACAATTCTTGAACAAGGCACTTAATCTCTCAAAACTTAAAAATTTTTTTAAAAATTAAATTTCTTATTTCTTTAGAGACAATGGTCTTCGTATGTTGCCTAGGCTGCTGTGAAACTCCCGTGATCCTCCCACCTCAGCCTGCCAAAATGCTGGGATTACAGGCATGGGCAACCGCGCCTGGCCAAAACTTCAATTTTTAAAAAATCTGATTCAAGTCATAGAAGAGTTGCTAAAAAATCAAACAAACAAAAATCTATAAAATGTAGGCAATTTTTTTTCCTGAGAATTAAATACATAAAAAGCATTTAGTAAAGTGCCAGGCATACAGTAATAGTTCCCACAAAAGTTTATTAAATTTTATTTATTTAAAAATTTAGACCCCTTTCTACAAAAAATAAAAATAATTAACCAGGCATGAAAGCACATGCCTCTGGTCCTAGCTACTTGGGAGGCTGAAGTGGGAGAATCGCTTGAACTCAGGAGGTTGAAGCTGCAGTGAGCCGTGATCACACCACTGCACTCCAGCCTGGGCAACAGAGCAAGACCCTGTCTCAAAAAAAAAAAAAATTACCGACTAACATCTGCATAAATATTTAAATAACAAATTGAGAATAAAACTTAAGAAAAAAATCAACTAAGTATCAAATAATTACTTTCTTAACTCTTAAACTGCCTAATCTAATGACATTCTAAGGCCAAAGAAAAAACTGATTTTGCTCCCAATTCTTGGTTTCCCATTAAGTGAGGTCTATCTGCAAGTTAAGGTTAAAAGTTCCTCTTGAACTAGAACCTTATAAGTGATTGTGCTTCACCTCAGGTGGTTCCCTTCCAATCAACATTCTGCCCATTTTCCTTCCCTTTGCACTTAAACACTTTTAGCACCATATAGCTTCCTGGCTCCAAATTACACTCTTAAATTGCCATTTAAAAACTGCTCTTCCTTAGAGCCAAGCAAAAGGACAGTATATTACAAAAGCAAAGATCACAGCTATACCCAGCCTAGGTCTACAACCTGATTGTCCGCTTTCAATGCTGAGAAGGTTGTCCTGGCAACCAGCTTTACTAACTTGCTCTATTTCTCTCTCCTAAAGCCTTTGAAGTGAGCCCCTCCTCCTTCCCAGCCTTTGAAGTGGTTCTGAATAGAATACTAAAGATTACCTATTAACTGGCCTAGCAGATTTTGATCACCCCAGAAACACCTGGGGCATTTTCTTGAGCCACAGGCACAGCACAGGCACAGAGTTTCATGTGATTACAGCCCAACCTGCTAGTGTAATTATTAATAACTAATCAACCAACTAATATTTCTTGAATATTTCCCATATCCTGGGCACTTTGATGGGTTCTACAAATATAAGAGTGAAATCCAGTCTCTGACCTCCATAGTTTCAATCTAGTGCCACCTAATCCTCTAACCTGCACTCTCCAGGGTAATAGCCATGGCCATACATGACCATCAAGAATTTCAAATGTGACCGGTCCAAAGTGAAATGTACCATAATGAAAAGTATTCATTGGAGCCAGCTGCAGTGGGATGCGTCTATAGTCCAAGCTACTGGGGAGGCTGAGGAAGGAGGATTGATTGATGCCAGGAGTTGGAGATCAGCCTGGGCAACATAGTGAACCCCATATCTACAAAAAACTTAATAAAAAAAAAACTTAGCAGGGCATGGTGGTGCATAGCTGTAGTTCCAGCTACTCAGGGGGTTAAGGCAGGAAGGTTATTTGAGTCTAGGAGTTTAAGGCTGCAGTGAGCTATGATCATGCCACTGCATTCCAGCCTGGGTAGGAGTGAGACCCTATCAGCGGGGTGTGGTGACTTACACCTGTAATCCCAGTACTTTGAGAGGCCAAGGTGGGTGGATCACTTGAGATCAGGAGTTCGAGACCAGCCTGGCCAACATGGAGACACCCTGTCTCTACTAAAAATACAGAAATTAGCCAGGCGTAGTGGCAGGTGCCTGTAATCCCAGCTACTCAGGAGGCTGAGGCAGGAGAATCACTTGAACCCAGGGCACGGAGGTTGCAGCGAACCAAGATTGTGCCACTGCACTCCAGCCTGGGTGACAGAGTGAGACTCCATCTAAAAAAAAAAAAAAAATGAAAAAGAAAAAAAGAAAAGAAAAGAAAGAAAGAAAAAGTTAATCCACAGATTGGGAGAATATATTTGTAAATCACATATCTGATAAGGACCTCATATACAGACTATATAAAAGAAATTTTATGATTTGATAATAAAAAGACAATCAAATTTAAAAATGGGCAAAGGATCTAAAAGACATTTTTCTAAAGAAATGGCCAATAAGCACATGAAAAGATATTCAACATCATTAGCCATCAGGAAAATGCAAATGAAAACAATAACAAGATGCTACTTCACAACCACTAGGAAAGATGGCCTATAATAAAAAAGACAAATAGTAACAAGCATTGGAGAGGATATAAGAAACTGGAACCCTAATACATTGCTGGTGGGGTGTGTTTTGGAAAATAGTCCGTCAATTCCTCAAAACCATAAACATAAACTTACCATAGGACCACACAATTTTACTGATAAGTAGAGACCCAAGAGAACTAAGAGTGTATATCCACACAAAACTTGTATACAAATGTTTATGCAGCAATATGAATGATAGCAGAAAATGAAACAAACTAAATGTGCATTAGCTGATGAACAGATACGTAAAATGTGGTCTATCCATATAATAAAAAAATTATTTGACAATAAAAATAAATTAAATACTACTGATATGTTTTACATTGAAGCTTGAAAACATCAAATGCTAAGTAAAAGAAGCCAATCACATAAGATTACGTATTGCAAGATTCCATTTATATGAAATGTCTAGAGTAGGCATATCTATAGGGACAAAAAATAGATTTGTGACAGTCTAGGGTTGGTGGGACTAGAGACAAATGGAATGGCTGTGGAAGGATGTGGGGGGTTTCTTTTGGGTTTGATAAAAAGGTTCTAAACTTAGATTGTAGTGTTGGTTGCACAACTCTGTAAATACACTAAAAATTTTGAATTGTTTATTTTAAATGGGTAAATTGTATGGTATGTCAATTTCATCTGAATAAAGTTGTTAAAATGTAATCAAGGTATTTCTAATAAAGAGTGAAAGCCAACTGCCACTGTTCTCAGCAATCATCTACAACACTGTCTTTGTCCATTTGTGCTGCAATAACAAAATACCTGTGGCTGGGTAATTTAGAAAGAACATAAATTTATTCCTTACAGTTTCAGAGGCTGAGAAGTCCAAGATCAGGGCACTGACAGGTTTGGTGTCTGGTGATGGCTCTGTCTCTGTTTCCAAGATGACAGCTTAAATGCTGTGTCCTCATATGGCAGAAAGGAGGGTGAGGCAAAGGCCTATGTTGTTCCCTCCAGTCCTTTTAAAGGTTGTTAATCCCACTTATGAGGGCTCAAGAACAGACTGGGCAACATAGTGAAACCCCATCTCTACAAAAATTAAAAAAAAAAAAAATTAGCCAGGCATGTTGGCATGTGTCTCTAGTCCTAACTACTCAGGAGGCTGAGGTGGGAGGATTGTTTGAACCCAGGAGTCCAAGGCTGCAGTGAGCTATGATCATGCCACTGCACTCCAGCCTGGATGACTTATTCCCCAGGACTTAGTCACCTCCAAAAGGCATTATCTCTCAATGCTATCGCAGTGGAAATTAAGTTTCAATATGTGAATTTTTTTTTTTTTTTTGAGACAGGGTCTCACTCTCTTGATGAGGTTAGAGTACAATGGCAAGATTATAGCTCATTGCAGCCTCCAACTCCTGAGCTCAAGTGATCCTCCTGCTTCAGCCTCTCAAGTAGCTGATACAGGCACATGAAACCACACCTGGCTAATTTTTTTAAATTTTTTTGTAGAGATGGGGTCTCTCTGTGTTGCCTAGGCTGCTCTCGAATGCTTGGCTTCAAGCGATCCTCCTGCCTTAGCCTCCCAAAGTGCTGGGATTACAGGTGTGAGCCACTGCTCCCAGCCCACATGAATTTTGCAGGACACATTCAAACCATAGCAAACAGGGACTTGGCAAATTGACAAATTTTATGCATTTTTCAATATCAAAAATCACAAACCAGATGGAGCTTTAGGAGCCTTCTCCATTCCATGCTTCACTACATACTAATCAGACTTGGCATTCAAGATATATTGTTGTGCCATTCCAGCTACATGTTCTTAAATATGCTAAGAAATAAAAAATGATTAGAAAGTAATATGGAAAAATGTTCACAGTCATAGTCTCTCTGGATGGTGGGACTTTTATCCTGAACTTTCCTAACTTTGAACAGCATGTATTAGTTTATAATCAGTAAAAAAACATTATCTTTAAAATAAAAAGGTATTTTCCTATCTTACTGGGGAGCAGTGTGGTAGTAGTGATTAATCAATATTCATAATGTATTATCCCTTGGGTCCTGGGGGCCTAAAACAAGTAAATATGATGTAATGAATATTTTTAAATCTTCAATAAAGTTATTATAAAATTTCAAAATTTTATAATAGGAGATAGCAGAATTTGTCATCACTTTCTGAGGAATGGTGTTAGGTATCTGTGAAGTCCACAGAGCAATCTTTTTTTCTCTTTCAGACAGCGTCTCACTGTCACCAAGGCTGGAGTGCAGTGGCATGATCATAGCTCACTGCAGCCTTGGAATCCTGGCTTCAAGTGATCCTCCCATCTCAGCCTCCTGAGTAGCTAGGACTACAGGCACATACCACCATGCCTAGCTAATTTTTTAAAAGTTTTCTGTGGAGACAGGGTTTCACTATGTTGCCCAGGCTGCTCTAGGGCTCTTGGCCTAAAGCAGTCTTCCTGCCTCAGCCTCCCAAAGCGCTGGGATTATAGGCATGGGCCATCACACCCAAACCACAGAGCAATCTTCTTTCTCAACATTGCTATCACAACTATTGAACATGGCCATCAGGGTAGGCTATATTGGGCTGAAGCAATGCAGAATATGCCATGTGCCACTCTGGCTTAAGGATTGTTTTGTGCTAAAGGCAATTGAGAATCAACAAATTCAGGAAGAGTTTTGTTCTCGCCATCTGCCTAAAAGCAGGCCGTAAATTTTTCTTTAATGAAAGTGTCACAGACATACACACACACGCATACACACACACACATTCCCCCTAACCTCTCCACCAGACCAGGGAGAGAAGAGCCACTCATCCTCAAGACGGGAAGTTGATGCCAAGATGAGTTTGCATAAACAGGTCTTACTCAAGCAGCCCTTATCTTCCATTAGTTCCCCCAGATGTTTCCTAGCCTTTTCCCCACAAATGATCATCCTTTAAGTCCAAACCCTCTTTCCATTGTTAAAAGGGTATATGAATCCCTGAGTCTAATCTCTTCTTTGAGTTTCACTTCTTTCCTCTGAACTCGTGTACACATAAATACTAATGCGGATTGGGTACTTTCTCCTGTTAATCTGTCTTTTGTCAGTTTAACTCACATACCTCCAGTTACAGAAATTAAGAAGACAGAGGCAAAGCTTTTTTCTCCCTGACATTTCTTGATTTTTAAAAATTATTAAATAATCTTCTTTACATAAAAATATTTTAAGAACTAAAAATTTATTAATATTGTTTTTATTGCTTTTATTTGTCAAGTATTGTGTAAAATTTATTAGGTTTTTATGTATTCCTTTTCTCCCTCAACTAGAATCCAAGCTTGAGGGAAAGACTATGTCCTAATGTAATGAGTGTTCAAATTCCCCTAAAATAGACCTTTTGAGGGAAAGGGAAAAATAAAATAAAATAAAATAAAATAGTCCTTTACATAGTGAAGGTAATCAGTAAGCAGTTATTAGATCTGTCTGTTATAAAACATTTTTTAGCAACAAAAAAGCATGCATTGTTGGTTGCTTTACATAAATGTCTCCAGCAACTACTTTGTGCTTAGCTACTAATCCACATATTTATAGCTCATTTTATTCTATGCCATATCGCCATGTTTACAAATCATCCTTTGGTTTTTATAGCCTATTTTATAGTTGCCTTTAAAATTTTGGTCTTTTGTAAAAGTCATCCTATATTCTAAAAACAAAAATGACTTATGTTTGAGTAACAAATGTGTTTTAATTTATGAAAAGTCTTTCTTGCATCTTATATTTCCATATCATATTTACTGAAGCTTGCATTTGAGTAGATTCTTATGATTTCTTTCTTTAGCAGAATTTTGCAGCTATTAAAATTAAAAAGCAAACTTTCAGTTTGAAATTAAACATTGATCTTACGGAATGTATTTAATAGTAATCAAATATCTGTAAGCAAATGTTCCTCATAATTAAAGTATGCCGTTCTAAATCTTATCTGTTCTTGGGCAATCTCACCACATATGAAAAAGATTACCTTTCATTCTGTCTTCACACTCCTTGATATTTGGATGAGTCAAAGGGTACATACATGTGAAGCAGTCCTACATTCTCTATCACTAGACTGAGTTGAAAGACTCTTTCGTGTTTCATGTAAATATCAGAACCAAATAAGATGGAATTTTTTAATCACCTCCTTCGTCGTTTCTTTCCTTACTTTCCTTCCTTTCCCCACCCCCACCAGTCTATCCCCAGTCATCTCTTCTTTCAAACTATCTCCAGATTAACAGTCAATCATATAACGTTCCTGCATACAAGGTTTTAATGGTTCATCCATTGCCTGAATAAAGCCTAATGTCAATACTAAAAGGAGACACATGGTGAAGGATATTGACTATTGTCTGGCTTGTCAAGGTGACATTTGCCTTGTTGAAGTCATCATTTTTGTGGTACGTCTTCATTTGAATTATGTTTGTCAATTTGCTAAGAGCACCGGTTCTCACTAAAGTAACGGAAGACTGACATGTAAACAACAATACTGCTATGGTCTCAATATTTGTGTCTCCCAAAATTCATGTGTTGAAACCTAACCCTCAAGGTGATGTTATTAAGAGGAAGGGCCTTTTAGGAGTGATTAAGTCAGGAGGGCAGAGCCCTTATGGATGGAATTAATGCTGTTATATAAAAAAGGCCTCAGGAAGCTCAGTCCCTTCTACCATGTAAGGATGCAGCATAAAGATACCATCCATGAGAAAGCTGGCCTTCTTCACACACAGAGCCTGCCACTGCCTTGATCTCAGACTTCCCAGGCTCTGGAACTGTGAGTAATAAATTTTATTGTTTATAAGCTACCGAGTTTTAAGGTATTTTGTTATACCAGCCTGAACAGACTAAGACAAACACCAATGTATTTAAGTACAATAAGAAATTTGGCCAGACGTGGTGGGTCATGCCTGAAATACCAACACTTTGGGAGGCCAAGGTGGGACTACCACTTGAGCCCAGTTCAAGGAGGTCAGCCTGGGTAACATGGCAAGACTCTCTCAAAGGGGAGGGGAGGGGAGGGGAAGGGAGGGGAAGGGGAGGGGAGGGGAGGGGGAGAGAGAGGGGAGGGGAGGGGAAAAGAAAAGAAGGGAAGAATTTTTGTTGTTGTTAGAGCAACTCCGCAAAATAAAATTCCTGTTACTTGTTGGACAACATTGTTTTATACATACATCAAACAGGCCAAAAAAATAATAAACAGCAACTCCATAGACAAAAAAGGGAAAAAAAAGAAACCTTTTATCTTTGGCCTTTTTAACCATCTCATACAAACCAACTACTTGTGGTACAGCTAAGTACATACCCAAAAAAGTTACTGGAATGCTCGTGTTAGATATGAGTTCTAAATTTCTTTTCAAATAATTACTATGTCAGTATGTTCAGTTCTTTGCCTTCTACTTTTAAACTTAACTTCCTCGTAAAGCAACCTTTTTCGATTACCTACTCCATCCTAACTCATTCCAATTACCTACTCCACCCTGACTCATTCTGATCACCTGCTCCACCCTACATTCCAATCACCTGCTCCACCCTAACTCATCCCAATTACCTGATCTGCCCTGACTCCCGCCAGAGCACTCACCCTGTCATTCTCTTTAAATTAGCCAATCGGAATTAGTTCAGCCTGTGCGGTCCAACCCTAGCCAATAGGGGAACGACACAGCGGCAGGGGCCACGTGCGTCAGGGATAAGAAGCCCTTCCCCTCCCTTGTCCAAGTGTGAGCTCACCATTGCTCCGTCTGTAAGGGCGCACCCTTCTATATAGAAGTAACTTGCCTTGCTGAGAATTAAAAAGAAAATTTTATATTTGAGTGCTATTCCTTTTGCGGCACCGAAACTTTATGTATAACACTTGGAATAAGATTGTTTTTCTGTTGTCGTTTTTGCTTTTTTTTTACAAGTTTTTTTTTTCTCCTTTGAGATTATAATGAACGTAGTCACACAACAAGTAAAGTCAGAAGTAGGACAGAGAACGCTCTGAAGGCTGGTTTGGTCATCCAAGATCATTAAAAACGGCGGACCCTAACAATATGTACAAAAATATAAAATGTAAATAAAAAATACAAATTTCCTTTTTAAAGTACATTTAAGAAAAAAAGCAGGGCCTTGGAAGTTTTGGTTCTTTTTCGTCCCCTGTTGCAAATTCTCATGGTTTGGGTTGGGTGGTGGAGAGCGTGTGTCACCCGCGGGTGGCACTGCCCGCGGTGGGCGGTGGGCAGTGGGTGGTGGTGGGGGGGCCTCTCTACTCAAAGGTGACCATGTTTAGATTCTGAGACGGGAAGTGGAGGGTGAATAGGTCACAGCGGTCTTTTTTTTTTTTTTTTTTTTTAGTTTAACTTTTCCTTTTTTGCTGTCTAGTCATCCTCGTGGGTCTTCTGCTTCTTGGTATCGACATCGTCATCCGCATCATCTTCAGCTGCCCGCTTGCCTGTAGCCAACTCAGCTTCCTCGTCGTCACCTCCATCCTCTTCTTCACCGTCACCTTCTTCTTCCTCCTCCTCTTCCTCCCCACCTTCTTCCTCTTGTTCATCTACCTCATTGTCAGCCTCCGGTCCCTGTTTTCCTCATGAGCATTCCCGTTAGCAGGGGCTTCTCTTCCATTTTCCGCCTCTTCCACAACTTCCTTCTTCTCCCGTAAGTCCTTGGTGGTGATTTCGGAGCTGGTGTCTACGGCTGCCTCTGACATAGGGGGTCACGCGGATGATCCAATGCAGGGGATTAAAAAGAAGCGAGAGTTCAGGGACTCTGCGCGATAAAGCTGCCCAGCCGGACAAGGAACAGTGCAAAGATGGCTTTTTAGAGCAGCCAGTGGGGAAAGGAAGGAACTGGCAAAAGAACTAGCTATTCTGACCACATCAATTCTGAATTCTTTTTTTTTTTTTTTTTTTTTTTTTGATACATAGTCTCACTCTGTCACCCAGGCTGGAGTGCAGTGGCACGATCTCAGCTCACTGCAACCTCCATCTCCTGGGTTCAAGTGATTCTCCTGCCTCAACCTCCCAAGTAGCTGGGTTTACAGGTGCCCACCACCACTCCCAGATAATTTTTGTATTTTTAGCAAAGATGGGGTTTCTCCATGTTGGCCAGGCTGGTCTCAAACTCCTGACCTCAGGTGATCTGCCCGCCTTGGCCTCCCAAAGTGCTGGGATTACAGGGGTGAGCCACAGCGCCCAGTCTAATTCTGAATCCTTAGAAATGTGTGAAAAGCTAGATTATAACTGAAATTATGTGTGCTTAGAATCAGGGCAAGAAGCAATGTGTTTTAAGTGCATGATGGCATTAGGCTTGATATTTCAGCAACAGATTTATACTGTATGTTGAGTCTTTAAACAGAGTGTCCAAAATATTCTTTTTAAAAAAAAAAAAAGTTTATTTGAGACAGGATTTAACTTTGTCACCCAAGTAGAAGTGCAGTGGCACAATCACAGCTCACTGTAGCCTCCACCTCCCAGGCTCAAGCAATCCTCCCACTTCAGCCTCCCAGGGTGCTGGAACTACAGTCACAAACCACTATGCCCAGCTAATTTTTGTATTTTTTGTAGAGATGAGGTTTTGCCATGTTGCCCAGGCTGGTCTCAAACACCTGAGCTCAAGCAATTCTCCTGCCTCGGCCTCCCGAAGTGCTGGGATTTCAGGTGTGAGCCACCCAGCCCAGCCTTTGTTTAAAAATTGTTAAGAATTTTGACATTGACAGAAGAACATCAAAACAAGTGCAGGGCCCTTCTGAGCTCATGGCCCTGTGTGACTGGCCACACATTCATAAAGCCAGCCTAAATATAAAACAATCCTGTAGTGCAAACTACCACCCACCATCTAAACCCAGCTTGCCCTCTGTTTCTCTAAATAAAGTTTTATTGGAGTGCAGCCATGCTCATTGGTTTCATACATGGCTGTTTTGGTTCTACAAGAGGAGAGTTTTCCGTACATGCAACAGAGATTGTAAGGCCCACAAAGGCTAAAATATTTACCATCTGGCTGTTTATAAAAGTTTGTTGCATCCTGCTATAGTGTGTAATCTGTCAGTTCTTGCCCCATACTTGCTATTCTAAATGAGCACTCAGCCATCTACAACGTGCTCCACTCTTCTCCTCGGAAACCATGTAGAGTCCACCTGGAGTCTATAGCTACAAATCAGAAGAATTTGGACACTGCTGACCTGCTCACAGACTGAAATGCCAAGAATTTCTGTGGCACTGTAAGGACAGCAATAACTGTGAATTCTCCATGGGGAAGCCTGCAAAGCTATATGATCTCTTCTACCCGAATCTCTTGTGTACCTGAGGTTTCTCACCACGCTACCACAAAACAATATACAGCTGCCAACTCCCAGTCAGCAACTTGCCTGGAGTCTTACGTTCCCCTCATAAAGGACAGGTCTCAAGGATTGCTCTTCTTGACTGGCTATTAATAAAGTCTCTAAAATCCTCTAGCACCATGTCTGGCATATCTGCCTCCCACCTAAATTCCCCTGGACCAGGTGCCCATGTGCTATGGTCTGAATGTCTGTCCCCTCCGAAACTCATGTTGAAATTTAATTACCATTGTAACAATATCAAAAGATGGGATCTTATTTTTATTTTTTTAATTTTAATTTTAATTTTTTTTAGACACAGTGTCTCACTATGTCATCCTGGCTAGAGTGCAGTAGCACAATCATGGTTCACTGCAGCCTCAACATAGGCTCAAGAGATCCTCCTGCCTCAGCCTCCTGAAGAAGTGATACCTTCAAGAAGTGATTAGGTCATGAAGGTTCTACCTTCCTGAATGGATTAATGCCATTATCTCAAGAGTGGGCTTGTCATGGCAGGAGTGTGCTCATTATACAAGGGCAAGTTCACTCCGCTTTCTTCCCCCTCTTCCCCGCTTGCCTTCTGCCATATGATGACATAGCAAGAAGGCCCTCACCAGATGCCTGCCCCTTGATATTGAACTTTCCAGCCTCCAAAACTGTGAGCCAATAAATTTCTGTGTATTATAAGTTGCCCAGTCTCAGACATTCTGTTATCACAGCACAAAAGACTATGTAACCTTAATACCTGGGCTAGGTCCTATTAGGACTTTAAGGATCATAGTTTACTCTGAAGGCTAGCTATCTAGTCAGCCTGCTATAGTTTCATGGATGCTAGTAGAAGACATGAGACATCTGGGTCAGAAATAAAGGACTGTTTATTACTTACAACAATAGCAATAGCCAAAGTAACAGCATTTTGGAACCAGTTCCCCAAGCCTCAGTTTCCACAGGGTGACACAAGCGCCCGTTGGTGTCTGCACAGGCAGTGAGTTCTGTTACAGGAAAAGCACCCTGAGCTTGGAAAAAGAATCCTATTATAATGGGCTATATAGCACACTTGTCCTTAGCCCTAGAAGGAAAGATTATTTTACTACACTGGATAGTAAGCAAACTTGTTCTTTTGCTATGAAGGGAGACACTATCTCTATCCTTCAAGACAGTTTGCTATATAAATGTCCTCTAAAGACAGATTAGAACAAAAGGCAGTCAGTGCCCTGGTTGCAAAATGTGCAGAAATGCAAGAAATTCTTGGAGAATTGTCTCTCAACAGCCTCCATATGGACTTGGTCCTTTATGGTGACTCTTCCCTCTCACTCCTATAGCTATAAATGAGCCCCTTTTTTCCTGTGAGCAAGCTGGAGTTTTGCTAATGATCTTCTCCCAGGTTTGAGTCCTTCTTTTCTAGTTTGCAGATTTATACTGGGCACTTTAGAGAAATATACCCTACCCATCGCATTGCCCCCAAACCAATATATAACTAAATGGTCTCTCATGTTTTGTGACTTTTCAAGTAGAATTTTATCAATTGTTTTTGTGTATATATAGCCATACAACTTAGGTATCACGATATGTTTAAAGCACTTAGCCATTTCCTCCCCCCAACCATTCACCATGTTCTTCCCAAATTCTTAAAGCTGTGTATGTGTATAATGCTACAAAAAATATGATATTAAACTCAAATGCCAGGGCATTCCAGCCATCATACATAAATGTTAGAGATTATTACTGGAATCATGTTTAGAATGTACCATGTAAGGAGTCTATTGTGCAAATGAGAGACTAAACGGAGTGGATAAAACGGAAAAGGAAGAGGAATCAGGAACTCATTCCAAACAAAAACATCATCCAGAGGAAACAGGATAAGCCTGTCCAGACACAGGAAGCTATAACGAGGAAGGAAAAGCAATTCTCAGAACAGATGGGCGGAAACTGAGCAACTAACAGAGGTGGAGCCATGTTTATTTGAGAAAGTGTATTCTGAGATTTGGGGGTTGAACAGAATCTGTGCTTATTCCCCATAGCTCCTGGATCTATAATGATGCTATATGTGGATACTGAACTGGCATGCATGAGCTCCTGTAAACGATCAAGCTATTTCTTAAACCTATAATTCTCTGTCACTTGTAACTTCCTGTCTTTTGAAAAATACATGTATGTTTTTATTTGAATGGATACTAACTTGATTAATTCATTTCCTAAATATTTGAATTTCTAGAGAACTGTGAAAGTTTATGGAGATGATTGAAAAGGATATTGAAATCAGGTCTATCCCAGAAAATATAGGACAGATGGTTATGGGGCATTAAAAAAAGAGAACTGTTAAGCCTACAATCCAGCATCCTATTGTCTGCTGTATTTTTTAAAAGCTTGCAGAGTAAAGCATATGTTATTGTTTCATCTCTTTTGATACAAGTAAATTCCTTCAAACACATACAATTAAAAATAATCCACTCTCAAGTAAATTGTATGTCTATGTGAATAAAAATGCAATCCCTTGTAGATGAGTTTTATGTTTCCCAGCTGTCCATGAGATTATTATGTATCATAAATTATATACTCTGTACTCTGCATTCCTTTGCAGCTACAAATGAAAAGATTTAGGCTTTTTTAAAATTTCTTACTGAAGTAAAGACCTCACTAATTATTCATCAGCTATAAAGACTTTATAATTGTTCAATATTTTGAAGCATTTGTGCACATAAACTAACCCTCATTTTAATAGTTTATTCATCTAACTGCTTTAATAAAGATAGAGTACCTCTTTTTTTCATACTCTAAACATCAAATGCAATCTTTTCAAAACAACTAGAATCATTGATTTTGAGAGCTGAACAATATTTCATTTTCTCAAGGTAAATAAAAAAACTGAGTCTCAGTGATTGCCTAAGAATCATATTCCCACAAGATCTGCCCAGCTAGAAGTGCATTAAAACCATTTTTTCAGACCCTTAAGGGTTCATGCTCTTTCTATAACATGCAGATTTTTCTCTTCATGATTCTTATAGGGAATTGATTCTAAATTTATTCAATTTATTAGTGCTCAGACAGATGTTTGTATATCTCTTATAACATGACCACTGGGCATTGCTTTTTTTGATTCTTTAGTTATCTAGGATTTTATTCTGTATTACTATTCCAGATGAATATTTTAAATCCTTAATTTATTCTTGTAATAAAAGATAGGCTTTTCTTTGGGGGCAAGTCCATTTTTCAAGCTAAACTGTGGAAAGCTGGAACTCCAAACCAAACATAAATTAAAATTTAAATTTAACCGTGTTGTGATGCCAACGAACCACTGATGGTTTTCAAAGTCTTCACGAAGGCTGGTAGAAAAACTTCACAGTGAATGAATTTTATTACTTCTGACTATAACGTCCCTACCTAGGGTGCTTCTGTAATGTTTGTGAGACTGAAGTACTTAGAAATGTGCTCCTGGCTACATTTTACCTTATTTTCTTTTTCTTTTCTTTTCTTTCTTTCTTTTTTTTTTTTTTTTTTTGAGATGGAGTTTCGCTCTTTTGCCCAGACTGGAGTGCAACGGCACAGTCTCAGCTCACTGCAACCTCTGCATCTCAGGCTCAAGCAATTCTCCTGCCTCAGCCTCCTGAGTACCTGGGATTACAGGCATATGCCACCACGCCCAGCTAATTTTGTATTTTTAGTAGAGATGGGATTTCTCCATGTTGGTCAGACTGGTCTCAAACTCCTGACCTCAGGTGATCCACCCACCTCAGCTTCCCAAAATGCTGGGATTACAGGTGTGAGCCACCATGCCCAGCCTATTTTACCTTAGTTTCATCTCTTCATTATTCTTGTTCAATTAGGCCCCCTGGATACCTTAATTTTTTTCTTGGATCACAAATTCTTTTGTGGAATTCTTTGCAAATAAAATTTCTACTTTCTGTAGAAAGAACGCTTATGGTGTAAAGTCTCTGTGCTCCTCAGTGTTGGTGGCTATAAGGATTTCTTGCCATGTCCAATGCGTAGGCTTTTCCCAAAAGGCTTATGCTGTGGCTCCCTTCCACGTGTTCACATTGCCATCATAAGGCACAACTGGCCAGGCACGGTGGCTCACGCCTGTAATCCCAGCACTTTGGGAGACCAAGGCAGGCAGATCACTTGAGGTCAGGGGTTCGAGACCAGCCTGGCCAACATGGTGAAACCCCATTTCTACTAAAAATACAAAGATTAGCCAGGCATGGTGGCGCACACCTGGAGTCCCAGCTACTCGGGAAGCTGAGGCAGGAGAATCCCTTGAACCCAGGCGGCAACTAAATTCCTTCAACACATATAATTAAAAAATAATCCACTCTCAAGTAAATTGTAGTCTATGTGAATAAAAATGCAATCCCTTGTAGATGAGTTTGCAGAGGTTGCAGTGAGCCGAGATCATGCCACTGCACTCCAGCCTGGGTGACAGAGTGAGACTGTCTCAAAAATACATACATACATACATACATACATACATACATACATACATACATACATATGGCACAACTGTGTCTGTCTTCCATTAGCACTTTTTTGGGGAGGAATTGCCATATGAATGGGTGCACCAATATATTTTCCCAGTGACAGTATACAAGGGTTCCCTTTTCTCCATGTCCTCACCAATACTTGTTATCTTTTGTCTTTTTTGATAATAGCCATCCTAACAGATGTGAAGTGATATCTCAGCGGTTTTGATCTGCGTTTCCCTAATGGTAAGTCATGTTGAGCACCTTCTCATATACCTGCTGGCCATTTGTATGTCTTTTTTGGGTAAGTGTCCATTCTGTTTGCCCATTTTTAAATCAGGATATTTCTTTGGGGTTTCTTGTTTGTTAATTTGTTTGCTATTGAGTTGTAGGAGCTTCTTATGTATTTTGGATATTAATCCCTATCAGATCTATGGTTTGCAAACATTTTCACCCATTCTGTATGTTTCCTTTTCATTGTGTTGTTTCCTTTGCTGTGTAGAAAGTTTTTAGTTTGTTGTATTCCCACTTCCCACTTGTCTATTTTTACTTTCTTTTAACCTATGCTTTTGGTGTCATATCAAAAATCATCACCAAAGTCAATGTCAGGATTCTTTTTCCTGTATTTTCTTCTAAGGAATTTTATGTTTTCAGTTCTTATATTTAAGTCATTAACCCTTTTTTTTTTTTTTTTTTTTTTTTTTTGAGATAGAGTCTCCCTCTGCCACCCAGGCTGGAGTGCAGTGGTGCGATCTCAGCTCACTGTAACCTCCGCCTCCTAGGTTCAAGCAATTCTTCTGCCTCAGCCTCCCGAGTAGCTGGGATTACAGGCATGTGCCACCAGGATTGGCTAATTTTTGTATTTTTAATAAAGACAGGGTTTTACCATGTTGGCCAGGCTGGCGTGGAACTCCTGACCTTAGGTGATCCACCCGCCTCGGCCTCCCAAAGTGCTGGGATTGCAAGTGTGAGCCACCGCTCCCAGCCCAATTAATCCATTTTGAGCTGGCTTTTGTGTATGGTGTAAGATAAGGGTCCAGCTGTCTTCCATTAGAATTTCATCCATGGTTAAAATGGACAAACTTTTCCTGTAATGGCCTTAAAGTAAGCTGTAGAATTTTATAATTTTATTTTATATTTATATTATTTATAAACTATCTTTTCCTCCAAATATATTTACTAACTATAGGACTTTTTTACCAGTTAAAATTTTGTGTCCATCAGTTTATATTGGTTGGGCACAGTGGGTCATGCCTATAATCCCAGCACTTAGGGAGGCTGAGGTGGGAGGCTCACTTGAGCCCAGGAGTTCAAGACCAGTCTGGGCAACACAGCAAGTGAAAATTAAAAATTAATTTATATTAAATATTTGTACATTTTTCCTCCCTTTCTTATTCCAAATATTCCTTTTTTATAACAGTATTTCAAAATCTAAGATTTTTTACGTCATTGTTTCTTTTTAAATCATGCAACTTTCTGGTTTTTTTTTTTAATTCTTGTTTATTTTATTATTTATTTTTTGAGACAGGGTCTCACTCTGTGACCCAGGATGGAGTGCAGTAACATGATAATGGTTCACTGTAGCCTCGGCCTCCTGGGCTCCAGCGGTTCTCCTGCCTCAGCCTCCCAAGTAGCTGGAACTACATGTGTGCCATCATGCCTGGCTAATTTTTTTGTAGAGGCAGAGTCTTGCTATGTTGCCCAGGCTGGTCTCCAACTCCTGGCTTCAAGCAATCCTCCCTCCTTGGCCTCCCAAAGTGCTAGGATTACAGGTGTGAGCTACTGCACCCTGCCAGGAAGATCTTCCTTGATAAGATACCGAAGGCAAAGGACAAAAAGGTTAAAATATTGATAAATTTGACTACATGAAAATTTTAAAATTTCTGTATGACAGAAATATGCTAGGAACAAAATTAAAGAAAATGCATAGACTGATAGTAAATATTTATAACAGGCAAAAGGTTATAAGCCAGAATGTTTATGTACTTTTATTTGTAGATAATCTATATTTAAGCCTCCTTTATATCAATAAGAAAAAGACAAATAACTCAATAGAAAAGCAAATTTGTATGAATGAGCAATTTATAGGAGGAAAAATATAAATAGTCAATAAACATATGAGAAGATAACAACCCTCATTGGTAATCAGGGAAATGAATGCTGAAACAAGAATGAAATACCACCTTTCAACCAACATATTGGTAAAGATTTAAAAGTTTGCTAATATCCATATTGGTGAGGTTATAAGAAAATGGATGGTCTCTTACATTGCAGGTAAGAGTATAATTAGTAAAACCACTTTGGGGGCAATTTGGCAATATCTAGTACTTTTCAATATGCGTATACCTTATGAACCAGCAGTTCCCCATCTTTGTATCTATGCTAAAGAGGCACTAACAGTTACATGCAAGAAAACTCATGCAAAGGCTCATTAAGTCATTTTTATCATGAAACATTAGAAACAACTAGCATCCGGAGAAGAGGAATGGCTACATAAACTGTAGCTATATTATACAATATTACGCAACATTTAAAAAAGAGGTATTGCTAGGTGCCGTGGCTCATGTCTGTAATCCCAGCACTTTGGGAGGCC
This sequence comes from Homo sapiens, assembly GCF_000001405.40. Classification (NCBI taxonomy): domain Eukaryota; kingdom Metazoa; phylum Chordata; class Mammalia; order Primates; family Hominidae; genus Homo; species Homo sapiens. Next base: position 138,413,179 of record NC_000007.14, read on the forward strand.
AAGGCAGGCAGATCGCCTGGGGTCAGGAGTTCAAGACCAGCCTGGCCAACACAGTGAAACCCCGTCTCTATTAAAAATACAAAATTAGCCAGGCTTGGTGGTGTATGCCTGTAATCCCAGCTACTTGTGAGGCTGAGGCAGGAGAATCACTTGAAACCAGGAGGCGGAGTTTGCAGTTAGCCAAGATCATGCCATTGCACTGTAGCCTGGGCAACAAGAGTGAAACTCTGTCTTAAATAAATAAATAAAAGAGGTAGCGCTGGGCGCAGTGGTTCATGCCTGTAATCCCAGCACTTTGGGAGGCCGAGGTGGGCAGATCACCTGAGGTCTGGAGTTCAAGACCAGCCTGGCCAAGATGGTAAACCCTACTAAAAATACAAAAATTAGCCAAGTGTGGTGGCAGGCACCTGTAATCCCAGTTACTGAGGAGGCTGACACAGGAGAATCGTTAGAACCCGGGAGGCAGAGGTTGCAGTGAGCTGAGATTGCGCTACTGCACTCTGGCCTGGGTGGTGTTGCGAGACTCTGTCTTAAAAAAAAAAAAAAAAAAAAGGAAAGCAAAATAAAGCAGGAAACCTAAAGATACATAGAATAGCGTATCAGTTTCCTAGGGCTTCCTTAACAAGCCACCACAAACTAGACATGGGTGCCTAACCTTTGGCTTCCCTAGGCCACTTTGAAAGAAGAATTGTCTTGGGCCACACATAAAATACACTAACAATAGCTGATGAGCTAAAGAAAATAAAAAAGGCCCGCGCATAATTTTCATGATATCTGCCACTATAGATAAGCAAAAAAGTCTTTGCATTCAAAGAGTTGGACACCACTGGCTAACATAAACTTATATATCATTTCACTGTTCTAGAGGCTAAAAGTCGGAGCTCAAGGTGCTGGCAGGACCCTGCGCCTGCTGAATCTTCCTGGCTTTTGGTGGCCCCGGGTGTTCCTTGGCTTGTGACAGCACAACTCTAATGCCCCGTTTTCATGTGGCATTCTCCCTTTGTGTCTTCTCATCACCTTTCCTCTGTGCATGTCTGTTTCTGTGTCTAGATTCCTCCTTTCTAAAAGAACACCACTGGCTGGGCACAGTGGCTCATTCCTGCAATCCCAGCACTTTGGGAGGCCAAGGTGGGCAGATCAGTTGAGGTCAGGAGTTCGAGACCAGCCTGGCCAACATTGCGAAACCTTGTCTCTACTAAAAATACAAAAATTAGCCCAGTGTGGTGGCAGGTGCCTATAATTTCAGCTACCTGGGAGGCTGAGACAAGAGAATTGCTTGAACGTGGGAAGTGGAGGTTGCTGTGAGCCAAGATCACGCCACTGCACACCAACCTGGGCGACAGAGTGAGACTCTGTTTCAAAAAGAAAAAAAGGACACCAGTCATACTGGATTAGGGCCCATCCTAACAACCTTGATTATCTGTAAAGACCCTGTTTCCAAATAAGGTCACATTCTGATGTACTGGGGGTTAGGACTTCAATGTATCTTTTTTGGGAGAGACACAATTCATCCCATAACAAATGGTATACCATATATGGAAAAAAAATACCATATCTTTTATTTTCTTTTGAGGCAGGGTCTCTGTCACTCAGGCTGGAGTGCAGTGGCTCAGTCTTGGCTTGCTGCAACCTCTACCTCTAGGCTCAAGCAATTTGGCCACCTCATTCTCCCAAGTAGCTGGGACTACAGGTGTGTGCTACTGGCTAAATTTTTTTGTATTTGTGTGTGTGTGTGTGTGTGTGTGCGCGCGCTAGCTGAAATTTTTGGATTTGTGTGTGTGTGCTAGCTAAATTTGTGTGTGTGTGTGTATGTGTGTGTGTGTGTGTATAGAGATGGGGTTTCACTATGTTGCCCAGGTTGGTCTCAAACTCCTGGGCTCAAGCAATCCACCTGTGTTGGTCTCCCAAAGTGCTGGGATTATGGGCATGAGCCACCAAGCCCGGCCTCATATATTTTCAAGAGTTCATATGTACATATATAAAGACAGATGGAAATATTTAGAAAAATACACAACTAACCAGGCTCAGTGGCTCACAGTGGGAGCACCGCTTGAGCCCAGGAGTTAGAGGCTACAGTAAGCTATGATTGTGCCACTGCACTCCCGCGTGGTGACAGAGCAAGACCCTGTCTCCAAAAACAAACAACAACAACAAAAAATACACCTAACTGATAAATTAGTTACTATTGCTGGTGGTAGAAGATCATATTGGTGGATTTTAGTATTTTAGCCTTTAGCTTTGTTGGCAATGTTCACATTTTTACAAGATAATGAATTACCAGAATAATTTTTCAAAAATCATGGCTGGTCCAATGATAGTGGGTTATCAGAACTTATTAACATTAGTGTAACTAAAGTTGGTAGATAATCCCCCCTGCTAAATTTGACTGGCTAAATAAATAAAAATAAAAATAAAAATCATACAATCCAGAAAGATGTTAATTAAAAACAATAGAATGCTTCCCTACACTTCTTGACCTCTTAGTTCCATTTCCAGAGGAAATCACTTAAAAAAAAAAGTTTTTAGAGAAGAAGTCTCACTATGTTGCCCCATCTAGATTCAAACTGCTAAGCTCAAGGGATTCTCCACTTCAGCCTCCCCCACGTAGCTGGGACAGCAGGTGCATGCCACCATGTCCAACTGGGAGCCAGTTTTTAACTCTTAGTAGTTATCTCCATTGATCTAAATAACATACTTCAGGAGATAATAATAATACCCAACTCCTAGGACTTATTGAGAGAAGTAAATGAACTAAGCCAAGCACAGTGGCTCACGCCTGTAATCCCAGCAATTTGGGAGGCCGAGGCAGGTGGATCACTTGAGGCCAGGAGTTCAAGACCAGCCTGGCCAATATGTCAAAATCCTGTCTCTACTAAAAATACAAAAATTAGCAGGGCATGGTGGCGCATGACTGCGATCCCAGCTATTTGGGAGGCTGAGGCAGAAGAATCGCTTGAACCTGGGAGGCAGAGGTTGCAGAGAGCTGAGATCGCACCACTGCACTCCAGCCTAGGCAACAGAGTGAGACTTTGTCTCAAAAAAAAAAAAAAAAAAAGAGAGAATGAGCCAATACATGTCAAGAACTTAGAACTGCTCTTGACACATTAATACTTAATATAGATTGGTTATTACTACTTTCATTAATTATTATTTTGTCATCTATCAATTTTAGTCAATTACCTATTGATTTCAGCAGTGATAACTGAGGATTTGGGGCTCTGATACCACTCCCTCCTTTCTCTCACCTTCTCAATTCATTTGCCTTTTCAACTACTCATTAACTCTTTTGGAGGTCTCCTGAGTTGTTCTAATTCTCCCATTGTTTCAGCTTCAAACTCACCAGTATCTAACCAAATGAATCTTGTCAGAATTGCTGCACTGAAATTTGGAAGAGAATCTGGTTGCATTGATCGTGGAGAAGTGATTTTTAATTTCTTGCTGAACTGGTCCCTTTCTTGATTATCTTTCTTGGCCTTTCCTTTTGTCAATCAGCCCATTGCAATCTGGCGTATTACTGTGCTTCTCGTCTAATATGCTTCTCTCCAGCTTCTAGAGGTCCAGTTTCAGATGCTGACCTAACTAATACTGTCACTCTTCCAATTTATTTATTTATTTATTTATTTATTTATTTATTTATTTGAGACAGAGTCTCACTCTTTCACCCAGGCTGGAGTGCAGTGGCACCATCTCTGCTCACTGCAACCTCCGTCTCCTGGGTTCAAGTAATTCTCATGCCTCAGCCTCCCTCAGCCTCCTGAGTAGCGGGGACTACAGGCGTGCACCACTATGCCTGGCTAATTTTTGTATTTTTAGCAGAAACAAGGTTTTGCCATGTTGGCCAGTCTGGTCTCAAACTCCCAGCCTCAAGTGATCCACCTGTCTCAGCCTCCCGAAGTGCTGGGATTACAGGCATGAGCCACCGCACCTGACCCAAATTTTTCTTAATGAATCAAAAGCTCTTTTACTGTTGTTTTTACATTAATGGTATGAGTCTTACCAAGTTAGAGCTCACTGAGAAAGCCAGCTCTCAACCCACATGTCATCTCATGTGCTAGCTAATGAACTTGATGTCACCAAATTAACTGGCATGTCAACTTCCCTTTGGGTTGCACTCTGCTTGTGACTTTCATTACACCTATCACCATCCTGACTGCAGGGTTAACCTGCTTCCAAGTTAACTCTCTAGAGCAAGAAAAAGAATGCTTTTTCTGGCTTCCCTCAGATGGAATTGAAACAGACCAAAAATTTTAAAAATACTTTATTGAATGATAAAACAGAAATGCACATAGAATATGAGACATATCAGTGGTCTGGCTCACAAAGAAGAGATATCATATCTTGCAAGCCAGGGTTTCATATGCCTTTTGTATCCAGTCTGATAAACTTCCTTCCCCCTAAGTGAATACCGTTAAGTGGTCTTAAAATAGCTTCTCATACACGAACTGAGTTTGCCCATAGTAAACCTCCAGTAGTGTGATATTCTAATACAATAACTGTATACTAGAATTACCCACAAAGGGTAAGAGGGAGGAACAAATAGTTTTTCTTTCACTGTGCATATCTCAAGTTAAAAGAACAATATCAAGGTAAGACAGTGTCTGCTACACAATGCACAGAGACCTTGGTTTCTGTGGGGCTGAAATCATGGACATTTCTATCACCTAGTAAGGAAACAAAGGTTGTGGAGAAGCAGCTGGTCCAGAAGAAACAGAACACAGCTTAGCATTACATGATCTAGATTCTACTAATTGTTCTTCCAATTATTCAACTAGAGCTCTTTGTCCTTGGAAAAGTGAACTTTTCTGAATCTCAGTTTCCTTATCTAAAGAGTGAGCATACCAATATTTACACTACTTATCTCTCAGTGTTGTTCAAACAATTGTTAAGGTAACAATTTATTGTAAGCAGAGTCAAAGTTTACTTCAGTCTTGCTCGAGGGAACTTGAAGAAAGTTCATAGATTTCTTTCATAGACTCTTTGTCTGATACTCATGGGTAGCTAGATAACATTTTTAGACTAAGTACAAGGAAAACTATCTTGGTACAGGTTATTGGGCTCCTCATGTGCACGTTACTGTTTTTTTTTATTATTATACTTTAGGTTCTAGGGTACATGTGCACAATGTGCAGGTTTGTTACATATGTATACACGTGCCATGTTGCTGTGCTGCACCCATTAACTCGTCATTTACATTAGGTATTCCTCCTAATGCTATCCCTCCCCCCACCCCCGACCCCATGACAGGCCCTGGTGTGTGATCTTCCCCACCCTGTGTCCAAGTGTTCTCATTGTTCAGTTCCCACCTATGAGTGAGAACATGCTGTGTTTGGTTTTCTGTCCTTGGGATAGTTTGCTCAGAGTGATGGTTTCCAGCTTCATCCATGTCCCTAAAAAGGACATGAATTCATCCTTTTTTATGGCTGCATAGTATTCCAGCAAGTTACTCTTTACAAAACTGTGTGTGGAGATCTAACAACCCATGAAGAACCCTATTATAAGACATTGTATTGTGGTTCAATTTTTTTTTTTTTGAGATGGAGTCTCCATGTCTGGCTAATTTTTGTATTTTTACTAGAGATGGGGTTTCACCATATTGGCCAGGCTGATCTTGAACTCCTGGCCTTGTGATCCGCCTGCCTCAGCCTCCCAAAGTGCTGGGATTACAGGCATGAGCCACCTCGCCTGGCCCAGGCCAGTTTCAATTACACTACCTTTCTAATTTTGCATAAAATTAAACCACAGGCCGGGTGCGGTGGCTCACACCTGTAATCCCAGCACTTTGGGAGGCCGAGGCAGGCAGATCACAAGGCCAGGAGTTCAAGATCAGCCTGGCCAATATGGTGAAACCCCATCTCTAGTAAAAATACAAAAATTAGCCAGGTGTGGTGGTGGGTGCCTGTAATCCCAGCTACTCAGGAGGCTGAGGTAGGAGAATCGCTTGAACCGGGAGGCGGAGCTTGCAGTGAGCCAAGATTGCGCCACTGCCTTCCAGCCTGGGCGACAGAGCAAGAGTCCGTCTCAAAAAAAAAAAAAAAAAAAACCTGGCCCAGTTTTCCCATAGAACTAAAGCTTGAGAAACTTACATTTGTCTTAACTGAGTTCCTTTCTCAGGAAACTGACTATCAGGGCTTTCAGATAGGATCAAGGAACTGAAGTGTTCCAGATCATCATACCAAGACAATGAGACACCTGTTGGCCAACTCCTCTTCCTCATCCCTTCCTAATTCCTATTTGCCTTCCCCACTATATAAACCCCAAACTTTAGTTGGTTAGGAGATGGATTTGAGACTTGTCTCCTATCTTTAGGCTGATGTCACCCAAAAGAAAGCCTTTCTCCCTGTCAATATTTGTTGTCACAGGGATTGGCTTTCTGTAAGGTGAACAACCAGACCTACACCAAACCCCTGGCGTTCAGCAACATGATAGCCTGTACCTGTCACCTTGCTTCAAAGGTTATCAACACATAACCAATCTTATTGATATACACTCCTATCTATTCCACCACCCCAAATGGATTATTTTAAAGCAACTTCCAAATTTCACCTATAGGTATGTAGGAGATTAGAACACACCACCTCCAAATATGCCACTCTGGGATAAAGATTATTTTGAGCTGACAGCAATTGAGGAAGAGCAAACATAGGAAGAGCTCTCTGCCATCCCCTGTATGCCTGAAAGCAGATCATAAAATCCCCCCGTGAAGGGCACCCTCGGCAACTTCCCATACCAGGGAGGGAATAAGCACCTTAACACGTGAGACAAGAAGTCACCAAGAAAGGGCCTACATAAACCTCACTAGCCCTTTCCTTCCATTAGTTTCCCCATGTATTTGCCTTCCTATAATTTGCCACCCCTTGAAGTGCAAAGACCCTTTCTTTCATTTCATCACTTCTCTTCAAATGTATTCTCTTTTGCCTGAATGGTATAAAAGCCTCCAAGCTTAGTTTTTTCTTTAGAGGTTTTTTTCTCTTCTCTCCGTGAGCACTTCCCACCCCTACCATAGAAAACTTCTTTTGTTTTTTTTTTTTTTTTTGAGAATGAGTCTCGCCCTGTTGCCAAGGCTGGAGTGCAATGGCATGATCTCGGCTCACTGCAACCTCCACCTCCTGGGTTCATTCGATTCTCCTCCCTCAGCCTCCCGAGTAGCTGGGATTACAGGCACGTGCCACCACACCTGGCTACTTTTTTGTATCTTTAGTAGAGACAGGGTTTCACCATGCTGGCCAGGCTGGTCTTGAATTCCTGACCTTGTGATCTGCCCACCTAGGCCTCCCTAAGTGCTGGGATTACAGGCATAAGCCACCGCCCCCGGCCACCATGGAAAACTTTTAACATCAAATTCATTTGTGTGACTTTTCTCCTGTTGATCTTTCTCTTGTAAGTTTGTTTTGAAAATTAAGCCAGAGACCTAAGAAGGTAGAGGAAAATTTTCTTTCCCGACAGATACTTGAGTTTATACTTCTAAGATGTTCTCTCCCTCTCTCTTTAACATAACAAAAAAACACTAACAGACCATCATGGTTGTTCGCATCTATAATCCCAGCACTTTGGGAGGCCAAGGTGGGAGGATCTCTTGAGCCCAGGAGTTCAAGACTAGCCTGGCCAATATACTGAGACCATATCCTTACAAAAAAAAGAAAAAAAAAAATATATATATATATATGGACACACATATGCATACATATAAAAGATTAATAATATTTCCTTAATATCATTAAATATCCAGACAGTGTTCAAGGTTCCTTTACCAGTTCATAAATGTTTCATTTTTACAAATGTTTTGTTCCAATCAGCACCCAAACAAGATCTTCTCATTGCATTTCCTTTTTTTTTTTTTGAGATGGAGTCTCACTCTGTCGCCAGGCTGGAGTGCAGTGGTGCCATCTCAGCTCACTGCAACCTCTGCCTCCAGGGTTCAAGTGATTCTCTTGCCTCAGCCTCCCGAGTAGTTGGGACTACAGGTGCATGCCACCACACCCAGCTAATTTTTGTATTTTTAGTAGAGATGGGGTTTCACCATGTTGGTCAGGATGGTCTCGATCTCTTGACTTTGTGATCTGCCTGCCTCAGCCTCCCAAAGTGCTGGGATTACAGGCGTGAGCCACCGTGCCCAGCCACATTTGGTTGATATATTTTTTATGTCTCCTTTAACCTATGGTCTCCTTTTCTCTCTTTTTTTTTTTACTAGCCATTTTGTTGTCATTGATGTTGAAGAACCCAAGTTGTTTGTATTTGTATAAATACAAAACAATTCTATATAGAATTTCCCACGATCTGGATTTTGCCAATTGCATCTCTGTCATTTTCTCACTCAAGCACACACATATTCTTCAGCTCCCAGTGTAACCTACCTGTAAACTGGTACCATAGTTAGATCTAGCGGTGTGATCAGCTTCAGCTTCAAGTTTGATTTTTTTTTTCTTTTTTGCAAAAATAGTTTGTTGATGATAATGTGCACTCCCGGTTGCTTTATATCCAGAGGCATGTAATAACTAATGCTGTTTCTGTGATGCAAGATCAGCCTTTGGTTTCTGGTGCTATCAGCCGGATCCATTTTTTTTTTTTAGACGGAATCTCACTCTAACACTCAGGCAGGAGTGTACTGGTGCAGTCTTGGCTCACTGCAACCTCTGCCTCCCGGATTCAAGTGATTCTCCTGCTTCAGCCTCCCAAGTAGCTGAGATTACAGGCCCACACCACCACGCCTGGCTAATTTTTTTGTGTGTATTTTTAATAGAGATGGGGTTTCACCATGTTGGCCAGATTGGTCTCAAACTCTTGACTTCAAGTGATCCACTTGTCTCAGCCTCCCACAGTGTTGGGATTACACGCATGAGCCACTGCTCCTGGCCAATGATGTGGTTTTCTGTTGACTATCAACTCTTGAATTTTCACGTGATATGCTTTAATCTATTCTTCTTCTTCTTTTTTTTTTTTTTTTGAGACGAAGTCTTGCTCTGTCACCCAGACTAGAATGCCATGGCACGATCTTGGCTTACTACAACTTTGGCCTCCTGAGCTCAAGTGATTCTCGTGTCTCAGCCCATGTAGCTGAGACTGTAGGCGTGTGCCACCACACCTTTTTGACACACCTGGCTAATTTTTGTATTTTTAGTAGAGACGGGGTATCGTCATGTTGGGCAGGCTGGTCTCCAACTCCTGGCCTCATGTGATCTGTCCACCTGGCCTCCCAAAGTGCTGAGGTTACAGGTGTAAGCCACCACAATCCATTCTTCTTTTCGATATTTGAATTATCCCTTCTGTCAATAAGAGTTTGTTGTCTCTTCAAGTTAGTTTTTTATTTATTTTTTATTTTTATTTTTATTTTTTAGATGGAGTCTCACTCTGTCACCCACATCTGGCTGATTTTTGTATTTTTCGTAGAGATAGGGCTTCACTACATTGGCCAGGCCTGTCTCAAACAACCAACCTCAGGTGATCCACCTGCCTCGGCCTCCCAAAATGTTGGGATTATAGGTGTGAGCCACCGTGCCCAGCCTTCAAGTTGGTTTTGATAAACTTTTGACATGACCATGTAGTCTTTGATAGTTTCCTTGCTCTCTCATAAAGAAAAGATGTTCCAGAATCACTTTACACATTTTCTGCCCCAAATCTGAGATCAGTCATTTCTCCAAGGCATTCTGGCTTAAAGAATCTCTTAATCTCATCAAAGTTGTGATATTGTGAAATATATATTCGGTGTTCATCCTGTTTCTTGGCATACAGCTCCTAAGACCCTTGGATTCTCCAGAGTGATAAGAGTCTTTTGTTTGAGAAGTGACACTGTTGAAAAGTGTAAAATAAATAGATAAATAAAACAAAGAATTATCTTTTGTATGCTCATGTGACCCCTACATAGCTTCAGGATGGGAGCTGGTCACCAGAAAAACCAAGGCATGATCAGAGGGTTGAAACTTTCAGTACCACCTCCCAACCTCCAGGGAAAGGAGTGGGGCTGAAGATTGAATTGCTCATGAATGGTTAATGATTGAATCAATCATGCCTGTGTAATGAAGCATCCGTAAAAACCTAAAAAGGCTGAGTTCTGGGGGCTTCAAATAACTGAACACGTGAAGGTTTCTGGAGAACGGTGCTCCTGGAGAGGACATGGGAGCTCCGTGCCCCTTCCCACATACTTTGCCTTATGCATCTCTCCCGTCTCCCTGTTCATCTGTATTCTTTGTAATATTTTCTAGTATAAAAAGGTAAGAGTAAATGAAGTGTTTCCCTGAGTTCTGTGAACTGCTCGAGCAAATTTATTGTTATTATTATTATTATTGAGACAGAGTCTTGCTCTGTTGCCCAGGCTGGAGTGCAATGGCGCGATCTTGGCTCACTGCAACCTCCACCTCCCGGGTTCAAGCGATTCTCCTGCCTCAGCCTCCCAAGTAGCTGGGATTACACATGCCCACCACCATGCCTGGCTAATTTTTGTATTTTTTAATAGAGACGGGGTTTCATCATGTTGGTCAGACTGGTCTCAAACTCCTGACCTCAGGTGATCCACCCACCTTAGCCTCCCACAGTGCTGGGATTACAGGTGTGAGCCACCACACCTGGTCTTATTATTATTATTATTTGAGAGGGAGTCTCACTCTATTACCCAGGCTAGAGTGCAGTGGTGCGATCTTGGCTTACTGAAACCTCCACCTCCCAGGTTCAAGCAGTTCTCATACCTCAGCCTCCTGGATAGCTGAGATTACAGGTGCACACCACCACACCGAGCTAATTTTTGTATTTTTAGTAGAGACAGCGTTTCACCATGTTGGCCAGGTTGGTCTCAAACTCCTGGCCTCAAGTGATCTACCTGCCTTGACCTCCCAAAGTGCTGGGATTATAGGCATGAGCCCCCATACCTGGCCTCATCTAGCAAATTAATTAAACCAAAGGAGAGGATTGTAGGAACCCCAATTTATAGCTAGTCAGCCAGAAACTCAGGCCACAAACTGTGCTTGCTACTGGCATCTGAAGTGGGAACAGCTTTATAGGGCCGAGCCCTCAACCTTTGGGATCTGAAGCTATCTCCAGATAGATAGATGGTATCAGACTCTGAAATCCGAATAAGGTCTATGGATTGTAAAAAAGAAAAAACAAAAAGATAGTGTCAGGCCAGGCGCGGTGGCTCACACCTTTAATCCCAGCACTTTGGGAGGCCAAGGCGAGTGGATCACGAGGTCAAGAGATTAAGACCATCCTGGCCAACATGGTGAAACGCCATCTCTACTAAAAATACAAAAATTAGTTGGGTGTGGTGGTACACACCTGTAGTCTCAGCTACTCAGAGGCTGAGGCAGGAGAATCGCTTGAACCCAGGAGGCAGAGGTTGCAATGAGCCGAGATAGCGCCACTGCACTCCAGCCTGGGTGACAGAGCAAGACTCTGTCTCAAAAAAAAAGAAGACAGTGTCAGGGTTGAGTTGAATTAGGGAAACCCAGTTTGTATCCACGGCAGAATTGGGAGAATTGATTGCTTGCTTGTTGCGTGGGGAGTAAAACCCCACACACGTCGGGGGTCACAGAAGCATTCTTTGTTGATTGTTGAGTGAAAGTGTTACCAGCAGCAAATCTTACAGGTCTGCAGCAAACTCAGTTGTTGCCTCCTTGGAGGAAAGAATTCAGCCAAGGGGCAGAAGGCAGAGTGAGAGACTGAGACAAATTTTAGAGCAGGAGTGAACGTTTATTTAAAAGTTTTAGAGCAGGAACAAAAGGAAGCAAAGTACACTTGCAAGAGGGCCAAGCTGGCGACTTGAAAGACCCAATTGCCCTGTTTGGCCTTTGACCTGGGGTTTTATACATTGGCCTGGGTTCTGGGGTTTGCATTTCTTCTCCCTTGATTCTTCCCTTAGGGTGGGCTATCCACATGTGTGGTGGCCTGCCAGCACTTGGGAAGGGCCGCATGCTCAGTATGTTTACTGAAGATGTGTGCGTGCTCACTCACTTGGGACATTTTTTTCCCTTATCAGTGGAGCATTCCTTGAGGAAGGTCGCATACTGGTAAACTCCACCATTTTGCCTCTTAGTGCTCATGCTTGAGCCTGCTCATCCAGCTCCTGAGATCTTATCGGGAAGCTGCTGGTCACCAGCTTCAGGTGTTTTCTATCTATTGGGAGACCATCTTTCCCTGGCACCAGCTGTAACCAATTATTATTTTAGCCAGCCGGTTTAACAACCACCTGACCATCACCTGATGGTTGCCCAACATTCCTCTCTGCCCTGCTCATGTCTGCCTAGCTGTCTATTCTAACAAAAGAATAGGAAAAGCACTGGTTTTGCCTATGTCAGAATAAAAGTCTATCTGAAAATTGCTCAAAACATTTTCTTAGAAATGCTGGATACTTCACAGAAGAAGGTTTAATTACATCATATAAGAAAAGCTTGCGGCTGGGCGTGGTGGCTTACGCCTGTGATCCCAGCACTTTGGGAGGCCGAGGCAGGCAGATCACAAGGTCAGGAGATCGAGACCATCCTGGCTAACACGGTGAAACCCGATCTCCAGTAAAAATACAAAAAATTAGCCGGGCGTGGTGGTAGGCGCCTGTAGTCCCAGCTACTCAGGAGGCTGAGGCAAGAGGATGGCGTGAACCTGGGAGGCGGAGCTTGCAGTGAGCTGAGATCAAGCCACTGCACTCTAGCCTGGGCAACAGAGTGAGACTCCATCTCAAAAAAAAAGAAAAAAAGAAAAGCTCAAGGCCAGGCATGGTAGCTCACGCCTGTAAACCCAGCACTTTGGGAGGCAGAAATGGGTGGATCACCTGAGGTCAGGAGTTGAAGACCAGCCTGGCCAACATGGTGAAACCCTGTCTCTATTAAAAAAAATACAAAAATTAGTCGGGCATGGTGGCGTGTGCCTGTAGTCCCAGCTACTCAGGAGGCTGAGGCAGGAGAATCGCTTGAACCCGGGAGGCAAAGGTTGTAGTGAGCCAAGATCGTGCCACAGTACTCCAGCCGGGTGACAGAGAGAGACTCCATCTCCAAAAAAAGAAAAGAAAAGAAAAGCTCACACCTGTAACCCAAGCACTTTGGAGGCCAAAGTGGGCGAATTACTTGAGCCCAGGAGTTGGAGACCAGCCTGGGCAATGTGGCAAGAACTTGTCTCTATAAAAATAAATAAATACATAAGCAGCAGTTCTGCTCTAAACCCTTTTTTTCTCAAACTTAGGACAATGTTACTTCTCATGGAGTAAGCTATTTTACAAATTAATTAAAGAGCTGTACAAAATTTATGCTTATTATAATTAGGAATAGTCCTAAAGTAAGGAGTGAGAAGCAGGATAGAGCTTATGAATACATTTTGGGGATTAGATACAGAACCCAATTTTTTGCCCAGCATTTGGACTAATGCTTTGGTTCCCTGCTTCCTTCTTTTTTATTGATTGATTTTAAAATACTTCAGTTTTTAAGAGCAGTTTTAGATTCACAGCAAAATTGGTGAAAGTTTCAGAGATTTCCCATATACTCCCTACCCCTACACATGTATAGATTCCCCCATATCAACATCCCACACCATCATGGTACATTTGATGAACTTACATTGACATGTTATTATCACCCAAAGTTCATAGTTTATATTACAGTTCATTCTTGGTTGCTTTGACATTTTATTTATTAAAATATTTTGCTTGATTAAAAAAAAGAGCTGTTTACTGGAAAAGCAGAAAAATGCATAGAAGAAAACAAAATCACCTGTATCTCACTCAGGGAAAAACCACGGAAACATTTTCATATATACACTTCCAGGTCTTTCTTTCCATCCTTGCTTCCTTCCTTGCTTCCCTCCTTGCTTCTTTTTTTTTTTTTTTTTTTTCCATAAGTTAGTTCTTCACCTATTTATCTGGGACATATCCTATATTGTCCTATATTGTGTCCTATATATCCTATATTGTGTTCCAACAGGACAGTCTTAAAAGCTATGTAGCATTTCAATTCATAGATATAACTATTTAAGCAAACTCTCAGTACTGGTTTATTGATTGTTTCTAGTTTTTTGGCTATTAAACTATTGCTGTAATTTTTTAAAAACCCTCTATACATGCTGGCCAGGTGCAGTGGCTCACACCTGTAATCCCAGCACTTTGGGAGGCTGAGGTGGATGGATCACAAGGTCAAGAGATCAAGACCATCCTGGCCAACATGGTGAAACCCTGAGTCTACCAAAAATACAAAAATTAGCTGAGCATGGTGGCGCATGCCTGTAGTCCCAGCTACTCGGGAGGCTGAGGCAGGAGAATCGTTTGAACCTGGGAGGTGGAGGTTGCAGTGAGCCGAGATTGCACCACTGCACTCCAGCCTGGCCACAGAGCAAGACTCCATTTCAAAAAACAAGCAGGGCCGGGCGCGGTGGCTCACGCCTGTAATCCTAGCACTTTGGGAGGCAGAGGCAGGCAGAACACGAGGTCAGGAGATGGAGACCACGGTGAAACCCTGTCTCTACTAAAAATACAAAAAATTAGCTGGGTGCAGTGGCAGGCGCCTGTAGTTCCAGCTACTCCGGAGGCTGAGGCAGGAGAATGATGTGAACCCGGAAGGCAGAGCTTGCAGTGAGCCGAGATCATGCCACTGCACTCCAGCCTGGGCGACAGAGCAAGACTCCATCTCAAAACAAAAAACAAAACAAAACAAAAAACAAAAACAAACAAACAAAAAACAACAAACAAAAAACCCTTCTATACATGCCATTATTTACATTGGTGCATACTTTTTCCCAAAAACAAAATCCTTACAGTAGAATTTTGGGTCAAATATGTGAAAGTAATTTAGAGCTTTGCTATACCTTTCAAACTGAACTGACTTATACTCCTACTTGTGCACTAATGCTTTTGTAACACTATGCTTTTATAAAAAGTAATAGGAGGGCCAGGCATGGTGGCTCACACCTGTAATCCCAGCACTTTGGGAGGCCAAGGTGGGCAGATCATTTGAGGCCAGGAGTTCAAAACTAACCTAGTCAACATGATGATACCCCGTCTCTACAAAAATACAAAAATCAGCCAGGCATGGTGGTGCACACCTGTAATCCCAGTCACTAGGGAGGCTGAGGTGGGAGAATCTCTTGAACCCAGGAGGCAGAGGTTTCAGTGAGCCCAGATTGCACCACTGCACTCCAGCCTGAGCAACAGAGCAAGACTCTCACTCAAAAAAAAAAAAAAAAAAAAAAAGTAATAGGAGGCAGTAACTACCAGTCATACAGCTAATGGCTTCTAGAGAGGCTAAGGCTAAGTGGATATCGCTTTCCATTTCCAAGGAATGGGTGCTCACCAGTGTAAGAGACAAACTGGATTCATTCATTGTATAATTTAGAAAATATATATATACTTGAAGCTCTAAAAAGTTCTGAAATCCACTATTCCAGTAGAAAGCAAGGCTTCAAATTGCGTATTTTACTATCGAATCTCATCTGGAGTGATTCAACTCAAATATTTATGAGCAATGAATAATGAATTGAGTGTAATAACTAGTTATTTCTCTCAATGATTGATACTTATATGAAAGAAGAAAAATTTTCAAGAGGTAAAGTGTGATTGGACCTCATGATCTCAATATGAATTTTGACCCTTATGGAATAAGTTGTGGAAAATCATGGTTTTAAAATAACTTCACGGTGGAAGGAGAGAGAGAGGATCAGAAAACATACCTATTAGGTACTATGTTTAGTACCTGGGTGATGAAATAACCTGTACACCAAACCCCTGACATGAGTTTACCTATATAACAAAACTGCACATGCAACCCTGAACCCAAAAGTTAAAAAATAGATAAATAAAATAAAATAACTTATCTTTTTACTTTGAGGTAGAACTGGTGTTGGGGAAAGAGTTTGAAGTAATAAAAAAAATTATTTTGTTTTATTTTATTTTAATAAAACAGAGTCTTGGCTGGGCGCGGTGGCCCACACCTGTAATACCAGCACTTTGGGAGGCTGAGGCAGGTAGATCATGAGGTCAGGAGTTCAAGACCAGCCTGGCCAAGATGGTGAAACCCCATCTCTACTAAAAATACAAAAATGAGCCAGGCACGGTGGCAGGTGCCTATAGTCCCAGCTACTCGGGAGGCTGAGGCAGGAGAATTGCTTGAACCTGGGGTGGGGGCGGAGGTTGCAGTGAGCCGAGATTACACCACTGCACTCCAGCCTGGCTGACAGAGTGAGATTCCATCTCAAAACAAACAAACAGAGTCTTGCCGTGTTGCCCAGGCTGGTCTTGAACTCCTGGGCTCTAGTCATCCTCCCACCTCAGCCTCCCAAAGTGCTAGGATTATAGGCCTGAGCCACTATGCCTGCCCTATGAAGACATTTTTGAAAAGATTTCCAAAGATAGGAGATTCTGCAAAGTATAGCAACTATCAACATGAGGCCATTGAGCTCCTACCATATTCAAGGCCCTGTGAGAGGCTAGTGAGTGTAGTAAGCCGAGGAGACTGAGATGGTCACCCCCTAAAAGTCTAATGAGGAGACCATTGATCATAATACAATGTAAGTTACACTGGAGTTCTGAAAAGGATGTTGGAAATAAGAGCTTGGAGCCACAGAGAGAATGAACACTCAGACTAAGGATTTCTCAGCAAGGCAAATTTACTTCTGCAGAAGGGTGCTGCCTGCATCAGTCACAAGCCCAAGAGCACACCAAACAAAGAAGGGAAGGGATTGTTATCTCTAATGCAGTTAGTCCCTGTTGCTGTGTCCTGCTCTCATTGGCTGGGGCTGGACTGCACAATCTAAACTAATCCCGGCTGGCTATTTTAAATGGAGCAGGGGTGTGGGTTACAGCAGTGGGGTGAGCAGTTTTGGCGGGAAGAATACTTTTGGTGGGAAGGACAGTTACAGGCAGGGCAGGTAACCAAGGGAACAGGTGTGAATCAGATTAGAACTGGCGGGAATGTTGTTTACCATAACTAGGGACAAGGAGGCACAAAGAATGAGGAAGTTAGGCTCTGAAAATAGAGAACAAAGAACAAGGAAGCTGAACAAGCTGATTCTTTGAAGAGGAACTCCCTGCACCTAATAAGGAGAATTCCAATTCTTTTGGGAAGTCAAGTTAGGAGAGGTGGTGAGGCTACTTCAGAAACACCCTACGACTTTGATATGGTTTGACTGTGTGTCCTCACCCAAATCTCATCTTGAATTGTAGTTCCTATAATCCCCACATGTTGTGGGAGGCACCAGCTGTAGATAATTGAACCAAAGGGGCAGTTTCCCCCACCCTGTTCTCATGATAGTGAGTTCACACCAGATCTGATGTTTTTACAAAGGGCTTTCTCCTTCACTGGGCACTCATTCTTCTTCTCCCTGATGCCATGTGAAGAAGTAGATGTTTGCTTCCCCTTCCACCATGATTGTAAGTTTCCTGAGGCCTCCCAGTCATGCTGCACTGTGAGTCAAATAAACCTCTTTCCTTTATAAATTACCCAGTCTCAGGTATGTCTTTATTAGCAGTGGGAGAACGGACGAATACAAACTTCTAGTACGTCTCGTCGTTAAAGTCTGTAACAGGTAATGCTTTACTATGATTACAATGTTAAAAATATGGCAGTTGGGCACAGTGGCTCATGCCTGTAATCCCAACACTTTGGGAGGCTGACACAGGAGGATCACTTGAACCTAGGATCTCAAGACCAGACTGGGAAACACAGTGAGACCTCAGTCTCTACATCTCTACAAAAAATAAACAAAATTAGCCCGATGTGATGGCCCATGCTTGTAGTCTCAGCTCCTCAGGAAGCCAAGGTGGCAGGATTGCTTGAGCCTGAAAGGTCCATGCTGTAGTGAGCTGTGATATCACCACTGCACTCCAGCTCGGGCAACAGAGTGAGACGCTGTCTCAAAAACAAACAAACAAATATATATATATATATATATATATATATATATATGGAAAGACAGAGAGAGAGTGGTAGCAGAGAAGCTGAGAAGCAGGGTGCAGTGGTATGCACCTGTAATCTTGGCTACTTAGAAGACTGAAACAAGAGGATCGCTTGATCCAGAAGCTTGAGACCAGTCTGGGCAACATAGTGAGACCCCCCCCGCCCGCCATCGCCAAATATACATATATTGATACATTTATATAGCAAAGAGACACTATTCTCACGAGATTACTTTTCAGGCTAAAGAGGAGTAGAAATACATATGGTTACAGTCTTGCCAATGCGCCACAATGTAGCAATCTCTCCTTGTGAGGTATCACCTGGAGTTCTTTGTCTCACAAGCAAGAGAATTAAGGAGCTTGAACATAAAGGGTCAGGTTGGAGCAAAAGTTTAATAAGCAAAAGAAGAAGCCTCTCTGCAGTGGAGAGGGAGCCCAAAAGAGGGTTGCCGTTTTTACAGTTGAATGCAAAGGCTTTTATCAGAAACTGATGGGGGCAGGGCATCTCATTTGCATAAGATGCAAATTTCTGGTAGCTCCACACCAACCTCCTAATGCACCTGTGAGCCCTTAGCTTGAGTTACTCCATATTGCTTTGTTCCCCTTACTGCACATGTGTCAGCAGACAGAATTTTCCATTGCAGACACGTCTAGGCAAGTCAGCTGTGTAGTCTTTCTTATCTGTGTGGCTGTGGGCATGTCTTAGGCAAGTCCCCCCTGTGCAAGTTCCCTTATCTGTGCCTGCTGCTTGATTTTTCAGGCTGTTCTTTTGTTTGAAAGAATTCAGCTGAGGACCCACCCTAACTGCCTGCCTGACCGGTTTATTCCTTTCTCCTCTCTCAATATGATCATAGAGCTATGCACTGGTATTATCTCTTTAAAAATCATTTGAATAATACAGAAAAATGTTCAGGGTTGGTAATGATTTTTTCTCCTAATTCTGAAGGCTTTTCCCCATTGTCTCTAGCTTTCTGTGTGGCTGTTCAGAAGTTTGGTTTCATTCTGATTCTTAGTTCTATATCTATGACCTGGTTTGTTTGTTTGTTTGTTTGTTTGTTTTTCCTTCCTTTAGAAGCTTTTAGAATTGGCCCAGCATGGTGGCTTGTGCCTGTAATCTTGGTACTTTTGGGAGGCGGAGGCAAGAGGAGTGCTTGAGCCCTGGAGTTTGAGGTTGCAGTGAGCTATGATTGTGCCACTGCACTCCAACCTGGGTGACAGAGCAAGACTCTGTCCATCCTGTCTCTAAAAAACAAAACAAAACAAAACAAAAAAACAGGCATGGTGTCATGTTCTTGTGGTCCCAACTACTTAGGAGGCTGAGGTGGGATGGCTTGAGTCCAGGAAGTGGAGGTTGCAGTGAGTTGATTACTGCTGAGATCACACCCTTGGGCAACAGAGTGAGACCCTGTATCAAGAAAAAAAAAAAAAAAAAAAAGAAGCAGCAGAAGCTTTTAGGATGCCTTCTTATTCTATGGGTTCTTAACAGCTTTCCCTTCTTTCTTGCTGCCTAGTCCCAACTGCAGGTGTGCACATTTCCTTCCTTTCCCAATGATGATAGCTAAGACTTGGTGGAAACACTTTGTTTTTCTTTTTCTTTCTTTCTTTCCTTTTTTTTAGAGACAGGTTCTCCTCTGTCACCCAGACTGGAGTGAAGTAGCAGGATCACAGATCACTGCGGCTTCCACCTCCCAGGTTCAAGTGACCCTCTTTCCTCAGCCCCCCAAAGTGCTAGGATTACAGGCATGAGCCACAGCACTAAGCCTCACTGAAACATTTAACAAGACTTTAATAAATACTTGATGATTTCAGAATAAAATTTTCAGACATCAGACTTAATTTTTTTGGTTTTTATCGTTCTTAACCCACAGCAACTATTCGACTAACTTTTTACCATAATGGCCAAAATGCTCCTTTTCTAACTCCTTAAAAACAATGACTTTTCACTCAAAAATATACTAACTAAATATCCTATGAGAATATTTTGAGCTTATGGTTTCAAAGACCCACCCACAGATGACCTTGGCATGACAGTTTCTAGTTAGAGAATATTGCATGCAGTACATTTGAATTGTATGCTATGTTTGACTTTTGTTTTGTCAATGTTTCTATGTGCATTAAGTGACAGAGATTCTTCAAGTTGTTTTAAGGTCTTCTTGTGTTTAGCCTTCATTTGTCCCAAAGTTTTTTTTGTGTTATAGTTTTATTTAAAAAGCAGTTCAAATGCAAAATAGCTATGAATCTCCAAAAGGTAGAAGTATTGGCAGAAAAAATAAAATAAAATAAAATAAAAAAACAGGTCCAGAGAGAAGAAAACTAACCATTAAACTAAGATGAATGAGATAAAGAAAATGAAAAGGGAGTAAGAATAGAGTATATTGAATGTTTTTAAGGGAGAGCTCACTGTAGTGTGTATGATAGTTTTTGAAAATTACAAGAAGAGAAAGAAAAATTCTGGGACCGGCACAGTGGCTCACAATGAGCATGTAATCCCAGCATTTTGGGAGGCCAAGGTGAAAGGACTGCCTGATCCCAAAAGTTGGAGAACAGCCTGGGCAACTTGGTGAAACCCCATCTCTACAAAACAAACAAACAAACAAACAAACAAAAACCAAAAAAAACAAAAACAAAACAAAACAAAACAAACACCAAAAATTTGCTGGGCATGGTGGCACATGCCTGTGGTCCCAGCTACTCAGGTGGAAGGATTGCCTGGGGCAGGGGAAGTCAAGGCTACAGTGAGTCGTTATTCAACCATTGCACCCCAGCCTGGGCGACAGAGTGAGACACTATCTCAAAAAAAGAAAGGAAGGAAGGGAGGAAGGGAGGGAGGGAGGAAAGAAAGAAGAAAGGGAGGAAGGGAGGGAGGAAGGAAGGGAAGAAGGGAAGGAGGGAGAGAGGGAGGGAGGAAGGGAAGGAGGGAGAGAGGGAGGGAAGAAGGGAAGGAAGGATTGATTCTGAATTCGTTATATATTGTGGGAAATGGATCATATCCCCAAAAAGAGCTTCCTCTAGTTTCAATCTAAAGAAAGAAGAAATTATTACCAAGTTCACTTGACTCTAATCTTTTTGTTGTTGTTATCAAATATGGGATATTCAGTCTTGAATTAAATGATGTGCTGTCAACAATCCAGTCTATGTCATGTAGCACGATCAGTGTGAGGCAGGAAAATAGCGTCTGGAGGCAGGAAATATAAGGCCAATTCCCACTTCAGCTATGACAGGAAATATCCTCTCCATAGGGTGTAGGCTGAGTAAATAACTTTGTCATTCTCTTCATTTACATAAGGCATATTCCAAGTACAGGGTATATAAACTCCAAAAATTCTGTAACAAGACGCTTGAGCCCCTATGCTTGACCCACTCCCACACTGTGGAGTGTACTTTCATATTCATTAAATCCCTTCATTCCTTCCTTGCTTCGTTTGTGAGTTTGTCCAATTCTTTGTTCAAGACACCAAGAACCTGGACACCTGCCACCGGTGACAAGTGTAGTGCTTTTTTGGCAGTTTTTCCTCCAGCATGAAGGGATGACCAGGCCTGAACATCATTTCAGCAATGTTCGGTGCCACTGATTTTCTGTGAGTAACCAACACAATAAAGGATTTAACTATGGACAACGCCCAAGAGTAAGCAGAAGCAATTGCATGGGGCAGTCTGAGTCTAGGAAACAAGCATTTCTCTACATGAGAGTCTCAAGGGAAGAATATTTAGATATACAATTCTGTCTGCATTAAGACAAAAGTTATAGAACCCTGAAGAGCACTTTAGCCCTTAGACCACACCTTCACTTTAGAAAGTGTCTTCATTCACATTTGCACAACTAAAGCAAAATGAGAATGGTTTTCTTAGAACTCAGAGATGGTTGACCTCCATGTAAATCAAGGCTTTCCCTCTAGCAGGCCGAGACTTGTTTGCATATTTTAAATGACAATTGTTTTCTATTTTCAGTGTCTACTCTCAGTGGAGCCCAGTCTTAATATAGGTTACCCTCTCACACATCAAAACCAACTCTTTTTCTCTCCTTAATACCATCCCAAGGCTCTGGTCTACATCCTTGGCACTAGAATACAAAGAGAAATCAACACAAATGCTGTCTCTGGGAAGCCCATACTTGTGTTGGGGAGAGAGATACAATTGTATATACAATTAACTATAATAAAAATAAGAATGAGTCAAAATACAGTTACAACCTAATTCTAGAGGTCCTCAAAGGTAGAATTAATGGTGATGACCCAGACTAGTGACATAAAGATCATGAGTTAATATTTTAGCAACCATTAGCATCTGCATGCCACCTGCCATGACTGCTTTCTCAATAGTATGCACATATGCAGTGAACAGGTGTTATAAATAAAGTTTCATTGCCGCAAAAGAAATAGCACTCAAATATAAAATTTTTCTGCTCAGCAAGGCAATATTCTTCTATAGAAGGGTGCGCCTTCACAGATGGAGCAATGGTGAGCGCACGCCTGGACAAGGGAGGGGAAGGGGGTCTTATTCCTGACGTGCGTGGCCTCTGCTGCTGTGTCCTTCCCCTATTGGCTAGGGTTAGACTGCACAGGCTAAACTAATTCCGATTGGCTAATTTAAAGAGGGTGACAGGGTGAGTGATTTGGCAGGAAAAATGGTTATGGCAGAGCAGGAAATAGAAATGAGTTGGGCTGGAGGATGAGCAGGTAATCGGAATGAGTCAGGGTGAAGCAGGTAATTGGAATGAGTCAGGGTAGAGCACGTGATCGAAAAAGGTTGCTTTATGAGGAAGTTAAGTTTAAAAGTAGAAGGCAAAGAATTGAACATACTGACATTGATTCTCTGAAGAGAAATTTAGAACTCATATCTAACAATGGTATGCTTGTATACACTTAGAATTTTGCATTAAGTCCATGTATTTCTATTCAAAAAAATGCAATTTCATTTTTAAAAATCACAATTAGGTTTTTTAAATAGAACTTGAAAAACTAATTGCAAAGTGTATTTGGAATAGTAAACATTCAAGACCAGTCTAAATAATCTGAAAAGAGAAATACAACAGAGTAGATGTAGCCTCTTAGACTGAAATACTATATAATAAAGATGCATAAATTAGAAGTGTATTTAAGAATAGACAAATCAATAAATAAAAGGGAGACACATGCATATATGGAAATCTGATATAAGCTACAGGTGGCATTTCAAATTACAGAGAAACAGATGAGCCATTTAATGAATGTGGTTGGTACCACTAGTCATCTATATGAAAGTAAGAACAAATTTGGTTTTCCTTCCCTTCCCCACCTTCGGAAATAATAAAATGTTCATGTCACAGAGTTGTTATTATATTACATGATTGTGCAAAAGAATAAGGTATATTTATGTGCAAAAATATGAAGAAATCTTCAGACTGTAAAGTAAAAGGGGTAAGTCACAGAAAAAATATATATAGCACAATTCTATGTGTGTGTGTGTGTGTGTGTGTGTGTGTTGGGTTGGGGAAGACAAACCCCAGGCTCCAAGTGCACATGTGTATATGAATACATATGCAGAGAAAAATACCCTGGAAGTATGTACAACAACTGTTACCATGGTTACCATAAGGAGGAGAGTAAGAGGTGGGTAGAGCTGTGGGAGCCATTATTATTATTATTATTATTATTATTTATTTTTTTTTTAGACGGAGTTTTGCTCTTGTTGCCCAGGCTGGAGTACAATGGCATGATCTCGGCTCACTGCAGCCTCCACCTCCCTGGTTCAAGTGATTCTTCTGCCTCAGACTCTCGAGTAGCTGGGATTACAGGCATGCACCACCATGCCTGGCTAATTTTTGTATTTTTAGTAGAAACGGAGTTTCACCATGTTAGCCAGGCTGGTCTCGAACTCCTGATTTCAGGAGATCCACTCATCTCAACCTCCCAAAGTGCTGTGATTACAAGCATGAGCCACCGCACCCAGCTGGGAGCCATTATTCTTTATTCCAAGCTTCCATAGTGGTTAAATTTAAAAATAAATAATACTGTGAAACAGTCACACGGAAAGTATTATAAAAATTCTAAATCTCTAAATAAATATATGGTTATTTAATAAATCAAGCAGTTCAATTGGCTTTTTTTAATTAAAAAATGTTTTTCCTTTTTTTTTTCTTTTTATTTTCTAGAAGTCGTAGCTTTGAAGGGTAAAAAAATGTTTTTTCTTAAAGATGCAGGTTTTTGCTATGTTGCCTAGACTGGTCAAGTACTACTGGGCTCAAGGGATCCTCCCACATCAACAAACAGGTACCTGTCACCCTGCCTGGCTCTCAACTAGGTTTTTGGAAAAGTTTTCTACCTGCTAGTCTTGGGGTGGGGCAGTGGTTCTCAAAATGTGGTGTGAGAAACCCTAATGGTCCCTGATGCCATTTCAGGGGGTCTGTGAGGTCAAAACTATTTTTAAAATAATACTGATATGTTATCTGTATTTTCCTCCCATTCTTTAATGAGTTTACAGTAGATTTTCCAGGAGAGAAAGAGGGTCATGAAGTTAATGAGATAGATGGGACTATGGGAAGTAGCAAGATTTTTCACTGTCTAGCTTTCTTGTTGTATTTTAATCTTTAAACCGTAAGAATGTGTTACCTATTAAAATATATACATTAGAAAATCTTCAAGATGAATACTTGTATAATCTCTGGGTATGCGAGGTGTTCCGGTTGCCTTGAATGATGGAGAAGTGGAGCTGTGGCCCCACCCAGGTCTACGTTATATGACGGAGAAGTAAACTTGATATTATTTGAGCCACGGAAATTGTCATATCGTTCTAACTCATAACTAAACTAATAGAGGCTTAAATGTCTCTTCTTCTTCTTTTTTTTTTTTTTTTTTTTTTGAGAGAGAGTCTTATTCTGGGGCCCATGTTGGAGTGCAGTGGTGCAATCTCAGCTCATTGCAACCTCCAACTCCTGAGTTCAAGTGATTCTCATGACTCAGCCTCCTGAGTAGCTGGGACTACAGGTGTGTGCCATCACACCTGGCTAATTTTTGTAGTTTTAGTGGAGAAAAGGTTTCGTCATGTTGGCCAGGCTGGTCTCGAACTCCTGGCCTCAGGTGATCCACTTGCCTCGGCCTCCCAAAGTGCTGGGATTGGAGGCATGAGCCACTGCACCAGCCAAATGTCTCTTAATACAGCTCCTCTCCAACCAGTTATGTTATAGAATAATAAACCAGCATTCAAATAGATTTTATAAATCTATAGATGTCCATATGTATTACTGGGTTCCTTTATCTACTTGCGGTGCTATAACAAAGTACCATAGACTGGGTGACTTAAACAACAGAAATATCTCTGTTCTGAAGGCTGGGAAGTCCCAGGTTCTAGCCAGTTCCATTCCTGGGGAAGACACTGTTCCTGGCTTGCAGACAGCTGTCTTCTCCCTAGGCTCTTACATGGCCTTATTATTTATCTATTTACTTATTTATTTAGTGTGTGCCTGTGGAAGACAGACCATAGCTCTCTTTCTGTTCTTATGAGGATACCAATTCTATCGGATCAGGGCTTGTGATAAGATAAATATATATTTGATCTTTGTCCCAGTTTCTGACACAGAACCCCTAAAGTTCTTGTAATTTCCTGAGTGATAAGTGTGCTAGGAGTACCTTTTGTTCTAATATTTGGTCTTTGACCCTGGTTGCAGACACAAGAATTTCTAAAACTCTTGGAGTTTCTTCAGGGATGGGGAATGGGGATGGGCAGTGCCTTTTGTTATTCATAATAAGAACCTTTTAACCATAGAAGATTTGTGGTAATGATGTGACTCTTGCAAGGTGGAATCTGGTAACCAGAAAGACAAACACTTGGCCGGGCACAGTGGCTCACGCCTGTAAACCCAGCACTATGGGAGGCTGAGGCGGGTGGAGGTCAGGAGTTCAAGACCAGCCTGACCAAGATGGTGAAACCCTGTCTCTACTAAAAATACAAAAATGAGCCAGGTATGATGGTGGGCACCTGTAATCCCATCTACTTGGGAGCCTGAGGCATAGAATTGCTTGAACCCAGGAGGCGGAGGTTGCAGTGAGTCGAGATCACACCACTGCACTCCAGCCTGGGCGACAGCAACAGAACGAGACTCCATCTCAAAAAAAAAAAAAAAAAAAAAAAAAAAAACAACCAACACTTTGTTATAAATAAAGTTTTGTTGCTGCAAAAGAAATAGCACTCGAATATAAAATTTTCTTTTTAATTCTCAGCAAGGCAAGTTACTTCTATAGAAGGGTGAGCCCTTACAGATGGAGCAATGGTGAGCGCACACTTGGACAAGGGAGGGGAAGGGGTTCTTATCCCTGGCACATGTGGCCCCTGCTGCTGTGTCATTCCCCTATTGGCTGGGGTTAGACTGCACAGGCTAAACTAATTCTGATTGGCTAATTTAAAGAGTGTGATGGGGAGAGTGGTTTGGCGGGAAAAATGGTTATGACAGAGCAGATAATCAGAATGAGTCAGGGTAGAGTAGGAAATCAGAGTGAGTCAGGGTGGAGAAGAGTCAGGGTGGAGTAGGTAATCGGAAAAGGTTGCTTTACGTGGAAGTTAAGTTTAAAAGCAGAAGGCAAAGAATTGAACATACATATTAATTCTTTGAAGAGAAATTTATAACTCATATTTAATAACTTCCTCCTCTTGCATTTTTCCTTATAGCTTTTTCTTTAACTCCTTTAACATGTCTTGGCTTAGTTGTTCTGCCTGATTTTCCAAAAGAAGGAGCTTCTCTGGTTAAGGTGGAGAATAGTTAAGGGAGATCTTAGTAAGTACCACTTCTGTGAGCCTCGGCACCAACCCATGGATGCATGATATGACACAGCACCCGACAAGATTAAGTACACCTATTACGGCTACGAGGGAGGTAAGAATCGAGGTTATTACTCCTTTCCATTTACCAAACCACTTTTCTAGCCATCCTGTAAAGGGGTCATTTACCCCCGAGTTGCTGGCTAATTCATTGGATAGAGCAGTCAGTCCTTTCAATGCCTTTGTTATACTTCCATTAGGGGCGGTGTTGAAGGTGCAACATTGAGTTTTAATCATGACGTAAACTCCTCCTCTTTTTGCTAATATCATGTCTAAGGCTATCCTATTTTCTCAAGCCATCTGGCTAGTAGCCCCTAACTGCTCAGCTATTCCTTTAACAGCATCTCTAGTGTAGTTAATAAATCGCTGTGGGTTGTAATAGATGTAGTTTATCCAATCTACATTTTTATTAATTGTCACCCACCAAAATATTGAATCAAATCCTGCAGCTATTTCATTTCGGGCTTTAAATTGATCTGGTATTCCCCGTGGGACTTCAATTGTGTCTAAATAGATGTGAGAGTCGAAAGACCCATAAGGGACTTCTCTCACTTTACGATGTCTTATTTTTCCTTCCTCTGGTTGATGAAATGCCAGGGTGAAAGGGATACCCAACTGGACTAAAGCACAAGTGCCACTCCAGTTATTTGGCAGTGTCCAGTAAAGGTCCACCACAATACTACTACACATCCGCTCGGGGATGAACAAGGGCTGACTGATTGGTAAGCTCTTGAAAATTCTTAAGCTCGAGCCTGCCCGGCCTGCGGCAACAGCATGGACACGGTGCAGTGTCAGCAGCAGCAGCGGCAGCAGCAGTGGCTGGCAGCCACGCAGGTGTTTATGTCTGGTCGTGGGGTCTCGCGGCAGCATGGCAGACTACCTGATCAGAGGCGGCACCAGCTACATGCCTGAGGACGGGCTCACAGCGCAGCAGCTCTTCACTGGTGCAGCAGCTCGCGACCGCCTCACCTACAACAATTTCCTGATTCTCCCAGGATTCATAGACTTCATAGCTGATAAGGTGGACCTGACCTCAGCCCTGACTTGGAAGATCACGCTGAAGATGCCACTGATCTCCTCCCCCATGGACGCTGTGACAGAAGCTGACATGGCCATCGCAATGGCTCTGATGGGAGGTATTGGTTTCATTCACCACCACTGCACCCCAGAGTTCCAGGCCAATGAGGTGCGGAAGGTCAAGAAGTTTGAACGGGGCTTTATCATGGACCCCGTGGTACTAAGCCCCTCACACACTGTGGGTGATGTGCTGGAGGCCAAGATGCAGCATGGCTTCTCGGGCATCCCCATCACTGAGACAGGCACCATGGGCAGCAAGCTGGTGGACATCGTCACCTCCTGAGACATCAACTTTCTTGCTGAGAAGGACCACATCACCCTCCTCAGTGAGGTGATGACACCAAGGATTGAGCTGGTGGTGGCTCCAGCAGGTGTGATGTTGAAAGAGGCAAATGAGATCCTGCAGCCGTAGCAAGAAAGGGAAGCTGCCTATCGTCAATGATCGCAATGAGCTGGTGGCCATCATCGCCCACACCAACATGAAGAAGAACTGAGACTACCCTCTGGCCTCCAAGGATTCCCACAAGCAGCTGCTGTGCGGGGCAGCTGTGGGCACCCGTGAGGATGACAAATACCGCCTGGACCTGCTCACCCAGGTGGGCGTTGACGTCATAGTCTTGGACTTGTCCCAAGGGAATTCATTGTATCAGATGGCCATGGTGTATTACATCAAACAGAAGTACCCCCACCTCCAGGTGATTGGGGGGAACATGGTGACAGCAGCCCAGGCGAAGAACCTGATTGACGCTGGTGTGGAAGGGCTGCACGTGGGCATGGGCTGCAGCTCCATCTGCATCACCCAGGAAGTGATGGCCTACAGCTGGCCCCAGGGCACTGCTGTGTACAAGGTGGCCGAGTATGCCCGGCACTTTGGTGTGCCTACATAGCCAATGGCGGCATCCAGACCATGGGGAACATGGTCAAGGCCCTGGCCCTTGGAGCCTCCACAGTGATGATGGGCTCCCTTCTGGCCGCCACCACGGAGGTCCCCAGCAAGTACTTCTTCTCAGATGGGGTGTGGCTCAAGAAGTACCGGGGTATGGGCTCACTGGATGCCCTGGAGAAGAGCAGCGGCAGCCAGAAACAATACTTCATGGAGGGGGATAAGTTGAAGATCGCGCAGGGTGTCTCCAGCTCCATCCAGGACAAAGGGTCCATTCAGAAGTTCGTGTCCTACCTCATAGCGGGCATCCAGCATGGCTGCCAGGATACTGGGGTCTGCAACCTGTCTGTCCTTTTGTCCATGATGTACTCAGGGGAGCGAAAGTTTGAGAAGTGGACCATGTTGGCCCAGATCAAGGGTGGCGTCCAAGGCCTGCACTCTTACAAGAAGAGGCTGTACTGAGGACAGGGGTGGAGGCCGAGGTGGTGGAGGGGGTGCACCCCAGTGTCCACCTTCGGGCGCAGCCTTCCTCCATAACTGAGTGGTCCACAGATTTGCACTACGGGTTCCCCAGCTCCTTTCCAGGGAGAGAGGAGGAGAGGTCCAGAGGGGTCCGTGGCCCCTTGCTGGGCACCCCTGCAGAGTCAGGACTGCTCCCTGGGCCAGACTGCCCTGGGAGCCCCATCAAGCCTAGCCAGCCGGGCTCTCAGGCCTTTCTTGCTTCAGCCTGCTCCAGCCTGGCCCCCACCCCAGGGGCAGGTAGCCCCTCCTGGCTTCTCCTGTAGGGCACCTCCCTGCCCCCAGCCCCCCAGGAAATGGTGCTCTCCTGGCCCTGCCTCTGGCCCTTCCTGGGCCGCTGCCCCCTCAGCCTGTGGCACTTCTGAGCTCCTGACCTAGGCCAAGGGGAGGTCTCTGCCCCCTTCCCTGGCCCTGGACTACCCTTGGGCCCTGCTCCTCAGGCCACTTCCCTGTCCCTGTCCCTGGGGAGGAGGCTTCCCTGGTCATGGCCGCTTGCCTGTCATTTCTGACTCACCACCCTCCCCAGGTATACCGTTCCTGCCCTCTCCTCAGCTGCAGTTGAAGGCTTTAACTTTGCACACTTTGGGATCACAGTTGTGTCATTGTGTATTAAATAATCAGAATAAATCAAGCAGGTCTAGATAGAAAGAAAGAAAGGAAGAAAGAAAGAAAGAGAAAGAAAGAAAAAGAAAGAATAAAAGAAAGAGAGAAAGAAAGAAAGAAAAGAAAAAAGAAAGAAAGAAAGGAAAAAAGAAAGAAAGAAAAGAAAAAAAGAAAGAAAGAAAATTCTTAAGCTCACTGCATCCCTTCAGGTCTCCAAGGAACATTAAGTTTCCTCCCTGTTGTGAGAGACATGAAGTGAACTTGGTGTTGGGAAACGGAAGCTGGATGGCCCTCAGGGGCTGACCCGCAGGGTATCAGACTTTGGGATATAGCAGAGAGAGAGGTTGGCATGACTTGTTACCCCAGGCTGCAGAATCCTGGAAAAGAGCTACCATGCAACCCATGCCCAGTCAACTGGAGGACCACCCTAGTGGAAAGGGGACAATCTGGGCTTCTGGCCTGCCACGTGCACAAGCATAACAGTTGCTTTTGTTTAACGTGTGGATGGAATATTTGATCCATTCCAACCAGGCATTTACATCTTGGTATCCAATCTCAATTGTCAAAGCTTGTTTTAAGTCTTTAACTTCTACCATCGCTATCTTGGCCTTGTCGTTAGATGGAGGAGGAACAATGGTTCCGTTGTGAGAGGTTTTGGAAAAAGGCTTAGAGGAAGGTGCAGGCAGTGGGGGATCAAAGAAACGCATTTCAAAGAATCCCATAGGGTCTGTTCCAGAAACCTCAGCCTCCATACCATAAAACCGGCTTAAAGAAGGAAACCGGTTTAGAAAAGGGGAAGAACTTTGGGGGCTTGAGATAATAACCTGTATAGGATTGCACTGGTTTAGCTGACAGTTGAGGGTGCTGTCCCTTTAGTAAAATGAATGTATGGTTTTAGGAAACTACAGAAACTGGTTGGGGCACTCCATCCTTGCTCTTTGGTGGTTCACAGAACATTGGACCAACTACGGCATAAAAGCTCTACATCGGGGGGCAAGACTCCCGGTTGCCACTGGGGTCTTTATCGAAATCTCCCCAGATTAAATGGTCCCAATTCACTAATGCCCAGTCTGAGGAGAGCCAGGAGGCACACAGGCACTTTTCTAAAGCAGAGGGCTGTCTTTGACTTAACAAGTCCCCACAGGGTATAACAAGGCAAGCATCAAATGCAATAGTTTGAGGCAAAATGGACTTGGTTATGTTAATAACTAGATGGTCAGCGATAGAGCGAGGAAAGAAGAAAGAGTAATAGAATAGATGAAAGAGAGTTACATTTTTCTTAGCTTTAGTTTGGTAGGGTTTCCCCCCACGACTATGGTCGTGGACCATAGTCCCAGGCGGTGCTTTCTTGACTGGTGTGGTGAGTCCATCCTCTCTCTGCTGTGCGGACTGAGGTTTCAGTAGTTAGGAGCACTAAGTAAGGACCTCCCCAGGCTGGCTCGAGCTTCTCCTCTTTCCAGCTCTTGATGAGGACGTGATCCCCAGGCTGATGCTGATGCACCGGGAACTCCAAGGGCGGCACCTGTGCTAATAGACCTTTAGTTTTAAGATAAGAGAAAATAGAAGATAGACCAACTATATAATTTGTAAGGAATTGATCTTCTGTTTCAAAGGTAGGTATATCAGCAGTGGAGTGCAAATAAGGTAATCCATAGAGCGTCTCATAAGGAGAAAGACCAATATCTTTCCGTGGTGCAGTTTGAATTCTCAGCAGGGCAATAGGAAGACACTTGTTCCATGGCAATCGAGTCTCTAAGACTAATTTGGTTAAGTGGTTCTTTAGAGTCTGATTCATCCTTTCTACTCTCCCTGATGAGGGGGTGTGCCAGGGAGTATGGTGTTCCCATCTAATGTCTAATGTTTGGGATAGCTTTTTAATAATGTGTGCAGTGAAATGAGTTCCACTGTCTGAGTCAATATTTTCTATTAGTCCAAACCTGGGTACTATATTTTCAATTAGGGCCCTAACTACATTATTGGCTGTTGCATTTGAAAGGGGATAGCTTCGACCCAGTGAGTGGGGTGGTCTACTATCACTAGTAAATATTTTAGATGATCTATTGGAGGCATTTCTGTGTAATCAACTTGGATACTTTGGAATGGCCTTAAGCCTGGATTCCTTCCCCCGAGAGGTAATATTTTTATAGTATGTTAATTAGTTTTCTTAAATACTAAGCAACTATCTGTAACCTGTTTGGCCAGAGTATAAATTCCTATGCAATCATAAACTCTGAGAACTGCTCTCTGGTCTTGCAGTATCCATTTTCCTTCTGAATTCTCTTTAGCGCCTATTTTTATTAGTTTTTCTTTTTCAGCAGAAGAGAAAATGGGGATTATGGTAGGAGGAGGGAGGCAGGGAGTTAAGTGAAAAATACGCATTTCAGAAGACACAGCAGCCTGCTTGGCTACCTGATCTTCTAGGTTATTTCCTCGACTTTCAAAACAAAGGCTTTTCTGGTGTCCGGGAACATGGACAATAGCTATTTCTTCTGGCAACGGAAGATTATTCAATAGTTGGGTGATCAGCTCCTTGTGAACAAGGTCTTGACCTTTACTATGAATGAGACCTCGTTCAGTCCAAATTTTCCCAAACGTATGGGCCACTCCAAAGGCATATCTAGAATCACTATAGATGGTTCCTTCCTGGTGCTGCAAGTGCTTTAAGGCTTGGCTGGGTGCAAACAGCTCATACTTTTGAGCAGACCAACTGTTGGGCAATTTTCCTGACTCTATTTCTGCAAGAGTTTCTCCAACAATCATTGAATACACATTATGTCTTTTTTCCTCAATCACCTGGGAAGAACCATGTATGAATAAGTACCATCCAGTCTGGAAGGGGGTTTCTCCTAGGTCTGGTCGAACCTTTGTATGGTAATCAATTAAATCTAAACATGTGTGTTCCCTCCTTATATTTGAATTCCTTGTTAGGAAACCTGCTGGGTGGAGTGAATTATCAGTGGTCAATGTTAAATCATCCTTTTCTAACAGAATGGCCTCATACTTTAAGATTCTCGAGTCAGTAAGCCATCCCCCTGCTCTATGGTTTAAGATAGTTCTAATTTCGTGAGGCGTGCTTACTGTCAATTTTCTCCAAAGGTTAACTTTCTGCTTTCCTCGACTAGTATTGCCGTAGCCACGATGGACTGGATGCATTGGGGCCATCCACGAGTGACTGGGTCTACGATCTTTGATAGGAAGGCTACGGGCTGCCGATGGCCTCTGTGTTCTTGAGTCAGTACTCCTAAAGCTACCCCACTGTCCACATTAACAAAAAGGTGAAATGGCTTTTCTAGGGAGGGTAAAGCTAAAACAGGGGCAGTTATGAGCCTTTCCTTCAGCTTCTCGACTTGATCAACTTCCTCAGAAGTCCACAGGAGATGGTTAGGCTTCTCCTGGGCAAGTTTTTGATATAACAGTTTACTGTGTAGTGCGTATGAGTCAATCCATAAATGACAGTATCTGACTAACCCTAAACATTTCCTGAGTTCTTGTTTAGTTTGAGGCAAGGGTTGGTACACGATTCCCTCGATTCGTTCGGGCCGTATTCTTCACTTGCCTGCACTTATTAAGTGGCCTAAATATTTAACTTCAGGCTCTACATACTGAAGCTTTCTTTTTGAGACTGTAGCCCTTCAAACTGCAGATGTTTAGGAATATGTGTAGAGAAGTCAGTTACCTTCTCTATATCTTCACCAGATATAAGAATGTCGTCCACATACTGAAGAAGGCATATTTGTTCTGGGATGACAATTCTTTCTAGTACTTGTTCTAAAATTTGGCCAAAAAGATTAGGGGAGTCTGTGAACCCTTGGGGCAAGATTGTCCATCGATATTGTTGTTTCCGCCCTGAGTGGGGATCCTCCCACTCAAAAGCAAATATATCTCGGCTATCTTCAGCCAGGGCACATGCCCAAAAAGCATCCTTCAAATCTATTACAGCAAACCATTGATGATTATATGCAATCTTGCTAAGAATGGTGAAAGTATTGGGGACAATAGGGTGGGTAGTCTGGACTATTTGGTTGATAGCTCTAAGGTCCTGTACTAGCCAGTATGACCCACCTGATTTCTTGACTGGCAGCATTGGGGTGTTATAAGGTGACATACAGGGCTCGAGAAGCCCATCCTTAATGAGGCCTTTGATTATAGGTTTCAACCCTATCCTACCTTCTAGAGGAATAGGGTATTGCTTCCTTTTTACTACTCCCGGGGTTTTTAGCTTGATGTGGGTTAGAGGCACTTGGAGTTTCCCTCAGTTTCTGTCTTTGGACCAGACATTTGGATTAACATATTTTTCATCTGCGGTGGTGAGTAGGTTTAATGAGGTGAGGAATCCTCTTGGGCTGACTTGTAGACTTATGGCCAACTTAACATTAAATTAGTTCCTGCTTCAGGGATTAACAAGAACTGAATATGAGCTGAGCAATCCTCGTATCTAATTTCTGTGCTTTCTAAAATTTTTGCTCTAAATCCTTCCCCTTTTACCCTGGAGACTAAAAGTTCCTCTGAGGAGGAGACAAGATTAGATGGGGGAAACAAACAGAGGAGCGAACAGCCCCTGAATCGACTAAAAAGGTGATAAGCTCATGTTTAGGCCCCACCTCCAAATGTATCAAGGGCTCCTGGTGAGACTCAAGATAAAAGAGACAGAGCCCCTGACCCCCCTATTCTTCCTCGAAAGTCATGAGTGGAAGGGCTTCTTTCTCCTTTCTTAGTTCAGGACATCCTCTCTTGAAGTGGCCTGTTCTTCCACATCTGTAGCACCTATCTTGTCCTTCCTCCCTCTTAGTTCTGGGATTCTTTAACCCTGCTCCCCCATACTATTTAGGGGGCATGGTAGACGAGGACCTTGGTCCTCCAGATGGAGGCTGGGGTCATTTAAAAGAGGGTTCAGACTCTTTATAGTTTCTGGCTCCCTGGAAACTTTGTCTAGAAGTACCTGGGTTTGGAGCCATCTGTTGGAAGGTGGAAAACATAAGTTTTGTCTTTTGTTTCTGTTTTTCTTTGTCCCTTTTCATGTATAATTTCTGAGCTTCCCCAAGAAGCTCACTTAGGGGACGGTCTTCCCAATTGTCTATCTTTTGTAACTTTTTTGAAATGTCTGGCCAAATTTTAGTGACAAATTGGAGTTTCAACATTCCTTGCCCAAGGGGATCATCCAAATTGAGGCCTGCATACTGCCTCGTTTGCTCCTTCAGTCTGTCTAGGAATCTCATAGGCCCTTCATCCTTTTCCAGTTGTATATCAAATGCTTTAGAAAGATTTTGGGTTCGGGGTACTGATTCCCAAATTCCTTTTATTATCATCTCCCTTAGGTCCTGCATATTTTCCCGGTGATCTGCATTGTTATTGTCCCACCGGGGGTCTCAGGTGCTGAATTTCTGGTCCGTTGTAGGAACGTTTTCACTGGGAGGGTGCTCACGTTCCTAAATTACCATAGCAGCCCTACAAATCATACTCCTTTCTTCCCCTGAAAAGAGGATGCCCATGATGGACATTAACTGGACCCAAGTGTATAACTGAGGCCTAAGAATTGGTCAATTTGGTCTGCCACTCCATAAGGGGTCATCTAGTAGCAGTTTAAGCTCCTTTTTAAAATTCCGACTTTCTGAACTGGTTAAGGGAGCATTTACAAAGCCAATGGCCCCCTACTCCTTGTGGTACCTCTTTCAAAGGGAAGAAGGTTGGGGCCAACCTCTTAGGTACAGAGGGAAATGGGAAATTCTGAATATCTTTTTTACATTGTTCTATCTCATGCTGAAGTCCTTTTAGAGAGGGGTATTTAAGTTGGGAGGAAATAGGCTGGTGGGACGGTAATTTCCAAGAGTCAGAGTTGTAAGGAGGAAGGATAACGTGAGTAGAGTGAGGATTTGGAACGGGATCTGAGGCGGCAGTGGCTGTCTGAGGGGAAAGACTGGGGACACTGAACGGGGAAAGATAGTCTAGGGGATCCCATGTGCTGGAGTCTTCAGGCATGAGAGTTGGCTCCTCTGACTTTTCATTTTGAGGTGCCAGATTGGGTTCTTCCCTATTTGTTTTTAAGGGGAAAAGGAGCGCAGGTCCTTGCCTCCAACAAAGGGCATAGCCTAGTTCTTCTGGAGACATTGGACTTTTATCATTAACATATTGTATTAACAGCTGACACATTACATCCTCATTTGACCCAAACTTTGGCCAGAAGATTGAGGGTTTGAGGATGGGTCCCTGAGTCCAAATAAAACAGCAATATTTTATCATTTGTTGCTTTTTCCTACGTTTAGTCCTTTCATTATCCTTCCAGTGTTTTAGCATGAGACCTAGGGGGCTATCCGGTGGGGATATCTTTGTTATCATCTTTATCCCCCTTGCTTCCTGTCTTGCTTAGGGTATTTCCCATCTTGATGGTTTGGGGGTAAGGTTCAAGGTTCGATTTCCCTTACTGGAAATTTCTTGCCTTTTGGGTGAGGCTCAATTTTCTGCACTGGAAATATCTTGCCTTTTGGGTGAGGCTCAATTTCCCCCACTGGAAATTTCTTGCCTTTTGGGGTGAGGCTCAATTTCCTCCACTGGAAATTTGTTGCCTTTTCTACTACTGGAGGTTTGTGTGAGGTGCAATCCCCCCAACTGGGGATGTCTTGCCTCTTTTTAACCTCTAAGCCACCCTGACCAAGGAGTACTTCACCACCCCCTTGCAGCTTTCTTACCTTGGTCCTGACCACCAAGGAAATACTTTACCAGCTCCCATGGTGTCTTTTCCTTGGTCCATGCACAGACTTGCATGGTCATTATGGAGGATCCTTTAAGATAGGTTGCTGGCCAGTTTCTTTCCGCGTTGCTGAGAGCTGGAGTTATTCCTCACACTGGGTGGGTCTTGATTTGTCACCCCCCAGGCTGCCACAAGGGGGCGGAGCGTGCCTCCTCACAAGAGAGAACCAGAGACCACCCACGGAGGGGAATGTAATCATGGGCAAGCCCCCAAATTGTTATAAATAAAGTTTCGGTGCCAAAAAAGAAATATAACTCAAATATAAAATTTTCTTTTTAATTCTCAGCAAGGCAAGTTACATCCATAGAAGGGTTCACCCTTACAGATGGAGCAATGGTGAGCGCACACTTGGACAAGGGAGGGGAAGGGATTTTTTATCCCTGACGCACATGGCCCCTGCTGTGGTGTCCTTCCCCTATTGGCTAGAGTTAGACTGCACAGGCTAAACTAATTCCAATTGGATATTTTTTTGTTTGTTTTTTTTTTTGTTTTTTTTGAGACAGAGTCTTGCTCTGTCTCCCAGGCTGGAGTGCAGTGGCGCAATCTTGGCTCACTGCAAGCTCCGTCTCCTGGGTTCATGCCATTCTCCTGCCTCAGCCTCCTGAGTAGCTGGGACTACAGGCGACCACCACCATGCCCAACTAATTTTTTGTGTTTTTAGTAGAGATGGGGTTTCACCGTGTTAGCCAGGATGGTCTCGATCTCCTGATCTGGTGATCCGCCCGCCTTGGCCTCCCAAAGTGCTGGGATTACAGGCGTGAGCCACTGCGACTGGCCCCAATTGGCTAATTTAAAGAAAGTGATGGGGTGAGCGGTTTGGTGGGAAAAATGGTTTTGACAGAGCAGGTAATCGGAATGAGTCAGGGTGGAGTAGGTAATCAGAAAGATTGCTTTACCAGGAAGTTAAATTTAAAAGTAGAAGGCAAAGAATTGAATATACTGACATGTTAATTATTTGAAGAGAAATTTATAACTCATATTTAACAACTTGACTGGACAGATGGAACTTGCAGCCCCACACCCTGACCTCTGAGAAAGGGAGAGGGGCTGGAGATTGACCTAATCACCACTAATCAATGATTTAATCAGTTATGCCTGTGTAATGAGGCATCCATAAAAACCCTAAACGACGGGATTTGGAGGGCTTCCAGGTTGATGAACACATGGAGGTCTTGGGAATGTGGTACTCCCAGAAGGGCATGGAAACTCTCTGCATCTCCTCCCCACCCCCATCCCTTGCCCTACACAGCACATCTCTCCCATTTGGCTGTTCCTGAGTTTTATCCTTTATGATAAACCAATAAACATAAGTAAAGTACATTCCTGAGTTCCGTGAGCTGTTCTAGCAAATTATCGAACCTGAGTAAGGGGCTGTGAGAGCCCTCAATTTGTAACCAAGTTGATTGGAAGCACTAGACACCAGGGACTCGCATTTGGCATCTAAAGTGGGAGGCAGGCTGGGTGCAGTGGCCTGTAATCCCAGTTCTTTGGGTGGCTGAAGCAGGAGGATGGCTTGAGGCCAGGAGTTCGAGACCAGCCTAGGAAACAGTGAGAGCCTATCTCTATTAAAAATAAAAAAAGAAAGAAAAAATAAAGTGAGGGGCAGTCTTTTCATACTGAATCTTTAGCCTGTGGATTCAGACATTAACTCTGGATAGTTAATGCCAGAATTGAATTGAATCTTTAGACACCCAGTTGGTGTTTGCAGAAAATTGGAGAATTCCTTGGTGTGGAAAACCCACACATCTCGTGCCCAGAAGTGTTGTGAATATAGAAGAAAAGTAGTTTCCTTTTACAGCCCCACTCTGATGACCTCATTTAACTTTACCCCTAAAGATCTAAATACAGTTGCATTGGGGATTAGGGCTTCTATATATAAATTTGGTGGTGGTGTTGGTGGTGGTGGGTGGGAGGGGGAATGGGCACAATTTGGTCCAAACCTTTGGGTTAAAAGCTTACTAAAATTATATGTATTGTAATTCCAATGATGTATTGCAGGTGTATATGTATAGAGTATAGTTACATAGACTCTAAAAAGATGCTCCCCAAGTAACAATGAACTGTGGTAGTAAGATTTAGGGATGCAGTGACAGGCATCTTTGGGACTCTCGGTTGTCTACATTAAGAATAAGTTATAGGCCGGTGAGGTGGCTCACACCTGTAATCCCACCACTGTCGGAGGCCGAGGTGGGAGGATCGCTTGAGGCCAGGAGCTCAAGACAAGTCTGGGCAACATAGCAAAACCCTGTCTCTGCAAAAAATAAAAATAGCTATGTGTGGTGGCAAGTGCATGTAGTCCCAGATACTTGGGAGGCTGAGGTAATAGGATCACTTAACCAGGGAAGTCAAGGCTACAGTGAGTGTGATTGTGTCACTGCATTCTATCCTGGGCAACAGAGCAAGACCCTGTCTCAAAATGGAAAAGAACAAATTATAGAACAGAGAAGCAGAAAAGCAGGCATAAATAAAAGTTGATAGGCCAGGCATGGTGGCTCACGCCTGTAATCCCAGCACTTTGGGAGCCAGAGTTTGGGCGAATTGCTAGAGCTCAGGAGCTCAAGACTAGCCTGGCCAACATGGTGAAACCCCATCTCTACTAAAAATACAAAAATTAGCCAGGCATGGTGGCAGACGCCTGTAATCCCAGCTACTCAGGAGGCTGAGGCTCCTGAGAATCGCTTGAACCCAGGAGTCGGAGGTTGCAGTGAGCTGAGATCGTGGCCACTACACTCCAGCCTGGGTGACACAGCAAGACTCCATCTAAAAAAATAAATAAATAAAAATAAAAATAAAATAAAAGTTGCTGTATATCACCACCATGAAAACAAACGTTATGTAACAAATGAAGATTTGTCTCATATAAGTAAACTTAAATGTTTCAAAAATCCAAAAGAATGTCATTTCTTTTTTTTTTTTTTTTTTTTTTTTTTGAGATGGAGTCTTGCTCTGTCATCCAGGCTGGAGGGCAGTGGTGTGATCTTGGCTCACTGCAAACTCTGTCTCACTCCCACCACCAACCCCTTCTGGGCTCAAGCAATTCTCCTGCCTCAGCCTCCTGAGCAGCTGGGATTACAGGCACCCACCACTAAGCCTGGCTAATTTTTTTTGAATTTTTAGTAGAGACGGGGTTTCATCATGTTGGCCGGGCTGGTCTCGAACACCTGACCTCAGATGATCCACCCGCCTTGGCCTCCCAAAGTGCTGGGATTACAGGCGTGAGCCACCTCGCCTGGCCAAGAATGTCACTTTCAAAAGTACAAATGCATACAATGAATTCTACCTCCAAGGAAAATATTTCTTTAAAAGGAGAAATTGCTTCTGCTATTGCTGCATTTTTTGTTGTGTTGTGCTAGGATACTTGGCTTACAAATTATTTCCTGTGAATAAACCATGTCATCATTTTCATTGAGTCCTTTCAATCTCCCACTTTGGTCCACTCATCCAACTCACTTCCTGGCTCTCTTCACTATTTGCCCCTCATAGAGTGTGATGCATGTCCTCATTTTCCAGCTCCTAGTTGCTCTGTTTTTCTTTTTCATTTCTTCTTATGTTATCTGCAACCATTATTTTACTCCATTTGTTTTCCTTCATTTGTTCTCATTGTCTTCCTCATTCTCACCCTCTTTTCCTTCTCTTGATCCTCTTATTGGCTTACTCTTTATTGAGTTTTCCATTGCCTTTTTCCTCTTTTTCCTCTCTGCAATCCCTACCCTCATAATAAAACCTGGTAAAAAGTGCTTCCACAGAAAAGGCAGAACATTAACATGTAGGGATTCACTCTGCCCCGATATTCCCAGAACAGTGCTGCTTGAGTCTAGCCCGAGCCCTTCTGGTGATTGCCCATCCATAGAGTCGGTAAGTTGACCAGAATCCCATTAGTCAATATTCAGTTACAGCTTACCACTCCATTACTTCTGTTCTTCAGAGAGGGGAATAGCTATGCCCCTCTCTTGCCCTACCTCCACTCCCACCCCCACCCCCCACTGCCACTCCCTGGCTCTTTTCCTCCACACTAAATGTTCAGAAGACATTATTTACCTGGGGAGGGGAAGACTGGGGAGGGGAAGCAGTGAGGGAAAGAAATATCTCCTATAATTATCTGTCCTGAGCCTTCCATCTCTCTCTCTCTCTTTTTTTTTTTTTTTTGAGACAGAGTCTTGCTCTGTCTCCCAAATTGGAGCGCAATGGCACGATCTCGGCTCACTGCAATCTCCACCTCCCAGGTTCAAGCGATTCTCGTGCCTCAGCCTCCCGAGTAGCTGGGATTACAGGCACCCACCACCACGCCCAACTAATTTTTGTATTTTTAGTAGAGATCGGGTTTCATCATATTGGCCAGCCTGGTCTTGAATTCCTGACCTCAAATGATCTGCCTGCCTCAGCCTCCCAAAGTTTTGGGATTACAGGTGTGAGCCACTGCACCTGGCTCTTCCATTTCAGTAGAAGATTCAAAAAAGCTAAATACTTGAGGAAAGGAGATATAATTGAGGCAAATACTGAGAATACCACAGAGGGTGAGAGGACCAAAGCATGAGGAAGAAAGTTATAGATGTTTGGTCTCCATGATATTTCTGAGATATTAAAGAAATAGGCCCGGTGCGGTGGCTCACGCCTGTAATCCCAGCACTTTGGGAGGCCGAGGCAAGTGGATCACGAGGTCAGGAGATCGAGACCATCCTGGCTAACACAGTGAAACCCCATCCCTACTAAAAAAAAAAAAAAATACAAAAAATTAGCCGGGTGCGGTGGCAGGCGCCTGTAGTCCCAGCTACTCGGGAGGCTGAGGCAGGAGAATAGCGTGAACCTGGGAGGCAGAGCTTGCAGTGAGCAGAGACAGTGCCACTACACTCCATCCTGGGCGACAGAGCGGGACTCTGTCTCAAAAGAAAAAAAAAGAAATAGGAGCATAAATGATTCTTAGTCTAAATGAATTACAATCTAGTAGGAGAAACTACATGTCCTTTATGTAGGGGGTTCCCAGGATCATCCTTAGTTTCCACAATTTGCTAAAAGGACTCAAAAGATTCAGGAAAAGTTGCTATACTCTCAGGTACAGTTTGTTGTTGTTGTTGTTGTTGTTGTTGTTTTTGAGATGGAGTTTTGCTCGTCACCCAGGCTGGAGTGCAATGGCGAGGTCTCAGCTTACTGCAACCCCCACCTTCTGGGTTCAAGTGATACTCCTGCCTCAGCCTCCTGAGTTGCTGTGATTACAGGCGCCTGCCACCACACCTGGCTAATTTTTGTATTTTCAGTAGAAATGAGGTTTCTACCATTTTGGCCAAGCTGGTCTTGAACTCCTGACTTCAGGTAATCCATCCTCTTTGGCCTCCCAAAGTGCTGGGATTACAGGCGTGAACCACTGCGCCAGGCCTAATCTATATCCTTTTGCTGTAATAAACTGTACCTGAAGCCAGGCACGGTGGCTCATGCCTATAATCCCAGCACTTTGGGAGGCCGAGGCAGGTGAATCACTTGAGGCCAGGAGTTCAGGACCAGCCTGGCCAACATGGCAGAAAACCTGTCTCCATTAAAAATACAAAAATTAGCCGGGTGTGGTGGTGCATGCCTGTAGCCCCGGCTATTCTGGAGGCTGAGGCAGGAGTATTGCTTGAACTCGGGAGGGGGAGGTTGCAGCGAGCCAAGATCGCGCCACTGCACTAAAGCCTGGGCAACAGAGCAAGACTCTGTCTCAAAAAGAAAAAGAAAAAGGATACATGTTAGAATTAGCAAAAGGGAAAAGGTGCATAGACCAAGTCCAGGAGAAGCCAGGAGCGAGCTTCCAGTTGCTCCCTCCGGCACAGCCCCACAGACAGTGCTTCATTCTCCCAGCAATAATGTGTAACAAGACATATGAAGTCTTGCCAACCAGGGAAATGCACCCAAGCCTTGGATTCCAGGTTTTTTATTGGAGATCCTGTAGGCATGCAGCACCTATGTGACTGGTCTTGGCTACTCACTTTCCAGCTTCCCAGAGATCAAACTGACATATAGTGGCCAAGGGCCTCACGTATATAAAACAGGTGTGAGCCATAGGTCACATCCCGAGCATAAACTCTCTGGTCAAATTAATACAGTATGGCCCAAACTCTCAAGCTCTCCTCTTATCAGGCAGGATATTCCAAAAGGGCAGCAGTAACCCCCCAGGAGCGAGTCAAGGGTCAATCCTCTCTTTGGAATGTGCACCATTTGAGTAACCTAAGCTTGCTAAGTTAACCCTTTATTGCACATCCAAGAAGTGTGTTATGTTGACTACAAAATTTTTTAAAAATTATCTAAATTTTTAATCTTCCTGATGGTAGAAAATTTGATGTAGTCATATTTGAGATAATTTGCTTTTGTTTGTTGTGGTTTTGGTCATTTAAGTTCTAAACTCAATCACTACCATATTCATTCTCCCTTTTATCTATCGCTGATTTGAAGGTCCAAGGGTTTAAGAGGGCCATGGCATATGTGGGGAAACACATTAGGTTTTGGGAGGCATTCTTGGTTTACCGTGGCATATGTAGAGTGTGACTTGCCTCCATTCCCGCCCCCCCCCCATAATAAAACATCTGCAAATATTTTCTGTTGTTGTTTTTAAGAAACTGGGTCTTGCTATGTGGCCAAGGCAGACCTCAAACTCCTGAGATCAAGTGATCATCCCTCCTCTGCCTCCTGAGTAGGGGGTATTGCAGGCACGGGTCACCCTACCCGGTTAACAATACAGGTTTTGTTTTCGTTTTTTTAGAGACTGAATCTCGCTATGTTGCCCAGGCTGGAGTGCAGTGACTATTCACAGGCATGGTTATAGTGCACTGTGGCCTGAGACTCCTGGTCTCAAGTGATCCTCCCACCTCAGCTTCCTGAGAAGTGAGGACTACAGCAGTGCACCCTTGTGCTTGGTTTCCATTGGCTTTTGACTGTGGGCCTCCCCATGGACCCCACTGAGATAGTCTGAGATGGCCTTTGGTGCCTACTCATTGCATTCTCCTTATCCTGACTCAAGTCATCCAGACCTCTCAGCTACTTCTGGAAGTCTGAGAATCTTTTCCTTCTTCCTCTAAATCTATAAGAAATTGGGTGAAGGGGTTAGTTCAGACCCTGTATGTCTAAACACGCCTCACAATCAGAGTTCTACTGAAAAATGATTTTCTTTTTTCTTTCTTTTTTTTTTTTGAGATGGAGTTTCACTCTTGTTGCCCAGGCTGGAGTGCAATGGCGCGATCTCAGGTCACCGCAACCTCTACCTCCTGGGTTCAAGTGATTATCTTGCCTCAGCCTCCTGAGTAGCTGGGATTACAGGCATGTGCCACCAAGCCCAGATAATTTTGTATTTTTGGTAGAGATGGGGTTTCTCCATGTTGGTCAGGCTGGTCTCGAACTCCTGACCTCAGGTGATCTGCCCACCTTGGCATTCCAAAGTGCTGGGATTACAGGCGTGAGCCACCGCACCCAGTCCCGAAAAATGATTTTCTTTTCCTTTTTTTTTTTTTGAGACGGAGTCTTGCCTGTCACCCAGGCTGGAGTGCAGCGGTGCGATCTCGGCTCACTGCAAGCTCCATCTCCCGGGTTCACGCCATTCTCCTGCCTCAGCCTCCTGAGTAGCTGGGACTGCAGGCGCCCACCACCATGCCCGGCTAATTTTTTGTATTTTTATTAGAGACGGGGTTTCACTGTGTTAGCCAGGATGGTCTCGATCTCCTGACCTCGTGATCCGCCCGCCTCGGCCTCCCAAAGTGCTGGGATCACAGGCCTAAGCAAGCCACTGTGCCTGGCCGAAAAATGATTTTCTTAAGTGTCCCTGGAAGTTATAGAATTTCCACCCACTAGCACCTTTTGAGGGGTGGGATGAGAAATCTTACTAGCATCTAATGCTTTTTTTTTTTTTTGAGACGGAGTTTAGCTCTTGTTGCCCAGGCTGGAGTGCAATGGCACGATCTTGGCTCACTGCAACCTCTGCCTCCCAGGTTCAAGCAGTTCTCCTGCCTCAGTCTCCCGAGTAGCTGGGATTACAGGCATGCAACACCATGCCGGGCTAATTTAATGTTTTTAGTAGAGACAGGGTTTCTCCATGTTGGTCAAGCTGGTCTTGAACTCCTGACCTCAGCTGATCCGCCTGCCTTGGCCTCCCAAAGTGCTGGGATTACAGGCATGAGCCACTGCGCCCGGCCAGCATCTGATGCTTTTATTCTCCTTGCTGATGCCCTTCTCTTCCAGTTCAGACAGCTTTGATCTCCTCTCTCATAGGTGGTGGTAGTGGT
Organism: Homo sapiens; assembly: GCF_000001405.40. Taxonomy (NCBI): domain Eukaryota; kingdom Metazoa; phylum Chordata; class Mammalia; order Primates; family Hominidae; genus Homo; species Homo sapiens. The sequence continues at coordinate 138,457,890 of NC_000007.14, forward strand.
GCAGTTAAGAAACAAGAAACAGCGCATCATCCAATTAGGCGGAAGCACAGGATGGATATGGGAAAGCAGTAACATCAGACAAGAAGATCAGATGGGAATAAAATTGTGGAGAGCTTTGGATGCAGTGGAGAGCCACAGAAAATTATGGGATAAGGGAGGGACATAGGATGAGAGCTGTAATTAAGGAAGAGTAATCTATTGGTAGTGTGGATCTTTGTGAAATATATTTGAACACGCTTTGTAGGGCAACAATATCCAAATAAAGAAATCATATGATTAAGAAAAACAAACAGTAAATTCATTTTCTGGACTTGAAGTTCCATATATGTGAACAAAGTACAATGTACGATTGTTTTACTCATGTGAAATTAGGAAGGCTAAAACGATGGAAGATCATTTTCTGTAAAACCATGGTGATTTGAAAAACTTTAAGCTAGTGGGTTTGATCAAATTACATGGAATTCTTTCAAAACCAGCCTATTCAATTTTACTTCTCAGTTTTCCTTCCCTACCACCATCATCTGGGGAATAAGAGGGACTTGTCTTTAGTAGGCTTGAATCCTGTATACCACCTATGTAATGAATTTTTAGCATATTAAGGGAGTTGATTTTTGAATACAAAATTCCATTCCTATTATGTGAATGTTTTCAAGGTGTAGCTTCAAAAATATACAATATGGTTTGAATTCTGGGGAAGGAGTGTTCAACTTTGGGGTGGCTTTAGGGGATAACAGATAAGTCAGAATTTTGAAGGAACTAAAACAAAGGGAACAGCGTGTACAAAGCAGGGTGGCCTTACAATTGCTGCAGCATGAAGCATGAGAGTCGCGGCGACTTCAGCTTGAGAGGCATATACGGACGAAATCGTGGAGAGATTTGTGAGTGGGTGAAGACCTGTGGGACAGACTTCCGTTTCTGGACCCACCCAGGTCAGAATCACTTGAGATGCTATCAAAATTGAATAACTGAATACGGAGGTGGCCCAAGCACCTGTTTTTCACTAAGCTTCTCAAGTTATTCTTATGCAAACTAAGGTTTAAGAGCTACTTCCATGCAAAAAAACAAACAAACAAAAAATCCCAAGCTTAAACAGGAACCAATGGGTGGGGGAGGCGGGAAGAGCTGTTGAATGTCTTGTGATTAAGTAAAAGAACCTCTCACTTGAGGCCTACGGAGGTTGTGTTTAAGGGCAAGGTCTTGAAGGAAGGCTACGTTGCCTAGCCCTCCCCCATTGCCATCCCATATAGTCCTCCAGGAAAACTGTGATTTTAGCAAAGCCTTTCATGACCCACTCCATCTTTCTCTAAAGTCCAGTACCGCTTCATTAGTATTGACAAAAAAAAAAAAAAAAGGTAAATACTTCTTAAAGTTACGTGTTACAAAATCTTGTTTCCTTCATTCCGTTTCTATTCTTCAAGTTCCTTAAAAGCTGCGCCATTTTTTGAGTGAAAAATGTGCGTAACTTCTGATATCAGCGTAGAGAGGTGAGGGAGGGAGGGAGGGAATAAAATAAGAGGGAGGGAGGAAATACAAAAGAATCCTGAAGTTATGAATTATTTGGGTAACAGTATTGAGGTTTATTTTTGCTTAATGATGCTATATTTATGCAATAAAAACATTTGTCAATCTGTATTAATTCCTGGGAAAACGAACCACTTTTAGTCACTTAAAAAGCAAATCACTGACTTTAAAAATTAATTTCACCTTTTTCATTGGGGAAACCCTTTAAAAATTTCCAACTTGCACGAGAACTTCCCCCCCTTATTCTTCATACTCATTCATTCTAGAGATGAGTAAAATTAGGTTGCAATATCCCTGCTGCCTCCAGAGTACCTCTTTCACACAGTATTTTAAAAAATTATTTCCTTGTTTGCTCTTCAGTACCTCCACTCCTTCCTCCTGTGACCCTCCGACCATATTTACTCCTCCTACAAGACCAGGTCTCCAGTAATGAAATCAGTTTTCCAAGCAGTTACTTAATTAACGGCATTGAGTAGACAAGTGAGGTCCCGCCCCCTAGGAGGAGCTAACACCGCGGACCGAATCAGGCGGATGGTCGTTAACAAATGAACCCTTAATCTTTTCAGAGGAGGAAACATACACAAAGGCCCAATCAGAAGCCGCGATTTCAGGCGTCCGGAGGGGGCGGGGCTGGGCAAGCACCTCCCACTTCCCAACCTCCCGCCGCGGCCGACGGAGCCTCGCGGGCTCCAACAGGTCCCGCCCCCTCGCCAGGCGCGGCCGCTATTGGGCGGCGCGCTCCACACCGAAGCCTCAGTTGCTGGGAGAGGGAGGGCGGGGGCGGGGGCGGGGCCTGAGGTGGGCCAGGGGGATGAAGAGAAAGGCGGGGAGGCAAGGGCGGGCTGGGCGTATTCCACGAGCGCCTCGGCGGTTGGCGAAGCGGACGGGGTGCAGCCTCCCCGGTGCGAGGAACGGTCTCCGCTGACAGATACCCTCCTTCCGGCCGCGCCACTCGGGAGGCGGATCCCGTGGGCCTGAGGAGGCTTCCCCCGCCCGGTTTGCTTTCCCTCCCTCGCTGGCGCTGCCGCGAGTCCACCGAGCGGCCTCTGAGGAGCAGCCGCAGGAGGAGGAGGAGGTCGTCGGGGGCGGCGGGCGGAGACCGCGCTCTCGCTTCCCCGGCGGCGGCAAGGGCAGGACAATGGAGGTGGCGGTGGAGAAGGCGGTGGCGGCGGCGGCAGCGGCCTCGGCTGCGGCCTCCGGGGGGCCCTCGGCGGCGCCGAGCGGGGAGAACGAGGCCGAGAGTCGGCAGGGCCCGGACTCGGAGCGCGGCGGCGAGGCGGCCCGGCTCAACCTGTTGGACACTTGCGCCGTGTGCCACCAGAACATCCAGAGCCGGGCGCCCAAGCTGCTGCCCTGCCTGCACTCTTTCTGCCAGCGCTGCCTGCCCGCGCCCCAGCGCTACCTCATGCTGCCCGCGCCCATGCTGGGCTCGGCCGAGACCCCGCCACCCGTCCCTGCCCCCGGCTCGCCGGTCAGCGGCTCGTCGCCGTTCGCCACCCAAGGTGAGAACCGGCCGCGGCCGCTGGGGAGCCCGGGGAGAGGGCCAGGAGGGGGCGGGCGCCCTTGTGCGGCGCGACCCGCTGTCATGTCGCCGCCGCCCGGGGTGCGCGGCGGGGGAGGGGCGAGCAGGAGGGTCTGTGCTGGCGACGGTGACATGGAGGGCCCGCGCTCTGCGGCGTGTCGCGCTCGGCCAGCAACTTCCCCGGGCGCTGTGGACTTGACCGCGCCGCCGCCGCCGCCGCTGCTCCGCATTCTCAACAGCCGGGCGGCCCCTGCCACTCGCACTTTTGCAGACCTCTGTCGGAGTCTCCTGCAGCCGGAATCTCGGGTTCTTTGCCGGCTGCAGCCAGTTAACTGCTACCCGCCCGCTGCCTCCACAAAGCTTTGTCCAGGTCCATATGATCCTGATCATCTCGTCTATACTCACGTTATTTGAGCTGCAGGGGAGAAGGGAGGGATGAAGATGAAGTGATGGTGACTTTCTTTGATGATTGATTGCAGATCGGATGTCATTTATTTCTTATCTTGCATGTTTGGGGCTCTTTACCTTAATGAGTTCCCAGTTCTCTTCCCTCTCCTCTGCTGGGGACAAAGGAACCAAGAGACGTTGTTTTGTTGTGTGTCTCTTTCAAAGGTTTTATTTTGAGACGGCGAAGAGAAATAATACAAAGTGATTTGGGTTTTCTGGTATTTTATAGATAAAGCTGGAAGTTACTGTTCTCTTTGTGGTGTTTATTACTGTAAAATTAGACTTTTGACAGGTGTTCCATTGCTAACTTTGACAGGTTTGAAACATTTAAAGTAAGTTTGAGTACAGTTTCGGGTAGAACACTTGGCGGTTTTTAAATTTTATTATTGCAAATATTTGAGCACCTCCTTTTTAAAAATACAGTGTAACTGGAAAAGCATTTTTAATACTTTTTAGAGGAAATAGTTGATTTAGTTTGAAATAAAATGCTAATTAAGTAATTATGCTAGGTCAAGGGGCGTATGAAATGGATACTTCAAATAGATTGTGGGCTGAGACTCATTTATTTGACTGCATGTTAGGAGCAGTATCCACTTGTAGGAGACAGTTTTCCGTGGGTCTCCGTTTCTTCACTCTTGCCAGCACCCTTGCCAGCGAGATACTGACTGCCCTTTGTTTCTATTTTTTCACGGATATTATCTAAAGAGCAGCCTTGGAAGATAGAGATAGTGTCTTCCACCAGAGCAAAAGGCGGGGATACATATTATCCAGTATAATAAGAATAACGTCTCCCTCTGGAGCGAAAGGGTAGGCATGCTTACTGCCCATCTTAAAAGATTAGGGTTCCCTAAGCTTAGGGTTCCTCTCCTGTAGAGAAGGAACTGCCTGTGTAGATGTCAACTGGCTCTCTTTACGTTGTCCAATGGGAACCTGGAGTTCTGAGAACTAGTGCAAAAATCTTTTTTTTTTTTTTTTTTTTGAGACGGAGTCTCGCTCTGTCGCCCAGGCTGGAGTGCAGTGGCGCGATCTCGGCTCACTGCAAGCTCCGCCTCCCGGGTTCACGCCATTCTCCTGCCTCAGCCTCCCGAGTAGCTGGGACTACAGGCGCCCGCTACCACGCCCGGCTAATTTTTTGTATTTTTAGTAGAGACGGGGTTTCACCGTGTTAGCCAGGATGGTCTCGATCTCCTGACCTCGTGATCCGCCCGCCTCGGCCTCCCAAAGTGCTGGGATTACAGGCGTGAGCCACCGCGCCCGGCCAAAAATCTTGATGATGCTTTGGCTTATGCTGTTCCTGTGAGTAAAAAACAAACTGCCCTGTGTCTCTGACCCTTGAATGTCTTCTGTCACCATCCATGAAACTGGTAAGGTTATTTGTTAGCTTGCAGGTTGGACACTCTCAGATCCTTCGCAGTAGTTTGCTCTGAAGAGGCCCACGACTGGAAAGTTCGAACAGGTGAAAGCTTAAACCTTAGTTCTTATTTATTTATTTATTTATTTTTTTTTTGAGACGGAGTCTCGCTCTTCTTGCCCAGGCTGGAGTGCAGTGGTGCGATCTTGGCTCACCGCAACCTCTGCCTCCTAGGTTCAAGCGATTGTCCTGTCTCAGCCTCCCGAGTAGCTGGGATTACAGGCATGCGCCACCACGTCCGGCTAATTTTGTGTTTTTTTTTTTTTTTTTTTTTTTTTTGGTAGAGGCGGGGTTACTCCATGTTGGTCAGGCTGGTCTTGAACTCCCGACCTCAGGTGATCCGCCCACCTTGGCTTCCCAAAGTGCTGGGATTACAAGTGTGAGCCACCGCACCTGGCCTGTTCTTATTTCTTAGACACAGTTTAAGGTTGGTTTTTCCTTCCTTCCTTCCTTCTTTCCTGCGTTCTTACCTTCCTACCTTCTTACCTTCCTACCTCGCTTTGTCGTTCAGGCTGGAGTGCAGTGGCACAATCTCAGCTCACTGCAACCTCTGCCTCCCTGGTTCAAGCGATTCTTGTGCCTCAGCTGGGCGCCACACCTGGCTAATTTGTGTTTTGTTTTAGTAGAGACGGAGTTTTGCCATGTTGGCCAGGCTGGTCTCGAACTTCTGACCTCAGGTGATCCACCTGCCACAGCCTCTGTAGGTGCTGGGATTACAGGTGTGAGCCACCCCACCCGTCCTCTTCCATTTATATTTTAAATGGTTAAACAGGCTTGTAGCCAATTAAGATCTGAATTGTGCATGATTATAGAATTATGACATATTGTTTGCCTGGCCATGACATATGGACTTGAATTAATGAGAACATGGGTCGTAAAGTTATCATCCTCAATTCTGAGACAAGTTTGTGATTCCATACTTCTCAAAATGTTCTGTGTAATTACAATCTGAATATTTTTTATCTTTATGCTGTATTGTACGCAAGAGTTCAAAGAAAGCGTTTAAATTGGAAGATGTTTTTGTTTTTATACTAGGAAAAACGTTTTAACAAATTGTACTTAAAAGTACACCTAAAAAGAATTAAAGTTATCTTTAAAAAATTAAAAATGCTATCCTGAGTCTTAGTGACTTGGGTATTTTGTCCCTTTATCTCTCCTTGCATACTTATTTTAATACTAGCTGAAGCAAAAATTTAGACTTTTTTTTTTTTTTTTTTTTTTTGAGACGGAGTCTCGCTCTGTCGCCCGGGCTGGAGTGCAGTGGTGCGATCTCGGCTCACTGCTAGCTCTGCCTCCCGGGTTCAGGCCATTCTCCTGCCTCAGCCTCCTGAGTAGCTGGGACTACAGGAACATGCCACCACGCCCGGCTAATTTTTTTATATTTTTTAGTAGAGACGGGGTTTCACCGTGTTAGCCAGGATGGTCTCGATCTCCTGACCTTGTGATCCGCCTGCCTTGGCCCCCAGAAGTGCTGGGATTACAGGTGTGAGCCACCGCAGCCAGCCAAATTTAGACATTGCTTAACTAAATAACGGGTTCATTTGATCAAACCAGTTCTTCATTTTCCTACTGAATTTGTGAGTACAGGCATCACAAGTCAAGTAATATCTATTACACAAAGGTTAAATAGGTAGTTGGGATGGAGAACTGTGTGAGCCTTGGGGTAAAATGGTAGGAAATGATGGGGAGTACAAGCAGGGGGGCAGACTCTTCTTAGCTATAGCAATTTGTCATGTGAGTGCAGGGCAAGTATTGAAGGATCTTTTATTTATTTAATGCAAATTCTGAATCTGGATTTTTGAACAAAATTTTTCTAGTATTAGATATTGTCAACTAATTAAAAATGTGTGAATATTTATACACATAAATATATATACACACACACAATTAATTTATGGGCCCATGCTATAGGCCAAACAATAGGTTTGTTGAGGCCAAATATGTTATATTTCATACACTTTTTAGATTTCAAAAACTGGAGATTTTCAAACTTTAACACCACTAAACTTTAACACCTAAAAAAAATTTAGATTTTTAGGCCCCTCCCTCCTGAAAATCTGATTCTACCTAATCTGGCGTAGTTGCAGAATGCTAGGGTATAATACAGTTACACTCTAGAATTGTTTCTTTAATGCAAGCAGTATTCTAAAACTGTTTCAGATCTAGTTTCCCTTTCTATAAAATACTTTTCATGCTCTCTTTGTCATCCTAAATGAATTTCATGGGGAAAAAAAATCCTAACACATTTTTCTTACAAAAGTAAACATAATGTTTGAACTGTTTTAAAGGAGAAATAAAATGAAGCAAATAACAGCAGAAAAGTATAATTTATAAATGCTCAGATACAATTACACTGGCCACCAAGCTCCCATTGAGAACATTTGTTTTAAAACTTCGGTTTAACTGTCCTTTTTTCTCAGGCTACATGTTGGAAGGAATGAGGGTGAATGACCACAAGTTAAAATTGGATGACTCCTTCAGTCTTGACTGTCATTTTCTTAGTATGCAGTTATATCTAGGAGAGAGGCAAAACTTTAGGAAATGGATTTTCTTTTACGTATGTTAAGAAAACAAACTGATCTTAGAGAAATGTTATAATATTGTGTAGTATTTTGTGTTGTTAACGTACTGTTCAGCTAATGAGTAGCAAACTGGGAGTTTGAGAGCAGTTTTTTCCTCTCTACCTAAAAGACAATATTGAAGAGCTATTTTTAACAAATACTGAGAACATACTTTTGAAAGGTATTATTTGTCTAGAGAGGGTTAAAATATAAGACTAAATCCCTTTTCCAAGATTTCTTTACTAACTGGCAGTATACAAGATACGTAACTATTCTGGGACTGATTTCTTGGCAAAAAGTATAAATCATCTCATGAGTGCAATCTTTAATGGCAAAGGATTAATATTTAAGAATGATCTGTGTTACCTGTCAGTCCTATATATATAAAAATATACATATTTTTATTCACCTGTTAGTAGGTATCAGTATTTTTTAGTTTGGAGCTATTATGAATAAAACTTAAAGGTATTTGTAGAAAAGTCTTGGTGTGGATACATTGTCATTTCCCTGAGGAAATAACTTAGAATTGGAATTTCTTGTTTTTATGATAAATGTATGTTTACACTGCTTGTACTACTTTATAGACCCTCCAGCAGTTCTCTCCAAAGTTTGTTCACACTCTCCCCAGTTTTGGGTATTGTCTTTAAAAGTTTTTTTTGTTTTTGTTTTTGAGACGGAGTCTCACTCTGTCGCCCAGGCTGGAGTGCAGTGGTGCCATCTTGGCTCACTGCAACCTCCACCTCCAGGGTTCAGGCGATTCTCCTGCCTCAGCCTCCCAAGCAGCTGGGATTACACTACACCTGGCTAATTTTTTTGTATTTTTAGTAGAGACAGGGTTTCACCATGTTGGCCAGGCTGGTCTTGAACTCTTGACCTCAGGTGATCCACCCGCCTCGGCCTCCCGAAGTGCTGGGATTACAGGCGTGAGCCACTGTGCCTGGCCTGTCAGTCTGTTAAATTTTAACCATTCTAGTAGGTGAGAAAAGCTATCTCATGGTTTTGGTTTTCATTTCTCTGATGAATAATGATGAGCATCTTTTCTTGTGCTTAGTAGTCATTCTTTTTTGGTGAGATTTTGGTTTGTCTTTTGCAAATTTCAAAACTTAAGTTGCTTTTTTTTTTTTTTTTTTGGAGACAGCATCTCACTGTGTTGCCCATACTGGAGTGCAGTGGCGCCATCTCAGCCCACTGCAACCTCCGCCATGTTGCTCAGGCTGGTCTCTCAACTCCTGAGCTCAAGTGATCACCCATCTCGTCTCCCAAAGTGCTGGGATTATGGGCGTGAGCCACCACGCCTGGCTGGGAGTTTGCCTTTTTATTGAAACGTAAAGTTCTTTATATATATTCTATATCTAGGTCCTTTGTCAGATACATGTATTGCAGGTATTGACTCTGGCTTGCATGCTCATTTTCTTGGTGTCTTTTGAAGAGCTAAAGGTTTAAATTTTGATTAAGTCTGGTTTATCAATTTATTTTATGGTTAATGACTTTTGTGTCCTATCTAACAATTTTTTGCCTACCCCAAGTTTACTAAGATTTTCTCCACTTTTTAACCCAGCATTTTTATAGTTTTAGCTTTAAAATATAAACCTGTAATCCATTTTGTGAGTTATTTTTTGTGTGAGGTTGAGGTTCATTTTTTTAAAAACTGTATGTTAAAACACCATTTATTAAAGACAGTACTTTTTCATTATATTATTTTGGCATTTTTATACAAAAATCAGCCATCTGTGTGTGGTCTGTTCTTTATTGATTTGTCCATTCAGCTAATACATAATGTTTTTTGATTACAGTACTCTTCTCAGCAAATTTTGAAATTTGACAGTTTGTTCTTTTTCAAAATTCTTATGATTCTTTGAAGTCATTTGCATTTCTTTACATTTTAGAATCAGCTTTTCAGTTTCTACACAAAAGTCTGTCATGGTTTTGATTGGAATTACATTGAATCTAGATATCAATTTGGGTAAGGGGGAATGTGTTTTGTTTTGTTTTGTTTTGTTTTGTTTTTTTGAGATGAGTCTTGCTCTGTTACCAGGCTGGAGTGCAGTAATGTGATCTCTGCTCACTGCAACCTCCGCCTCCCAGGTTCAAGTGATTCTCCTGCCTCAGCCTCCTGAGTAGCTGGGACTATAGGCATGCGCCACTACGCCCAGCTGATTTTTGTATTTTTTAGTAGAGACGGGGTTTCACCATGTTGGCCAGGATGGTCTCGATCTCTTGACCTGGTGATCTGCCCGCCTCGGCCTCCCAAAGTGCTGATATTGACAGGCGTGAGCCACTGCACCCAGCCATAATGTTCTTAACAATATTGGTTCTTCCAATCTGTGAATATGTGTTATCTCTTAAATTCTCGGCACTGTCTTGTGGTTTTCATTGTAGCATTCTTGTACAATTTTTGTTTACATAGTATAAATATTAAACATTTTATAATGTTAAATGATATCGTATATGATATTTTTAAAATTTTCATTTCAAACTGTTGGTAGTATATTGAAATACGATTATTGGTTTCATCCCATTATCTTGCTAAATTCGATTATTAAGTATCTTTTTTTTTTGTTTCAAGGACTCCTTAGGATTTTCTATGTAGTCTACAGGGAGATAGCTTTACTTCTTGCTTTCTATTCTTAATAATTTATGTCTTCTTATTGCACCAGCAAGGACTCCAATACAATATTGACTAGAAGTTGAATTTCAGTATTAAATGAGAAAGGATTTCCTTACCTTATTCCTCATCTTAGGAGGAAAACACTCAATTTTTCACCATTAATATGTTAGCTGTTTTCTATAGATGCCCATTATCAAAATGAAGAAGTTCCCTTCTATTTTTAATATGCTGAGAATTTTTATTATGAATGGGTGATGAATTTTGCCATGTACTTTTCCTGTGTCTATTGAAATGGTCATGCAATTTGTCTCCTTTTTTTGTTAATGTATGAATTACGTTGATTTTTAGATGTTAAATCAATCTTGCATTCTTGAGATATACCTCACTTGGTTTTGCTACAGGTATTTTGAAGCTTTTATGAATTGCCTGCCCTTTTTTAAGGTGAAATGTTCTTTGCTTCCTATAATGCTATGTTATGGTCTACTTTGCCTGATATTAATGCCATTGTTTTTTTAATCTATGTGTTTGAATGGTATATTTTTCCCATGCTTTTACTTCTAGCTTTTTAAAGTATCTCGTAGATAGCGTATAGTTGTCTTACTTTTTTATCCCAGCTTTTAATTTTTGCTTTTGTTTAATCCATTTATATTTTATGTAATTGTTGGTATGGCAAGGTTTAAGACTGACATCTTTTTATTTGTTTTCTCTTTGTTCCTGCTTGGCCTCCAGTATCTTTGCTTCTCTCTCAATCCCTTAGCAGCTGCTCTCTGGTAAACTTCCCATGGACTTGCTCTGCACATGCGTAGTAGCCTTCAGCCAAGGACTTGGCAAAACCCTTACATAGACTACTGGCACCCTTTCTCTGTTCAGCTCCCTTCTCCCAAGTGCTTTGCCCTATATATTCCATCTGGTTCACAATCCCCGAATCTCTCTGGCTCCTTTGCTATGTTCTGCATTGGCTGTAGCTCCATGAACCATGATCACAAAATAGTCCTCAGTTAGGGAATCAAGATTTAGGGGGCTTATTCACCTGAGCTTTTCTTTCCTCATGGATCACAGTACTGCATTGCCTTTTGTCCATTGTCTGAAAAGTTGCCTAAGGTATCTGTCCTGGTAATATACAGTAATTAATGACAGGAAAGCTTGTCTCAGTACTAGTTACTCTATTCCTGGTGGAAAACTGATGTCAGAAGAATGCTTTTTAATTTCATTGTACCTTTTTAAATATACCCAAATGTGGGTAATTTGTAAACTTTCATTTTTAGGTCTCTAGATTTCTCTGTTTAATTTTTCTTCAAGAAGTTAAACTATCAACTAGATGCACAAGTTTTTCAAATTTCTTTCTGCAATGTAACCTTGACCCCTTTCTCAATTTTTTTTTTTTTTTTTGAGACAGTGTCTCGTGCAGTGGCCATCTTGGCTCACTGCAACCTCCACCTCCCCGGTTCAAACAATTCTCCTGCGTCAGCCTCCCAAGTAGCTGAGATTACAGGCACACACCACCACACCTTGCTAATTTTTTTGTATTTTTAGTACAGACGGGATTTTACCCTGTTGGCCTTGAACTGCTGACCTCAGGTAATCCACCTGCCTCAGCCTCCCAAAGTGCTGGGATTACAGGTGTGAGCTGCCGAGCCCTTTCTTAATTTTACTCCAGCATTTTGAATACACACTTAGACCAGTAGTCTCCAAAATGGCATGACTAAGTGCCATTATATTTTATTCTGTAATGTGGTGTGGCACACCACATATGCAATAAAATATCCATTCAGGTGAGGGAAGACATTAGAACTTCTTTTCAGAAATTGAGCTTTAAAGTACTTGATATATAGTTTGTCACAGTCACATGAATAAGCATGTCAAATGGCTACATTTCACATATGCTGTATGGAGTATCCTGAGAGAAGGGATTAAGGCTGCCTCAAGCCCAAATGGTATTTGTGTGAGTTAGAAATTAAGAGTCCTCTTGACATACAGGACCAAAGGATGTGTGCCTTAGGAAGTGGAATGTGGACCCCCATTTGCCTGTAAGTCTACATTTCCCCTCCAGTCAGGCAGTTCCTTGTACTGTATAACCTATCTTAACTGTACACAGCTGCCCTAGAGGTCATGGGATTTCGATACTGCAGACTCTGTTGTTTGTTTTTGCCTCCTACAAGTATAATTTTTTTTTTTTTTTTTTTTTTTTTTGAGATGGAGTCTCTCTCTGTCACCAGGCTGGAGTGCAGTGGTGTGATCTTGGCTCACTGCAACCTCTGCCTCCTGGGTTCAGGCGATCCTCCTGCCTCAGCCTCCCAAGTAGCTGGGAGCATAGGCGTGTGCCACCACACCCAGCTAGTTTTTGTGTTTTTAGTAGAGACAGGGTTTCACTATGTTGGTCAGGATGGTCTCAATCTCTTGATCTGCCCACCTCGGCCTCCCAAAGTGCTGGGATTACAGATGCGAGCCATCGCGCCCAGTCTTTGTAACATAATTTTATATGTACTTGTAAAAATAGGTTTATGGGTTTTAATATCTGTTTTTAACTAAATGTCTGTCAAAAAATAGAAGATTATGGTAGGCCATTACCAGGCCTCTGGCATAAAACCCTTAATCTCATTTCCTAGGGAAGTCCCATATGGAGGCTGCTCACAAAAGCCCCTTAATTTCAGCAGTTTGGGAAGTCCCTAAGTTGTAGGATATAGGGTACATGTATAATAACCTTAAAAAGTGATCGCTTGTTTCAATTAACGACAGAGACAGTTCCATTTAAGTCTGTAACTTCACCAGTGTTGTATAGATGGATGTATACCTGTCATTCTTGGGACCTGAATATGCAATTAGCTGACAAGGGGATTAGCTGGCAAGGAGATCCCTGTCCTATAGAAAGCTGTAGCTGTTACTGTCTCAATTTTGTGTTTCATGTTATCAGTGTGTGGAGTTGATGGAGCTTTAATTTTTCACCAGCTTTAAATTATTTGAATCTTAGAAGTCTTATTTTCAGTTATGATAAAGATAGTACTCCTTTGCAGGTAGAATAACATTAAAGTGGCAGAGCTGGCACTTTATAGGCTCTTATCAGTTTTATTGTGAGGTTAACAACTGATTATCTAACCAGATCTAACAAGAAGTGGGCCTAAAAGTTCAAAATTAACAAGATTACTCTTTGAAATTGACTGACATCCTCCATTACAAATGATGGACCATGCATTAAGTGTATACTGCATCTGAAAGCATTAGTTGACAATAGTGTGAAGCTATCTTGATTAGCAAAACATTTAAAAATATTTATTTCATCTTGATTTTATTCCTTATATGTTTTACGCTAATATGATTTATTATGTATAGGATGTACTAGCACTGTAGTATATGTACAGTACATGTTCAAATATTTGTGTCTAAAATAAACATAACTATTATCTGAATTGCCTCAATATTTTTGCTTTTCATCTAGTCTTTCAAAACCTTTTTCAAATGCCATATCCTCTTTGACATTATGAAACCACCTTATTTCTCAAAGGACTTTCTTCTGATTTTTTTTCTAATATAAATAATCTATAGGTTCTCATCTCATAGTATAATAAATTTATTTTTATTTTATTTATTTATTTATTTATTTTGAGACAGAGTCTCACTCTGTCATCCAGGCTGGAGTGCAGTGGTGCAATCTTGGCTCACTGCAACCTCTGTCTCCTGGGTTCAAGTGATTCTCATGCCTCAGCCTCCCCAACAGCTGGGATTACAGGTGCGCGCCACCACAGTTGGCTAATTTTTGTATTTTTAGTAGAGATGGGGTTTCGCCATGTTGGCCAGGCTGGTTTCAAACTCCTCACCTCAGGTGATCCGCCTGCCTCAGCCTCTCAAAGTGCTGGGATTACAGGCATGAGCCACCGCACCCGGCCTGGTATAATACATTTAAAAGAAAAATGTCTTCTATAGGAATTAGGAATCCTGACTACCAGAAGATCTTTATTTTATTTTGATTATAGGTGAAGAGTCTCCCTTATATCTCTTACCAAAGGCAGCAGTGTTTTACAGGGTCATGCTCCTCCTGCAAGGTCAAGTAAGAGAAGACTAAAAAAAGAAAAAAAACCAACCATGGAAAAGCATATAGGTGGAGAGATAGATAGTGAAAGCCAGATTGGGGTAGGTTAAACAATGAGAGGGAGATGAAAAGACATAGTTGGAAAGTTTAGACAACTCTGAAGTGGGGAGGAATGGGATAAGGTAATACTTAAGGGGAGAAAAAAAATAAAAAGTTGAGGAAGGTTTCTCACTTTCTTTTTATATAAATCAGGCTTAAAAACATTTAAATGGACATGGAAAGGATCCACGAGAACTACTGAATTTATAAAAAAAAAAAAAGATTTGGTGAGGCTTCTGAGAAAGCAGAAAGGCATTGATCTGAGGCATGGGTAGAGATTGGTGACTTTGGATAGGAGACACACTTTCTCTTGTGAATAGGAGAGAAGGTAAGAATAGGTGCTAAATACAGGTGTGTGTGTCCTCAAAATGGGTGGAATTTCTGTATTCTGAGCCCCCCACTGATTTCTCCCTTAAATAGAAAGTGAGGTCGTCTGCTGAGAATGAGAGGGTAACAGGAGTGGAACAAGGTTGAGAAGGGAGTTTTGAAGTTGACCAATAAAATGTAGTGTTAGTGCAGGTTGTGTTGAGGCTTGTTTGGTGCTAAAGACCATGAATTAACAACGATACCTATCTGTCTTCTTATAGTGCTATCTAGTGCCTTTTTGAAGCAGGGTATTTTAGGGCAGTGCTACTCAAGGCATGAGCTGCGAACTATTAGGGTCTGAAACAAGATAAGGACATTGCCACAGAATGTTGACCAGTGTACTGCTTCCTTCATCCAGCTGAACTAAATGTCAGCTGAACTAAATGATCTTGGTTGGTTTACATTCTGACACAAGCTCTTAAAAAAATTTTTTTTTTAAATAGAAACAGGGTCTCACTTTGTTAGTCAGGTTGAACTCCTGGACTCAAGCAGTTCTCCTGCCTTGGCCTCCCATTCAATCCCTTACGATGGTTAATAATTCCTTATGTTGGCTGGGTGCGTTGGCTCATGCCTGTAATCCCAACACTTTGGGAGGCTGAGGCAGGCGGGTTACCTGAGGTCAGGAGTTCGAGACCAGTCTGGCCAACATGGTGAAACCCTGTCTCTACTAAAATTACAAAAATTAACCAGGCGTGGTGGCATGTGCCTGTAGTTCCAGCTACTCGGGAGGCTGAGGCAGGAGAATTGCTTGAACCCAGGAGGCGGAGGCTGCAGTTAGCCTAGATCATGCCACTGCACTCCAGCCTGGGTGACAGAACGAGACTCTGTCTCAAAAAAATGATAATAATAATTCCTTAAGTTAAACTTCATTTCAAATTAATGTGTGGTTTCTCTCTACTTACTGTATGCAGACTGATGCATCATTTTGGGCAACAGTGATTTGTCTTTTTCAATGCCTTACATTAAGAAACACATGATTGTCTTTCTGTCCCGTTGTTAGTGTTGGCCTTGATCACTTGTTTAAGGTGGTGACTGCCAGATTTCTCCACTCTAAAGCTATCTCCTCCTCTCCTTTTGTAATTAACAAATAACCTTTTAGGAGATACTTTGGAGTCTGTGTGAATATTCTGTTCCAAAAAAACTTAGATTGGCATCCACTGATTTCTTGCCTTTATCAGCTATTACTGTGATAGTACAAAATGGTTTTTCTATCACTGTATGCTTACTAGTTGATAGTCTGCTGTATGGATAACCATTTTCTTTTCCATTTATCTATCATGGACTTATGAAATATTTTAGTCAGTATGTTATAGCCATTCCTTTCTTTACTTCTTTTGACAATCAAATTGCCCAAATTTGGACAATAGAAACCTCTTAAAGTTGACAGTCATGGCTCACTACAGCCTTAACCTTCCAGGCCTGAGCCATCCTCCCACCTCAGCCTCCCAAGTAGCTGGCACCACAGGAATCTACCACCATACCTGGCTAATTTTTATTTTTATTGTAGAGACGGGATCTCCCTACATTGCTCAGTCTGGTCTTGGACTTCTGAGCTCAAGTGATCCTCCTGCCTTGGCCTCCCAAAGTGCTAGGATTACAGGCATGAGCCATGGCACCCAGTTGAGCACTTTTTTATTTCCTGGCAAAATAAGAATTTCTAGATTTATCTTGTACTTTTTCTTTTTTTTTTTTTTTGAGACGGAGTCTTGCTGTATCACCCAGGCTGGAGTGCAGTGGCGCTATCTCAGCTCACTGCAAACTCTGCCTCCCGGGTTCACGCCATTCTCCTGCCTCAGCCTCCCAAGTAGCTGGGACTACAGGCGTCCGCTACTGCGCCCAGCTAATTTTTTGTATTTTTAGTAGAGACGGGGTTTCACCATGTTAGCCAGGATGGTCTCTATCTCCTGACCTCGTGATCTACCCGCCTCAGCCTCCCAAAGTGCTGGGATTACAGGTGTGAGCCACCGCGCCCGGCCTATCTTGTACTTTTTCTATGCCAGCTCTCCAAGGAGCCCCAATTCCTTATTTTGGTGAAATCCAGTTTATCTTTTATGGATTATTCTTTTGTGCCATATTTAAGAAATCTTTGTCTAACACAGGTATTTTATCCTGTTTTCTTCTTGGAAGTCCCATAGTTTTGAGGTTTACATTTAGGTCTATGATCCATTTTGAGTTAATGTTGGTATGTGGTATGAGATATGGATCCAAGTTCATTTTATACATGGATATGCAGTTTTTCTAGCATTGTTGTTAGAGGACTGTCCTTTCTCCACTGCATTGTCATTGTCAAAAATCAGTTGTCCGTGCATGTCTGTGTTTATTTCTGGACTCTCTTCTGTTCCATTGGTCTTTTTGTTTATCTTTACACTAATATCATGCTGTTGAGTCTGTATTAAAGCCAAGAGATCTTATGTCAGGAAAACAATAGGGAAGATGTTCTGCAGGAAATCCTTGTGTCTAACTGTAGAACTAAATTTAGTGACAGAGAAAAGGGGTGACAAAGTAGTATATACTTGTTATGCACCCTAACAATGTAGGTATAATACAGTTATTCAAGAGTATAAGGGATATCATTTATGTGAATACTTCCTGAGGAAGCTGTTAGAGAATTAAGTTTCAGACAGCCAAGAAATGGTTTAATAGGCTCATTGATTGATTGTTTTATAAAACTTAACCAGGGCATCAAGAGATATTACTACTTTAAATAGATGCTGTGTGTTGTGGTATGGGAATGGTGAGGGGGGAAGAATGGAGCTAATTTCTATGTTGCTTATACTAGGGAATCAAAAGATAGTATCTAACAAAGAGAGGACTTAAGGATATTATATAAAGATAACCATTAGGACAAAAGCCCAAACCTTTCTAGATAGCAAAAGAAGTATTGGCAGGGGGAAGGAGGTGGTGGGAAGGGTACAGAAAGGAGAGCAAAAGAAACAAATACAATGAAATTATATATTCTCACTGTGACAGAATTGAGACCATATAGTGATATTAGTAAATGGGCTTAACTGGCCTATTAAGAGAAAAAATATTTTTGGGTTAACATAGCAAAATCCAACTCTGTGGTTTTGTTTTCTTTCGTTGCTGTTTTGAGTCTGAGTCTTGCTCTCTCGCCCTGGCTATAGTGCAGTGGTGTGATCTCACTGCAACCTCCAGGGTTCAGGCAATTCTCCTGCCTCAGCCTCCCAAGCAGCTGGGACTACAGGAGCGATGCACCATACCCAGCTAATTTTGGTATTCTTGGTAGAGATGACGTTTTGCCATGTTGGCCAAGCTGGTCTCGAACACCTGGCCTCAGTGATCCACCCACCTCAGCATCCCAAAGTGTTGGAATTACAGGCGTGAGCCACTGTGCCTAGCCCAACTCTGTCTTTTATATAAAAGATACATCTGCAAAATCGAAAAACTCAAAGATTAGGAGGTTGGGCAAAGATATGCCAGACAAATATAATAAAAAGGGGTTATTATAGTTATTTTGCGCAAGGTAAAACTCAGGCCAGAAATCATTAAAGAGGTAGGACACATTATAAATAATGCTACAAGCTGCAGTCTGTAATGAAGATACGTTATTGGGTGCATGGATATTCATGACAGCTTTCATTTAAAAAAAAGAAGCTTCAGGAGAGTCATTAAGAGTTAGGAGCATATTAATAATAGAAGACCTAAAATCCATCTCAGTTCAAGATAGATCAACTGGACAAAAACTTCAGTAAGGCTATTGAGGACCTAGATTAACACAACTGAAAGGTAGATCTTAGGGTCATCTATTGCATATAAGAGAATATACATTTTTGTAAATGCGCATGGGATGCTCATGAAAGATGATTATTGAGGTACAAAGAAAACTCTTAAAAATTTCTCCCAGGCCGGGCGTGGTGGCTCACGCCTGTAATCCCAGCACTTTGGGAGGCCAAGGTGGGTGGATCATGAGGTCAGGAGTCCGAGACCAGCCTGACCAACATGGTGAAATCCTGTCTCTACTAAAAATACAAAAATTAGCCGGGCATGGTGGCGTGCGCCTGTAATCCCAGTTACTCAGGAGGCTGAGGCAGGAGAAATGCTTGAACCTGGGAGGCGGAGGTTGCAGTGAGCTGAGATCATGCCACTGCACTCCAGCCTGGGCGACAGAGCGAGGCTCCGTCTCAAAAAAAAAAAAAAAAAGAAATTCCCCCAAAATAGGTACAGCATTATACTTTGACATTATACTTTTTGGGTGAAACTGAGGAAAGGAAGATAATCCATTATATTGCCGGTGGGAATGCAGAATGCTAAAACTGGAAGGGAATTTGGTAATATCTAGTAAAATGCAAATGCATTTCCTCATTGACCTGGCAATCTCCACTTCTAGGAATGTATCTCAGAGATACAAATGCAAAATAATAAAGTGAGGCGTGCACAGTGTTATTTGTCTGTAGCACTGTTGATAATAATAAAAGATTGATATGACCACCAATAAATGACTGGTGGAATAAACTATGGTATATTACTGTGCCGATGTAAAAAAGGAATGAAAAAGATATGAATACTGCTGTGGAGTGAATTCCATGATGTACTGTTAAGTAGAAATCAAGGTGCAGAAGAATGAGTATTATATGCTACCCTTTGTGTCTCTGTGTGTGTGTGTGTTTCTTAGCTCTATCCACTAAAAGGATCTAAAGCAACAGTATCTCCATGACAATAAGAAAAAGAGAAAATATGTGCTTATATTTACAAATAAACAACGGAGGCCAGGCATGGTGGCTCACACCTGTAATCCCACACTTTGGGAGGCTGAGGCAGGAGAACTGCTTGAACCCAGGAGGCAGAGGTTGCAGTGAGCGGAGATCAGGCCACTGCACTCCAGCCTGGGAGACAAACAGAGACTCCACCTCAAAAAACAAACAACAGAAGAATAAATAATTAAAAATGACTGCTAGCGAGGCAAGAAAAAGTTGGGAAGGAATTAGAGAAGAAAATTAGACCTCTGTAAATGTAACTGGTTCACAGTATTGACTTTGGAACTATGTAAATGTTTTATGAAACTGAACAAATATAAGTAACTCTCCCTGCTTCCCCAGCAAACAAAACAAATGAACGTTGTTCTGTATCAACCAGATAGTTTTACCTACATAGTAAAGGATTTTTGAAACTGATTTTTAAATCACAATATTGATTGTGCATTCCTAGTATGCTATATTGTAAGCACAAAAAAACTTATATTGCATTCAGTGGTGTGTTTTTAGTGGTTATGTTGGTATTTTGAAACTATTCAGGTTTCATGTGAGGTAAAGCAAGCAGATACTTGTGGTAATATCATTAGGCATAGAAATTCTCAGGATAATGATGAAGGAAAGCTCCAGGATGGCAGCTTGCAGCAGGCTTGAAAAGGTTTGGAGCTGGATGAAGGACTTCATATTTCAGAGAAGGATACATTTGAGGGCACAAATGTAAAACTGTTTGATTAGCTGATATATTTGAACATATTGAAAAGGGTTTGCAGTTCTGTCGGAAAGTTTGCTGCTGATTTAGTGATAAATACTTAAAAACTAAGCAGATTTTTAAAATGCAGGCAATTGATAATTCGAGAATGAAATTGCTTGAGAAAGGAAATACTGTACTATGCTCTGCACCTCAGTTGTGAATATTATTAAATGTTTATAATATATAAACATGTTTTATTTATCAGATTTCCAACTAAAATTATAAATTTGTTGGAAAACTAATAGAAATAAATGTCAGGAGGATAAGGAGGGAAAGATTTTTTGATGGGGTCTTACCTACATTTTCCACTGTAAGGCTGGACAGGTAAGCCTTGTGGTTTATAAATCTTGGAATGTTGTAATTTAAAAAGAAATTGGTTTATGTACTAGTATAATTAAAGGAAACTGAGAAGTATATTGATTAATATTATAGGTCAGGGTAAATTATTTTGTTTTGGGCACAGTGGTTCATGCCTGTAATCCCAGCACTCTGGAAGGCTGAGGCAGGAGGATCGCTTGAGACTAATTCAAGACCAGCCTGAGCAGCATAGCAAAAACCCTGTCTTTTTATTTATTTATTTATTTTTGAGGCAGCATCTTACTCTGCGGCCCAGGCTAGAGTGCAGTAGTGCAAACACAGCTTACTTCAGCCTTTATCCCCTGGGCTGAAGTGATCCTCCTACCTTAGCCTCTTGAGTAGCTGGGACAACAGGTGCATGCTACCACACCCAGCTAGTTTTTGTTTATTTTAGAACTCAGGGATTCATGAATGGGCAGTATCAGTTGAGCAAGTGGCTCAGTGCTCCAAAGAAGGGGCAGGAGAGGGAAACTTTGATAAGGTGTTCTTGGCATCAAGACAGTAGAAAGTACCTAGTTAGAGGCTAGTTGGCAGTTTCTGATTCATAAAGTCACTAGAGGTTAGTTGGTGGTTTCTGATTAGTTAAGCTTAAGTTCACTTTGAGTTTGGTTTCTTTTTGCTTAAATAGGAACCCAAGGTGCTGTGGCCATCTCAGCATAGTGGCCTTCCAATTCATTATTTTAATAGGGATTAAGAAGACTAAAAGTTAAGGCTCCATCCTTGACTTTTTAAAAAAGCTTAATCTTCCCTTAACAAATTCTGTCAATTCTCCTTTCTACATCTCAGAAATCGGTTGCCTTCTTTTTATCTTCATTTCCTGAGGTCATTTCAGCTGCTTCCTAATTGTCCTTCCTACCTCTGAGGGTGCCTTCTCATTTTTGTTGAAGAGGTCTCCCCACCATGAACTGAAAACTTAGGATGCTTAAGCTTTTCAAAAAGTGTGAGGGAAACACATGTACAATTAACATATTAAGTGAATAATTATATAACCACCACTTAGATCAAGAAACACACATAGCCAGTAACCCCAAAAGTTCCTTGTCTGCTATATTTTTATCACTCCTTCCCTTTCCCTTAGAAGTTAACCGTTTGTCCAACCTTTTTTTTTTCTTCTTCTTCTTCTTTTTGACAGGGTCTTGCTCTGTCACCTAGGCCAGAGTGTAGTGGTGCAATCAGGGATCACTGCAGCCTTTATCTGCCAGGTTCAAATGATCCTCCAGCCGTAGACTCCTGAGTAGCTGGGCGTGTGTCACCATGCCTGAATGAGACGGAGTTTTGCTCTTGTTGCCCAGGCTGGAGTGCAGTGGCGGGATGTTGGCTCACCGCAATCTCTGCCTCCTGGGTTCAAGCAATTCTCCTGCCTCAGCCTCCCAAGTAGCTGGGATTACAGGCATGTGACGCCTGGCTAATTTTGTATTTTTTAGTAGATATGGGGTTTCTCCATGTTGGTCAGGCTGGTCTCGAACTCCCGATCTCAGGTGATCTGCCTGCCTTGGCCTCCCAAAGTGCTGGGATTACAGGCGTGCCACTGCGCCCGGCATTTATTTTATTTTTTAATTTTATTTTTTTTTGAGACAGAGTTTTGCTCTTGTTGCCCAGACTGGAGTGCAATGGTGCGAGCTCAGCTCACTGCAGCTTCTGCCCCCGGGTTCAAGCGATTCTCCCACCTCAGCCTTCCAAGCAGCTGGGATTACAGACATGCGCCAACACCTCCGGCTAATTTTTGTGTTTTTAGTAGAGACAGGGTTTCGCCATGTTGGCCAGGCTGGTCTCAAACTCCTGAACTCAGGTGATCCACTAGCTTCAGCCTCCCAAAGTGCTGGGATTACAGGTGTAAGCCACCGCACCCGGGCCATGAATTAAGTTTTTAAATTTTTTTTTGTAGTGACGAGGTCTCACTTTTACCTAGGCTGGTCTTGAACTCCTGAGGTCAAGCAGTCCTACCACCTCAGTCTCCCAAAGTTCTGGGAATACAGGCGTGAGGCACTGCACTTGGCCTGCCCCACTTTTATGTTAACAATTCCTTCATTTACGTAATGGTGAATGCTGTAACCTAGCTTTGTCTGTTTTGGGACTTTGTGTGAAAGGAATGGTGCTGGTGTATTTTATTTCTTCCTATCTTCATTTAACATTGAAGGGATCATCCATGTTGTTGCATATAGCTATAGTTTATTCATTTTTAATGCTATATAATACTTTGCACAAATATACCACAATTAAATTTTCCATTCTGTTATTGCTGTGTATTGGAAATGTTGCCTGTTTTTTGCTCTTTTTAAAGCAATGAAGCTATTAACATTCTTGTTAATATATCCTGCTGTTCGTATATGTGAGTCCTGAGGTTTTGGTGTGTGGGTGTTTTTTTGTTTTGTTTTGTTTTTTTAAATACGGTAAGGCAGAATTCCTGATCATAGAGAAGGTGAACGCTCAAGTTAACTTACCAACTCTCATATACCCACTAGCAGTTCATGTATGTTCCTGTTGGCTCAGATGTAGATGTTCACTAACATTTTGTATTATCAATCTTTTTATTTTTTGGCAACCTCGTGGGTGTTTCCTGTTAACTTATTGGGATCTGAGAAGCTTTTCCTAAGTACCAGTTAGGTTGAGCACTTTCCATATCCATCATTTAGATTTCAGCTATTGTGAAGCACTTGTTTGAGTCTCTCCTATTTTTTCTTTTTGTTGGGTTATTTAAACTTTTTTTTTCATTTTTTAAAAAGTTATTATTATTATTATTTTTTAAGACAGAGTTTCACTCTTGTTGCTCAGGCTGGAGTGCAATGGTGTGATCTCAGCTTGCTGCAACCTCTGACCCCCAGGTTCAAGCGATTCTCCTGCCTCAGCCTCCCGAGTAGTAGGGATTACAGGCATGCGCCACTACGCCCGGCTAATTTTGTATTTTTAGTAGAGATGGGGTTTCTCCATGTTGGTCGGGCTGGTCTCAAACTCCCGAGCTCAGTGATTCACCTGCCTTGGCCTCCCAAGTTATTATTTTTTTTATGAGACTTGATCTTGTTGTGTTGTCCAGGCTGGTCTCAAACTCCTGGGCTCAAGCAATCCTTCTGCCTCAGCCTCCCAAATATCTGGGATGACAAGTATGCGCCACCGTGTCTGGCTATTTTAATTTTAATAGGAGTTATTTTATATTCTCGCTATCTTCTTCCATTCTGTTTGCCTTTTTTATAGGGTCTTTTATTTTTTGAATTTGAATTTTTGAATTTTATGAATCTCTGTGGTAAGTACTCTCGTTTTAAGAATCTTTCTGGGCTGGGCGCTGTAGCTCACACCTGTAATCCCAGTACTGTGGGAGGATCACTCGAGCCCAGGAGTTTGAGACTAGTGTGGGCAACATAGGGAGACCTTATCTCAATACAAACAAACAAACAAACAAAACGAGCCAGGCATGGTGGCACAAGCCTGTGATCTCAACTACTTGAGAGGCTAATGTGGGAAGATTGCTTGGACCCAGGAGGACCCAGGGCTGCAGTGAGCCTTCATCATACCACAGCACTCCAGCCTGAGTAACAGAGCAAGACCCTGTCTCCAAAAAAAAAGAAAAAAGAAAATATTTTATTTTAAAAGCTCTATAATTTTTCCTTCACATTTGGGTTTTCGTTTCATCTGCAGTTGATTTATGTGTATGGTGAGGTTGCAGTCCAGTTTCACTTTCTACCTGCTATCCAAGCCCCATTAGCGGAAAATAGTACCATTCTTTTCCCAGTGCTCTACACCGCCGTGCTTATAATTATGTATGCGTGAGTCTGTTTCTTCCTTAGCGTCTGATTTCTCTTTCTCAGGCAGTTTTAATCTGTTGATCTATTTGTTACTACCTGCACCAGGGCCACACTTTTTTTTCCTTTTAGAAAAAAGGGTCTTGCTATGTTGCCCAATTTGGTCTCGTACTCCTGACCTCAAATTGTCCTCCTGTCTTGGTCTTGGGATTACAGGCATGAACCACTGCTTGGCCCACATTCTCTTTACAGTAGTTTTTGACAGCTGGCAAAGCAAGTCCTTATGTAACCCCTTACCAATACCTGTAATTATTTTTCAGAAGCATCTTCTAATTGTTTTTTAGCTATTTGAATTATCACATAAGAATCCACCTGTCAGGTTTCACAAAAAAACATGATAGGCTATTGGGATTATGAGAAATTGATAAAAAAAATCACTTTGGGGAGAATATTATTATGCTTCTTAATTTTTTTCCTTTAAGTCAGATGGGTAGCGTGGTAGCATCCTAACAAAGTTTGAAGGAGGCACATCGTACACATATGCCTGAAAACCTGATCATCATGCTTATGAACCACAAAAGGATCTTATGCTTTCTTTACCGACTCGTTAAGTATAATTATTCCCATTGAGATTTTGCAAGTCTTCTCTTAAAGTTTTTCTAGGTACTTGATAGGTTATGATGCTACTGTAAATGATATTCCATTTTAACTTCATTCTACCTTTTTGTTCCTGGTAAATATAAATACAAATGTGTGGGGTTTTTTTTCCTTTTTATTATTTTTTGTAGTGATGGTGTCTCACTATGTTGCCCAGGTGGGTCTTGAACTCCTGGACTCAAGTGATCCTCTCACTTTGGCCTCTCAAAATGCTGAGAGCTTTTGGCCACTGTGCCTGGCCCAAATATGTTTTATGTCTTAATTTGTTTTTGTTTTTTTGAGCCACAGTCTCCTTCTGTCACCCAGGCTGGAGTGCAGTGGCACAGTCAGGGATCACTGCAGCCTCAGCCTCCTGGGCTCAAGTCATCTTCCCACCTCATCCTCTCGAGTAGCTGGGACTACAGGCATGTACCACCATGCTCAGCTAATTTTTCCTCATTTTTGTAGCGGGGGGGGTCTCACTTTGTTGCCCAGGCTGGTGTCAAATCCCTACACTCCTCTGGCCTCAAATGCCTACACTCCTCTGGCCTTGGCCTCCCAAAGTGCTGGGATCCTAGGCATTAGCCACTGTGCCTGGACCCAAATGTTAAAAAATTTTTTTTTCAATAACTTTGTTAAATCTTTCTAATTCTAGTAAGTTCTCTGTAGCTTTGTTTGGCTTCTCTTGTATCTAATCATATCATCTGTGAATAATGACAGTGTTTATTATTTCCAATCTTTATGCCTTTTCTTTTTCTTGCTTTATCATGCTGCCTAAATTCTCCATTGTTGAATAAAAGTCAAGCCAGTGGAAATTTATCTTGTTCCTGATCTCAGAAAGGAAGCTTCAACATTACACCATTAAATAGGAAGTTTGCTGTAGGATTTTATATAGATCTTTTATAAGCATATAGATATTCCCATTGGTGAGGGAGGGATTCCTGCCATAGGATTATGAGGTTGGCCCAATACATAACAACTGACACTGGGCAGATGAAATTGACAACAGTTTATTAGTCACATAGACTTGTATAGCCCTGGGGAGGACACTACATTGCCAGGCAGGGCCACATGATGGTTGCACTTGGGACGGAGTAAACAAACAGGGACTGTGGGAGGTAGCCTTTTTATGTAGTATCATGAAAGTGGGGTGCCCCTGGTTCCCACAGGAGGATGAGATTGGCTTGTTTGAATAATTATATAGGTTGGCAAGGAACTGAAACTCAATATTTAAGCATAAGCAGAAATTGTGCCTGGTCGCTTTGATAAAGAGTATTTGGTTAAGGGACCCTCTCTGTGGAAGTAGAGTGGGGAGGAGAACTTGTGGTTAGGCTGTTCAAAGTCCTCCCGGTTTTACCAGAATCAAGGCAGTACATAATATTGAACCTCAATTCTAGGCCATATACCTCCCCATTTATTTTCTAATATTCACAGAGGCATGTGTGTCTGTGAGTGTATCTTTTTGATCATAAATAGATTTTTTTTTTTTTTGAGACGGAGTTTCGCTCTTGTTGCCCAGGCTGGAGTGCAATGGCGCGATCTTGTCTCACCTCAACCTCCGCCTCCCGGGTTCAAGTTATTCTCCTGCCTCAACCTCCTGAGTAGCTGGGATTACAGGCATGTGCCACCATGCCTGGCTAATTTTGTATTTTTAGTAGAGATGGTGTTTCACCATGTTGGTCAGACTGGTCTGGAACTCTTACCCTCAGGTGATCCACCCACCTAGGCCTCCCAAAGTACTGGGATTATAGGCATGAGCCACCACGCCTGGCCTTAGATTTTTTTTTTTTTAATATACTTTTTCTTATGTATCTAGTGAAAGCATAATTGTTCCTTTAATCTGTTAGGTGGTGAGTTCTAAGAATTGATTTTCTAATAGTAAAATAAACTTTCCTAGGCAGAAGTCTACTTTGTGATGGCATATTATTCTTTTCACATGCTGTAGGATTTGGTTTGCTAATACTTTGTTTATTACTTTTATGTTTATGAATTACCTTGGCCTGTGGTTTTTCTTTGTAATACTGCCCTTATGAATTTTTTTGTAGAGTTAGGCGAACTTCATAAAATGAATTACAGAGTGCTACTGATTTAATTTCCCTGAAGGAATTTCATGATACTTACAATCCCTGTGTAAGTTTGGAATTAAAGTATTTCTTGAATATATGGTAGCAGTCAGGGACTGGGCCTTTCTTTGTGGGAAGATTTTAACTCTGGATTCAGTTTTCGTAAAGGTTTATCTATAGGACTCTATTCTACTTGAGATACTATGGTAGACAGTTTCTTTTTTTCTAGGAATTTATACATTTTATATAAATTTTCAATTTTATTGATATAGGTAGTTGATAATAACCTCTTGGTAATTCTTTCTCTGTGTCATCTAACGTTATGAATTTTCTTTTTCATTCCCAGTGCTGATTTTATAGGCCTTCCCTATTTCTTTCTCTTTCCTCAATATGGATTTTCAATTTTATTGGTTTCTTTGAAAAAATACATTAATCGTTCTGTTTCATTTTATTAATTTCCTTTTATTTGGGAATATTTTACTATGCCTTGTCAATGTTTTGAGTACTTTTTTTTACAGTAGTAAAATATACATAACATAAAATTTACTACTTTAATCATATTCAAGTATATAATTCTGTGGCATTAAGTACATTCATAGTGTTCTGTAACTTTCACTGCTATTTCCAGAACTTTTTCATCATCCTGAGAAGAACTTTTTTTTTTTTTAATTATACTTTAAGTTCTAGGGTACATGTGCACAATGTGCAGGTTTGTTACATATATATGCATGTGCCATGTTGGTTTGCTGCACCCATTAACTCATCATTTACATTAGGTATTTCTCTTAATGCTGTGCCTCCCCCATCCCCTCACCCCATGACAGTCCCTGGTGTGTGATGTTCTCTGCCCTGTGTCCAAGTGTTCTCATTGTTCAGTTCCCACCTATGAGTGAGAACATGCAGCATTTGGTTTTCTGTTTGCTCAGAATGATGGTTTCCAGCTTCATCCATGTCCCTACAAAGGACATGAACTCATCCTTTTTTATGGCTGCATAGTATTCCATGGTGTATATGCGCCACATTTTCTTAATCCAGTCTATCACTGATGGACATTTGGGTTGGTTCCAAGTCTCTCCTGTTGTCAGTAGTGCCACAATAAACATACATGTGCATGTCTTTATAGTAGCATGATTTATAATCCTTTGGGTATATACCCAGTAATGGGATCACTGGGTCAAATGGTATTTCTAGTTCTAGATCCTTGAGGAATCGCCACACTGTCTTCCACAATGGTTAAACCAGTTTACACTCCCACCAACAGTGTAAAAGTGTTCCTATTTCTCCACATCCTCTCCAGCACCTGTTGTTTCCTGACTTTTTAATGATCGCCATTCTAACTGGTGTGAGATGGTATCTCATTGTGGTTTTGATTTGTATTTCTCTGATGACCAGTGATGATGAGCATTTTTCATGTGTCCGTTGGCTGCATACATGTTTTCTTTTGAAAAGTGTCTGTTCATATTCTTTGCCCACTTTTTGATGGGGTTGTTTGATTTTTTTCTTGTAAATTTACATTCTTTGTAGATTCTGGATATTAGCCCTTTGTCAGATAGGTAAATTGCAAAAATTTTTTCCCATTCTGTAGGTTGCCTGTTCACTCTAATGGCAGTTTCTTTTGCTGTGCAGAAGTTCTTTAGTTTAATTAGATCCCATTTGTCTATTTTGGCTTTTGTTGCCATTGCTTTTGGTGTTTTAGTCATGAAGTCCTTGCCCATGCCTATGTCCTGAATGGTATTGCCTAGGTTTTCTTCTAGGGTTTTTATGGTTTTAGGTCTAACATTTAAGTCTTTAATCCATCTTGAATTAATTTTTGTATAAGGTGTAAGGAAGGGATCCGGTTTCAGCTTTCTACATATGGCTAGCCAGTGTTCCCAAAACCATTTATTAAATAGGGAATCCTTTCCCCATTTCTTGTTTTTGTCAGGTTTGTCGAAGATCAGATGGTTATAGATGTCTGATGTTATTTCTGAGGCCTGTATTCTGTCCTACTGGTCTGTATCTCTGTTTTGGTCCCAGTACCATGCTGTTTTGGTTACTGTAGCCTTGTAGTGTACTTTGAAGTCAGGTAGCATGATGCCTCCAGCTTTGTTCTTTTTGCTTAGGATTGTCTTGGCAATGCGGGCTCTTTTATGGTTCCATATGAACTTTAAAGTAGTTTTTTTCCAGTTCTGTGAAGACAGTCATTGGTAACTTGATGGGGATGGCATTGAATCTATAAACTACCTTGGGCAGTATGGCCAATTTCACAATATTGATTCTTCCTATCCATGAGCCTGGAATGTTCTTCCATTTGTTTGTGTCCTCTTTTATTTTGTTGAGCAGTGGTTTGTAGTTCTCCTTGAAGAGGTCCTTCACATCCCTTGTAAGTTGGATTCCTAGGTATTTTATTCTCTTTGAAGCAATTGTGAATGGGAGTTCACTCATGATTTGGCTCTCTGTTTGTCTGTTATTGGCGTATAAGAATGCTTGTGATTTTTGCACCTTGATTTTGTATCCTGAGACTTTGCTGAAGTTGCTTATCAGCTTAAGGAGATTTTGGACTGAGACAATGGGGTTTTCTAAATATACAATCATGTCATCTGCAAACAGGGACAATTTGACTTCCTCTTTTGCTAATTGAATACCCTTTATTTCTTTCTCTTGCCTGATTGCCCTGGCCAGAACTTCCAACACTATGTTGAACAGGAGTGGTGAGAGAGGGCATCCCTGTCTTGTGCCAATTTTCAAAGGGAATTTTTCAAAGGTCAGTTTTTGCCCATTCAGTATGATATTGACTGTGGGTTTGTCATAAATAGCTCTTATTATTTTGAGATACGTTCCACCAATACCTAGTTTATTGAGAGTTTTTAGCATGAAGGGCTGTTGAATTTTGTCAAAGGCCTTTTCTGCATCTATTGAAATAATCATGTAGTTTTTGTCTTTGGTTCTGTTTATGTGATGGATTACGTTTCTCAATATGCATATGTTGAGCCAGCCTTGCATCCCAGGGATGAAGCCCACTTGATCTTGGTGAATAAGCTTTTTGATATGCTGCCGGATTTGGTTTGCCAGTATTTTATTGAGAATTTTCACATCGATGTTCATCAGGGATATTGGTCTAAAATTCTCTTTTTTTGTTGTGTCTCTGCCAGGGTTGGCAGATTTATGATGCTGGCCTCATAAAATGAGATAGGGAGGATTCCCTGTTTTTCTGTTGATTGGAATAGTTTCAAAAGGAATGGTACCAGCTCCTCTTTCTACCTCTGGTAGAATTGGCTGTGAATATGTCTGGTCCTGGACTTTTTTTCGTTGGTAGGCTCTTAATTATTGCCTCAATTTCAGAGACTGTTATTGGTCTATTCAGGGATTCAACTTCTTCCTGGTTTAGTCTTGGGAGTGTGTATGTGTCCAGGAATTTATCCATTTCTTCTAGATTTTCTAGCTTATTTCTGTAGAGGTGTTAATAGTATTCTCTGATGGTAGTTTGTATTTCTGTGGGATCGGTGGTGATATCCCCTTTGTCATTTTTTATTGCATCTATTTGATTCTTCTCTTTTTTCTTCTTTATTAGTCTTGGTAGTGTTCTATCTATTTTGTTGATCTTTTCAAAAAAAAAACAGCTCCTGAATTCATGAATTTTTTGAAGGGGTTTTTTGTGTCTCTATCTCCTTCAGTTCTGCTCTGATCTTAGTTATTTCTTGCCTTCTGCTAGCTTTTGAATTTGTTTGCTCTTGCATCTCTAGTTCCTTTAATTGTAATGTTAGGGTGTCAGTTTTAGATCTTTCCTGCTTTCTCTTGTGGGCATTTAGTGCTATAAATTTCCCTCCTCACACTGCTTTAAATGTGTCCCAGAGATTCTGGTACGTTGTGTCTTTGTTCTCATTGGTTTCAAAGAACATCTTTATTTCTGCCTTCATTTTGTTATGTACCCAGTAATCATTTAGGAGCAGGTTGTTCAGTTTTCATGTAGTTGTGCGGTTTTAAGTGAGTTTCTTAGTCCTGAGTTCTAATTTGATTGCACAGTGGTCTGTGAGACAGTTTGTTGTGATTTCTGTTCTTTTACATTTACTGAGGAGTGCTTTACTTCCAACTATGTGGTCAGTTTTGGAATAACTGCAGTGTGGTGCTGAGAAGAATGTATATTCTGTTGATTTGGGGTGGAGAGTTCTGTAGATGTCTCTTAGGTCTGCTTGGTGCAAAGCTGAGTTCAAGTCTTGGATATCCTTGTTAAACTTCTGTCTCATTGATTTGTCTAATGTTGACAGTGGGGTGTTAAAGTCTCCCATTATTATTGTGTGGGAGTCTAAGTCTCTTTGTAGGTCTCTAAGGACTTGCTGTATGAATCTGGGTGCTCCTGTATTGGGTGCATATATATTCAGGTTAGTTAGCTTTTCTTGTTGAATTGATCCCTTTGCCATTATGTATTGGCCTTCTTTGTCTCCTTTGATCTTTGTTGGTTTAAAGTCTGTTTTATCAGAGACTAGGATTGCAACCTCTGCTATTTTTGCTTTCCATTTGCTTGGTAGATCTTCCTCCATCCCTTTATTTTGAGCCTATGTGTGTCTGTGCACGTGAGATGGGTCTCCCGAATATAGCACACTGATGGGTCTTGACTCTCGATCCAATTTGCCAGTCTTTGTCTTTTAATTGGGGCATTTAGCCCATTTACATTTAAGGTTAATATTGTTATGTGTGAATTTGATCCTGTCATTATGATGTTAGCCGGTTATTTTGCCCGTTAGTTGATGCAGTTTCTTCCTAGCATCGATGGTCTTTACAATTTGGCATGTTTTTGCAGTGGCTGGTCTCAGTTGTTCCTTTCCATGTTTAGTGCTTCCTTTAGGAGCTCTTGTAAGGCAGGCCTGGTGGTGACAAAAATCTCTCAGCATTTTCTTGTCTATAAAGGATTTTATTTCTCCTTCACTTATCAAGCTTGGTTTGACTGGATGTGAAATTCTGGGTTGAAAATTCTTTTCTTTAAGAGTGTTGAATATTGGCCCTCACTCTCTTGGCTTGTAGAGTTTCTGCCGAGAGATCCACTGTTAGTCTGATGGGCTTCCCTTTGTGGGTAGGTAACCTGACCTTTCTTTCTGGCCGCGCTTAACGTTTTTTCCTTCATTTCAACTTTGGTGAATCTGACAATTATGTGTCTTGGAGTTGCTCTTCTCGAGGAGTATCTTTGTGGTGTTCTCTGTATTTCCTGAATTTGAACGTTGGCCTGCCTTGCTAGGTTGGAGAAGTTCTCCTGGATAATATCCCGAAGAGTGTTTTCCAGCTTGGTTCCATTCTCCCCATCACTTTCAGGTATACCGATCAGACGTAGATTTGGTCTTTTCACAAAGTCCCTTATTCCTTGGAGGCTTTGTTCATTTCTTTTTACTCTTTTTTCTCTAAACTTCTCTTCTCGCTTCATTTCATTCATTTGATCTTCAATCACTGATACCCTTTCTTCCACTTGATCGTGTTGGCTACTGAAGCTTGTGCATGCATCACCTAGTTCTCATGCCATGGTTTTCAGCTCCATAGGTCATTTAAGGTCTTCTCTACACTGTTTATGCTCGTTAGCCATTCGTCTAATCTTTTTTCAAGGTTTTTAGCTTCCTTGTGATGGGTTTGAACATCCTCCTTTAGCTCGGAAAAGTTTGTTATTACCAACCTTCTGATGCCTACTTCTGTCAACTCATCAAAGTTATTCTCCGTCCAGCTTTGTTCCGTTGCTGGCGAGGAGCTGCGATCTTTTGGAGAAGAGGCGCTCTGGTTTTTAGAATTTTCAGCTTTTCTCTGAGCAGAACTTCTTTACCCATTAAGCAAGAACTCCTCCCTATTGCCCCTTCCTCCTAGCCCCTGGTAACCTCTTTTCTGCTTTCACAAATAGAACTTTTTATTTGCCACAATTAGAAAACAGATTATTGGACTGTGGTTCATATCCAACAGCTCATTCAACATTAGCACGTATCTCATCCCCAGTTGCTTTTCCAGCACTGCTACCTTCACTGTGAAGCTCCATGAGTTTTTCCAGTTCAAACCTGGGCTTCTTCAGCATTTTTACTTTTCTACTGAAAACATCATGGAGAGGAGAAATAGATTGGCAAGCCTTTTCTATGTCTTTTCCAGTGCTATCCGGAATCAATGTATTGACCACATCTTTCAAGTCATTTGTCTGTACCTGTCAGGTCATGATTTCCAGCATCTTCTTCTGGATTTGGCAGACCTGTTGGTGCAGAGCATAAGAGATCTTCCGTATCTGATTGTTGGTTTTTTTAGTAAAACCAATACAGAACAAATGAAACAAGTAATCATAAGTAGTAGTCTTGATGTCAACATGAGCTTCAATCATGGTGTGCCATTTTTTCACCCTGGAACACATTTTGTCCTGGAGTAAGACCCATGCCATGGAAGTTAAGTCAGGCAATTTTTGCCCTGAACATCTTTGATAATCAGTTTGAATTTTCTAAATGCAACTTCATCATTCTGCAAGTCAACAAAGACTCACTGCAAACACATAACCCTTGAGACCATCAGATGCAATTTTTGTTCCTTGGTTTTGGTGATTAGTGTCTTTCTGATATTTCTTGGACATAGCAGGAGCTTTCACATCATACCAATCTTTCTAAGAAAATGGATCAACTACCTTTTTGGCTCCCTTTGCTGCCTTTCATAAGGTGCTTGTTCTTGACAACTGCTATCGTGCTGCTCCTCTTTCCTTCTGTCCTTGGGAGTTTGCCTATTCTAGAACCTCATAAAAATAGAATTATGCAATATTTGTCCTTTTCTGGTCTGACTTATTTCCTTTAGCATAGTATTTTCAAGTTTTATCCATAGCATAGCACATATCAGACATCACTTCTTATGGGTGAATAATACTCCATTGTAAGGGTATAGCACATTTTATTTACACATTGATCTTTTAGTGGATATTTAGGCTGCCCACTCTTTAGCTCTTACGAATAATACTGCTACGAACATTGGTGTCCAAATATCTGTTAGTCCCTGTTCTTCAGTTCTTTTTGGGTGTATAGGAGTAGAATGGCTGTTAGCTTTTTGGTGAACTACAAAACTGTTACCACAGCAGCTCCACCATTTTGCATCGTGTCAGCAGTGCACAAGAGTTATAGCTTCTCCACATCCTGGACAACATGTATTTTTCCTTTTATTTATTTAATTTTTTGGATGAGAGCCATCCCTAGTGGGTGTGAAGTGGTAATCTCATTGTGGTTTTGATTTGCATTTCCCAAATGATGTTGAAAATCATTTCATGTGCTTGTTGGTTGCTGTTTTTTTTTTGATCTTCTTTGGAGAAATGTCAGATAGGCACAGTGGCTGAACACTTATAATCCCAGCTATTTGGGAGTCTGTGGTGGCAGGGTCACTTGAGCCCAGGAGTTCGAGACCAGACTGAGCAACAAAGGGAGACCCTGTCTCTACAACAATGTAAGTAAAAAAATTTAGCCAGGCATGGTGGTACATGACTGTAGTCCCAGCTACTCAGGAGGCTGAGGCAAGAGGAACACTTGAGCCTAGGAGGTGGAGGCTGCAGTGAGCTGTGATTGTTATCACTGTCCTCTAGCCTGGGCAACAGGATAATACTCTGTCTCCAAAAAAAAAAAAAAAAAAAAAAAAAGGGAAAGAAAATAAATGTCTATTCAAGTTCTTTACCTATTTTTGAATTTTTGTTGTAAAAGTTTATATATCCTGGATACTAAGCACTTACAAGATACATGATGTGCAAATATATTCTCCCATTCTGTCGGTTGTCTTTTTTACCGTCTTGATAATGTCCTTTGATGTACTGTAGTTTTAATTTTGGTGAAGGGGACATCCTGCAAAGTAGCAGAGTAGGAATTTCTAGGAGTTAATCCTTACATTGAAACAACCAGTAAACTGGAAAAAATGACCAGAATCAACTTGCAGTCTGTGGTGCCAGGGGAGTGCTTGATGAAGGGAGAGGCTACTGCTCTTGCAGAATAGTTTGGGGAAAGTCTCAAATGGACTGTGCCAGCCATCAACAAGCAAAAATAAGCCATCCCTTAGACGTTGGAAAATTATAGTTGTAAAGTTACCGCAGTAACAAGATCTGAGTTTATCCTGCTTGGAGCTTATTGAGCATCTTACATGCATGGATTCATGTTCTTCATCAAATTTAGGAAGTTTTTAGGTATTAATTATTCCATATGTTTTTTGCCTCTTTCTCTTCTAGGACTTGTTCAATGGTGTTCCACAGGTGCCTTAGGTTCTGTTAATTTTTTCTTTATTTTTTCATTTTAATCTTCAGACTGGATAATTTCAATTATTTTATCTTCAAGTTTGCTGTTTCTTCTTCCTGCTCAAATCTGCCATTGTACTGCTGTATGAATTTTTCATTTTAGCTCTTGGGCTTTTCAGCTTCAGAATTTCTTTTTGGTTCTTTTCTATAATGTGTGTCTCTTTACTGACATTCCCTGTTTGTTCATATACTCTTCTGATATCCTTTAGCTCTTTGTGCATAGTTTCTTTTATCTCACTGAGCATATTTGAGACAGTTGATTTAACATCTTTGACTAGTCGTTTCACTGTCTGGGCTGTCCCAGGGATAGTTTTCTGTGAAATTATTTTTTTCCTATGAACCAGCTATGTGCTATGATTTATAATTCGTTTGTTGAGAACCAAACAATTTAAGTATTACAATGTGTTGGTAACTCTGGAAAACAGATTCTCCTTCTACTCAGGGATTTATTTTGTTGTTTGTTGAGGTCTAAAGTTGTCTATTAGTATAGTGACTTTTCCAAGAAATTTTTGCGAAGTCTTTGTTCCTTGTTATGTATGTTACTGAAGTTTCTGTCCCATTATCTCTGTATCTGCTTGCAGCCTCTCATATTTTAAGATGTCTGGATTTTTTAAAAATAGTGTGTAATCCTTTTTAAGTGTTCTGATAGATGTCACCAGAGAAGCCGCTGTAAGCCTAAGGGGGTCAAATATAACCAACCATCTCTGCTGATCCTCAGGGAACTGCCATACCAATTAAATCACACTCCAGCATTTTAGAGCACAAAGTCTTTACTGTTCACTATAGCAACAGCGAGCCATTCTAGGAACGCTGTCCCCATGTTGCAGCAGGACTATGGAATGGGTCATGGTAGCTGGTTTATGCATGCCAGTCTCTTACCAAAGGTAAGACAGTCACCTTGATAATACCAATAACCTTATCACAGCTGTCTAAAATGGTATTATTTCCCAGTAGTCTAATACAAGTCCATCTTCCATTTTTCCCCTTTTCCCAAAAATGCCCTTTATATCTGTTTTATTATTGTTGTTGTTGTTGTTGTTATTATTATTATTATTTTGGAGATGGAGTTTCACTCTTATTGCCCAGGCTGGAGTGCAATGGCGCGATCTCAGCTCACTGGAACCTCCGCCTCCTGGGTTCAAGTGATTATCTCGCCTCAGCCTCCCAAGTAGCTGGGATTACAGGCACCTGCCACCATGCCCAGCTAATTTTTATATTTTTAGTAGAGATGAGGTTTCACCATGTTGGCCAGTCTGGTCTCAGACTCCTGACCTCAGGTGATCTGTCCACCTCCACCTCCCAAAGTGCTGGGATTACAGGGGGCCGTGAGCCACTGCGACTGGTGTTATTATTTTTTAAATAGAGACAGGGTCTCACTGTGTTGCCCAGGCTGCTCTTGAACAGCTGGCCTCGAGTGACCCTCCCGCCTTGGCCTCCCAAAGTGTTAGGATTACAGGCATGAGCCACCACACCTGGCCATGTTTCTGTTAGTCTGGAATTACTTCTGTGATTAACATGAATGGTGGCTCATGCCTGTAATCCCAGCACTTTGGGAGGTTGAGGCAGGAGGACCACTTGATGGCAAGAGTTCAAAACCAGCCTGGGCAACATAGCAAGACCCCTTCTGTGTTTTAAAAAAGAAAAAAAGATGGAACAACAACAAAAAGAAAGATGTTAAACCTTACAATAAGGAGTGTGTCAACTAAAACTATACCAATATAGCTATTTTTCACCTATCAGGCAAAAATCCAAATGTTTGTTAACATACTCTATTTGAGACTTTGAGAAACTGGATATTGTTATACATTCCCAACAAGAGTATATTTGGTTGTTTCTAACAAAATTGCAGGTTTTTTTATCCTTTGACCCACAAACCCACTTCTAAGAATTTATTTTAAGGGTACATCTGCCACTAGTAAAGTGACATGTAGACAAGAGTTATTCATTGAGTCATCATTGTAATAGCAAAAAATGGGAAATAAGCTGTAAAAAAGACTGGTTGAGGTACATACCATGTGAGGAAAAAAAGAATGCAGGTAGATCTGTATTCACTGTTATGGAGTGATCACCAGGATGTATTGTTAAGTGAAAACAACAGCAACAACAACAAAAAGCTGCAGTACAATGTTTTTTGCAAAAAGAACTTCTAGGAAAAAGGAAAAAGAAATATTCGCATACCATGGCTTAATAAAAATGATTATTTATAGGGAAGGTGAAGTAGGGCAAATGGAATTGAGTGATAAAGATGGAAGAGAAATTTGCTATACTTTTTAATAAGTTTTTGACTTTTGAACCAATGTAAATGTTGTACATATTCAAAAATAAGTGTATATCTAAACTAAAAGTAAACTCTAAAAGTAGTGAACCTACAAAATGTATCGAATTGGCAACATAGCAGCATATTGTGGGATTTTATTATTGATTCTGACAGTCTGTTTCAACTAATGCATCTTAGTCTTTAAGAATATTTCTGCTGGATTTAGGATTCTGGTTAGGCAATTTTTGCACTTGGAAGACAGCCTTCTACTGTCTTCTGACTTACATTGTAGCTGACAAAAGTAGGCTAACAGGCCTACTTTTGTCTTTTTTCATGATAATTCATCCTTTTTTCTTTGTATTTAAGGCTTCTCTTTGTCTTTGATTTCTGCAGTTTTAGGATGGTATATTTATTTTCTTTATCTTTTTTTTATAGGGATGGGATCTTATTGTTTTGCCCAGGCTGGTCTCAAACTCCTGGCCTCAAGCAATCCTCCTGCTTCAGCCTCCCAAAATGTTGGGATTACAGGTGTGAGCCACCATGTCCAGTCTAGTGTGATGTATTTAGATGTTAGTTTCTTTTTATTCTACTTGAGAGTCATTGAACTTGGGAAACTTGTAGGCTCTGTTACTTCACTTCTACGAAATTCTTGCCCATTTTATTTTCTCTCAGTCCATCCTTTTGAGACTCTGATTAAATACTTGTTA
Organism: Homo sapiens; assembly: GCF_000001405.40. Lineage (NCBI taxonomy): Eukaryota > Metazoa > Chordata > Mammalia > Primates > Hominidae > Homo > Homo sapiens. The sequence continues at coordinate 138,495,905 of NC_000007.14, forward strand.
TATAATCGATATGTATATGTCTGTTTCTGGACTCTATTCTGTTTCATTGTTTGTATTTCTCTCCTTTCTCAAATACCACTCTGATTACTGTAGCTCTATCCATAGTAAATCTTGAAATCAAGTAGCATAAGTCCTCCAAATTTGGTATTTTTTGAATTGTTATTGCTATTCTCTGTCTTTTGCATTTTCATTAAATTTTAGGATCAGTTTGTTAGTTACTACAAAATGATCCCCTGCTGGGATTTTAATTGGGATTGCATTGAATCTTTAGATCAGTTTGGAGACATGGAATCTCAACTGTGTTGAGTCTACCAATCTAATAATGTTTTTAATGTCTCTATTTAGGTCTTCTTTAATCTTCATTTTGTGGTTTTTACTATACATGTCCTGCATATCTTTGGTTAATATTACCCCTATTTCATGTAGCTTTTTTTGGGAATGCTTTAGGATTTTTTGCATATACAATCACATCACCTGTGAATATAGTTTTACTTCTTCCTTTCCAATCTGGATTTATTTATTTTTTATTGTGTCTTTTTGCACTCACTAAAACAGTTCCGAACAGAAGTGCTAAGAGTGGACATCCTTGCCTTCTTCCTGGTGACAGCAGAAAGGATTCTGTATTTCATCATTAAATATATATTAGCTGTAGGTTTTTCAGAGATGGTCTTTATCAGGTTGAAGAAGTTTCCATCTGTTGTTAGGTTCTTGAAAGTTTGTTATGGATAGGTGAATTTTTCAGATTTTTTTTTCCTTTTTTTAATTGTATTTTCTTTAGTAGAGATGAGATCTCACTATGTGGCCCAGGCTGGTCTTGAACTCCAGGCCTGTAGTGATCCTCCTGCCTCAGCCTCGCAAAGCACTGGGATTTCAGGCATGAGCCTCTGTGCCCAGCCAAAATTTTTCAGATTTTTTTTTCCAGATATATTGAGATGATCAAAGAAGGCTTTTCTCCCTTATTTTGTTAACATAATGAATTATTTGAACGCTCAACCAGCCTTGTATTTCAGGAATAAACCCTGCTTAATCATGATGTATATGTATTTTTATGTATTTCTGGGTTTGATTTTCTAGTGTTCTGTTAATGATTTTTTGTTACTTTTTGTTTATGAGAGAGATTGTTCTGTAATTTTCTCTTCTTGTAATGACTGTCCAATTTTAGTATCAGGGTAATACTGGCCTCATAAAATAAGGTTGGAATTATTTCTTTTCTGAAAGAGTTTGCTTAGGGATGGTCTTACCTTTTTTAAATATTGAATAGAATTCACCAGTGGAGCCCTTTGTGTCTAGACTTTTCTTCGTGGGAAGGTTTTTTGTTTGGTTGGTTTGGTTTGGATCTTTTTTGTAGAGAAGGAGTTTCACCTTGTTCCCCAGGCTGGTCTTGAAATCCTGGGCTCAAGCAATCCTCCCATCTTGGCCTTCCAAAGTGCCAGTATTACAGGTGTGAGCCACCGCGCCTGGCCGATGGGAAGGTTTCAATTACAATTTCTTTTTTTTTTTTTTTTTTTTTTTTTGAGAAAGAGTCTCGCTCTGTCTCCCAGGCTGGAGGGCAGTAGCTTGATCTTGGCTCACTGCAGCCTCCACCTCCTGGGTTCAATCTCCCTGCCTCAGCCTCCCAAGTAGCTAGGATTAGGCAGCTACCACCATGTACAGCTAATTTTTGTATTTTTAGTAGAGACAGGGTTTCACCATGTTGGCCAGGCTGGTCTCAAACTCCTGACCTCAGGTGATCCGTCCGCCTCGGTCTCTCAAAGTGCTAGAATTACAAGTGTGAATCACCGCGCCCAGCCTGTTGTTGGTTTTTGAGACAGGGTCTGGCTCTGTCACCCAGGCTGGAGTGCAGTGGTGCAATCTCAGCTCACTGCAACCTCTGCCTCCTGGGCTTAAGCCATCCTCCCACCTCAGCCTCCCAAGTAGCTGGGACTACAGGCACACGCCACCATACCTGGCCAATTTTTTATTTTTATTTGTAGAGGTGGGGTTTCACCATGTTGTCCATGCTGGTCTTGAACTTCTGAGCTCAAGTGATCCGCCTGCCTCGGCTGTCCAAAGTGCTGGGATTACAGGCATCAGCCTCCGTGCCTGACCCTGTGTGGTTTTTTTATTTTTATTTTTACTTATTTATTTATTTTTTGAGACAGGGTCTCACTCTGTCACCTAGGCTGGGGTGCAGTGGCGCAATCTCAGCTCACTGCAACCTCTGCCTCCCAGGCTCAAGCCATCCTCCCACTTCAGCCTCTTGATCCTGTCATTCAACTCACTTGAGTAACTGGGACCACAATCACATGCCACCACTCCTGGCTAATTTTTGTTTTTATTTTATTTTTTATTTTTTTTCGAGACAGAGTCTCGCTCTGTCACCCAGGTTGGAGTGCAGTGGTGCAATCTTGGCTTACTGCAGCCTCTCCCTCCTGGGTTCAAGCCATCCTCCTGCCTCAGCCTCCCGAGTAGCTGGGATTACAGGCGCCTGCCATCACACCAGGCTAATTTTTGTATTTTTAGTAGAGACAGGGTTTCACCATGTTGGCCAGGCTGGTCTTGAACTCTTGAGCTCAAGTGATCCTCCCACTTTGGCCTCCCAAAGTACTGGGGTTACAGGCATGGCCAGTGTGCCTGGCCCCCTGTGTGGGTTTAGCTATAAATTTATTTACACGTTTTATTTTCCTGTATATGTTATATCTTGGTGAATATCTCATGCATGCTTAAAGAATGTGCCTTCTGCTCACATTGTTTTTTCTTTTTCTTTTTCTTTTTTTTCCGAGACGGAGTTTTGCCCAGGCTGGAGTGCAGTGGTGTGATCTCAGCTCACTGCAACCTCTGCCTCCTGGGTTCAAGCAATGCTACCTCCTCCTCCTGAGTAGCTGGGATTATAGGCATGCACCACCATGCTTGGCTAATTTTGTACCTTTAGTAGAGACAGGGTTTCACCATGTTGACCAGGCTGGTCTTCAACTCGTGACCTCAGGTGATCCTCCTGCCTTGGCCTCCCAAAGTGTTGGGATTACAGGTGTGAGCCACCATGCCTGGCCTGCTCACATTGTTTTTTTAAATGTCAATTGGATCAGGTTTGATTCTTTTGTTCAAGTCTTCTATATGTTTACTGATTTTTCTGTCTACTGCTCTATTGATTTCTGAGAGGGGAGAGTTGAAATCAACAAATGTAATGTGGATTTGTCTTTTTTTTTAATTTTTTTTTAGCTGTATCAATTTCTACATTATATTTTCAGAAGCTCTGTTAATTAGATGCATATGCATTTAGGATTCTGTCTTGATGAGTTAACCCCTTTATCATGTTCTCACTTTATCTCTTGTAAATAGTCCTTGTTCTAAAGTCTGCTTTGTCTGAGAGTATTATTAAGTCCTCCTGGTTTCATATTATGAAGGATGTTCACTGTGTACTGGTTACCATTTTAGCCCACTATATCTTGGGCTGTATTTTTACTACTTGCCTGAGTCCAGTGAGTCAAAACATTTATAAGCACAACAGGTTACATGAAGTCCAGTTTTATTACCCACAGATGGGCAGCAAGGGACAGGAGAAGCTTAGCATTCATTGCAAATCGGTCCCTCAAGGCTTGGGAAAGCTGCCCAGAGCAGATGGTCTCTTGTCTGTGGATCGCAGCTAAGGGACCCAGGAAAGAAGGTTTATGTCCCAGGAGCAACATGTTTCACTGGGCTAAAGCATTGGAGGACATCCTGTCTGAGGGTGGAGGGAATGACAGGAACAGAAACGGAGGCTCTTCCAACCAGCTCCTCCTTGTCTCAGGATGCTTCATTCCCAGCATGTTATACAGTTACACAAAGGTGTGGGGCAGGGCAGGGAACTGGCTTGATTCAAGGCAACCTGGAGCACTGCCCTGTACATGTGCTTATTATTTGAATGTGTATCTGTTAGCATTCTGTTTTTTTTTTTTCCTTTAACCTCTCTCTATGTATTTGAAGTAGATTTCTTGTAGATAGTATTTACTTGTTTTTTGTTATTTATGTATGTAAGAGTCAGTACTATTAGTGGTATTGACAGGACCACGGACAACACTATTTTGCGTTATATATATCCTCTCCCTTGTCTGTCATGGATGTTGGAATAAAGTTGCTGGATTGGTGGTGATCCATATCATGATCCTGTCATTTAACTCACTTGTGTTGTGATCTACCATGTGTAATAAGAGACTTTAAATCCATGTACATCTCTTTTGTGGAGCTAGGCAGTCAAAGAAGTGCGAGCCATTCCTAGCACATAATGTCAAAACATAAGCCCTGCATTATGCTTAGGTTTAGAAACTAAAACTTCACAGAAAGGAGATAACAAATCATATTCACATCTCAAAACCCAAAAACTTGAAACATTTCATTTGTAGAAAAAAGGAATAAGAGGCCAGGTATGATGGGTTATGCTTGTAATCCCAGCACTCTGGGAGGCTGAGACAGGCGGATTGCTTGAGGCCAGGAGTTTGAGACCATCCTGGACAACATAGTGAAACCCTGTCTCTACTAAAAATACAAAAAAAATTAGTGGAGTGTGGTGGCACAGGCCTGTAGTCCCAGCTACTCAGGAGGCTGAAGTGGGAGAATCACCTGAGCCCGAGAGGTGGAGGCTACAGTGAGCCAAGATCATGCTGCTGCATTCCAGCTTGGGCAACCAGAGTGAGACCTTGTTTCAAAAAAAAAAAAAAAAAAAAAGGAATAAGGCCAGGCACCATGGCTTATGCCTGTAATCACAGCACTTTGGGAGGCCAAGGCAGGAGGATCCCTTGAGCCCAGGAGTTTGAGAGCAGCCTGGGCAATACAGTGAGACCCAGTCTGTACATTAAAAAAAAAAAATTATCCAGGCATGGTGGTGCAGTTTTGGCAATTTTGTTGTATAAGTATGATAGGGTGTACTTACACAAACCTATGTGGTTTAGCCTACTACACACCAAGAGAATATGGTACAGCCTGTTGCTCCTAGGCTACAAATCTGCACAGCATGTTACTGTACTAAATACTGTAGTATTCATCTGTAACGCAATGGTATTTGTATATCTAAACATATCTAAAACCTAGAAAACTACAGTGTAAAAGATAAAAAAAAAAAGGTACACCTGTATAGAGCAGTTATCATGGTGGTGCTTGCAGGACTGTAATTTGCTCTGAATGAGTCAGGGAGTGAGTGATGAGTGCATATGAAGGGGGCCTAGAACATTATATACTTTTATATGACTGGCAGCTCAGTAGGCTTGTTTACACCAGCATCACCCTAAACACATGAGTAATGCATTGCACCACAGTATTATCAATATTACCACAGCTTTCACTAGGTGATAGGAATTTTCCAGCTCCATTTTATTTTTATTTATTTATTTTTTTTGAGATGGAGTCTCTGTCACCCAGGCTGGAGTGCAGTGGCACGATCTCGGCTCATTGCAACCTCTGCCTCCTGGGGTTCAAGCAGTTCTCCTGCCTCAGCCTCCTGAGTAGCTGGGACTACAGGCACATGCCACTGCACCCGGCCAATTTGTGTATTTTTAGTAGAGACGGGGTTTCCCCATATTGACCAGGCTGGTCTTGAACTCCTGACCTCAAGTGATCTGCCCACCTTGGCTTCCCAAATTGCTAGGATTACAGGTGTGAGCCACCACACCCGGCCTTCAGCTTCATTATAATTTTATGATACCACTGACATATATGCGATCCATTGTTGGCTAAAAAAATGTTAGGCAGTGGCCAGGCGTGGTGGGTCACGCCTGTAATCCCAGCACTTTGGGAGGCTGAGGTGGACAGATCACGAGGTCAGGAGATCAAGACCATCCTGGCTAACATGTTGAAAACCCATCTCTACTAAAAATACAAAAAATTAGCCGGCTGTGGTGGCACGTTGCCTGTAGTCCCAGCTACTTGGGAGGCTGAGGCAGGAGAATCACTTGAACCAGGGAGGCAGAGGTTGCAGTGAGCTGAGATCATGTCACTACACTCCAGCCTGGGAGACAGGGCAAGACTCCGTCTCAAAAAAAAAAACCAGTAGCAACAACAACAAAAAACCGTCATGCAGCTCATGATTGTATTTACTGTGTAATATGTAGTGCTTTGTTTTTCTAGTACTGAAAAAAAAGGTACATCTGGGGCTTGGGAATGAAGTTCTGGTAGAGATGTAAATTTAGGATTTACTAACATTTGGTTTCAATTTGTTCCTTATTAGGTAGAGGTATATCCATGACTCAGAATTTATTTGTAGCCTTAGAGGTCATACTTTGAGGGAGTCAATATAGATGAGATTGTGCTGGTCCTCATCTACCTGATTCAGAAAGAGCCAGCTATTGTCATCTGATTTTAGCTGGACGGTACAGGGCTTACTGCCCAGGTTTACCAGGTACCAGCCTAGGCTAGACCTGTTCTGTGCATTTACTCATGTGAAATTGTTACAACAATCCTGCCTCAGAGTTGTTCTAATGGAAGTGGAATATTGAGCACACTAACTAGAACACAGCAAGTTCTCAATAGGTTAAGTATCATGATGATTATCATGTATTACTCTTTTATAGAAGATGAAAAAGAGGCTCAAAAAGATTGATTAGGAGTTACAGAGCAATCAATGAAGAGGGCTAATCTAGGTCTTGAACAGTTTTAAAGTCCATGCTATATCTCCATTTAAATACTTACATTGTAGAGTGTGCACATGACATGTCATTAGTGGTTATGTGACCACGGGCCAGTCGTAGCACCCAGTTTCCTCATCTGTAAATTGGGGGTAACACTTAATGTTTTATAAAGAATGTCTAGAGTTCTTAGCTGTGTGAAGCTGGAGGCATAATGAAAATTACGTTTACTCCATCTTCTCTGAAATGCATTGTGACATCTTTCCAGATTTTAAGTATTAATTCTTTGCCAGTACTGTGTGTTTAGATAGATCTTCCATCTTGAGGCTTGTCTTCTCATTTTGTTCATGGTAATATTTTCACTAGCTGTAGTTCTGTAACAAAGGTGAATATATTAATCTTTCCCTTATAGCTCTTGCTTTTTGTTTCTTGCTTAAAAATTTATTCCAATAAATTTGTATTCCAAGATCACAAAGATATTCTCTTACATTTTCTTGTGAAAGTTTTATAGTTGTTAATCTACTTAAAGTAGTTTTTTTTTTAGATCAGATGAAGTAGGGATCTAATTTCATTCCCCACCCCCAATAGTTGTTGCAGCAACATGAAAAGTTCATCCCTTTTCCCACTGATTTCTAGTGAACATCTGATATATATAAAGTGTGCATTTATGTAAGCCTTAAAAAAATCACACCATTTTAATTGTTACAGCTTTATAGTAGGTTTTATTAGTTGGGAGGCGTGTCCCCTCAGCTTGTGAAAATTCTATGGAAATTTCTGTTGGGATTGTTAATAGAGGTGCTTTGAATCTATAGATATGTTTGTGGGAGCATTGGTATCTTTACCATCATGAACATGCTTTCTTCATGATTTAGATATTTTAAAATATTTTAAAATATAGCTTAATATTTTCCTGCACAATGACCTTCACAATCTTTTAAAATTTATTTCTAAGTACTTAATATATTTTTGTTGCTATTGTAAAAAAATTTTTTTTTCATTAAATGTTTGTTTGTTGTTTGTTTATACATATGAAATTGGCCTTTGGATTACTTTGTATTTGTTCTTATGCATTTCATTAAAAAATATATCTGGGAACCTTATTGCAGTCTTCCATAGTTTAAATTATATGGCATCAAGTTTATATTAGAGTTTTTTTTTTTTTTTAATACTTTAAGTTTTAGGGTACATGTGCACAACGTGCAGGTTTGTTACATATGTATACATGTGCCATGTTGGTGTGCTGCACCCGTTAACTGGTCATTTATATTAGAGTTTTAACTTGTTTGTTATTTTTATTTATTGTTTTTACCAAGCACTACGAAAGACCATTCTTTTTTGTTCAAAGGAATACTATTTGCATTTGTTAAAAGGAAATGGTGTTTTACACTCTGTGGAGATTTTAAACAAAAGGAGCATGTCTGTGTTCTACTTCCAGAAATCCTAATTTTGCAGATCTAGAGAAAACCTGAGCTCCTTGTTCTTTTGAAAATCTCCCATATGGTTCTGTACGTTTCTGTTGGAAAACCACTGCTAGAGAAGTTGCTAAACAGTAAAAGCATTTAGCCCATGATGATGTGGGGGAAGGGAGGCATTTCATTTAAAATTATGAAAAATTTATTTATCATTTAATATTTCATGTGTGATGTATAGATAAAATTAGTATATTTACATAGACAATTGTTTTTAAGTGACAGCAGGTATGAATTTAAAAAGAATGGACATTGAAAAAGAACAAAGTCACAGTTTGAGATGTATTGGTTAAGTACTCAGTATATTTGTATTAAAACTTAGAATATAATTTTGTTTTTCCCAGTTGGAGTCATTCGTTGCCCAGTTTGCAGCCAAGAATGTGCAGAGAGACACATCATAGATAACTTTTTTGTGAAGGACACTACTGAGGTTCCCAGCAGTACAGTAGAAAAGTCAAATCAGGTAAGTGTATTACATCTTGAACCTTTTGCCTGCCAGCTCTTTTTTTTTTTTTTTTTTTTTTTTTTGAGACAGAGTCTCATTCATTCTGTTGCCCAGGCAGGAGTTCACAAGTGGCGCAATCTCCGTTCACTGCAAGCTCCTCCCCACAGGTTCACACCATTCTCCTGCCTCAGCCTCCCGAGTAGCTGGGACCACAGGCGTGTCACCATGCCCGGCTAGTTTTTTGTATTTTTAGTAGAGACGGGGTTTCACCATGTTAGCTAGGATGGTCTCAATCTCCTGACCTCTTGATCCGCCCATCTCAGCCTCCCAAAGTGCTGGGATTACAGGCGTGAGCCACCGCACCTGGCCTCTTTTTTTTTTTTTAATTGAGATGGAGTCTTGCGTTGTTGCCCAGGCTGGAGTACAGTGGTGCGATCTTGGCTCACTTCCATCTCCTCCTCCTGGGTTTGAGTGCTTCTCTCATCTCAGCCTCATGAGTAGCTGGGATTACAGGTGTGTGCCACTATGCCCAGCTAATTTTTGTATTTTTAGTAGACATGGCATTTCACCATGTTGGCCAGGCTGGTCTCGAACTCCTGACCTTGAGTAATCCACCCGCCTCGGCCTCTCAAAGTGTTGGGATTATAGGCGTGAGCCACCGTGCCTGGCCTCTTTTTGCCAACTATTGATGAGGCAACCTAAAATGCTGGAGATCTCTAAAATAAAAGGAGCCAAACATTAGTTAATTGATCTATAAAGTTATATAACATTTTAAAAGAATATAAAGAATAATGAATAATTCACCTTAAGAAATAAAACAGTGAAACAGTGACAGTCCAGAAGCTCTTGATTGCATACCCACATTCCAGTCTCCTCCAGAGAAACCATTATTCTATATTTGACATTACTTCATTTCTTTGTACTTTTACTGTGTATTGACAATGAGATTTTTATTTCAAGCTCAGTTTTTCACTTTTTTTCTATTTTAATGATAAGCTCTATAATGATACATGTGAAAGACACCATGTCTTTGATCAGTAAGGTTTTTACATTTTTAAGAAAGCCTTCTTTTCTGCATGGTCTTACTTTGAAAGCTTCATTTGTTTTTTGGGGGTGGTGGTTGTTGTTGTTGTTGTTGTTGTTGTTGTTGTTGTTGTTGTTGTTGAGACAGGGTCTCACTCTGTTGCCCAGTCTGGAGTTCAGTGATGTAGTCGTAGCTCACTGCAGTCTCCAACTCCTGGGCTCAAGTGATTCTCCCACCATAGCCTCCTGAGTCACTGGGACTACAGCTTTATGCCACCATGCCCAACTAACTAAAGGCTTACTTGGCAGCATTGTCCAAGGTGTTGGATTTAGAGATCCAATGGTGTTTTTCGTTTGTTTCTAATTTCTATAACCCACATGTAGAACATCTCTTTTGGCTTCTTAAATCTAGATGTCAAATCTATCATGCATAATCTATAGTACTCCAGTGGGGGTTAGCCATGTTGAGATTAATTCTACAGTTTGTGCTAAGTATAGTGTGTTAGTCTACTTTTGGATCTTGATTCATTGATGATTCCTCTAACAGTTCCCTTAACTTGGAACAGAAGATCTGGGAAAGAACTAAATCTGGTTAGGGAAAAGCAGTTGTTAGCTATGTTTTTCAGGACTCTAGTAATCACATGGTTAATTTCTGTACTTTTTGTTGAATTTTTAGTTTTTTGTTCCTTGGTAGAACTACAGGAATTTAAGGTTCACTTTAAATGAACATAGCTACTACTGACTAAAATACCTGTTTTTGTAGTTTGGAAAGTATCCACAATTCTTCCTGATGTGAACCTTGTCAAAGGCCAAAACAGACACGCTTGCTGTGGGAGATAAACTTTCTAATTGTTTAATTGTGAAACCACCCTTAAAGAAAGAAACATATTTATGTAGGCTACAGTGTTGAGCACTTAAGTCCTCTGAAAGTTCTCTTCTAAATACAAATGATTTTGTTTCTGTCTTCCATTGCATCATGTCACTTTGCTTTACATGTGATTATAGCTATTCTAGATATTCATTAGTCATATTCATAGTAGTATCTGTGTATGCTCAATCCAGAAAACTAAAAAATACAGTAGCATAAGTAATCTTCAAATGTAAAGTAGCATAAATAAATGTCAATCAGATGGGATATTCCTATGACATAAAATGATGATAATAGGACATGAGAGTTAAAGGGATTCTAATCCAAAGGACAAGTTTAAGAGGCTGCTTTATACCTCCGTATGATCAATTAGTTTTCAGTACGTTTATGTTTATTTAGTCTGCTTCTGTCACAGAAACATAGTAGGAAGAAGTTAAACTAGAGATGGAGTCCAACATTTAGACATCCTAAATGTTGATACTGGGCATGCATGGGTTAGGGTAGGAAATGTGGTATGAGAATAGGGTGCTGCTGGGGGCATTTGGTGAGGATGGAGACTGGAGATGTCATATGGGGGATGAATTTGAACCAGGCAGTACTTAGCAAGAGGTAGTGGGAGCTGAATTAGCGTGGTAGCAATAAGGAAAGGAAGTTACCACCCAGAGAGAACTTGATATGCCTGATTGGGTGTGGAAGGTGAGAGATGTTTTACTGCCTGGATGGTGCCTTTCACAGACATCATGATAAAGTGGGTGGGAGTTAGGTAGAGATAATAAATTGGTTTTGAATGGGATTGAGTTTGCATTGCCTGTGAGACTGTAAAGTAGAGGTGTCATCCATGGTTAGAGTGGTGCTCTAAAGAGAGTTCATAGCTGGAGATTTTGAAAAGTTTTAAAAACTTTTTGTTGTAGATAATTTCAAGCATTACTAAAGAAACAGTTGACATAACAAACGCCCATGGACCCATCGCCTAGATCAATAGCCATCAACTCTTGTTTTGTGCATACTCTGATACTACACCACCAACCACTAGATTACATTGATGTTTATTCCAGCCATTATATGATTTCATCTGTAATTTTTTTTTTTTTTTTTTGAGATGGAGTTTTGCTCTTGTTGCCCAGGCTGGAGTGCAATGGTGAGGTCTTGGCTCACTGCAACCTCAGTCTCCCAAGTAGCTGGGATTACAGGTGCCCACCATCACGCCTGGCTAATTTTTGATACAGAGACAAGGTTTCACCATGTTCGCCAGACTGGTTGCAAACTCCTGACCTCAGGTGGTCCACCCACCTCAGCCTCCCAAAGTGCTGGGATTACAGGCATAAGCCACTGCATCCGGCCTCATCTGTAAATATTTTGGTATGTACTTCAGTAAAATATTTTTTCTGTAAACATAACTACCATATGAATTTCTATGTAAAAATAAAAGGACCAGCCTGGGCAACATGGTGAAACCCTGTCTGAGCGAATAAATGAATGAATGAACAAGAAAGAAAAGCAAGCAAGCTGGGTGTGGTGGTGTGCACCTGTAGTCCCAGCTAGTTGGGAGGCTGAGGTTGCAGGATCACCTGTGCTCAAGAAGATGGAGGCTGCAGTGAGCCATAATCATGCCACTGCACCCCAGCCTGGGTGACAGAGTGAGACCCTATCTCAAAAAAAAAAAAATTTTTTTTTAAATGCTTAATGATCTCATTATTATCAAATATCTAAGCAGTAATCAAATGGATCTGAATATTATAGGTTTTTTTAAACAATGGTTTGTTTCTATAAGGATCCAACAAGGCCTACACAGTACATTTGGTTGATTTGTCTCAAACCTAATTAATCTCAAGTTACCCCTTTGCTTCACTTGCTTTCCTTTTCTTCCTATTTAATGTTTTTGTTGCATAAACTGAGTTGCATATTCAATAGAGTTAGCTTTATTCTGAATTTTGCTGATAATTTCCATAAAGTCATTTAACGTGCTGATTATATATCTTGTGAAACTGAATAAAAATGTAGTGGCTTGTTTAGGTTCTGGTTCCGTTGTGGGAGAAGGGTAAGAATATTTTGATCCATATGTCCATGTGTATGCTCATCAGGAAGCATATGGTGTCTGGTTGTCTTTCTTTTTTTCTGATGTTAATGGCCATTAATGATCACTGCCAAGATCCTGTATTTCATTAGGGCTTTGAAAAATAGTGACATTTTTATTCTATTATTCCTCTTTATTTCTTAACTGGAATAGAAAGAGAAAGCTTCCTTCATCAATTCTTTGATTACCCTAAGCTATAGTGCATCCAGGAAAGGTCAGTTCAATTTTGATTCCTTCCCTTTAGTTGCCAATTTTTAGAGCAGTAAGTTAATTTCTTAGGATTCTTCAGAGGTGACTAATAAGAGGAGTGTGTGTGTGTGTGTGTGTGTGTGTGTGTGCGCGCGCGTGTGTGCGTGTGTGTGTGCGTGTGTGTGTGTGTGTGTGTGTGTGTCACTCTGTTTGAGTCTGCAATAGTCATTGCTGTCTCCCTTGCTGTTTTTTCTGTTCTAGACCTTGAAGCAGCCATTTCTCCTAGGTGCCTTGATTCCTTTTCATGGGAAATAATATTTGGAGACCACAGTATGGTACGGTGGGTGCTCATCATCATTGAGTTGGTCACCTATCTAGGCCTTTCAGGGAATGATCTAACAGAGACTTTATTTATTTATTTAGAGACAGAGTCTCACTCTGTTGCCCAGGCTGGAGTGCAGTGGCGTGATCTCCGCCCACTGCAACCTCCTCCTCCCAGGTTCAAGCGATTTTCCTGCCTCAGCCTCCCGAGTAGCTGGGACTACAGGCTTGTGCCACCACACCCAGCTAATTTTTTGTATTTTTAGCAGAGCGGGGTTTCTCCATGTTGGCCAGGCTGATCTCAAACTCCTAACCTCAAGTTATCCACCCTCCTCAGCCTCCCGAAGTGCTGGGATTACAAGTGTGAGCCACTGCACCCAGCCGAAATGTTGGTTCTTAATTGCATTGATGTAATTTGTTTTCTCTAGGAAAAAAAAGTTTATATATATGTATAATATATATATAATATATTATATGCATAATTTATATGCGTAATATATAATACAGTCTTGGTGCAATTAGGAATCATTTTAATTCTTAAAATTAAGAATTATAAGGCCAGGCATGGTGGCTTATGCCTGTAATCCCAATACTTTGTGAGGCCGAGGCAGGCGGATCACAAGATTAGGAGTTTGAGACCAGCCTGACCAATATGGTGAAAGCCCGTCTCTACTAAAAATACAAAAAAATTAGCTGGGCATGGTGGCACCTGCATGTAATCCCAGCTACTTGGGAGGGTGAGGCAGGAAAATTGCTTGAACCCAGAGTGGGTGTTGCAGTGAGCCAAGATTGCACCACAGCACTCTAGCCTGGATGACAGAGTGAGACTCTGTCTCAAAAAAAAAAAAAAAAAAAAGGAAAAAGAAAAGAAAAAAAGAATTATAGACTAGATATAAGATTTTCTGAAAAGATACAAATACAATTCTTAAAGTATCACAGAGGTAGCAACTTTGAGAAGCAGCTGAGGGAACAAATGCAAAAGGATGGAATTATTAAAAGATAAAAGCTCAGAGGAAGGGCCTCGTGGAACTTAAACACCTGAGAAGGAAGTGCATCTTGGCTGGTGATGGGGTCTGGGTGTTTGGCTTGGGACTCAGGCTTCTGACGGGCAGAAGTAGTGGTGCTGGCATCTCTGAAGTGAATTACAGTAAAGCTGGTTCTACAGATATTGGAAAAACTGCAAACTAGAGCTAGCTCCATTGTAGGAAGGAACTGCTGCACCTGGGATGAAGCAGCATCACTAGTGTGATGCTCACAGAAGTTACATGCAGGTAGGAAGAAAAGAGGAAGCCGACTATGAGAATCAAGTGCCTTCTTCTGACATTGCATTCTCCTTCCAGCACTACCCGTTGTTAGACTCGAATGTGAAACCAGCTTGTAAAGCATAAATGTTGCTTGCAGAATAAGAGTTTATACTAGAGTGGAGTTGGAGCTGAAAATAGAAGTTGTAGAATGTTTGTATCAAAACAGAAAGCAAGAAAGACAGCAGTTATATGTATGCACTGGAGATATTCAATCAAATCATGTGTGTGTGTGGTTTTTTTTGTTTGTTTGTTTGTTTGTTTGTTTTTAAAGAGAAGGAGTCTCACTCTGTTGCCCAGGCTGGAATGCAGTGGCGCGATCTTGGCTCACTGCAACCTCCACCTCCCGGGTTCAAGCAATTCTTCTGCCTCAGCCTCCAGAGTAGCTGGGACTACAGGCGCATACTGCCACATCTGGCTAATTTTTTGTATTTTAGTAGAGACAGGGTTTCACCATGTTGCCCAGGCTGGTCTCGAACTCCTGAGCTCAGGCATACCACCTGCCTTGGCCTCCCAAAGTGCTAAGATTACAGATGTGAGCCACTGTGCCCAGCCAATCAAATCATGTTTTAAAGTTACCTGAAACAAATAAATCTTCTCTGTGCAGTTAAGTCACCCACTTGATTAGGCAGGTTCATTTATTAAATTTTGCTTTTGACATTTAGGAATTTAAATTTTTAAAATATTGTATAACTACATGTAAAACATTCATGTTGTTTGAAAATAAAATCTATAAACTTCTATCCCTGTCTTGTCTACCCATCTACCTTATTTCTTCCCAACCTCATAGGTAACTATTTAATGTCCTTTATGGATTATCCTTCCTTTTTAAATATTATGTTAATGTACAATTTAAAAATAAATCATCCCACTCCATCCCATCTGTATCACTCTGTTTTTGCATTGCTATAAAGAAATACCTGAGACTGGGTAATTTATAAAGAAAAGAGGTTTAATTGGCTCACGGTTTCACTGGCTGTACAGGAAGCCTGATGCTGGCATCTGCTCAGCTTCTGGGGAGGCCTCAGGAAACTTACAATCATGGTGGAAGGTGAAGGGGCAGCAGGCTTGTCTTACATGTGGCCGGAGCAGGAGCCAAAAGAGGGTGGGAGGTGCCACACACTTTTTTCTTTCTTTCTTTTTTTTTTTTTTGAGATGGAGTTTTACTCTTGTTGCCCAAGCAGGAGTGCAATGGCCAGTCTTGGCTCACTGCAACCTCTGCCTCCCAGGTTCAAGCGATTCTCCTGCCTCAGCCTCCCGAGCAGCTGGGATTACAGATGTGCAGCTAATTTGTTGTATTTTTAGTAGAAACGGGATTTCACCATGTTAGCCAAGCTGGTCTCGAACTCCTGACCTCAGGTAATCCACCCGCCTCAGCCTCCCAAAGTGCTGGGATTATATGCGTGAGCCACTGCGCCTGGCCATGCCACACACTTTTAAATGAACACATCTCCATGTGAACTCACTACCATGAGAACAGCACCAAGGAGGATATCCACCCCCATGATCCAGTCACCTCCCATCAGGTCCCACCTCCAGCATTGGGGATTACAATTCTACATGAAATTTGGTCAGGGACACAGATCCAAACCATATCATTCCACCCCAGCCCCTCCCAAATGTAATGTCCTTCTCACTTTCAAAACACAATCATGCCTCCCAACAGTCCCCCAGAGTCTTAACCATTTCAGCATTAACTCTCAAAAAGTCCTAAGTCTTATATTTGAGATGAGAAGGACAAGACAAGTCTCTTCTCCCTATGAGCCTGTAAAGTCAAAAACATGTTACTTCCAAGATACAATGTAGGTACAGGCATTGGGTAAATACTCCCATTCCAAAATGGAGAAATCGGCCAAAAGAAGGGGGCTGCAGGCCTTGTGCAAGTCCAAAACCCAGCAGTGCAGTCATTAAATCTTAAAGCTCCAAAATAATCCCCTTTGACTTCACATCTGTCATCCAGGACACACTGGTACTAGGGGTGGGCTCCCAAAGCCTTGGGCAGCTGTACCTACCCCTGTGGCTTTGCAGGGTTCAGCCCCCACAGCTGCTCTCATAGGTTGCTCTCATGGGTTGACATTGAGTATCTGTGACTTTTCCAGACTAAAGGTGCAAGCTGCTGGTGGGTCTACCATCCTGGGTTCTGGAGGACAGTGGCTTTCTTCTCACAGCTCACTTGGGAGGGCCCCAGTGGTGACTCTGTGTGGGTGCTCCAGCCCCACATTTCTCCTCTGTACTGCGCGAGTAGAGGTTCTCCGTGAAGGCTCTGCCCCTGCAGCAGGCTTCTGCTTGGACATCCAGGCCTTTCCATAAATCTTCTGAAATCCAGGCAGAGAGAGGCTCCCAAATCTCACCTCATGCATTCTGTGTATCTGCAGGTTTAACAGCACATGGAAGCTGCCAAGGCTTATGCCTTGCACCCTGTGAAGCAGTGGCCTGAGCTGTATTTGGGCCTCTTTGAGCCATGGCTGGAACTGGAGAGGCTGGGACACAGGGAGCAGTGTCCTGAGGCTTCTCAGGGGAGTGAGCCCCTGAGCCTGGCCTGGCCTGTAAAACCATTCAGTCCTTCTAGGCCTCTGGGCCTGTGACAACAGTGGCTCCTCAGAATGTCTCTGAAATGCCTTCAAGGCCTTCCCCCTACCCCCAGTTTCTGCAGCCTGCTTGAATTCCTCCCTTGAAAATGGGCTTTTCTTTCCTACCACATGGCCAGGCTGCAAACTTTCCAAACTTTTATGCTCTGCTTCCCTTTGAAATATCTAAGTTCCAACTTCAGGTCACTTATTTGCTCATACATAGGAGCATAGGTTGTTAGAAGCAGCCAGATCACATCTTGAACACTGCTGCTTAGAAACCAGATACTCTAAATAATCTCTCAGATTCAGAGTTCCACAGATCCCTAAAGCCAGGGGCACAGTCCAACCAAGCTCTTTGCCAAGGTGTAACAAAGGTGACCGTTGCTCCATTTCCCAATAAGTTTATTTCCATCTGTGACCTCCTCAGCCTGGACTTCATTGTCATATTACTATCAGCATTTTGGTCCCAACAATTTAACAAATCTCTAGGAAGTTCCAAAATTTTTCTCACCTTCCTGCCTTCTTGTGTGCCCTCCAAACTGTTTGAAATTCTGCCCATTACCCAGTTGCAAAGCTGCTTCCACATTTTAAGGTATCTTTAGAGCAGTGCCCCACTCCTCAGTACCGATTTTCTGTTATCAGTCTGGTCTCACATTGCTATAAAGAAATATCTGAGACTGGGTAACTTATAAAGAAAAGAGGTTTAATTGGCCCATGGTTCTTCAGGCTGTACAGGAAGCATGATCCTGGCATCTGCTCAGCTTACGATCATGGCAGAAGGTGAAAAGAGCAGGCTCATCCACATGGCTGGAGCAGGGGCAAAAAGAGAGGGGGGAGGCGCCACACACTTAAACAACTAGATCTCGTGAGAACTCAGTCACTATCATGAGAACAGCACCAAGGGGGAAATCACCCCCATGATACACCTACCTCCCAGCAGGCCCCACCTCCAACATTGGGGATTACAGTTCAGCATGAGATTTGGGCAGGCACACAGATCCAAACCATATTACCATCTTTCTTGAATAAGCAGTAGCATTACACACACACACTTTTCCTGTTTTATTTCATTTTATGTACTAACAATCTCTCCTGAGTGGTGTAAATAGAAATTACTTATTTCTTTTTATAGCTTACTGTGGAGATTACATTCTAGATTACATCCTTTTAGAGATGCTGTGTGAGGCTAAGGAAGTAGATGAGATCAATCCCTATAATCAAAAACTACAGAATCAGAGGAGGAAGGGTGGGATCCACAGTGACAATCAGGTGAGATAGGAGGATTGGCAGGTATTAAGGAATTCACATGATTTCTAGGAAGCAGAAGTCACTGGTATCAAGTGATGTTAGAAAGATTGAAGATGATAAGAGCAGAGAAAAGGTAGATTTTGGTTTATGGACATATCAGGTATTTGGAATTTGGTTAGTGTCAACTGCTGAGTGAAGTGGAAAAAAATTTTACTGTCAAACCTGTTCTCATCTCCACATCCCACTTCCAGCAACCCTCACCAAAGCCACTGAAAAATCCTAGCTTGTCATTATACAGAAACACTTGCTCCTTTTCTAATTTGTTCTCTACATTGTAGCCAT
The DNA here is from genome assembly GCF_000001405.40 of Homo sapiens. Taxonomy (NCBI): domain Eukaryota; kingdom Metazoa; phylum Chordata; class Mammalia; order Primates; family Hominidae; genus Homo; species Homo sapiens. The sequence goes on from NC_000007.14 coordinate 138,514,327, forward strand.
TGTGACATAAAAATGCAAATCTGGCCGTGTCACTTTCTTAAAAGCTTTTAATAGACTTATTTGGACAAACACCAAAATTGCCTTGTGACTCTGCTTAATCTGGCCCCTGTCTCTTGTCCTAGCTTCTTTTGCCAGTCTTCCCCTGAATCGCACCACTTCAGTCATACTTACCTTCGTTCAGTTCTTTGAACCTGCCTGCTCTTCTTGCTTGGGACTTTTTGTACATGCTGTTCTCTCTTCCTAGAAGTAAAAGCCTTCACTGGGTAATCCCTCCTCATGCTTTCCCCAGCCTTCCAACCCCACTAAAATGAGATCCATTTCTTCATCATATGCTCTTATAACTTTCCATAGATTTCCTTTATGGTAATTCTCAGTTTGTAATTATATATTGATGTGCTTATTCTAATAATGTACATCTGCCGCACATTTAATCTTCACAACTACTCAGTAATATCTGTATTATTACCCTCATATTAAAGATGAGTACTCTGTGTAACCTGCCCAAGACCACTGAGCTAGTAAGTGAGGGAACTGGGATTTTAACCTGCACTATGTACAAGACTGTAGTTATCATAAGGGCAGCGACCATGTTTGCTTTTCCTGACTGTTCTGTTCTCACACCTAGCATAATGTTTGGGAAATACCTAGTTGAAATATTTGGGATGCTGAATTAAGGAGAAAATATACTTATATTCTTGTCTCTTCACAGTATTTTCATTTCTTATGTGTATAATGTAACACACAAGGTCAGTTTAAAATTTCCCAACACCATTAGGAGGCTAACTGATTTAGCCTGGTACAATTGGTGTATCATGTACGCATAGCTCGAGATAGGACCACCTTTTCATTTTCTCAAAAATTTACGTGCCATGGTTCTTTTGTCAGGTATGTACAAGCTGTGAGGACAACGCAGAAGCCAATGGGTTTTGTGTAGAGTGTGTTGAATGGCTCTGCAAGACGTGTATCAGAGCTCATCAGAGGGTAAAGTTCACAAAAGACCACACTGTCAGACAGAAAGAGGAAGTATCTCCAGGTAATAAATGAGATCTTTGCATTTTTTTCCTTCTATCTTTCCCCGTCTTTTCTTCCTTCCTGTATTGACTTGTTTTGACACATTTGTTTTGATAAGTATTAAATATACTGTTTTAAGTAAAAGAGGTTTATATTATCGAAATTTAAGTACTTACAAATTTTGGAAAGTACGAATAGATGTAGAACCCTGTTTTACATTCATACTGCCTGTCCTCCTGCTTCTATAAATGTCTTCAATTGGTGTGAATATAGAACAAATGGAGAAAAAAATTGCTTTTTCTTATTTTTCTTTTATCTCTAAGATAACAACAAAGAGTGGGCTTAAATATTTTATAACTCTTCCTTTTGATATTCTTGTTGTAAACCTGCATCATGATATTTGTCTGATATGTGGATAGCCAGAGAGGCTTTTTTATGTAATTATTATTTCCAGTTTTATGTAATTATTATTGTCTTGTTTTTAATGTACAGTTCACTCATATGTTTTTTATTTTGGTAAAATACATGCAACATAAAATTTGTCATTTTAACTACTAAATGTACAATTCAGTGGTATTTATTACATTTACACATTGTGCAACCATCACTACTATTTTCAAAACTTTTTTATCACCCCAATCAGCATCTTTGTACCCTTTAAGTAATAACTCCAATTTTCTGGCCGGGCGCGGTGGCTCACGCCTGTTATCCCAGCACTTTGGGAGGCAGAGGCAGGTGGATCATGAGATCAGGAGATCGAGACCATCCTGGCTAACACGTTGAAACCCCGTCTGTACTAAAAACATACAAAAAAATTAGCTGGGCGTGGTGGCGGGCACCTGTAGTCCCAGCTACTCGGGAGGCTGAGGCAGGAGAATGGCGTGAACCCGGGAGGCGGAGCTTGCGGTGAGCCGAGATCGCACCACTGCACTCCAGCCTGTGTGACAGAGCGAGACTCCGTCTCAAAAAATAATAATAATAATAATAACTCCAATTTTCTTCCCCTAGCTCCTAGTAACTTCTAACCTATTTTCTTTTTGTTGAGAGTGAGTCTTGCTTTGTCACCCAGGCTAGCCGTAGTGCAGTGGCACGATCTCAGCTCACTGCAACCTCTGCCACCTGGGTTCATGCTATTCTCCTGCCTGTAACTGGGATTACAGGTGTGCGCCACCATGTGTGGCTGAATTTTGTATTTTTAGTAGACACAGGGTTTTACCATGTTGGCCAGGCTGGTCTCGAACTCCTGACCTCAAGTAATCCGCCAGCCTTGGCCTCCCAAACTGCTGGGATTACAAGCGTGAACCACTGCACCCAGCCTTTATTTTCTGTCTCTATAAATTTGCTGATTCTAGATACTTCACGCAAGTGGAATCACATGGTATTTGTCCTTTGATATCTAACTTATTTTACTTAGCATAATATTTTAAGGATTCATCCATGTAATAGCATGTATCAAAATGTAGCAAAACCGTTTTGTTTTTTTTTTTTTTTTGAGACTAGTGAAAGACTTGGTGTAATCCCAGCACTTTGGGAGGCCGAAGTGGGATGATTGCCTGAGCCCAGGAGTTCTAGACCAGCCTTGCCAACATGGTGAAACCCTATCTACAAAAAAAAATTAGCTGGGCGTGATAGTTACATGCCTGTAATCCCAACAACCTGGGAGGTGAGATGGTGGGAGGACCACTTGAACCAGGGAGCTCGAAGCTGCAGTGACCTGTGATAATTGCCATTACACTCCGTCTGCGCGACAGTGTGAGATCCTGTCTCCAAAAAAAAAAAAACCGTCTTAGCGTTGCTGGAGTTAATTCCATATTTCATCTTGATGTGTTGTGCTTTTAATATTCTTGTGATATATTGGCTGATTTTTCTCTATCTGGTTATTTTCATTTTCATTCTGAATTCTATATGTTTATATATTTGTATCTTCAGAAATATTTCTTGTATTTATCTAATTATCAGTTTTTTAGTTCATTAATTTTATCTGTAATTCCTCTCAGGTTACCTTAGGGTTTTTGTGTGTGTGTGTTTTGTTTTGTTTTGTTTTGTTTTTTTAGACAGAATCTCACTCCATGACCCAGACTGGAGTGCAGTGGTGCGATCTCAGCTCACTGCAAGCGCCACCTCCTGGGTTCAAGCGATTCTCCTACTTCAACCTCCCAAGTAGCTGGGATTATGTAATCCCTGTACCACCATGCCTGGCTAATTTTTCTATTTTTAGTAGAGACGGGGTTTCACCATGTTGGCCAGGCTGGTCTCGAACTCCTGACCTCAAGTGATCCACCCGCCTTGGGCTCCCAAAGTGCTGGGATTACAGATGTGAGCCACCACGCCTGGTATAGGCCAGCATACTGGTTTGTCAATTTTGACACTATTGACATTTTGAGCTAGATAATTCTTTATCGTTGGGGACTGATTTGTGCATTATAAAAAAAAAATGCAAATGGCTGATTACTGAGCATTGTTTCATTTCAGTTATTAAAGAAATGCATTCTAAGATAGTAAAGTATGTGTCTTCTCTCTTTCTCTCTTGCTTTCTCTCTCGCATTTATTAAATTGTCAAAGGTGAAAAATTTTGAGAGTTCCCCCTGTGAATACAGTTAATAGCCACTCTACACTGGTTGAAGTACAAATTGGCACAATTATTTAGCTTTTTTCTGTATGAATTACCCTTTGACTCAACAATTCCACCACGAGGAATTTACCTTATGGAAACATTTAAATGATTTATAATTTTCATATGTTTATTTCAGCATTAAACTTTCAAATATCCTTAGCAGGTGGTATAGTGGTATATCTATTTCGTGAAATACTATACAGTTAATAAATAAGAATGAGATGGATACATATACTAATACAGAAAGTCATCTAAGGTAGAGTTAAGTGAGAAAAAAAATCTTTAAAAGACAATATATGTACTACCATTTATTGTTTTATAAAATGTAACACTGCACTATACTATATGTACTTCCATACTTAGAAAAACAACCAGAGGAGTGCACACCAGGTTATTAATAGTAATTATCTCTGGAGGTAAGATTATTTCTGAAATGTTTGGATTTTGCCTTTAATTATTAGTAAGATAACTGCGGTTTACTATTTAACCATATTTATTCATATTCTGATTTTTTCACTTAACATTATGACATAAACATTTTCCAGTTTTATCCCCACACTGGAAAACTAGAGTGTAATAATGAAAACATTATTATTTCTGTGTTAATGGGTATTCTCTGTTAGGATTTTTACAAAAGTGGGTTATTTGACTACTCCTTTTAGGCATTTTTATTATATTTTCTTTCTTCCTCCCTCTTTTTCCATCTCTTTCTCTGCCTCTCTGTCTCTGTCTGTGAGGTCTCACAGTGTTCCCAGGCTGGACTCAAACTCTTGGTGCTCAAGCAAGCGATCCTCTCAACTCAGCTTCCTGAATAGCTGTGACTACAAGCGTGGGCCACTGTGCCAGGCTTGATTTTCCAAATTGCATTTTCAAAAAATCTCCTCCCATATTTGGGATAGAAGACATCCAGGTGGTTCATACTCATTTACCAGGGCTGTCTTAAGACTTTTTAATGCAATAAAACATATTTTTAACTACACACTTAGTTCTTTCATTTACTCCTGAACTAATGTTAATTTCTACTTGGAAAATGAAAAGGTTATTTACTTTTTTTTTCCTGAAATGCTGACAATATGTGATATCTTAATATCTGTAATTCTTAGTGAAAGTTATGGTATAGTATAGGTGAAGCTGTAGTGTTTATATCAATAGATGTGAATTCAAATGAGCAATCTAATAATTATTTACTATTCAATTATGTTAATTTTCTTCTCTTTGTCTCCCATTGTTTCTGCAGAGGCAGTTGGTGTCACCAGCCAGCGACCAGTGTTTTGTCCTTTTCATAAAAAGGAGCAGCTGAAGCTGTACTGTGAGACATGTGACAAACTGACATGTCGAGACTGTCAGTTGTTAGAACATAAAGAGCATAGGTACCAGCATCTTTGGTTATATATATAGATTCATATGCAGCTTTAGAGGACTAAAGGACTGCTGCCAACCCTCATCAAATGGCAGTCTGCAAATAGGTTTTGTTTGGCCAGCACTATGCTGGCCTGTACTGGGGTTTGTCACTTTTGACACTATTGATGTTTTGGGCTAGGTAATTCTTTATTGTTGAGGACTGATCTGTGCATTATATGGTGGTCAGCATCCTTGACCTCTACCAACTAGTTACCAGTAGCAACCCTCTAACCCTCCCCAGTTGTGACAACAAAATGTGGCTCCAGACATTGGCAACGTCCTATGGAGCAAAATCATCCTGAGTTGAGAACACTGGCCAACACACTGTTTTAAAATATATAGAACTAGTTGCCAGCATTGTAAAATGGGGAGATTTTACATTTTTTAAATATCTAGATTTCTGGCTTTTTTGAGAAAACGGAAGCTGTTCTAGCCCTGGGTCTGTATACTTCATGTCAACATTTGAGGCATGCCTTTTCCAGTTCATTATAGTTCCTAGCAAAGCTCACTTTTAAATCTGATCTCAACAGTCATTCAAAGGTCAGCAACAGATGATTTAGACAGTAAGATTCGGATTGATACAAATATAATTGCTTATGATGGTCTAGGCTCCCGATAATGGCAGACTAGATAATTTGGATCAACAGTGAGAATGACTAGAAAACCTGCACAAAATACAGAAATTGTCTATATGAAATGCTAGAGCAAATAGTAAAGCATTATTGGACAGGATTGGGTTGGAGTTGGGGCTAAGAATGGTGGGGGCCTTTTTCTCCCCTTGAGGTATTTGCCCAGAGATTGAGGAGTAATTTTGATAGGCTCACAGGGCTGAGAAATCACAGCTTAGAGTGCAAGGATCATGCATGGTGAATGTGTCTCCTTGTCTTGAGTTGGGACCCTGAAAGTCTGCACTATTATAGTAAAGATAAATTAGCTAGTAAGTTGTTCCTCACAGGGACTAAAGCTCAGCAACTAAAATTGGATTAAAGTGAAATCATATCGCTGGCTCCTCAAGTTTCCTTGTAGAATCAAATGTAAATCCTTGCTAGAAAGAAAAAGAAAACATCTAGGCCTCCAACTTATTCAATAATGAATTTTGCAAAAACAGTATTCACAGAATTAGAAATAACCAGGTTTGTTAGGAGATTAGACAATGCGAACATAGTGAGACCCCATCCCCACAAAAAATTAGCTGGGCAAAGTGGTGTGTGCTTGTATTCCTAGCTACTTGGGAGACTGAGGTGGGAGGATTGCTTGAGCCCAGGAGTTCAAGGGTGCAGTGATAGTGCCACTGCACTCCAGCCTAAGTGACAGAATGAGACCCTGTCTTTAAAAAAGAAAGAAAGAAAACCCTAAAAATTACAGTAACTGAAATTAACTCAGTAGAAGGGCTTAAGAACAGATTTGGCCTAGCATGAAACGAGAATTAATGAGCTAGAAGAAAATTAAGAAAATATCCAGAAAGAAGCATCATCAGCAAGAGGAGGATGAAAAGTAGAAGAGATTAAACATCTAATGTGGATGTAATTGCAGTCCAAGAAGGATGGAAAGTACAGAGAATGGGAAGGAAGCAATACTCGAAGACAGAATGTAATGGCTGAGAACTTTCAGAAGCTGACGAAAGGCATTCAGCCCATATTTAAGAAGTTGCACAAACCTCTAGCAGGATAATTAAGAAAGTAATATTTTTAAAGTGCAAAAAGAAAGTAACTTTCAAATCTAAAATTCTGTACCTGGTAAGCATATTCTTTAAATATGAAGGTGGTTGAAAAACGTTTCAGGCAAAATAAACTGGGAGAGCATATCCCTGCTAAACTCTCATTTAAAGTACCTCTTAGTAGAAGAAAAATAATAGGAGATACAGAAAGGAAAATGGAGCAATAGGTATGAGTAAATCTAAATGAATGTTGACTTAGGAAACAATAATATCTTGTTGATGTGGTGTGCGTATATGTATATCACATAGCAGCAAATGTACTAAAAGGGTATGGAATTTATGTTCTAAGGTCCATGCATAGTCTAGGAAGAGGGTGAAAAGTACCAATATTAGATGATATGTAAAAATCTGTTCTTGTAATGTCTAGAGTAGTCACTAAAAGAATAATAAGTACATATAATTACCAAGGTGTGGAGAGTTGTGGGGATGTGGAATAGTTAATCAGTATAAACAAAGGCCAAAAAAATGAGAAAAAGAAATAAAGAACAGATGGAATATAATGAGACCTTGGTAAGTTGGTAGATCTACAAATATACTATAATTATACTAAGTGTGAACAGACAAAATGTTCCAAATTACAAGACAGGTTTCGGACTGGATAAGAAGGAAAATAGAAAAATGTGCTATTTTCTTTTTATGAGAAATATCTAAAAACTCAATGTATAAAATACTTAATGGGAAAAGACACACCATATAAATATTAACCAAAGGCAAGATGGTATAGTAGACAAAATCCATTATTTGAGGTAAAGAGGGACACTTTGTAAGGATGAAAGTCTCTCTTCATCTGAAAGATATGAGTTGTAAATTTATACAGGTTATAAACTTACAAAAAAATGACAGAATTTCAAACTAATAGAAAACTCCATAGTCACAGTGGAAAATCTTACCACTTTATGCAATAATTGAAGCCGAGCAGTGTGGCAGGTGCCTGTAAGTGCTAGCTACCTAGCTACTCGGGAAACTGAGAAATCACAGGTGGGAGGATGGCTGAAGCCCAGGAGTTTGAGTTCAGCCTGGGCAGCATAGCAAGACCTATCTCTAAAAAATAAGTAAGTAAGTAAATAAATAAATAACAAAACAAGCAGACTAAAAAATCAGTAAAGATAGAGAAATAAGGGCCAGGTGCAGTGGCTCACACCTGTAATCCCAGCTACTCGGGAGGCTTAGGCAGGAGAATCACTCGAACCCAGGAGGTGGAGGTTGCAGTGAGCTGAGATGGCACCATTGCACCCTGGCCGAGGCGACAACAGCAAAACTCCATCTCAAAAAAAAAAAAGATAAATAAGATTGAATACCACAATTAACATAACGTCTTATGGACATTGTGGAACACTGTACCCCAAAATATACATTCTTACAATAAAATATTTTTAACTGACCATATGCTAAAGTCTTAAATTTGAAAATATTGAAAAATACCATATATTTGGAAATGAAATTCTTGTGATAACTAAAGTCTACTGATACACAATCCTGGAATTCTAGATTAAAGGAAAAAATTATTTAGAAGACATTATTGAGACAAATGATATAATTAAGAAACATGGTCTATAGTTTAAAGTACTGTAAACAAAGTCATTTTTTTTTTAACTGTACTATGGGCACATAAGAAAATCCTTTTTTTTAGGAAATGCACACTGAATTATTAAGGGGTTGAAGGGCTATGAGGAGGCAAACTAAAAATTGATTAATCTGTATAAGGAGATATATGATCTCTATATACTTGCAAATTTAACTTTGAAATTGTTTTAAAATAAACAGTTTAATACATTCAAATCATCAAGAAGAAATTCCAGTAGATGGTAGAAAACATTTTCATCTGAATGATAGTGAAAAACATCAGTCAATCAAGCCTTGAGGTTTTTCTTTTTAATAACTGAAGCCATATTTGGAGGACAATTTATATTATTAAATGCATATGTTATATGTTGAGGATAAAGTCAATTCACTAAACATTTATTGCAGTTTAGGGAAAGTAGGTAATTAAACCCAAAGTAAGTGGGTTTTAAAAGAAACATAATAAAGACAAGTGTAGAAATAGTCAAAGCCAAAAATTCAGTCTTTCAAAAGACTAGTAAATAATCAACAATTCTCTGTATGAGTGATTGAGAGAGCAGGCCCAAATAACCACTACCAGGAGTAGGAAGGTGGCATTACTCCATATTTCAAATGCATTTTCAAAGATAAAAAGGATATCTGTCAATAATAATGAAAATTTTTACATGATATTGGAAAACTTAGAGAATGAAGCTTTTTAACAAAACTTTTGCTAAATACAATAGAAAGTCAGAATAGTCTTTTAATGTTCATTCATAATTTAAAACCTTCCCACAAAGAAAATTACACATGCAAATGACACAGATGAATGTACCATATAGTTAAGGCAAAAATAGCCCCTTTTGGCCGGGCGAGGTGGCTCACGCCTGTAATCCCAGCACCTGGGGAGGCCGAGGCGGGCGGATCACAAGGTCAGGAGATTGAGACCATCCTGGCTAACATGGTGAAACCCCGTCTCTACTAAACATACAAAAAATTAGCCAGGCGTGGTGGTGGGTATAGTCCCAGCTACTCGGGAGGCTGAGGCAGGAGAATGGCGTGAACCCAGGAGGCAGAGCTTCCAGTGAGCCGAGATGGGGCCACTGCACTCCAGCCTGGGCGACAGAGCGAGACTCCGTCTCAAAAAAAAAAAAAAAAAAAAAGCCCCTTTCTTATACAAACTTGTCTGGAGAATGGCAAAAAAATGAATTCTTTCCAACTTGTTATATGAAGCCAGCATAACCTTTACACCAAAACTGACAAGGAATAGAAATGGAAAATTACAGGCCAGTCTCACTCATGAAATGAATGTAAAAATTCCAAGAAACGGAAAATAAGTAGGAAACAGATGATTTGAGAGGAGGGGAAAACTTGCCTTAAATCTCGTAGTATTGTCATTTTGGGACAGTGTAATCACAACCAATTTGGCCTCATCTTAGGGATACAGAATTCATTTAACATGCCAAAATCATTGATGCTAAAATCTTGCATGTCATATTAAAAGAATAAAGGAAAAAGTATATGCCTATCTCAATAGAAGCAGTAGAAACATTCCATAAAAATTAAATATACATTCATGATACAACATCTTAGCAAACTAGAAATAAAAAAGAACTTCCTAAACCTGATAAAGATTATTTATGGAAAGCAGAAAACGTACTTAATATTGGAATATTGAAAGTCTTTGCATTGAGATTAGGAACAACATAAGGGTGACCATTTTGACCATTTCATGTAACCTTATATTAAATAAGGGTAGTAAAGAAAAAGTTTACTAAGGTAAAAAAAACTTGAGTTGCCTATAAAAGTATTTGAAATGTTATAATTCACAGATATGATTATATACTAAGGAAATCCAATGTAATTATTAACTGGGTATCCCCTTTTTCTAACTGGCAACCCTATTTAGTTACATGTAAACATTTAAAATCACATTATATAAAATTGTTAATTTAGAAATACTGTATTTTGTACATTTTATAGAAAAACTTAAATAAAATTCTTGTTATGTATCTTCTATATCGTTGCCTTTCTATCTTCTCTAGAACTTCTCTTGAGTTATCAAACATAGTCTGGCAAAGTAAATCATCTTTCCTCAGTTTCAAATTGGAAACTTTTTAAAGTGCTGTATCTCATTATACTGTTGCTTAAAAGTTTTATTACAAGGCATAACATCAAGAATTTTGCCCTTCTCTGTCTGTATTTATCCTGATTTATCTTGTGGCCCCTAGAACATAACTACCTATTATTTAAAAGTGGTCTTTTAAAATGTTTATTTTCAGCAGGCTTGCATAATGTAGAAATTACAAAATAGTTAATAAATCTGATTATGTATAATTGACTATTTTTTGCCAAGTCCACCAAGTGAAAGTGAACTCTGTAAGCTTATAAAAACTGAATGATGGATGCATGTGGTTCTCAAACTTTCAAAATATTTATGTGTCCATAATCTTTCTTGAGGGATAATTTGAGAGGTGAGGGAAACTTGCCTTATTAGGGATACGTTTGATGTTTTAAAAGATTATTATATAAATTCTTTATAATCCTATTTTATGTTTTTATGTCTTTTTTTATTCTTGGACTTTTTCCTCATTGTATATTTTTATATGAAATAATTTGCTTATTTCTTCAGATACCAATTTATAGAAGAAGCTTTTCAGAATCAGAAAGTGATCATAGATACACTAATCACCAAACTGATGGAAAAAACAAAATACATAAAATTCACAGGAAATCAGATCCAAAACAGGTAATTTTATGGTATTATGTAATCATTTTTATATAATTTGTTAAGTATATTCACTTTTAGAACATTTTCCTTAAGTCACAGTTAAGTAATACGTTGTTAGATGACTGCAATAACACATGACTGATAAGACTTTCCCAGAAACTTAGTTGGAAAGCATTCTTTTCTGCTGTAAAATTTCAAAACTAATAATAAACTACACTTAGTATTTTAATAGCTCATTTATCTAATAGGTATTGATAACTTATTATCACTTATTTTCCAATTTTAAAGAAATACCAAAATTTAAATGCCAAATCAACCATTTTTTTGCCAGTATTGTAAAATATTTTAACACTTGAATAAACCCTTAATTGTTATTTTAAGGTTTGCTGAAATTTGAGATGCCTGCCTTATGCTGCAATTTTTTTAAAACTGCAAACAGGTGGAAATTTTAAGACACTAGGATACAGGGATTGTTAAACTGTTCCGCACACTTTTTACTTCTTGTCTGATAAAATGCTTACTTACACAATTACTTGTTATGCCTTTTGCCCTGGTAAGAAAATCATCAACTGTCCAAAGTCTTAGACATCAGTGATTAGGGAGAACCACTAACCTCCATGGAGCGGGGGCAGCTGGAGGTGTTGTCTAACCCCTTTTTAAAATCCCATTTAGGGCACATACTGACATTTAATTTACACACCTATGAAATCCCATGACCTCTTCTGTTGTTTTACACACAAAAGAAATGTCACTGCCTAAATAAGTCAAGAAATGTTTATTAGAATGAGCCAGCGTAAAAGAGACCTCACAGAGAATTTAAATGTTTTTCTATGTATAAATTGTGTCAGACTTTAAGGCAGTCATCACAATCTATTATTATCATTTTGGAACATAGCTGGGGGTGGAGCATTTGGGAATTTTTTTAAGGTAATTAAATCCCTGTATTACCTGATTCCCTTAAAAGAGATTTTTACACATAGTTTTACCATTTCTTGATGCCCCAGCATCATTCTTATATCTGTTTATTATTATGCATTATGTTGTGTATCTTTTAGTTTTTCTTGTTATCAGCTCTCATTTGTTTTTACCTCTGTTTTTGTTTTTTGTTTTTTGTTTTTTTTTGAGACGGAGTCTCACTCTGTCACTTAAGCTGGAGTGCAGTGGTGTGATCTCAGCTCACTGCAACCTCTGCCTCCTGGGTAGCTGGGATTACAGGTGCCCACCACTGTGCCCAGCTAGTTTTTGTATCTTTAGTAGAGATGGGCTTTCACCATGTTGGCCAGCCTGGTCTTGAACTAGTGACCTCAGGTGATCTGCCACCTCAGCCTCCCAAAGCACTGGGATTACAGGCGTGAGCCACCATACCTGGCCCTGTTTTTACTTTTCTCTTTGACACAACTATAGTTAATGAAATACTATTTTCTTTATTTACCATATTCTAATCAGAATAGTATATTTTGCCAAGTAGAATAATTGGTGGGTTTAAACTTTTTTTATTCTGAGTAATTGAAAATTTGTAATGAATATTTATTGAATGAATGAAGAGAGATAATTATAGGCATTTCTACCATCTAGTGGCAAAAGGTAGCAATCATAAAATAATTAATTTTAAATTAAACATCTGCCCTTAATGAAATTTATCCCTTTGACTTTTTTCTTACTGTTTCACTGAGTATATGGTTTGATTTATGGTCAAAGTTTACATTTTTTTTTATGTACCGCTGTCAATTTTTTCCACTATCATTTGTTGAAAAAACTTTCTGTTGAATTGTTTTTCAGCACCTTTATAGACCATATATATGTGTGGGATTATTCTGTTCCATTGTGTTTTTCTCATTGCTAGTACTTCACTTTCATGATCATGATCATTGTAGTTTTTTATAGTAAGTCTTAACATAGTGTTTTTCAAATTTCTTCTTTTATTTTTATAAATGATTTGTGCTTTTTTTCTTCTACAAAATAATAACATTGTGTGTAACAATTTTGATTTCTGAATTGAGGCAAAAAATTAAACAATCTTTGTTAAGTGCAAATTGCTTACATATCTTTATAGCCTATGTGATTATAAAAGGGTACATTTATTAGAGTAACTGGTAGTCATTTTTATGCATTTGACCCCATGGCACTGTTTTTCCCTTACTCATCCTATTCTACCATCATGAATATTTAAATGACTTTTTTGAGATTGGTTGCTTCTCAGGCTTATCTGGTTCCCTTGATCCTGTAGTAATGTTGATGTCAAACAATTATCTGGAAGAATTTCCAGCAGGAAATAAAGTCTCTGCCAGTTTGGTCTTGAGTTTTGGAGGGTAACTATGGGAGAAGCTTACAGAAGAAATGAAGCTTTTAATTTAATCTCACAAAGTTTGGTGGATGCTCTGTTATTTTCTATAAGATATTCTGGTGTGGTACCGTATGTTTTTCTTTCTGTAAGAGTGTTGCTGGAATCAGGAGACTGGAGAGACCAGTAGGTGAAACAGGAGGATTTTATTGAGTGCACTCATACCCAGCGGATTAATATCCAAAGACCAGGCCTAGAACAAAGACTGGGCCTAGAACAAAGGCTGGGCCTAGAACAAAGACTGGACTTGGCTTTTATACACACTTCTAAAAGGGGATGGGCTAGTTTGAAACAAGCTTACAGTGGCGTGAAGCATAGTGGTGTGAAAGCTCAGGTACAGAAGCAGAACAAAGGCAGTTAATCATACTTTGACAGGTTCATAACTCAGGCTTACAATGACTCTTGCTATGCGGCCTAGATGGCTGTTATCTAGGCTTGCTCTAGTGCCTTGTGCTGGCTTATCTCATAACCTTCACTATGGTGTCTAGATGGCTACAATCCAGGCCCGCCCAGGCATGTCTCATGACTTTCACTGAGCTGCTTAGATAAAACAATGCTTGAAGTTACTAGTTATAGAAAACAAGAATCTATAAACTCATAAGTTTACTCATACCATAGGAGAAAGAAAAATAAAGAAAATTTGTTTTTTTCTTCTCCCCATGTTGGGGGAGTGCTGGGAGAGTCTTCAGAGCACATTCCTTTGAGCCCTAGCTTCTTAGATAATATTATCAAGACTTTCCTGGGTCTGGGCTGTGCCTGTTTCTGCCTCTGGGATAAGTCAGCCTAATACATGAAAGCTTGTTTTTCAAACTTGCTTTTCTCTTTTTAATTTTATTTTTCTTTTTTTTTCTTTAATTTCCCACCTCAAGAGAAGTATGTGGTTGATAAAACATAGTTATTTGGCTGCTAATTTTGCAAAGAATGGGTTAAGTAGCAAACTACTATTTTTGTCTTTTTCTATTTAGGTGTATGAATACTGTAGCAGTTAAGAATACTAAGAAAAGAGTGTCACATATACACTTTTCTAGCTTTCGGTTGCAATTAATATAGTAGAACATGTTCAGAATCATCATGGTTTATAAATCCTTTTTGGTCCACCCCCACCCCCCCCCCCATCCTTTTAGGTAGAGCATTGATTTTCCTGGGTGTTCTCATAATTTTTCCAAACCATATTTTCTTAAAATGTACTCATTCTCTTCTAATTTTATATATATTTTTAAGATTCAAGACTTAATTTTAAGATTGAGTGGTGATATCTTTCAGAAGAATTATATTTCTGCTGTCTCATCTTCAAGACAGTCAATTTAAAGTGAAGGACTCAGAAATAGAGCTTCTAAGGGCTGAAAACATTTTGGTCTAATTTAGACATTAAAACGTCAATTTTAAATATTATACAAAAAAACTGCCTTATGTTTTTCCCCGTTTTAATTTTCAGAATTATTGAAGTAAATCAAAATCAAAAGCAGGTGGAACAGGATATTAAAGTTGCTATATTTACACTGATGGTAGAAATAAATAAAAAAGGAAAAGCTCTACTGCATCAGTTAGAGGTAAGTGACTGCCCATGGGATAGTATATTGATTCAACATAGTATTTCCTAAAGTACTGTGAAGTAGAAATCATAGTGCTTTTTATATAGTTGTTTCATTGTGATTTAATATTTTTTTTTCCCACTCCCAAGTTTTCCTTTGCTGGGTTTTGTATTGTAGCTGACAATTTAAAGCTTTATAATACGCTATGAATGTCTGATGACTGATTGTTTTCTTTATAGCACAAATTATAATGCCTTGCTTGTAGGAGGATCTCTGAATGTTAAACAGATGAGTTATTTTCGAGATGCACTGAAATGAAAATTTTGCATCACCAAGGTGGTTTAGTGGAGCAGAATTTTCTAGAAAGATACACTGTTCGATTTAGTTCTCAAATATATATATTTAACCCTGTGAGAAGTTAGGTAAAAGAATATGGCTAGCCCTGCCCTCAACATTTTGTAATTGTAATTGCGAGAGCAGCACTTAGGGAGATATGCCCAAGGCACTTAGTTGTTTCTCACTGCAGGTAAGAAAAACATTACCATCTTCCTCAGCTTTTTAAAACTCATGAAGGTCAAGATCCAAACTTGGTGTTTGACTTCAAATCATATAAGGTTATAACAGCTACATGGTACATTAATGTATAATATTAATTGCATGATTTTTAGGTATTCTTTTAGTACGTTGACATAGAAAGCATATTGATACAGTAAAGAAGCAAATGAGAAAAAAAAGAATCCTAATGTTTGAAGATTTGAGGAAAAATAAGACTTCTAGAAATAATTTAGGTCATCCTTTTTATATCATAATTTACCAAATTAAAAGGTTTCTGTCAGAAAGTTCTATCCCTTCTGGGAAAGCATGGTCATTCCTGTGTATTATCAGCTGTACAGGAAACAAAGACTAAAATAATTCTCTGTTCTTTTGGAAACGTAGTTATTTAGTGAGGAAGTATTCTGGGCAGGAACAATCAGACCCCATTTATAGTAACTATTTGTTCAAGGTCTGTGACTTTAAAAAAAAAAAAAAATTTAAGTACAATTTTAAGTTTCCAAAACTGCTTAAAATCAAATATCACTTTGATTTGCTTTCCCAGATATTAGTAGTGCATACATTACTATGTCTGTGTTTTCAAACTTGACTGTACATCAGAATCACTTGAAGAGCTTTACAAAGGAGATGACCAGACTTGCAAATCTGTAGGAATGAACCTGGTCAGTATATCTACTGATGACCAGGTTCATTCTTAAAATTAAAAAAAAATTTTTTTTGAGACAGGGTCTCACTCTGTTGCCCAGACAGAAGTGCAATAGCGTGAATCACGGCTCACTACAGCCTCCACCTCCTGGTCTCAGGTGATCTTCTCATTGCAGCCTCTCGAGTAATTAGGACTACAAGTGTATGCCACCATGCCTGGCTAATATTTTTTTTTTTTTAAGAGGGGGGGTTTTGACACGTTGGCTCAGGCTGGTCTCGAACTACTGGGCTCAGGCAGTCTGTCTGCCTCAGCCTCCCAAAGTACTGAGATTACAGGTATGAGCTACCCACCTTGCCCCCCCTTTGTTTTTTTTGGAGACAGTGTTTTACTTTGTTGTCCAAGCTTGAATGCAGTGGTGTTTTCACTGCAGCCTTGACCTCCCAGGCTCAAGCAATCTTCCCACCCCAGTCTCCTGAGTAGCTGTGCAACCACACCTGACTAATTTTTTATTTTTGTAGAGATGAAGTCTCACTCTAGTGAATTTTCTTATTTTACTTTTTAGAGACAAGGTCTCACTCTGTCACCCAGGCTCGAGTGTAGTGGTATAGCCTTGGCTCACTGCAGCCTCAAACTCCTGGGAAACTGGGACTACAAGCGATCCTCCTGACTGAGAAGCTGGGACTACAGGGCGTGTGCTGCCACTCCTGGCTAATTTATTATTATTATTATTATACTTTAAGTTCTAGGGTACATGTGCACAACGTGCACATATGTATATGTATACATGTATACATGTATACGTGTATGTTACATACGTATACATGTTACACGTTACATGTTACATATGTTACATATGTTTACATGTGTTACATATGTATACATGTGCCATGTTCGTGTGCTGCACCCATTAACTCGTTATTTACATTAGGTATATCTCCCAATGCTATCCCTCCCCCCTCCCCCAACCCCACAACAGGCCCCGGTGTGTGATGCTCCCCTTCCTGTGTCCAAGTGTTCTCATTGTTCAATTCCCACCTATGAATGAGAACATGCGGTGTTTGGTTTTTTGTCCCTGCGATAGTTTGCTGAGAATGATGGTTTCCAGTTTCATCCATGTCTCTACAAAGGACATGAACTCATCATTTTTTATGGCTGCATAGTATTCCATGGTGTATATGTGCCACATTTTCTTAATCCAGTCTATCATTGTTGGACATTTGGGTTGGTTCCAAGTTTGTGCTATTGTGAATAGTGCCGTAATAAACATACGTGTGCATGTGTCTTTATAGCAGCATGATTTATAATCCTTTGGGTATATACCCAGTAATGGAATGGCTGGGTCAAATGGTATTTCTAGTTCTAGATCCTTGAGGAATCGCCACGCTGTCTTCCACAGTGGTTGAACTAGTTTACAGTCTCACCAACAGTGTAAAAGTGTTCCTATTTCTCCACATCTTCTCCAGCACCTGTTGTTTCCTGACTTTTTAATGATGGCCATTCTAACTGGTGTGAGCTGGTATCTCATTGTGGTTTTGATTTGCATTTCTCTGATGGCCAGTGATGATGAGCAATTTTTCATGTGTCTGTTGGCTGCATAAATGTCTTTAGAGAAGTGTCTGTTCATATCCTTTGCCCACTTTTTGATGGGGTTGTTTGTTTTTTTCTTGTAAATTTGTTTGAGTTCATTGTAGATTCTGGATATTAGCCCTTTGTCAGATGAGTAGATTGCAAAACTTTTTTCCCATTCTGTAGGTTGCCTGTTCACTCTGATGGTAGTTTCTTTTGCTGTGTAGAAGCTCTTTAGTTTAATTAGATCCCATTTGTCAATTTTGGCTTTTGTTGCCATTGCTTTTGGTGTTTTAGACATGAAGTCCTTGCCCATGCCTATTTCCTGAATGGTATTGCCTAGGTTTTCTTCTAGGGTTTTTATGGTTTTAGGTCTAACATTTAAGTCTTTAATCCATCTTGAATTAATTTTTGTATCAGGTGTAAGGAAGGGATCCAGTTTCAGCTTTCTACATATGGCTAGCCAGTTTTCCCAGCACCATTTATTGAATAGGGAATCCTTTCCCCATTGCTTGTTTTTGTCAGGTTTGTCAAAGATCAGATGGTTGTAGATGTGTGCTATTTCTGAGGGCTCTGTTCTGTTCCAAAGGTCTATATCTCTGTTTTGGTACCAGTACCATGCTGTTTTGGTTACTGTAGCCTTGTAGTAAAGTTTGAAGTCAGGTAGTGTGATGTCTCCAGCTTTGTTCTTTTGACTTAGGATTGTCTTGGCAATGCGGGCTCTTTTTTGGTTCCATATGAACTTGAAAATAGTTTTCTCCAATTCTGTGAAGAAAGTCATTGGTAGCTCAACGGGGATGGCATTGAATCTATAAATTACCTTGGGCAGTATGGCCATTTTCACAATATTGATTCTTCCTATCCATGAGCATGGAATGTTCTTCCATTTGTTTGTGTCCTCTTTTATTTTGTTGAGCAGTGGTTTGTAGTTCTCCATGAAGGGGTCCTTCACATCCCTTGTAAGTGGGATTCCTAGGTATTTTATTCTCTTCGAAGCAATTGTGAATGGGAGTTCACTCATGATTTGGCTCTCTGTTTGTCTGTTATTGGTGTATAAGAATGCTTGTGATTTTTGCACATTGATTTTGTATCCTGAGACTTTGCTGAAGTTGCTTATCAGCTTAAGGAGATTTTGGACTGAGACAATGGGGTTTTCTAAATATACAATCATGTCATCTGCAAACAGGGACAATTTGACTTCCTCTTTTCCTAATTGAATACACTTTATTTCTTTCTCTTGCCTGATTGCCCTGGCCAGAACTTCCAGCACTATGTTGAATAGTAGGAGTGGTGAGAGAGGGCATCCCTGTCTTGTGCCAGTTTTCAAAGGGAATGCTTCCAGTTTTTGCCCATTCAGTATGATATTGACTGTGGGTTTGTCATAAATAGCTCTTATTATTTTGAGATACGTCCCATCAATACCTAATTTATTGAGTTTTTAGCATGAAGGGCTGTTGAATTTTGTCAAAGGCCTTTCCTGCATCTATTGAGATAATCATGTAGTTTTTGTCTTTGGTTCTGTTTATATGCTGGATTACATTTATTGATTTGCATGTGTTGAACCAGCCTTGCATCCCAGGGATGAAGCCCACTTGATCATGGTGAATAAGCTTTTTGATGTGCTGCTGGATTCGATTTGCCAGTATTTTATTGAGGATTCTTACATCAATGTTCATCAGGGATATTGGTCTAAAATTCTCTTTTTTTGTTGTGTCTCTGCCAGGCTTTGGTATCAGGATGATGCTGGCCTCATAAAATGAGTTAGGGAGGATTCCCTGTTTTTCTATTCGTTGGAATAGTTTCAGAAGGAATGGTACCAGCTCCTCCTTGTACCTCTGGTAGAATTTGGCTGAGAATCCATCTGGTCCTAGACTTTTTTTGGTTGGTAGGCTATTAATTATTGCCTCAATTTCAGAGCCTGTTATTGGTCTATTCAGGGATTCAACTTCTTCCTGGTTTAGTCTTGGGTGGGTGTATATGTCGAGGA
The DNA here is from genome assembly GCF_000001405.40 of Homo sapiens. Classification (NCBI taxonomy): domain Eukaryota; kingdom Metazoa; phylum Chordata; class Mammalia; order Primates; family Hominidae; genus Homo; species Homo sapiens. The sequence goes on from NC_000007.14 coordinate 138,533,964, forward strand.
ATTTATCCATTTCTTCTAAATTTTCTAGTTTATTTGCATAGAGGTGTTTATAGTATTCTCTGATGGTAGTTTGTATTTCTGTGGGATCGGTGGTGATATCCCCTTTAACATTTTTTATTGCGTCTGTTTGATTGTTCTCTGTTTTCTTCTTTATTAGTCTTGCTAGCGGTCTATTTTGTTGATCTTTTCAAAAAAACCAGCTCCTGGATTCATCAATTTTTTTGAAGGGTTTTTTGTGTCTCTATCTCCTTCAGTTCTGCTCTGATCTTAGTTATTTCTTGCCTTCTGCTAGCTTTTGAATTTGTTTGCTCTTGCTTCTCTAGTTCTTTTAATTGTGATGTTAGGGTGTCAATTTTAGATCTTTCCTGCTTTCTCTTGTGGGCATTTAGTGCTATAAATTTCCCTCTACACATTGCTTTAAATGTGTCCCAGAGATCCAGGTACGTTGTGTCTTTGTTCTTATTGGTTGCAAAGAACATCTTTATTTCTGCCTTCATTTTGTTATGTACCCAGTAGTCATTCAGGAGCAGGTTGTTCAGTTTCCATGTAGTTGAGCGGTTTTGAGTGAGTTTCTTAATCCTGAGTTCTAGTTTGATTGCACTGTAGTCTGACAGACAGTTTGTTATAATTTCTGTTCTTTTACATTTGCTGAGGAGTGCATTACTTCCAACTGTGTGGTCAATTTTGGAATAAGTGTGATGTGGTGCTGAGAAGAATGTATATTCTGTTGATTTGGGGTGGAGAGTTCTGTAGATATCTATTAGGTCTGCTTGGTGAAGAGCTGAGTTCAATTCCTGGATATCCTTGTTAACTTTCTGTCTTGTTGATCTGTCTGATGTTGACAGTGGGGTGTTAAAGTCTCCCATTATTATTGTCTGGGAGTCTAAAGTCTCTTTGTAGGTCTCTAAGGACTTGCTTTATGAATCTGGGTGCTCCTGTATTGGGTGCATATATGTTTAGGTTAGTTAGCTCTTCTTGTTGAATTGATCCCTTTACCATTATGTAATGGCCTTCTTTGTCTCTTTTGATGTTTGTTGGTTTAAAGTCTGTTTTATCAGAGACTAGGATTGCCACCCCTGCCTTTTTTTGTTTTCCATTTGCTTGGTAGATCTTCCTCCATCCCTTTATTTTGAGCTTATGTGTGTCTCTGCATATGAGATGGGTCTCCTGAATACAGGACACTGATGGGTCTTGACTCTTGATCCAATTTGTCAGTCTGTGTGTTTTAATTGGAGCATTTAGCCCATTTACATTTAAGGTTAATATTGTTATGTGTGAATTTGATCCTGTCATTGTGATGTTAGCTGGTTATTTTGCCCTTTAGTTGATGCAGTTTCTTCCTAGCATCAGTGGTCTTTATGATTTGGCATGTTTTTGCAGTGGCTGGTCTCAGTTGTTCCTTTCCATGTTTAGTGCTTCCTTCAGGAGCTCTGGTATGGCAGGCCTGGTGGTGACAAAATCTCTCAGCCTTTGCTTGTCTATAACGGATTTTATTTTTCCTTCACTTATGAAGCTTAGTTTGGCTAGATATGAAATTCTGGGTTGAAAATTCTTTTCTTTAAGGCTGTTGAATATTGGCCCCTACTCTCTTCTGTCTTGTAGAGTTTCTGCCGAGAGATCCACTGTTAGTCTGATGGGCTTCCCTTTGTGGGTAAACCGATCTTTCTCTCTGGCTGCCCTTAACATTTTTTCCTTCATTTCAACTTTGGTGAATCTGATAATTATGTGTCTTGGAGTTGCTCTTCTCAAGGAGTATCTTTGTGGCATTCTCCGTATTTCCTGAATTTGAATGTTGGCCTGCCTTGCTAGGTTGGCGAAGTTCTCCTGGATAATAACCTGCAGAGCATTTTCCACCTTGGTTCCATTCTCCCCGTCACTTTCAGGTACACCAATCAGACATAGATTTGGTCTTTTCACATAGTCCCATATTTCTTGGTGGCTTTGTTCGTTTCTTTTTACTCTTTTTTCTCTAAACTTCTCTTCTTGCTTCGTTTCATTCATTTGATCTTCAATCACTGATACCCTTTCTTCCAGTTGATTGAATCAGGTACTGAAGCTTGTGCATTCGTCACGTACTTCTTGTGCCATGGTTTTCAGCTCCATCGGGTCATTTTAGGACTTCTCTACACTGGTTATTCTAGTTAGCCATTCATCTAATCTTTTTTCAAGGTTTTTAGCTTCTTTGCAATGGGTTCAAACTTCCTCCTTTAGCTCGGAGGAGTTTCATCGTCTAAAGCCTTCTTCTCTCAACTCATCAAGGTCATTCTCTGTCCAGCTTTGTTCCGTTGCTGTCTAGGAGCTGCGTTCCTTTGGAGGGGGAGAGGCGCTCTGATTTTTAGAATTTTCAGCTTTTCTGCTCTGTTTTTTCCCCATCTTTGTGGTTTTATCTACCTTTGGTCTTTGATGATGGTGATGTACAGATGGGGTTTTGGTGTGGATGTCCTTTCTGTTTGTTAGTTTTCTTTCTACCAGTCAGGACCCTCAGCTGCAGGTCTGTTGGAGTTTGGTGGAGGTCCACTCCAGACCCTGTTTGCCTGGGTATCAGCATTGGAGGCTGCAGAGCAGCGAATATTGCTGAACAGCAAATGTTGCTGCCTGATCGTTCCTCTGGAAGCTTTGTCCCAGAGGGGTACCCGGCTGTGTGAGGTGTCAGTCTGCCCCTACTGGGGGTGCCTCCCAATTAGGCTACTTGGGGGTTAGGGACCCACTTGAGGAGGTAGTCTGTCCGTTCTGAGATCTCAAACTCCGTGCTAGGAGAACCACTACTCTCTTCAAAGCTGTCAGACAGGGACATTTAAGTCTGCAGAGGTTTCTGCTGCCTTTTGTTTGGCTATGCCCTGCCCCCAGAGGTGGCGTCTGCAGAGGCACGCAGGCCTCCTTGAGCTGCAGCGGGCTCCACCCAGTTCGAGCTTCCTGGCCGCTTTGTTTACCTACTCAAGCCTCAGCAATGGTGGGCGCCCCTTCCCCAGCCTCGCTGCCGCCTTGCAGTTCGATCTCAGACTGCTGTGCTAGCAATGAGCGAGGCTCCGTGGGTATGGGACACTCCGAGACAGACGTGGGTTATAATCTCCTGGTGTGCTGTTTGCTAAGTCCGTTGGAAAAGCTCAGTATTAGGGTGGGAGTGACTCGATTTTCCAGGTGCCGTCTGTCACAGCTTCCCTTGGTTAGGAAAGGGAATTCCCTGACGCCTTGTGCTTCCCGGGTGAGGCGATACCTTGCCCTGCTTCGGCTCACACTCGGTGCACTGTACCCACGGTCCTGCACCCACTGTCCGACAAGCCCCAGTGACATGAACCCGGTACCTCAGTTGGAAATGCAGAAATCACCCATCTTCTGCGTCACTCACGCTGGGAGCTGTAGACTGGAGCTGTTCTTATTCGGCCATCTTGGAACCACTCCTCCGCCACCCCTGTTTGTTTTTTTTTTTTTTTTTTTTTTTTTTTTTGTAAAGACGTGGTCTCACTATGTTGCCCAGGCTGGTTGGAGTCCTTTTTTAAAGGCAAATAAAAATAACCCCTTTTATCTGTTAAGACTCATAAGAAATTGGCTGAAATAGATATTAGGATAGAGGACCAAAAATCCAGGGCTTCTGATTCTTAATTCTCAACCTTCTCCAAAGTAAACAATTTCTATTCCTACTAGAATGTTTCCAAAGAAACACTTAATAAATTTTTACAGAGGTCAAAAATAGTCTACTAGGCAAATTACTGTCTCTCTGAACTTAAATTAGATATGGCAGAGCCGTTGGATGTTGTTAGTAGTCCATCAAACAGACAACTACCATTTCCTCCTTAATTCAATGTAGCTCAAGTGTATTTTCCAAATCTGGAACTGACTAGGGCTAGGATCTGGGTTCGCTTTTTATTGAGAATGTAAGTCCATGTTGTAGTATAGCAATTTTACTTGTAAACATTTCTAATTTGTCTGAGACAGCAGAAAGTCCTGTTTTCCTCCTTTTTCCTTGCTAGGTCTAGGATGAGGTTTTTGGTTAGGAACCTTTAAAATAACCCAAGTTCAGTGTGCTCTACTTTTGATTATCCATCTTCTCTAAGGAAAGCACATACATACCTCCTTTAGAGAAATCTATATTCTTTTATGTAGCTTTTGTTAGAGTGCATTGGCCCACTCATTCAGTGCATCTGTTGGCTCCGATGTTAATTCTCAATAGACAAATAATATGATGCCTTTTAAGAAAATTACCACATACAAAGGGTAAGTGTCATCTACAACACAGCATGACTCTGTTTTGCACAAACTACTTGCAATTCCAACTGTTAAATAGAATCCCTAAAAGGTGAAATCATATGATTGAGTAAATTATGTGATAGAGTTACTTTATAGGTTTGCTGGACAGTACATCTGTTTTATTTGTGAATGTTGAATTTCATAGACATTTACTGTACTATAGCTAATCTTTCCTTTTTTGTGTATTGTAACATGCATGAACAGAGTTAAATCCCAGAATATGTAAAACCTGATCCAGGGCCTTGAGGAGTGAGGGGCCACATTGGGATGCAGTTTTTTGCCATAGTGAAAGTGATCCTTTATACTAATAGGGAAAACAGAGTATTTTTAGTTTCAGTAAATTGAGTAATTAGAGATTGTAGTTATTCTAATTTGTTTACCTGGAAATGACCATCAAAGTCTATGTTACATGCTGATACTAATTTTGAAACTATTTTCTTGTTTTCAGAGCCTTGCAAAGGACCATCGCATGAAACTTATGCAACAACAACAGGAAGTGGCTGGACTCTCTAAACAATTGGAGCATGTCATGCATTTTTCTAAATGGGCAGTTTCCAGTGGCAGCAGTACAGCATTACTTTATAGCAAACGACTGGTAAGATAAAGTATGCTATTTAATATACTGTAAAAATGCACAGTAAAACAATGGAGCCATTGTAATGCTTAAAATTTATTCTGCTTGTGCATCAGTGCTTTTTACCTATTTCTAATATCTATCAAAATATTTTGGTTTTAATATTTTTACCTGGCATAATTTGGGTGTAATTTCAGTTTTAATTTATCATTAATTCCTTTTTTTGTTCTTTCCAAGTATTCACTGTCTTCATAGCAATTGAAGTTAATATCAAAAATAAGGATGATAGTGAACATTTTCTGATTATCTATAGTGTGCCAGGTACTAATTCTAAGAATTTCCATGTAATATTTAAACTTTTACCTCATTCTTATGAGATATACCTATTCACCCCCCTTGTACACATGATGAAACTAAGGCATGTGATTATGTAACATGTCTAACATCACACAATATGAGGTATAGCCAGGGTTTATAATATGATCTCAGACATGACCTGAGCCTGTGTTCTTCTTCTTGGTGCTGCACGGCAATCTGTAGTGCTGGATATTTTTGCCACAGAAAAATAGCTCTGTGATTTGGTGAACTATTTGACATTGGTCTAGAACCTTACTACTTCACATATGACTACCACATCACTTGAGGATTCTGGTCAGGAGATCTGGGGTGGGGCTTGTGAATTTCTAACAAGCCTTCAGGTGACTCTGATGCTGCTTGGTCTGTGGGCTGTGCTTTGAGTAACAAAGATATAGAAGACATTTAGCTACATTCTTAAAAATTCCTGCTTTACATTAATCTTATTAAAGATTCAACAGAGATTTATACTCCGAAGTATACTATAAACCATAGGTTCAGTTCCAGACTATCGCAGTAAAGCAAATATCATAATAAGCCAAGCCATACAGTTTTTTTAAGTTTTCCAGTGCATATAAAAGTTTTGATTATAAATACTGTAGTGTAACTGTGCAGTAGTATTATGTTTTTTAAAAAAACAGTGTATATACCTCAATTAAGTAATCTTTTTTTTTTTTTTTTTGAGACAGAGTCTCACTCTGTCGCCCAGGCTGGAGTGCAGTGGCGTGATCTCCACTCACTGCAAGCTCCACCTCGCCGGTTCACACCATTCTTCTGCCTCAGCCTCCCGAGTAGCTGGAACTACAGGCGTCCGCCACCAGGCCTGGCTAATTTTTTGTATTTTTAGTAGAGACGGGGTTTCACCATGTTAGCCAGGATGGTCCCGATCTCCTGAGCTTGTGATCCACCCGCCTTCGCCTCCCAAAGTTCTGGGATTACAGGCGTGAACCACTGCACCCAGCTTAAAGAATACTTTATTGCCAAAAATGTTAATCATCTGAGCCTTCAAGAGTCATAATCTTTTTGCTGGTGGAGATGTTGATGGCCACTGGGGTTGTAGTTGCTGAAGGTTGGGATAGCTGTGTCAATATCTTAAAATAAGATGACAATGAAGTTTGCATTGATTGACTCTTTTTTAGTGGAAGATTTCTCCGTAGCATACAATGATAATTTGATAGTATTTTACCTACAATAGAACTTCTTTCAGAATTGGAGTCAGTCCTCTCAAAGCCAGTAGCTGCGGTATCACCTAAGTTTATGGAATATTCTAAATTCTTTGTTGTCATCTCAACAATGATCACAGCATCTTCACCAGGAGTAATTTCTATCTCAAAAAACCACTTTTCTGTGCTCATCCATAAGAAGCAACTATTCATCCATTCAAGTTTGATCATAGGATTGCAGCAATTCAGTCACATCTTTAGGCTCTACTTATTATTCCAGTTCTCTTGCTGTTTCTACCACATCTGTAATTCCTTCTTCACTGAAGTCTTGAACTCCTCCAGGTCATCCCTAAAGGTTGGAATCAACTTATTCCTAACTCCTGTTATTGTTGATATTTTTGTCTCCTCCCATGAATCACTAAGGTTCTTAATGGCATCTAGAATAATGAATCCTTTCTAGAAGGTTTTTAATTTACTTTGCCCAGATCCATCAGAGGAATCACTGTGTATGGTGGCTATTATACTAGCCTTATGTAACGTATTTCTTTTTTGTTTTTGAGATGGAGTCTCACTCTGTTGCCTAGGCTGGAGTGCAGTGGTGTGATCTTAGCTCACTGCAACCTCTAGCTCCCAGGTTCAAGCAATTCTCCTGCCTCAGCCTCCCAATAGCTGGGACTGTAGGCATGCGCCACCATGTCCAGCTAATTTTTCTATTTTTTATAAGAGATGGGGTTTCCCTATGTTTTCCAGGCTGGTCTCGAAACTCCTGACCTCAAGTGATCCACCCGCCTTGGCCTCCCAAAGTGCTGGGATTACAGCATGAACCACTGCACCCAGCCGCATAATGTATTTCTTAATAATTATTTCTTAAATAATACTTGAGGCCATGCACCTATAATACAACACTGAGAGGCTGAGGCAGGAGGCTCACTTGAGGCTTGGAGTTCGAGACCACCCTGCGCCACAGGGTGAGACCCTGTCGCTACCAAAAGGAGAAAAAAAAAGACATGAGAATCAGAATTACTTCTTGATTCATGGGCTGCAGAATGGATGTTGTGTTAGCGGGCATGAAAACAACCTTAATCTCATATATTTCCATGAGAGCTCTTGGGTGACCAGTTGTATTTGTCAATGAGCAGTAATATTTTAAAATCCTTTATTTTCTGAGCAGTGGGTCTCAAAAGTGGGCTTAAAATAATAACTAAAATATATTGTAAGTAGATGTGCTGTAATCCCGGCTTTGTTTTCACTTATAGAACACAAAAGCAGCGTAGATTTAGGATAATTCTTGAGGGCCCTAGGATATTTGGAATGGTCAATGAGCATTGGCTTCAATTTCAAGTCATCAGCTACATTAGTCCCTAACGAGAGTCAGTCTGTCCTTTGAGGATTTGAAGCCATGCATTGTCTTCTCTCTATGAAATTTCTAGATGGCATCATCTTCCAATAGAAGTCTGTGTCATCTACGTTGAAATGTGTTGTTTAGCATAGCCACCTTCGTCAATGATCTTAGCTGTATCTTTTGATTAACTTGCTGCAGCTTCTACATTAGCACTTGGTGCTTCACCTTGTACTTTTATATTGTGTATACTGCAGAATGGATGGTTTCTTTCCATAAATCTCATGGACCAACCTCTGCCACCTTAAAACTTTCTTTTGCAGCTTCCTCACCTCTCACAGCCTTCATTGAATTAAAAAGAGTTTTAGGACCTTTCTCTGAATTAGATCTTGGGTTAAGGTTATGTTATAGCTGGCTTGATCTTCTATCAAGACCACAAAACTTTCTTCCTATCAGCAATAAGTCTGCTTGGCATTCTCTTCATTCATGTGTTCACTGGAGTAACACTTTCGATTTCCTTCAAGAACTTTTCCTTTACATTCACAACTTGGCTAACTGGTGTGAGAGGCCTAGCTTTCAGCCTGTCTCAGCTTTGGACCTGCCTTCCTCAGTAAGCTTACTCATTTCTAACTTTTGATTAGTGAGAGTCATGCAACTCTTCCTTTCACTTGAACACTTAGAGACTATTGTAGGGTTATTAAATTGTTGTGTCTGAGACTACGGAGGCCTGAGGAGAGGAAGAAAGAATGGCTAAATTGGTGGCACAAACAGAATATACTATTTATGTTTGCTCTTACATGGGTGTGGTTTGTGGTGTCCCAAAACAGTCACAATATTAACATGAAAGACCACAATCACTATAACAGATTATTGTTAAGAATTACCAAAATGTGACAGAGACACGTGAGCATGTGCTTGCTGTTGGAAGAATGGTGCTGATTTTCTCAATGTGGTGTTGTCACAAACCTTAAATTTGTAAAATTTACAGTACTTACGAAGCGCAGTAAAGCAAAGCTCAGTAAAATGAGGTATGCTTGTATTACTACCTCTAAATGAAGTTTTCTGTCACCTATTCCAAAAAATGGAAGTCCAGAAATTTTCTATACAATTTTAAAATAAGGAAATGTGATTCTGGATAAACTTTATAAAGTAACTTCAAATATTGAGTGACATCAGAGTTCTATAACTTTTCTTAATCATGAATTGTATTTAATTCTTAGGATTTGTTTTCCTTTCATAATTATCAGTGCTATAGTCTCCATCCTGAGTCTTATTTTTTCATTAGTTTTAATGGAAAACATCTATACACTATATACCTTCTGTATTCTGTTACTTACATTTTTTTGAAAGTCAAATAGAAAAGGGATAGAGGGAATAGAGAATTGTGTTTTTCAACTTAATCCATCATGAGTATGTATGTGTAAGACACATTCATGCAATCAGATAAGCATTCCGTCAATCTCCTTATCAATTTAAAAATGTGTTTTTCATTGTGTTCTGATTTTGTTTGATTGTATTATGGAGAAAATAAAAATAGATGGGATAAATTAATTTACACAATGAACTGTTGAAATAGGAATGAAAGAGATAGTCATCTATATGATACATAGAAGAAAATAGGAGCAGTGAATCATATAGTACCAGTATTACCATATTCTTGGTTAACTAAATTTTAAAATCCTGTGGAACCCAAGTGAGCACTGATGCATTTCTAGTAGCAGCTGTAGATAATAATTTGCCTGTAATGCATGCAGAGCTGAGGTTCATGATTATTTTTAAACATTTAGAAGATTTTCTAACTTCAGAAAATGTGAAAATCATTATATTGTATAACTCTGTTCTCCAGAGTTCTGCTTTATAAATATAGCCATGTTTACTCAGGTTATCCTTTAAGTGATGGATTTTATGTGCTTAAAAAATGGAAACGAAATGCCTAGCAGCCCTGAAACCTCAAGCTTGGCTTGCTATTTTAAAAAATTTATTTATATTTTACTATATATTTAAAGTGTACAACATGATATTCTGACATATATGCATATTGAAATTATTGTTTCAGTCAAACAGATGAATATCCATTATCCTACTTACCTTGTATCTATGTGTATGGTAAGAACACCTAAAATCCATAACATTTTTGATATACATAACAGTGTTATTATGGAGGTTTTTTTGGTTTATTCTTTTGGTTTTCTGTTTTTTTTGTTGTTGTTGTTTGAAACAGGGTCTCCCTCTATCGCCTAGGCTAGAGTGCAGTGACATGATGATAGCTCCCTGCAGCCTCAAACTTGTAGGCTCAAGCGAGCCTTTTGCCTCAGTTCCCCAAGTAGCTGGGACTACAGGTGCATGCCACCATAGTCCAGATTTTTTTTTTTGTAGAGACAAGGTCTTGTTCTGTCACCCCAGCTGTCTTGAACTACAGGTGTGAGCCACCACATCTGGCTGGCATTACAGTGTTATTAACTGTAGTTCTTACTCTGTACATTAAATCTCAATGCTTATTCATTCTACCTACCTGGAAATTTGTACCCTTTGACTTCTCTACATTTCCTACCCACCTAGCCCCTAGTAACCACCATTCCAGTTTGTCTTCAACTTTCTAAAAATATTCCATGTATAAGTGAGATTATACAGTATTTTCATTTCTGGATCTGGCTTATTTCACTTACCATAGTGTCCTCAAGGTTCATCCTTGTTATCACAAATAGCAGGATTTCTTTCCTTTTTTAAGGTTGGATAATATTCTATTGTATATATCTACTGCAATTTATTTGTCCATGCATCATTGGATACAGGTTGTTTTTCTATCTTGGCCATTGTGAATAATGCTGCAATGACATGGGAGTGTAGATATCTCTACAAGGTCCTATTTCATTTCCTGTTGTAATATACCCAGCAGAGGGATTGCTGGACCTACAGTAGTTCTGTTTTTAATTATTTGAAGAACCTCCATATCGTTATCCGTAGTGGTTGCACCAATCTGCATTCCCACCTAAAGTGTACAAAGGGTTCCTTTTATCCGCACCCTGGCCAACACTTGTCTTCCTTGTCTTTTTGATATTAGCTGGATCCTAACAGGTATGAGATGATAGCTCATTGTGGTCTTGATTTGAATTTTCCTATTGATCAGTGATGTGGAACATCTTTTCATATGCCTATTGGACATTTTTATGTCTTCTTTGGAAAAATATAAATTCAAACTCTTTGCCCATTTCTTAATCACGTTATTTGGGTTTTTGCTATTGAGTTGTGTGAGTTTCTTATACCAGTTGAGCATCCCAACGGAAATCTGAAATTCTCCAAAATTCAAAACTTTTTGAGCACCATCATGACACCACAAATGGGAAATTACACACATAAGAATTGAACACACCTTGGATTCATGCACAAAATTATTAGAAATATTGTATAAAATTGCTTTCAGGCTATGTGTGTTGAGTATATGAAACATAAATGAATTTCATGTTTAGACTTGGACCGTATCCCCAAGATATCTAATTATCAATATACATAATACATAAAATCTGCGTGTGTGTGTGTGTGTGTGTGTATCTATATATTCACATAAAAACTATCAAGAATCTTACTGTCTTGCCTTCTCTTCCTGGCGTGGAGGCACCAGCATGGTGACTGAGGTCACTGCACATTGGAGAGGGTTGGGGAACCGCAACAGGCATGAAGCTGGCAGCCACGGATGTGAAGTGGTGAGGGAGGAATACGGAAGTGGTAAGAAGAATTAGCCAGTGTCATTTGGATTTTGGTTACATTGAGTAAATAAGTAAATGGATTGAATAAGTAAGTAAATATATTGAAGGTAATCGCAGCCAAGTTTCCAGAGAAGGTGTTTAGAAAGAAGTTAGGCTAGGAAGGGCCCAAAGATGTGTTGGATTGGAATTAAGAGTACAAGTATGAACTTAGAGTTTTATTTTTATTCTTGGACTCAGATCTAGCAATAATTATAGATGTATATGTCCATCTGTATGTGTGTATGTATTCGTTGTTGGTGTGCTGCATCCCAATAGCAGTGAGGTCACTTCCTTCCAGATCTTGGTTTCAAAATACCAAAGAAAGGGGGGGAAAGTAAAAGTTGTGCCCAGAACATGTTGTTATACCAGAAAACTACCAAAATGCTCAGAGAATAATGGGGACATGTCAAAGGGAACAGGATTCAGTGTAAAAGGGCTCCCACTGGGAAAACCAAGAACAAATTTGAGGATCAAAATAAGTCACTGTAATAATAAATTATAACACACTGAATTAAATAAGATTACATGAATTCATAACATAAATCAGTAAACAGTAGATTATTTGGGGGAGAAGTTGATAACAAAACTAAAAGTTATAGAAAGAACAATGGGTATACAGAAGCACATTTGACCACTATCATAGAGATAATTTGGGAGGACTAATTAGTGGCTGTAAATATGCTGGGTAGAGGACTGATGGGGAACAGAGTATTAGTAGAATCTCAGAATACCTCTTCAACTTTAAGGTTAAGAAATTGAGTAGCAGAATTATAGATCAAGATTAATATCACCAGTGGTATGACAAGTTGACATCCTACGTTTCCTGGCACGTCATCATTTGTGTGGTATTCTTGCCAAGAATACTGTAACTAAGTCTGATCAGGAGGAAATATCACCCAGGTTAAAGGTCATCCTGCGGAATGTAAGGCATAAAATCTTCAAAACACATCAGGGACATGAACGAAAGGGAAAGACTGAGCAACTGAAAAATGAGGCAGCTAAGCAACTTATATCCTTGATGGCATCATGGAAAAGACTGCTGAAACTGTTGGCATTTGGATGAAGTGTTTAAACTGGATGGCTGTGTTGTAACAGTTGGTTTATGAATTTGGAATCTGGGATTTGGTTATGTTAGAAGATCTTTGTTTTAGGATATCCATACTGCAGTATTTAGGGAAGACAGGACCTCATTCCTGTAGCTTGCTCTCAAAAGTTTTGGAAAAAGACTAATAACGTGTGTAGGAGCAGTTGGGTGGGCACTGGAGCAAATGTGGTCATAACTTAACACTCAGGGAATTTGGGTGAAAGGAATGTAGGGTTCTTTTACTTTTCTGGCAGTGTTTCTATGATTTCAAAATTATTTAAAAATAAATGATTAAATGGCTATTGTCAAAAAGATAAAGGTAACAAGTGTTGGAGAGGATGTGGAGAAAGGGGAACGCTTGCATCCCGTTGGTGAGAATGTAAATTAGTACAACCATAGAAAACAGTATGGAAGTTCCTTGAAAAATTACATATAGAAGTATCATGATCCAGCAATCTCACTTTTGGGTATATATTCAAAGGGAATGAAATCAAGATCTTGAATAGATGTATGTACTCCTGGGTTCATTGCAACATTATTCACAATAACCAAAAAATGGAATCAGTGTAAGTATTCAACAGATAAATGGATAAAGAAAATGTGGTACATATACCCAATGGAATACTATTAAGCTTTATAAAAGAAGGAAATCCTGTCATTTGCAACAACATAGATGAACCTGGAGGACATTATATTTACTTCATGATCTCACTTATACGTGGAAAAAAGTTAAACTCAGAGAGAGTAGAATGGTGGTTACCAAGGGCTGGAAGGGATTCAGGGTATTGGAAGGGATGTTGATCAAAGGCTGCAAAATTTCAATTAGATAGGAGGAATAAGTTCACCAGAGCTATTATACGACATGAGACCTAGAATTAATAACACTGTGTTTGTATTCTTGAAAATTGCTAAGAGAATTGATTTTAAGTGTTCTCATCACAAAAAAATAAGTATATGAGGTAATACATAGATTAATTCAATTTAACCATTTCACAGTGTATATTTCAAAACATGCTGTACACAGAAACATATTCAATTTTTATTGGTCAATTAAAATAATGCTTTTTAAAAATAAATTATTAAATTTTAGATAAAACAATTATTAAATTTTAGATAAAACATAGTTCTTAGAATATTTCTTATGGTTAGCATGACTGCTGCCTGGTAAACACTTTGCTACATATTCTACCTAGTCCCAAAATAAGTTATTTATTTATTTATGTTTTTAGAGACGGAGCTTCCCTCTGTCACCCAGGCTTGGATTGCCTCCCAGGTTCCAGTGATTCTCCTGCCCCAGCCTCCCAAGTATCTGTGATTACAGGTGCATGCCACCACACCTGGCTAATTTTTTTGTATTTTTAGTAGAGACGGGGTTTCATGATGTTGGCCAGGCTAGCCTCGAACTCCTGACCTCGTGATCTGCCCGCCTTGGCGTCCCAAAGTGTTGGGATGACAGGTGTGAGCCACCGTGCCTGGCCTATACGTATGTTTTAAAAGTATAGCCAACGGGATTTGCCGACAGGTTGAATATAGGGTGTAAGAAAAAGAAAGGAGCCAAGGACTTTAAGTTGTAGGGAAAAACAGTATTACCAATAATTGAGATGGAGCAGGTTATAGGAAGAGTACACCTGAGGATAAAAAGTACAGTCATGTGTTGCTTGATGACGGGGATGCATTCTGAGAAATGGTAATTTCGGCATTGTGTGACATCATAGGATATACTTACACAAACCTAGATGGTTTACTCTTTTGCTCTGATCTGTACAGCATATCACTGTACTGAATACTGTAGGCAGTTGTAACATAATGGTAAATGTTTGTATATTTAAATGTAGAAAAAGTACAGTCAAAATACAATACAAAGGATTTAAAAATGGTACACCATGGAGGTTGCAGTGAGCCGAGCTGAGATCGCACCACTCCACTCCAGCCTGGGTGACAGAGTGAGAGTCAAAAAAAAAAAAACAGTATACCTGTATAGGTATAAGGCATTTACCATGAATGGAGCTTGCAGGACTGGAAGTTGCTCTGGGTGAGCAAGTGAGTAGAATGATGAATGACTGTGAAGGCGTAGGACATTACTGTACACTACTGGGGACTTTATAAGCACCTTACTTTTAGACTACATTAAATTTATTTGAAAATATTTTTTCTTCAATAATAAATTTTAGCTTACTTAAGGAAAGCTTACCGTAACTTTTTAACTTTATAAACTTTTTAATTTTTTAAATGTTTTGATTTTTGTAATAACCAGTTAGCTTAAAACACAAACACATTGTACAAATTCTTCCTTATATCTTTAATTCATAAGCTTAGGTATTTATTTGTTTATTTTAAAACCTTTTGTTAAAAACCAGGACAAAAACATACACATTAGCCTAGGCCTATCCAAAGTTCATATCATCAATATCACTGTCTTACACCTCCACATTTTGTCTCACTGGAAAGTCTTCAGTTCTCATCTCCTATTATAATAATGCTTTTTCTGAGACTATCTCTTGAAGGACTTGGCTGAGGCGGTCACTTTTTTTAGTAAGTAATAGGAGTACACTCTAAAATAATGAGAAAAAGTATAATATAATAAATACATAAACCAGTAACATAGTCATTTATTATCATTATGCAACTGGCAGCACTGTAGGTTTGTTTACACCAGTATCACCATAAACACTTGAGTAATGCCTGGTGCTGTGATGTTACAACAGCTCCAGCATCATTAGGCAATGGGAATTATTCAGCTTCATTAATTTTATGGGACCACTGTTGTACATGTGGTCCATTGTTGACTGAAACATTGCTATGTGGTACATGACTACATATGAATGTAGAGGAAGGGAGAAGTCAAAAAACTGAGCCCTGGGCATTCCAGCACATAGCGGTGTGGGAGAGAGGAAATCACCAACAATGGAGACTGAGATTGTGCACTGCCAAGAAGCAGAGGAATCCCTGCCCTTACTGGGGAGTTCAAAAACAGGTTGGCATTGGAACCTAAATCTATTCTCAGTGGCTCCAAAAGAGTAGCAGCTAGTGAAACAAGGGAAAACCATGGGATTATAGCGTGCTAGAAACCAAATGAAAAAAAGCATTTCCACGAAGGCAGACTGACCACCTGTGTGAAGAGCTACTACAAGCCTGAACATAATGGTTTCAGGAAAGAATGGGCAGGGAAGAATAGGAGACGGTAAACCTAGAGGAGTCTTTTGAAGAGTTTTGCTGCAAAAGAAATGGGGTAGTTGATGATGGGAGAAAAGGAGTAAAGAGTTTTGTTTTTAGCTGGAAAAACAAAGCATATTTATATGTTGATGGGTGTGATCCAGTAAAATGGGAAAATTGGTGTTAACAGAAGAGGGATGAAAATTACTGGGCAGGCAAGACGGGGTGTGCTTTACTGCACAAGTGGAAGGCTGGCTTTAACTAGAAACATGGACGTTTCATCATCCATTGTAACAGGAGGGGATATTGACTGAAAAGTGGTGGAAGTTTGTGGAAGATCTTTGATTGTTGCTAATTTTCAGTGAAATGCTAAGCAAGTACATTAGCTAAGATTAAGAATGGGGGAGGAAATACTGATGATTCAAAAAGAAAAAAGAAAGTAGGAAATAGTTATTTAAGAAAGTAGGGAAGTGAATGGACTAGAGAAATGTCATATGTTAGCCAGTCAGCCTTAATGTTAGCCAGTCAGCAGCCTTAATGGCCTACCTGAAGTAAGTGGTCATGTGTTTGAAGTGAGATCAGTTCAATTATATTCAGGCAGAATGTGGGATTTAACCAGGGTAGGTTGTTTTATCTAGGGCAAACGTTGAGGAGAGTGAAGTGAGCATACATAATTGAGTGAGAGAAAGAGGAGTTGATGGTGTGTGTGTGTGTGTGTGTGTGTGTGCAAAGTCTTACAGGACCTGGTGGGTTTGTAGGATTATTGGTATTTGGGCACTAGAGGAAGTGAATCATTTGGTTGGATATTGAAATCATCAAAAATTGCCACAGGACTAATGTTGGAGATGGTAATAGTGAACCAAGAACTAAAATCTTCAAGGATTGAGGGAGAATGAGTAGATGTTCATTGATGACTGCAGCGTGGAGGAAAGTGGATGGTGTGGTGTGATGATATGAGATTCAAAGCTGGTTGTATTCAGGGCGATGGCAGGAACAGAACTGTAACAAGGAACAAGGAGAACCACCTCACTCACAGGCCCAGTTCCATTTCCTAAACAGACGAATTTGTATTCCCTGTAACTCATTAGCCCCTAGTCTTCTGAATCCTTTTCTAAGAGAGTAAGTAAAATAAATGAAAGCATTAAGATACATTAATAATTTTTATTTTACAAATATTTGAGTTAGTGATTCTGCAGAGTTTTATTAATAATTCAAAAAACTGACTTTAACCTGTCACTTCAAAATAGGTTAAATAGTGCAGCTGAGTTACGCCTCAAAAGTTTTTAACTTGTTTTGGAAAGAAAATTGTGTTGTATGTCCAACAAACCTATATATGATTGTTTATTGTGTATTGATGTACATACCAGAGACTGTTTTTGTATATTTACTGGGCGCTTAATAAATTATTTGCCTAATATTTAGTTATCTCTCCTTTTTCTTCTAGATTACATACCGGTTACGGCACCTCCTTCGTGCAAGGTGTGATGCATCCCCAGTGACCAACAACACCATCCAATTTCACTGTGATCCTAGTTTCTGGGCTCAAAATATCATCAACTTAGGTGGGCCATTACCATTACATACATTTCTCAGTGGCATTTGTCTGTAAAACTCAATGATTATGACATGTTACTGAAAATATGTTCACTTAGGCTGGGCACGGTGGCTCACATCTGTAATCCTAGCACTTTGGGATCTCTCAAGGATCACTTGAGCCCAGGAGTTCAAGACCAGCCTGAGCAACATAGGGAGAGCCCATTTCCACATAAGATTTCTAAGTTAGCTAAGGGTAGTGGCACATGCCTGTAGTCCCAGCTACTTGGAAGGCTGATGCTGGAGGATCGAAGAAAATATGTTCTCTCACTTTGAAAACGTTTTCATTATTTTGTTTTAAAAAGACATGTTGTTTCTAATAGTATTTCATTAACGTATGTATATGGTAACAAATATACATGAATATAAACACACATACATGTATAGCTGATAAGAAAACATTCTATAACATTGACTGACAGGGTGTCTAGACTTAGGGATTTAGGTGTCCTGTCCTGTCCTATTCCCTTAACCCCCCAAATCTGGTTTGTTCTCTTAGCTCTAAATTTATCAGAATGGGTTAACTTGACTTGTCATTGATAAAGGATTTTTGATATCCTGAAAGTTTTATTTTAAACTACTATATTTTTATTGGCTTATCTTTACAACTATTCAATAGGAACTTAATGGTTCAATCCTTTATCTTGCTTAGGGAAGACTTTTAGTTTTCTTCTTTTGCCTGATCAGGTAATAGTTATATAGATATCTTACTAATTGAAGTAAAACATACATACTGACAAGTACCCAGATCTTAAGCAATCAAGTACTGCATAATGATATCTCAATCAGTTAACTGCATCTATGACTTATAAATACAGTTTTTTTTTTTACTTTATCTTTCGTATGTTTAGATACACAGATACTTACCATCGTTTACAGTTGCCTACAGTATTGTCCAGATAATTCAGTACAATTGCATGCTATACCGGTTTGTAGCCTAGACTCTACCTAGCAATAAGCTATGCCATATAACCTAGGTGTGTAGTAGGCTATACAGTGTAGGTTTACATAAGTAAACTGATGTTTGTCTAAAGATAAAATTACCTAAATGACACATTTATCAGAACATATCCCCATCCTTTAGCAACACATAACTGTATTAGAACTCACTGAATTATCACAAAAAGAGACTGTCATTTTGGTAACATTAGGAAGAAAAGTATCCTTGCAAGCAGTTCAGCAGAAAGTTACTACTTTAGCTTCTTTATTGTACTATTTGCTGAGTAGAAACACCTTTTTGCCTTCTTTCTTAATTTCTCACAGGGAAACTATACAAACAAATTTAAGAATTCCCTACACATTGTCTGTTTATCAACAAACAATATTATCTTTGATGATTTTGGTGGGGGGTTGGGGGGTGCTCGTTGAATTTGTTTCAGAGTCATCAAAGATGGTTTCTTATCCCCAACACTAGATTCTGGGTAAGAAAAGAAAATGGCTGGAGAAAGAGCCCATACTCACCAGGAAAGGAGGAAATAGGCAATCTAACCCATAAGGGAAGAACAAAAAGAATCCCGGAAGCAAAGGTGATAAGGAGACCCCTGCAGACTAGTTTAGATACAGACATATGTATATTGATACATAGCAGGAAACTGGAATTATTACACACTCATTTTACCAAAAAGCATCTTTAGAATACAGAACATGTGTATAAGTAACTTATTGCCACACCTGACTCTACCACCACACATTCATCTGAACTCTGAACCCATCACAAGATATAAATCCAAACAAGTGGTCATATGTGCTATGTACTTATATCACAATAGGTAAATACACCCACATATAGACATAAGTACATTTAAGAATTATATTTAAAACTGTACACACATAAATGGATATAGTTTCAGATAAATCTAGTTTAGCCAAAACAAAAACAGGATCTCCTAGTCTAATAGTTTGTGAAACCGACATAATGAAGTTAATATATTTTACTGTAGGATTTCTTAGAGCTGTCATTTACAGCACTGTAAATTCATATACAATGAGATTTGCATTGTAAATCTCTAAAGAAGGAGACAAGTTTCCTAAACTTGTTACCCATGGCTTCTGAGAAACATATAAAAGCGCTAGGGGAAAATATTGATCTAGATGAATATTTTGTTACTGTCTTGAGTGACTTTAGATAAGTTTTACAACCTCTCTAAACCTTAGATCCCTTATGTGTAAAAGAGAATGTTATTGTTTCTTCTAAACATACACATATACCTTCTTGTCATAGTGAATTACACACAGTAAACATTTAATGAATAACTGTATATTTTTAGAATGCATATGATTGGTAAATCATAAACATTTAAGTTTCTACTGTTGAAATCAAGCTTGATTCAGGCCTTTCAAGGGCACCGTTAAACTCTTAAAACTAGTTTTAAGCCAGTCAATGTATTCTGTATCAAAAAGTTAACATAGTATGCATTGTAAAGGTATAGGAAACTTGAGAGATCACAACTTGTTAATAGTAAAGATTCAGAAATACTTTTTGGGATTGTTTTTAGAGCCAATGTTAGGTTCGCTTGTTTTGATATATGACAGCAGTTCTCAAAGTATAGTCTGGTACTCTTTCAGGGGACCACAAAGGCCACCCTTTTCCAGCTACACGTCTGGATGAGTGTTGTGCCAGACCTCTGTTGACTTCAGTAGGGATAGGACCATGTTTGAGAGGCCCAAGAAGAGACCTGGAGCCAGTGAATGAGACACAGGGCTTATTTAGGGAACTTACATACAGGACAGTCCAGTGGAAGTGGGCTGGACAGGAGAACCACCAGCAAGTAGTTTATATAGCACTTAGCACCCTCCCGCTAGCAACCTCCATGTGGCAACCTTCATTTAACACAAAGCAAAAGGCATCCATCCCCAATATGGCCTGGATTCCACAGGCTGAGCTGGGGGTTCAGATATTCTTCATTGATAAAGAATGATAATCTCCGGGTTGGCCACTCCTAGGTTCCTTAACGCAGAACTCCAAACACACATTCTTCTTAGGCCATACAGGGTCACTCACAGGGTACACTTAAGTTATTGCTGTCAGGTGCTGTCTGCCATACAGTGAGACTGAAATTTTTTTCATATATTTTAACTTAACAATATATTATGATAGATAGTGCAGAAACAGATAATGTGATTTCAGCTATTAAGCCAGACATTCAAACAGATTTTTTAAAACATCAAACAGTATTTTAAAATATCAAAAAATGTTTACCAAATATTTTACAATATAGTTTTATAAAAGCATGTTGTTATGGTTTTATTCTTAAATGAATTAGAAAGTTTTAAAAATTATTCTTAATTTCTAATATTATAAATGTTGATGACTAGAAGTTAGATGAACAAAAGCTGTTTGGGGGTTCTCTTTCAGAGTGTTAAAGGGCTCATGAGATCAGAGAATTTCTTGGCAATTTTGAAGTTCTGCAAAAATAGCTTTAGAAAATGTGATATTTCACCAACTATCTGAAAAACTGTTTCCCTTAACCTTTTCTTTTTAATTAGGTTCTTTAGTAATCGAGGATAAAGAGAGCCAGCCACAAATGCCTAAGCAGAATCCTGTCGTGGAACAGAATTCACAGCCACCAAGTGGTTTATCATCAAACCAGTTATCCAAGTTCCCAACACAGATCAGCCTAGCTCAATTACGGCTCCAGCATATGCAGCAACAGGTAATGGCTCAGAGGCAACAGGTGCAACGGAGGCCAGCACCTGTGGGTTTACCAAACCCTAGAATGCAGGGGCCCATCCAGCAACCTTCCATCTCTCATCAGGTAAATTTGGAAGCAGGCCTGTCCTCACTTAGATAATTATAGTATAATTGTGTTTAGCAGCTCAAAATAACAAAGACATCCATTTTCCATACTCTAAATATCTGCATTTATAAAAATTTATCACATTAAGGATCCCTGATTTAATGCCTAGTTTTTAATCCCTACTTAAAAAGGATTTAATGGTTTATTGAGTTGATAAATCTATTTTCATCTACCCTTCATTGTCTTTAAATTATAGTGAAGGATAAATGTTTGTATTCCTAAATAACCCAGGCCTGTGATTGATGGGAAAAGTTGTGTGCCTATAATTCCTATATTGGTGCTTCAGAATGATGAATACATTAAGAATCTGCCCTCTTTGAGGATGCAGTGTTCAGTAAACCACATTGCATCTTAGAAATTAAGGCAGAGTGAAATAGAAAAGGGCAGAAGTGTGATTCATTATAATCTACCTTTTTCAAACTTTATTTCTGAGCAAATATACTGTCTACCGTTCTTATTTTTACTATAATCCAATTTTTTTTTTTTTTTTTTGAGATGGAGTCTCACTCTGTCACTCAGGCTGGAGTGCAATGACACGATCTCAGCTCACTACAACCTCTGCCTCCCGGGTTCAAGCGATTCTCCCACCTCAGCCTCCCAAGTAGCTAGGACTATAGGCATGTGCCACCACACCCGGCTAATTTTTTGTATTTTTAGTAGAGATGGGGTTTCACCTTGTTAGCCAGGATGGTCTCGATCTCCTGACCTTGTGATCCACCCACCTCAGCCTCCCAAAGTGCTGGGATTACAGGCATGACCCACTGTGCCCAGCCCCTAATTTTATTTTTTAAGTTGCTTCCCCTGTCACAGGATTCTTAGACACTAACTCAATCAACCATAACAGTTTAGGAGGGGGGCGGAAATCACCTTACATCTTACCAGACCATAAGCATCTTCATGGCATGGTCGACATCTTACATACCGTAGCACATTACACTGGCATTAAGTGTCATTTTTTTGGTTGTCAATATGTAAACATTAGTCTGGATGAAGGTGGCAAAAGACTTCTATGACTACCTTTATTCTCCCTTAAGGACCATTTTGGGCTAAGAAAAATTATCCCTTAGATAAATTTAAAAGCTTTTCCATGTAATTTCCTAAGTATGTTCTGCTTGTATTTCTATGATATAAAACCCTTCAATTCATAAAATTTTCATAGAAAAATAAAAACATTGCTATGGCTTTTAGGTTTATACTTTTTTAAAGTTTCGAGATTTTCTTATTTTTCTCTAATATTATTTTTCTACTCTTTACCTACAGAATTTCACTTGCTTAGAATCAGCTTCTAAATGTATTTTTCACTGGGTCTGTAATTGCTGGCCACTCTTGAAAGTTAATGAGAGGTAAACCCAGTGCCAACTAATTTTTAAGAGAGAAGCAGTTGACCCAGGTGAGGATAGTAAATTCCAAAAATAGGAAGAATAAAAATAATAAAGAGGATAGGACTGTACTTTATAGCTGTCTGCCTTCACAGTGTCAAAGTTTCAGGTGTTGCTGCTTCAACCTTAAAAGATTATTTATTTGTCCCCTGTGAATGTAGGGGGAAATAGGCTCCTCTTTGAGAAGTTGTGATCATACAGTTAAGATATACTAAAAAGAATATTTATTTTGCAATACATTCCCAACTGTAGAGAATCAGTCAAGAGGAGACTGGCATATAAGGTTACCTTTTTCTTCTAGGACTGGTCTCAATTTCCAGGGCTAGTATTTATGAGCCCACAGAGCAGGCTTGCTTTCTAGCCTTTGCCTTGTTGCAGGAATCAGAGGACCAGAGAGACCAATGGATGGAACAGGAGGATTTTATTTAAGTGGCCACTGGCCCAACAGATTCACATCCAAAGGCTAGGTCCCAAACAAAGACAGGGCTTGACTTTTATACACACTTCTGAAAGGGTGTTGGCTAATTTAAATGGCACAAAACTCGTGGTACAGGCAAGGAGGCTTACAGAGGCAGAACAAAGGCAGTTTGAATCAAACAGTGACAGATTTTGTAATCCTTAGCATAGCTTGTGACCTTGCAGCTGCATTGAAAGAAAAGCAGGAGCTTATAAAACCTGGAAATTGAGTAATGGTAAGGGGCATGAGGAGATAGTAAAGGAATTTGTTTTTCTTAACTTTGCTCTGAGTGGGTGTTGGGAGAGTCTCTGGAGCTCCTTCCTTTGGGCTCTGGCTTTCCAGATAGTGTTTTCAAGGCTTTGTCAGGGCCCTGCCTATTGCTGGCCTTGGAGTGAGTCAGCTAAGTACAGGAAAACTTGTTTTCCTCTTTTTAATTTCGGCTTCATTCCCCCCTTTGATGCTCCCTGTAAATGAAGTTTAATGGAAAGCATCTCTATCACTTAATTCTTCATGAAAAGGCAGGTTTCTTCCTTTGACAAAGGTTGATATTTAGTTAGAGCCATTAGCTGAGTGGTAGTTTGCCTGGTTACAAGAGTCTCTATGGCCGATTGGATGTTTTTAACAAGGAGGGGTAAGAGACAAGGGAGTATTAAGCAACCTCCTAGTATGGCCAGGACTATTCCTATTAAGGTTTTAAATCCTCTGAGGGATGAAAACCAGCCCCCGAAGAGGGTATCTGGAGACCATCCTTTCTAAGTCTGGGCTGGAACATGGGCTAATTTTTGGATTTTTGCAGTTATATCTTCAATGACCTTTCCATTGTCATCAATTTCTAGGCAGCAATTAGTTACATTGAACTTTCTGCATACCCCACCTTCCTGGGCTATGAGACTAGTCTAAAGCCAGTCTATTTTGAGAAATAGCATTTCTCGTTTTTGTGGCTTGTTAGGCCAGTAGATTTAAGGCCCTTGCAGCGACATTAGTCATGATTTCAAGCACTGCCTATAACGTTATGATGCAGTTGAGCATGTAAATAGAGGTACAGTATCCATACATTCCATCTTCCGCCCAGGTGGCTGACCCATAATATTGGATTATTCTCTCAGGGGGCCATTCATCATCTTTCTAATTCCTATGGTTATGCCCCTTTTATTTCTCCTTTTTGTTTCATCATAAACAGGGTATCCTAAGGCTTCTCCTTGCCTTAGAGGGATTAGGCAGAAGGATGGTCTGATTGTCCCTAGTACACAGGCCTCTGGCAGCTGCCCATATGCCCATGACCCACAGATCCAGTAGAGGCCAGAGGGTGCCTGCCAGGCATTTGGAGTTTCAAGCTGGTACCAAGAGTGATGTAAAGAGGGGAAACAGGAGAATGGACTAGGGTGGGGTGATTTGGAATTATTTATCCTGCCCCACCATAAAGTCTTTCCTGTTGTTTCATTGTAATATTGCTGTCCTAGGCAAGTTAATTCTATCCTACCCAGTTGGTAAAGGCCTTTCCCCAGCGAACAATGCAGAATCTCCCGATAATAGAGATTTTTTAAGGGCCAGACGCTCAAGCTTGTGAATGTTGGTTCAGGGGAGAGGACAGTCAGAGTAAAGTTACCTTGGGGCATTAGCTCCTTTGCTTCCTACTGCCATTGATCCCCTATGATGGTTCCTCCACATGCATAGCATGAGGAGACATGTAGGCTACTGACTATGTTTTCAGCCAGTTGGGCAAACAGGTTGCTGGCCAAGGGAGAGGATTCAGGCAACTCCTGGTGGATGTGCTCATAGAATGACTCAAAAACTCGGAACTGTTGGGTTGAATCGGTCCAGGTTTTCTTTATAATATACAGACTGACTTCTGAGTTTACTTTTTGACCTTTGACTTTGAACCCCAGTGTCCTGGGATAGCCTGTAGTCCATATGGGCAGACCTGGCTCTAAGATGGTGAGATGTGCAGGATAGCAAATGCTAGGTTTATGAGTTGGTTTTTCCAGTAGTTTCATATGTATGACTTGCCTTGGTGGTTGTTGATAAGTGGACCAAGTCATGCAGCTCCAGCGGGCTATTAACGGGGACCTAGAGGAACAAACGGGGCACACATTTTTGCTTGGAACAAGTACCATAGTGCCCTGTGGGGCCAATGATAATGGACCACTACAGGATTGCTACCTCCTGGCAAACATTGAAGTATAAGGATATGACCTCCCCATAAGGGGAAGAGGCTTTGATTTGGTTTGGAAGATCCCCTTCCTTAGTATGAACTTCAAACCAAGTCTCAATAGGTGGGGACTTAGGGTCCTAACATATGTAGGGCTGGCTATTTCCTGGGTCACAGATTGAATAGGTTACCTGGTTATGAGCACAAGTTCCTAAGTGGCTCCCTGCGCACTCATAATAAATATAGTACAGCAGAGTCCTAGTTATGGTGCTCCCCGACCGCGTAGTATGTATGCAGTGGGGGCACCCTTCTATGAGTCCATTTTCTGACACTGGTATGAGGAGTGCCATGATGGGGATGAGTAGCAACAAAGTAAAGAGTAGCATGTTTATACCCAGCAGGGACAAAAGAGGTCTTTGCCCCCAGGAGGAGGTTGGATAAAGAGACAGGATAATAGTAAAACAATTAGTATTATAAGGAAAGCTATTGGACCTAAGAATTCTAACCACATTTACTTCCCTGATGGTGCTCACGCTTCAGCCGTGCATAGACTAGTCAGCTTCTGGGGTGACTAGAGCCGGGCTGTTGTCTCCTCAAGCTTCAGCCGTGCATAGACTGGTCAGCTTCCAGGGTGACCAGAGCAAGGCTGTTGACTTCACTGGCAACCTGGTCCCACCGTAGGATCAGCTGGGTCAGATGGTCTGGGTCCTGTTGGCTGGTCCACTTGTCTTGGGCTGCTGGTTTCAGCTGACTGTGGTGGATCCAAGGCACAGTTCCTGCAACTTTAACAGCAGTGGGAGTGGACAAGATTACAGTATGGGGCCCATCCTATATGGGTCCTAAAGTGGTTGGGTTCCATTTCTTAACCTAAACAGAGTCCCCAGGTCTAAAAGGGTGTGATGGGTCTGTTAGGCTTATGGGCATTCTTTCCTGTACCCAGCCATGGATTCTTTGCATGGCTTATCCCTAAAGCCTGCATTTGCCTTCTTAAGGTTAATTCCCCTAGTTCATGGAGGTCACCTTTAATTTGACCTATGATTGGGGATGGCCAACCGAACAAGATCTCATAGGGCAAATAGCCAGTTTGTTTGGTGGGGGTGCACCTGACTCAGAGGAGGACCATGGGCAGGACTTGATCCCATCTCAGATGAGTTTTTTGCCAATATTTCTTCAGTAGCTGTATAAGTGTCCAATTCATGTGTTCCACTTTTCCTGAACTCTGTGGCTTATAGGCTATGTGTAACTTCCATTTTATTTTTAACAGCCTTGCTAGATCTTGAGCTATTTCGGCTACAAATGCTGGACCATTGTCTGACCCTGGAGTCAAGGGCAGTCCAAATCTGGTGATAATGTCTCTTAACAATACTTTAGTCACTTCTCATGCTTTCTCTGTTCTGGTGGAGAAAGTCTCGACCCATCCTGAAAAGGTGCAGACAAGCACTAACATGTACGGATAGCCTCTGGCTCGGGGCAGCTCAGTGAAGTCCATTAGTAGGTTTTTACAGGGTGTGGCTCCTATTTACTGTATTCCTGGGGCCGAGTGGGCCCTTGCCGTGGGTTGTTCTGGGCACAAATTAGATATTGTTTGCAAACGGCTCGGGTGATGGCAGTGAGCCACAGCACATAGAAATGGTGTCCAAGTAGTCTTTCTAGTGCCGTTTTCCTTATTATATGAGTTCCTTGATGGAATTGTCTTACAAATTTGGGGGTCACTATTTCAGGGATGGCTAGCCTCTCATCAGAGAATTTCCACCATCGTTCTTCAATGTAATGTCCAGTCTGTTTGGCACACCAGGCCCTTTCATTTGGAGAGTAATTTGGGACCTCTGGGAGGAGAGGCAAAGCTAGGGCTTCCTTTTTACAATGCGGGGTAGTCATTCCTGCCTGTTTTGCCTCCATGTCTGCTTTTCTGTTTCCTTTGGCCTCTAGTGTTCCTGCCTTTTGATGCCTTTGCAGTGCATAACAGCCACTTTCTTTGGGGCCTATACAGCATCTAAGAGCTGTAGGAGTTCTTCCTCGTACTTTATTTCTTTGCCCCCAGCAGTTAAGGGTCCTCTTTCCTTATATATAGCTCCATGAACATGCAATGTGGCAAAGGCATATTTGGAGTCAGTATAAACATTGACTTTTTTTGTCTTTTGCTAGCAAAAGGGCTCTTGTCAGGGCTATTAGGTCTGCTTTTTGGGCTGATGTTCTGTGGGCAGAAACTGAGCCTCTACCACTGAGTCCAATGTTACTACTGCATACCCAGCCTGCCGGACCCCTTCCAATACAAAATTGCTTCCATCTGTAAAGTATTCAACATCTGGGTCCTTGAGGGGTTGGTGTGTAAGATCTTTCTGGCTTGAGGATACCTCGCCTACTCCATCTACACGGCAATGAAGGGGGCCTCCTGGTTCCAAATCAGTTGGGAGCAAGGTAGCCAGGTTTAGGGTATTTATGTGAGGATTTTTGCATAGGAGCCCTTGGTATTGAGTCATTCTTAGGTTTGATAATCAAGGATGCCATCTCTGATCCATTAAAGTTATAACCGAGTGCAGTACCTGGATGGTCAGTTGCTGCCCTAGAGTCAGTTGGTCAGCTTCCTGTGCTAATAGGGCTGTGGCAGCTAGTGCTTTGAGGCACAGAGGCCATCCTAGTGCCACAGAATCCAGTTGCTTGGATAATTATGCTACCGGGCCATGCCATGATCCTATGACCTGAATTAGGACCCCTATAGCAATTCCTTTTCACTCATGGACATATAGAAAGAAAGGCTTAGTTAGATCTGGCAATCCTACGGCTGGGGCCTGAGTTAGGGCTTCTTTGATCTGCTTAAATGCCTTCTCCTGGTCAGCCTCCCACAGGAGGGGCTCCTTTTCTCCCCTCTTTTGTGGCTTCATATAATGGCTTGGCCATAAATGAGAAATTTGGGATCCAGATACAGCAGAACCCTGCTGCCCCTAGGAATTCTCTTATTTGTCGCTGGGTGTTTGGAGTGGGGAGTGCACAAACAGCCTTCTTTCGCTCACTGCCAAGCCATTGTTCCCCTTGACTTACTTCAAAGCCTAAATATTGGACTCTCCTGGAGCAGATTTGAGCCTTCTTCCTGGACACCTTATACAGGAGATGGAGGAGGTCTTGGGTTCCTTGAAAGCAGTCTTCTTGGGTTGGGGCTGCCAAAAAAAGGTCATCTATATATTGCAGCAAGGTGCAGTTGTCATTTGGCGGGGTGTAGGCCTTGAGGTTTAAAGATTGTGGGAGATTTTTTGAATCCTTGTGGGAGTCTTGTCCAGGTGAACTGCGACTCGCCCCATTTGCGACTCTCAAAATGGGCTAATTGGTGCCAGGTGAAGACAGAAGAATGCATCTTTCAGGTCTAGGCAAGTAAACCAGGCAGCACTTGCTGGAATAAGTCCCATCAAAGTATATGGGTTTGGTACTATCGGGTGGATGTTTACTGTAGTGTGGTTCACAGCACACAAGTCCTGCACTGGCCTGTATTCTCCAGATGGCTTCTGTACTGGCAGGAGTGGGATGTTCCAGGGTGACTGGAATTTGACTACAAACATGATTCCATGTTAGTAGAGTCGCTCACTCTAAGTGTTTGTGAACACCTCATATGGCTTCCGGGAAAACCAGGTACTGGCAAACTAAACTGGGGTTGCCCCTGGTTTTAGCTCTACTACCACTGGCATCTAATCTTTAGCCAGCCCGGGTGGGTTATCTTCAGCCCATACTCCAGGAATTTTATTAAGTAGCCTCTATAATTCAAGTATTCCTGGTTTGTGAGACAGTTCTGGTGGCTTTTTTGTGTATAGCCTCCATTCCTCAGTTTGCAGGACGGTAAGGGTTAACACCATGGCCTTTGGGTCAGTCAGGTTTAGAGTCATATCCCCTTGTAGCCCAAAAGCAATCTGTGCTTGCAGTTTTCAGAGTAGGTCTCTCCCCAGCAGGGGAACTGGGCAATTTGGGAGGTACAGGAATTCATGTTGGACCTCTTGTCCTCCTATAACGAACCTCCTTGGCCAACAAAGTGGCCTCTTCTCTGAGACCCTGGTGACCCCTACAATAGTTGTATAGTTTTTGGATAGTGGTCCTATGGATCGGGTTACTACCAGCTATTCAGCCCCATTGTCCACCATAAAGTCCATTAGCTGGCCCCCCACTTCTAATGTGACCATGGGCTCCTGGGGGCCTAAGGAGAAGGAGCCTGGTCTGTCCTTGTCCTTATATTCTTCAGTCCCTGCCACCCCGATCAGGTCGGTATCTGGTTCCTTCAGGGTGCAGCAGCCTTTGACTGGTGGCATTTTTGTTTCATAGCCTCCGCCATTTTCTTCACTGCCCTCTGGACACTGATTTTTTCCAGTGTCCCTTTTAGCATCATGCACATTGGTGCTTATCTAACCTCAGCCGGCTTTTGAGCCTCTGTCTGGTTTGGCCCCATCTCCGTCTGTGCCCGTGTCCACATCCGCACCCTCTTGCAATGCTAGTTTCCCTTACCGTAAGGGTCACTGCTAACATATTGGCCTTTTTCCTAAGCCTCCGATCTGCTTCCTTTTTTGCCTCTTGGTCACGGTTAATATACATCTTGGTGGCCACTCCTATAAGTTGGGTGGCATTCATGCCTGCGAAATTTTTTAGCTTTTGCATCTTCCACCTGATGTCACCCTGGGCTTGTCCTGCAAATGCCGTGTTCACTGTGCACTGATTTTCAGAGGCCTCAGGGTCAAACGGAGTGTAAAGCTGGAATGCCTCACAGAGTCTCTCATAAAACTGGCTAGGGCTCTCATCAGCTCCTTGAAGAACTTCTGAGATATTTCCTATATTGATTGCCTTTTTCCTGCCTTCCTTTAGCCCTTGCAAGAGTGCTTCTCGGTACCTCTGTAGGTACTGTAATTGGACTGCATGATTTGAATCCCAGTGGGGGTCTGCTTCTGGAAACTGGCCCTGAGTGTATGCCTGAACGTTAAGTGTGCCTTCAGGTGCACTGGCTTCTAGGCAGCAGAGAGCTGCCTGGATTACCCTCCAGCACTCCTCAGTGTTAAACAGTGTCAAGAGGAGCTGCCTACAGTCTGGCCACGTAGGATTGTGTGTCTGGAAGATGGATTGCATTAAATCTATGAGGGCCTGGGTCTTCTCCATGTAGGAGGGGGTATGGTGTTTCCAGTTTAGGAGATCAGTGGTTGTAAAAGGCTGGTAGATGAAGTTCCGTTGCCCCCCTTGGACTTGACCCTGTTCATCATAATAGATGGGTCCCCGTGTCTCCCTAAGAGGCATTTGCATAGCCCAAGCATGACCAGATTGGAGGCAGCCCACTTGATCATCTTATCTTTCTTCCCTGACCTCCTGGGGCTCCGATCTTTCCTTTTGGGGTGAGTCTTGGAGCATGTTACCATCTGAATCTGACTCCTTGGGGGCCGTTGGCCTCAGTAAATGGGGGTAGATTGGAATATATGGAAGAGGAATTTCTATCTCCTCTGGCAGTTCCTGCAAAACTGGTTTCTCTTGCCCTTCCCATGACTTTTTCTTTGTCTCCGTATTTGCCAGCAAAGCTGATTTTACTTTCACTTTAGGCTCGGTCTGAGCCACAAGCATTTTGCAGTAAGCTGCCAGGCAGGGCTGCAACCATGCAGGTCAAGTTTGAACTACATTTAGCCATGAGTCAATATAAGGGAATTGGTCTGGGTGCCCTGGCTGTCCTTCGACCCCAATCACCACCTTAAATACATGGCCAATTGTTTCCCTATCTGTGGTTCCTTTGGCTGGCCATCCGACACTAAAAGAGGGCCATTCTATTTCACAGAGTTCTCAACCTCTGAGGGGTCAACTTCATCCCGTAATCCCCTGCATAACCTTTCTTAAAATTCTTTAACATACATTGTAATGGGGTGGGTTTTGACGACTTCCCTCTCATTTCCTCCCAGTTACAGCGCAACACACTCACTCTCACTTTCACTTCGGACCGATTAGACCGTCCCCCTCGCAGGAGTATTTCAGATGCCACTTAGCATTGGAGGCTCTGTTTTGACCCCCACAATTACTAAATTGTGGGGCACCTCCCTAAGCCATATGTGGAACACTGTTAGTCCCGGTCAGTCCCATGGTTCTCTCAGAGTGTATGGTCTACGCTAAGAGAACTGCGGCCCCCACACATCACTCCCCGCATTGGTTCCTCCTGGAACCGCCTCTTTCACATGCACTCACACACTTCCCCGCTCCCAGTTCCTCTTTCTCAACTGACTCTGCAAGCCACTCTCATGTCCTGGGTTGGTTGGGGTGTGAGCTTGTGAGCTTCCCTGACTTTGCAAGCCACTCTCACGTCCTGTGTTTGACCACTAGTTACACCCCGGGAGGTGATCAGGCTCCCCTTCCATTCTTATGGGACAGGTCCTGCCTCGGGCTCAAACCTTACCACAATCCTGTAGTGCACTGTTCCTGGAATCATCCTGTTCCTGCTTAGGTTCCATTGTGCTGTCAGGTAGGGTCAAGGGAGAGCTGATCACCCCTCTGGGTTGAAGTTCTCCCAGTGGCGCCTGGGGTCACAGGTCTCTCCCGGCCTGGGGCTCCAGTCTCACAGGCGAAGAGACAGTAAACCTTTCGTCTCCAATCCCGGGCGAGCCCCCAGAAAATGTTTCAGGAATCAGAGGACTGGAGAGACCAATAGGTAGAAGAGGAGGATTTTATTTAAGTGGCCACTGGCCCAACGGATTCACATCCAAAGGCTAGGCCCTGAACAAAGACAGGGCTTGACTTTTATACACACTTCTGAAAGGGGGTTGGCTAGTTTAAATGGCGTGGTGGGAATCTAATGGCATGAAATTCATGGTGTAGGCAAGCAGGCTTACAGAAGCAGAACAAAGGCAGTTAATCAGTGACAGGTTTCATAATCCTTAGCATAGCTTGTGACCTTGCAGCTGCATTGAAGGAAAAACAGGAACTTACAAAACTTGGAAATTGAGTAATGGTAAGGGGGATGAGGAGATAGTAAAGGAATTTGATTTGCTTAAGCTTGCTCTGAGGGGGTGTTGGGAGAGTCTCTGGAGCTCCTTCCTTTGGGCTCTGGCTTTCCAGATAGTTTTATCAAAGCTTTGCCAGGGCCCTGCATATTGCTGGCCTTGGAGTGAGTCAGCTAAGTACAGGGAAACTTGTTTTTCTCTTTTTTATTTCTGCTTCAGCCTCATTTGTGATTCCTTCACCCAGCCTTCCTGTAATCAACCAGGGTTGTTCTTGGAGACTTTGCTTTGAAAATATGTTTTCTGGCCAGGCACAGTGGCTCAAGCCTGTAATCCCAGGACTTTGGGAGGCTGAGGTGGGCTGATCACTTGAGGTCAGGAGTTCGAAACCAGCCTGACCAACATGGCAAAACCCCATCTCTACTAAAAATACAAAAATTAGCCAGGTGTGGTGGGGCATTCCTGTAATTCCAGCCACTTGGGAGGCTGAGGCAGGAGAATCACTTGAACCCAGGAGGCAGAGGTTGCAGTGAGCCAAGATCGGAACAAGACTCCATCTCAAAAAACAAACAAACAAACAAACAAAAAACAGAAAATGTTTTCTTCTATGGAGACTCATCCTCTAAGTTGTAATTACTCAGTATCTTAACAGCCAGCTAAGCACCCGAACATGTTTTGGTAATGATATGGCAGACTAGATTTGGATTAAAGCCTTGGTGTGCTGCTTGGTGTTAGCTGTGTGACTTTTTTCAAATTATGTTTTCAAACTTTTAGTTTCCTAATTTGCAAAACAAAGGTAATAATACCTACTTCATAAGACTCAATAACATAATAATATGTAAAATGCCTGCCAGGGCTCAATAAGATCTAAAACTTACTAAGTGTTACTAATATCAACTATTTTCATTATTAACGATTTGTTCATTTTGAGTACACCCACTGAGCCAGATTACTTGTTCAAATCCCAGCTCCATGCCTTATTGTCTTTGTTAATCTTGAGCAAGTTACTAAATTTTCTGTGCTTTATTTTAGCTTTCTTATCTATAAAATAGAAATAATCTGTGCTTTATAATAATATTGCTAAGAATAAATTAGTGAATACATGTGAAGCATTTAAAGCAGTACCTGGCATTTAATAACTGCTCAATAAGTGTTAGCAGTTATTATTCTACCATCACTTTATTTTTAGGAGGTTTCAAAAGGGTAGTTCTTTGTGAAAGATAATTGTGAAGGACTTAGAAGGATACCAAAGACACATTTTATTTACTTCCCAACATGGCCTAGGTCCAATTCTGGTACAATCTACTTACAAAATCTAGGTGGCAATCCCTCTCCCAAGGTTCTTTCCTAGTAAGGTTCTTTTAAAAAAGTTGTTTACACAAATTCTGAAAGTCTGCCCATCCCCCACCCCTCATTCCCTTATGTAAATCTTAATAATTGATTGATCTGTGGCAGAGTTCTATTTTTCTGTAAAAGTTTTATAAGATAGAGATTTATAATTTGTTTTTCAGAAGAAGATTGTTACTAAATTGGTTTAATTTCTTTTTTCTAGCAACCGCCTCCACGTTTGATAAACTTTCAGAATCACAGCCCCAAACCCAATGGACCAGTTCTTCCTCCTCATCCTCAACAACTGAGATATCCACCAAACCAGAACATACCACGACAAGCAATAAAGCCAAACCCCCTACAGATGGCTTTCTTGGCTCAACAAGCCATAAAACAGGTATATATCTACCTTCTTTTCTCAATTGCTTTTTCTGCTGCTTTCTACTTTCAAATCACAAAGAATTTACAGATTAAGCAACAGGTTATAAAGAGCCAAGAGCAAGCCTTCTTTTTCATTTTTTAAATAAATGTGAATTGCAAAGTTTGATGCTTTTTATCAGTAAGAGAAATTAAACCACTTATGTAGAAGTGATGGCCCAATATAATCAATGACCATAGGTATTAATTTTTATAATATGGTATGGATAACTTTTAGGTGAGTATATTAAATTTCCTAAGATAAAAGTATTCTAACAAATACAAGTTACATTCCACAAAATAGAACAATAAATGAATCTTTGAAGCGTCTCAAGAAGATTTCTTGGAAACAAAATTATGGCACAGTTTCAAGAGGGAATACATATATATCTGATGAAGTTTAATATTTAATTCATATTTAATATGATACAGCTTATTTATTTTTATTTTTTTATTTTTTTTGAGACAGAGTCTCTCTCTGTTGCCTAGGCTGGAGTGCAGTGGCGCAATCTGGGCTAACTGCAAACTCTGCCTCCTGGGTTCACACCATTTCTCCTGCCTCAGCCTCCTGAGTAGCTGAGACTACAGGTACTCGCCACCACGCCCAGCTAATTTTTTTTGTATTTTTAGTAGAGACTGGGTTTCACCGTGTTAGCCAGGATGGTCTCAATCTCCTAAACTCGTAAGCCACCGTACCTGGCCTCCTTTTTTTTTTTTTTTTTTTTTTTTTTTTTTAAAGTCTCTCTCTGTCACTCAGGCTAGAGTACAGTGGCATGATCTCAGCTCACTGCAACCTCTGCCTTCCGGGTTCAAGCAATTTTCCTGCCTCAGCCTCCAGAGTAGCTGGGATTACAGGCGCCCACTACCATGCCTGGCTAATTTTTGTATTTTTAGTAGAGACAGGGTTTCACCATGTTGGCCAGGCTAGTCTCGAACTCCTGGCCTCAAGTGATATGCCCGCCTCAGCCTCCCAAAGTGCTGGGATTACAGGTGTGGGCCACCATACCCGGCTGTATTATTTATATACTTAGTGTCTTCAGGTAAAAATATTTTCTGTGTTTTACATTATCTTAAAGTTATCACAGTGTTTTTTCTTCTCAAAGCTCCTATGACAACAGCCTGTCTAGCTGATTGTAGACTGATTTTGGTTTCTCCAAGACCAAAATAAAGATGATGCAATTTTCATAATTCTATAACATCCATTTTAATAAAATCATTTTAATATTTTATTCTAAAAGTATGTACACTCTGTGTCTATACATATCTTCGTATAATCAATTTGCCTTTGCTATATCATCACCAAATTCTCTTAAACAATATTTTAATTATTTAAAATAAAATTCATACCTATTATTTCATCATTAGAAGGAAAGTAAAAAGGACCCAAGCTTCAGTTTGGCCTTAAATTCTACTTATTTTCCTAATAATTTTGTGGCACTTACGTAGTCTTTTCGCATCTCCCTTGCCTCAGCTATAAAATGCGTATCTTGCAGAGTTATGTTGAGAGTTTATTCTAATGTATATACAAGCACCTAGCACATGCTCAGTATTCAAATGTTTACCTCTTCCCTATTTATTGTATTTTAATGAGTAGATACTCTAAGCATGTTTTTTTAAAATGGTTGTTGACCAAAAATGTAAACATGAATGAATAAGTAAAGGAACAAGCCAGGAAAAAATCTACTGGGAAATTGCTTTTAAGTAGTAGATGAGTTTAACAAATTAGAGTATACTCATACAGTGGAATACTTTTCAGATATTAAGAAAATGCAGTAATCTAGATATGATTTTCTGAGTACGTGAGGAAAAGCATGTTATAGAATTTTTGTGAGGTGTTATCTCATTTGTATGTGTGTTTTCCTCCAGCCTCATCATGTACATAGAAAAAAACCTGAAACGATCCACCAACTGATTGTTCTTGGTAGAGGAGGAGGAAAGGGGGCATAGAGGTGGGGAATATGAGGGAGGAGTAGGTGGTAAAGAAGACATTCATGTCCAACTTCATATGTTTCTGTATGTAGTTTCTACAATGGAATATATAAATTAGGTTTTTCAAAATTGGAATGTTTCAGACATTTTATATAGTGCTGTTCATTTGTGAATGACCATGTTTGGAAAATACGGCATCTTGCAGTACACTTAGTTACTTTCCTTCTTCCAGCATGAAAATTTTCAAACATAATAAAAATTGAAAGAATTATATAGGGAACATTTTGTTCTACTTGCCTTATTACATGTTTATCTATTCCTTTGTCCATTCATCAAGTCATCCTTTTTTTTTTTTTTTTTGAGGCAGAATCTCTCTCTCTGTAGCCCAGGCTGGAGTGCACTGGTGCAATCTTGGCTCACTGCAACCTCTGCCTCCTGGGTTCCAGTGATTCTCCTGCCACAGCCTCCCAAGTAGCTGGGATTACAGGTGCCCACCACCACGCCCGGTTAATTTTTGTGTTTTAGTAGAGATGGAGTTTCACCATGTTGGCCAGGGTGGTCTTGAACTCTTGACCTCAAGTTATCCACCCACCTTGGGCTCCCAAAGTGCTGCGATTACAGGCATGAGCCACCATGCCCAGCCCATCATGTTTTTCAATAGGTTTTGAGTAAATTCCAGACAGCAGCATGCTTCACCTCTATATACTTCAGCATGCCTATCATCATCTTAATGTGTTTATCTCAGCAGGAATGATAGTACTTTCCTCAGATATTTATCGAGGCCTAATTATCTGTTCATATATGAGAAGAGGAATATAAAATCCTGAAAGTACCAGTCTGTAGCTTAGTATTTTCAAGTATTTCAGATAGGGATAGAAGAAATGTATGTTTTCAACCCTCCATCTTTACCTTGAAGTTGCTATGTATATATTTACATTTTTTTTCCAATATGTATAAACCTGCCAAGATTGGGTACTGTGATTTTCTGGTATATACTAACTGTTGTCTTCCAGTAAAAATCAGTGCTTTTTACTGTTTTGGTTTTTTTTTTTTTTTGACAAGATTAATGAAAATTATATATACTTGTGCAGTCTTTTGCTGTCCCATTCTCCTTCCATGTAAATTACAGTTGAACTCTTCTACTTCATTTTGTGTGAGTGATTACATAGATGTTGTATTTTATAAGCTTGTTGATAGCCTTTGTTCTTCTCTTCTTGTTACTGTAGTGGCAGATCAGCAGTGGACAGGGAACCCCATCAACTACCAACAGCACATCCTCTACTCCTTCCAGCCCCACGATTACTAGTGCAGCAGGATATGATGGAAAGGCTTTTGGTTCACCTATGATCGATTTGAGCTCACCAGTGGGAGGGTCTTATAATCTTCCCTCTCTTCCGGATGTAAGTAGACACAAAATTTATACTAGCCTCTGTTGAAAACTGTTGGCCGGGTGCAGTGGCTCACTCCTGTAATCCCAGCACTTTGGGAGGCTGAGGCAGACAGATTACTTGAGGTCAGGAGTTCGAGACTAGCCTGGCCAACATGGTGAAACCCCGTCTCTACCAAAAAATACAAAAATTAACCAGGCATGATAGCACACGCCTGTAATCCCAGCTACTTGGGAGGCGGAGGCTGTGGTGAGCTGAGATCATGCCACTGCACTCTAGCCTAACAGAGCGAGACCCTGTCTCAACAAAGAAAGAAAATTGTTAGTGAATTTGGATCTGGTAGAAGGCATGAATTTGTTGGATTATAGGTTGTTTGTTTTTACAAGTTAATTTTAATCCTTTAGAATATTACAACAGTAGTAAAAATAAAAAGATTATGAACATTGGACACATAATCTAATGTCTTTCAAGCCACCGGAGTTAAAGGTGTTTGTAAATGAGTGATTATGGTGATGGATCATGGAATCTAAGCTGGGAAAGGAGAAAAGTAAGGACATGGAAAGATATGCTGGGACGTTGAATGGCTGGACATCAGAAGAGATGAAGACAAGTTTAATAATAGAAATCCTGTTAGATCATACTGACAAGTGCAAAATTACCTCTGGTTTATACTACATGTAAATTAACTCACTCTCCAAACTCTTTGTCAGTATGACTTTTTGTTATTTATTATATTTTTAAATGATTTTTATTTTTAATAGAGATGGGGGAGACGCCCTATGTTACCCAGGCTGGTCTTGAACTCCTGGGCTGAAGGGATCCTCCTGCCTTGGCCTCCTAAAGTGCTGGGATTACAGGCATGAGCCACTACACCCAGCCAGTATGACTATTCCAAAGGCAGAAAGTCTGCATTCTGTAGACAGATCTCCATATATAAGTTGATTCTGTGTTTGATCCTTTTTTTAATCTAAAGTTAGATAACCTACTGTCGTGCACATATACATACGCACCTAATGTTAAGAAGCTTTTAGGAAATATCTTGTACTCTTTACTTGGATCAAATTACCTATAAGATTGTGAAAATAACTTTTTTATTTTCATTATTTGTTTTTCAAGTTGAGATCAATTAATATTTCCTAATAGTTGCATTGTTAATCTTACCAGAGTCATTCCATTTTTAAAATAGTTTTGTATACTTTAAATGAGTAGAATACATATATTTTCTCATGCATGGATGGTTCATAGGAAAACTTACATCTAATCCCCATAGTTTTATTTGGCTTTTAGGATTATCCCACAA
This sequence comes from Homo sapiens, assembly GCF_000001405.40. NCBI lineage: Eukaryota > Metazoa > Chordata > Mammalia > Primates > Hominidae > Homo > Homo sapiens. The sequence continues at coordinate 138,572,292 of NC_000007.14, forward strand.
AGTAAACAACTTTCCTTGTATTAAGTTCTCATGAATTTAGTCATTCTAGTACTTTTTGTACTCTTTGAAAAATATTGGCCAAGTATTGCCAAAAGAATATTAAAACAAAAATGACCCTGTATATTAACCACCTGGCCCGATTTCCCTGCCCCCGAACCCACAGAAAGTAAAATTCTTTCTGCTTTTTCCTCTGCAGTCCTCATACAGGTGAACCTTTTTCCACCAGGCTTTCTTACCTGAAATTCCTCTTAGGAATTACAGAATAAGCTGAAATGAGTGACTGTTTTCTCATTCCTCCCAAAGGTGCTTCATAACTAGTACCATTCTAGGTGCATAAGCAAGAAATTGATTCATTATATACAAACTGTGCCCTATGGCTGTAGGACTTAATTATCTTATAGAATCCTGGTTGAACAAGAGTAGAACTATGTTAAAGAATTGAACTGGATTTTAAGCCCAAAGACATTGGTGGGAAATTTGGTATATGTAGGCATGAAAGAATTTTTGTGTCTAAAGTATTAAACTCTTACTCATTAGGGATTTGTAAATATTTTTGCCTGGCAATGAATAAGGAAAAGAAGTGTTATTTGTATTCCTGTTATATTAAAGCAAGAATCTTTAGGGTTCACCTTTTCTCCTACAAAACAACAGTAATGTATTCAGTGAGGTTAGTGCTGTAGATATATGGACTTCGTCTATTTAGCACATACCCAGAGTATCAGTTGTTAAAGTATCCCTTTCAGAGGATCCACTAGGTCCTATCTATCTGTGTGAGGCTAGATTTTCTTCATATTTTTCAAGCAAAACCATATACCACAATAGATTGAATGCTGTTTAGGGAGACATTAAAGAGATTCGCAAGAAATGTAAAATTGTGATAGTCTTCTCACCAAGTTTATGTTTTTCATATGGCAAGCTTTTGTCGTTTATAAGAATTTTTTCAATTTTTAAGAGTGTGAATGACATGATATTCCTTTTGACTCCTGTTTTTGAAATAGCGTCCTCAATATTTTACTAAGGTGAAACACTAAGATAGTGAAAACCTTTATTCAAGGTTGTTTATGGGGAAAATATCTGTTAGAACTTCTCAAATGTGGTATCTATGTTTTGTTATTCGATAATAATTATTAAGTTATTGAAGCTTTCTTATAAATTTAAAAGTAGCTTTTAACTTGCAAAATCAGAATGCCCTGAAATAATTTCTTTTCTTGTAAGATTGACTGTTCAAGTACTATTATGCTGGACAATATTGTGAGGAAAGATACTAATATAGATCATGGCCAGCCAAGACCACCCTCAAACAGAACGGTCCAGTCACCAAATTCATCAGTGCCATCTCCAGGCCTTGCAGGTAAAGTGGGCTTCTTTTGATTTTTGTGAAAGTTTTTCTAGTTTTCACTTTACTTGGAATAAAAAATTACCCCTCTTCTCCTTTTTTGTTGAATGCTTAATCTGAGTTTTTCACTATTTAAAATTAGTATGCTTTCAGAGAAAACAAAGGTTAAATTTCTTTATCCTTTCTTTCTTTTGAGTCACAGTCTCGCTCTGTTGCCAGGCTAGAGTGCAGTGGTGCGATCATAGCTCACTGCAGACTCACTCCTGAGCTCAAGCGATCTCCCACCTCAGCCTCCTGAGTAGCTGGGACTGTAAGTATGCTGCTCTACCAAACGTGGCTAATATTTTTTGGTAGAGACAGTCTTGAACTTCTGGCCTTAAGCAATCCTTTCTGCCTTAGCCTCCCAAAGCTTTGGGATTACAGGCATGAGCCATCATACTAGGCCTTCTTTACCTTTTCAATTTCAACAGAACTTCTCACCATTATAGTACTTCCAGGGGGAAATTGGTGTTATATTCTTTCTTGTTGATAAGTTGCCTGTGATGTGGTCTTTAAGATGTAATTTGCCTAGGGTCAAAATGTATTAGTGACAATAAGTAGCAATCACTCTTCTGGTGATTTGTTTGGTGTTTAATTGTGTTTGTGAATCTTGACATACCTACTCATTTCCTCTGAGAGAAAAACGCTAATATTACTTCTGAGGACGTAGGTACCTTAAACCAAAATATGAAAAGAGAATTTAAGTCACTCAACAGTCACATGAACACAATTTAAATGGGGATGCCCGTTTTAAACAAACTTATGACAAAATATAGCAGAGAAACTGTTTATCATATGACAAGTTTATACAAATAAGGAACACATGTGGTATTGCCAAAGGACATGATAAGTAGATAATTCCCTAAAGAGGAAATACATTTATCCAATATAGCAGATGAGACAAAAATTCATTCTTACTAGTGGTCATAAGAAAAATCAAACAAGATAGAATTTCTAAGTTACTGAATTAGCTAAGACTTAAATAATAAAAATAGTCATTGAGAATGTGATGAGAGGTACTCTCATACATAGGTGGAAGGGGTATGAGTTGGCAAAACATTCCTGGAAACCATCATAGCAATATTACTAAAGTTTACATTTATCCAATATTGTACTGTGGGCAAAGTACCTTATATGTATTACCTAGTAGGATATTTGCTTCAAGGGGCTTGGAAAATGTATGTACCCTTGAACCTAGTAATTTCCATTTTAATATGCCAATTATAAGGAAATAATTAGGAACTGGATAGGCAGATCGTATTTATTAATATTTATATTACTATTAAGGCATTATTTGCAGTAGTTAAAATTTTGAAGCAGTGCCCAAATATGAGGATAAAAATAAATTAGAATGTGCTCACTTGTAAACAGATTATTTACCTATTCAGACAATGCTTATGTAGAGTTTTTAATGGCATGCTCATGGACTACTGTTTAGTGAAAACAAGTATACAGAACCATATAAAAGATGTAAAAGTATGTTTAAAACTGGAAAGAGATATATCAATCAACCTTAGCAGTGTTTATATATGGATGGAGAAGTTATGGGCTACTTAAATGTTATATATTTTTATAGTTTTCAACTATTCTAAAATGAAGCATGTATTCTTATATTATCAGGAGATTATAAATAGCCATTGTTTTGATTGATTTTGAGGCAGGGTCTCACTCTGTTGCCCAGGGTGTAGCAATCATGGTTCACTGCAGCCTCATACGCTTGGGCTCTAGTGATCCTCCTGCTTTAGCCTTCCCAGTAGTGGGGACTACAGGTAGGTGCCACCAGGCCTGGCTAATTTTTTTTTTTTTTTTTTTGGTTAGAGACGGGTCTTTGTTGTCCAGGCCTTTTATTTTTAAATTAAATTCTCCAGAGTTTACAAACCAATGAAATGATAATCTTCATTTTATCAGCCACATCCTGTTGTTCATCAAACCTTTTAGAACTTCTGTCAATTCGGAATTTTTTTTCTACTTCCCACTTTCATTGTATTCCTACTTGTTACTGTTTAGTTTGGGCCTTCATCAGTTCAAATCAATTATTTGCAACAGTTTTCCTTCTTTCTTGGCTGCTTTTAATTAGATCTTCCTTGTTCCAGTCTACACTACCACCAGAGCATAGCTTCTTAATCTTTTTAGGGCAGTAGTCCAGAATCCCTCTTTTGTTTATTGCCTTAAGTCTGAACCCATTGATCTTTCTGTGTCTTCCATTAGTTGGTTTAATTTTGTTTACTTGGTTTTCTTTTTTGAACTCCTTTTCTATCAGCCCGTACCACCTTTCGTTGTCTTCTGTAGCTTCCACTGGCACTAGGGTCTCACTGAGATCTTACCCCTGTTACTCTAACACAGAAAGACTTGGCAATGTTTGGAGATGTTTTTGATTGTCACACCCCAAGCTGGGAAGTATAGAGAGATGCCACTGGTATCTAATAATTGGTGGAGGCCAGGGATGTTGCTAAACATCCTGAAATGCAGAGACATTCCTCCACAACAAGGAATTATCTGGCCCAAAAGTCAATAGTGCAGAGGCTGAAAAACCCTGCCGGTGTAACAGGCTGTAACAGACTGCTGAAAATTCAGCAACTACTTACTGTTTCATAGAATTTCATCATGGTTCCCAGTTTCAATGTAGTGCTAAGTGAACACATTCAACAGGACTTCAATGCATAATTATTCATTCGTTTTATGAATGTATGGTTTCCCCCTCCTCAGGACCTGTTACTATGACTAGTGTACACCCCCCAATACGTTCACCTAGTGCCTCCAGCGTTGGAAGCCGAGGAAGGTAAACTGACTAAACCATATTTTCTAGTATATAAAAATCTCTAATTAGATTTCTTTTGCCAGTGTTCAACATGTTTTGATACTCAATATATTTTGAACAATTTCCTTTATTTTTAATTAAAATTTTAATAACTACTATATATTTTAATGAATTAGTTAAGGGATTAACAAAAGTACAAATTTACCTTTGAAGATAGAAGAATATTTGTCAATATGTTGAAAATAAGAAATGTTGGATATTCATATAATAGCAAAGAAAACATAAAAATGAATAGGCATAACACAGTACACTATATAGAAACACAAATTTAGAGAAAAGATAAAATTTTATGCTAATTTGATCTCTAATGACTAAATGTTGATTCTACTTTAAAATAAATATACAGTTATTGAAATTCTATATTTTAAGCAACTGCTCTCCTCTTCCCTGCATTATGCCTGAAAATTCCTCCTAGCTAGTGAACCCAGTTCTTACTTTATCATATGGAAGAATTGTCTGAGGGAGAAAAGTTTGCCTTTAATCCCATGAGAACATAGTGAATCTCTGTAAAAGCTTTTTGACCCACTACCTTCTTTAAATAGTATTGTGTAAATACATGATTATTTCATTGTCTTCACCAAAGTATTCACTTTGCTACTGACTAGAGAAGGAAATGAGAAAGCCTAAAATCAGATGCCAGTTCTAAGATACTAAATCTGGTTGCCTAATTGTAAAGCCTCAGGTTTTTAAAAGTTTAGGTTTATTGAAACATCTTTCTAGATATATAACTATTTAGATAGGTTAATATGTAAAACATTTTTATCATAAATGAAACTTGCATACACCAGTTTCATTTGTTATGCATCATTAATTGCTGATGTTAACATACTTATTGTTGTGAAGATACAGTATTTTAGAAAGTTGTTGTTATACTTTTTATGAGGTATTTAGCTTAACATTCTTAGATTGCTTTTTCTTCTCTCTCATACTTACAGCTCTGGCTCTTCCAGCAAACCAGCAGGAGCTGACTCTACACACAAAGTCCCAGTGGTCATGCTGGAGCCAATTCGAATAAAACAAGAAAACAGTGGACCACCGGAAAATTATGATTTCCCTGTTGTTATAGTGAAGCAAGAATCAGATGAAGAATCTAGGCCTCAAAATGTAATTATGAATGCTTGCAATGCTATTCCTATGCATGGTGGGTAGGGTGAGAGAATCTTTTAAATAGCTCTTAGGAGTTTTTTTTTAATGTTATATTTAAAAGGATTTAAAGACAATTTGAGGGAATCTCTCAGTAAATTAAACAAAAAGACAAAGATGGAAAAACAGGAAAGTTTTTAAAAATCAGAGGCTCAGATATGGAGGCTGGGCAGTTAAAAGGAGATATTCTTTCTTTAATCAGAGTTTTATACCCAGGCAAATTATCAATCAGATTGACTTGAAGATTAACTAAACATTTTCGTGCAAGTTCTCAAAATAATTCTTATGTACTCATTCTCAGGAAGATACTTGATAATATGAATCATCAAAAATATAGTAAAACAAGAAAGAAGACATAAGATTCCAAAAATGGAATCTGACACAGAAGAAAAAGGCAACCCCCAGTACAGCAGCAGCAGCAGCTTGTGCAGTAGTCTGTAGCAGGAAGACATAGGACTCCCAAGGGAGAAAAATGCTTCAACAGTATTGAGAATCTCCTGTTGGAGATTGTGAGAATAACATAGAAATAGGTACCTAGAAAGATAAGCAACTGAAAATATAAGGTAATTACAGAGTCTTAGTAAAAACAAAAAGTTGTACAAAAAATGTCTTAGTACATTTTGTGGGTCTGCAGTGAACAATATTTAAATAATAATAATAATGATGTAAACAAACACCTGAGTACGAATGTAACTAAAAACTGTGATGCAATCAGGATATAACCTGAATATGCACTTAACCAAAAATTGTGATTTTCAGAATACTTAACCAGTACAAGACAAATACTGATCAGTTAGAATAGATACTGGCAATAAACAGTTATACCAGTACCTACCAACTAAAACAATCAATGCTTAATCAAAACTAAGTTAAAGGGATGGGGTGAATGGTGGTGGTGGTGGTTTTGTGTGTGTGTGTGTGTGTGTGTGTGTGTGTGCGCGCACGCACGAATGGAAGCAGGACGGGGTTGGAGAATCAGAATGTAAAAACCTAATCTCCTGATCTTCACTAGTAAGGATTATAGATGTATTGCAATTTTTAACAATCATTTTATTTAGAAATATGGAGGTAAACAGCAGAAGAAAAAGCTAGGTTTGAAAATAGTTCTTCCAAGGAATAAGTGCTTTTAACTATATCTACATTTATTACTTTGAAATTTTTGAAAACATTTGAAGGAGATTGTTTTTGTTATTGATTTGAAATTTTCACCATCCTGGGCTTCAACAGAAAGTTTAGATTCATCTTATAATTTTTGTATCTTAGGTATAATTTGAATGAACAGCTCCAGTGAGGTATATATATATATATATAGGTCATGTGGTTGACTTCCACTCTACCCAACCCATTCTCTAATTTCTGTAGCCATCCCCAGACTTAGATTTTTTCTCTATTTATTTTGGTATTTTTTAGTAGAGGTTCATGTCTTCTAAGCCAGTTAGCAATAAACATATACCCTTCTCCTGAAGATTCCTTTGAAGCAGCCAGGTGCTCACCAGAGAGTGGTCTACAGTTCAGAATTGCATTAGTGATAAAATTTTTTTTAAAGCCAGTTAAATATATTTTTTTTCTACTACAGGCCAATTATCCAAGAAGCATACTCACCTCCCTGCTCTTAAATAGCAGTCAGAGCTCTACTTCTGAGGAGACTGTGCTAAGATCAGATGCCCCTGATAGTACAGGAGATCAACCTGGACTTCACCAGGACAATTCCTCAAATGGAAAGTCTGAATGGTTGGATCCTTCCCAGAAGTCACCTCTTCATGTTGGAGAGACAAGGAAAGAGGATGACCCCAATGAGGACTGGTGTGCAGTTTGTCAAAACGGAGGGGAACTCCTCTGCTGTGAAAAGTGCCCCAAAGTATTCCATCTTTCTTGTCATGTGCCCACATTGACAAATTTTCCAAGGTAAGATAGTACTTCCCTTCCCACATTCTTTTACTGTAAACTTTTGAAGATTATTTTAACAGAAAGCCTTTGAAAAAACTTAAATGAAATTCCACTTGGCACAAGTGTATACTCCAAAATCCCAATGAATAGTCTAGGTTTTCCCATACCCTTCCGCTTATTCTTTGTGCTTCTTTCAAAAAACTAATCATTCAGCCTGAGCAACACAGGGAGACCCTGTCTGTCTGTACAAAATAAAAAATTAGCCGGGTATGGTAGTGCATGCCTGTAGTCCCAGCTACTCAGGAGGCTGAGGTGGGAGGATTGGTTGAGCCTGAGAGGTCAAGGCTGCAGTAAGCTGTGCTTGCACCACTGCACCCCAGACTGGGCAACAGAGCAAGACCCTCTCCCTAGTCATTACAAAAAGAAAAAAAAATAACAGGCCCTTTAAATTATCACAAGGGATCATCATAAGGAACAATGTCCCTATGCATAACAGCTACCACAGTTTATTATGTCTTTTTGCCAGGCATCGAACTGTATCTTTTACAAGTATTTCAAGTAAATTCTCATACCCTATGGGGATGATGATCATCATCATGACCAAGATGGTTAAGAGCCATTGGGTTGATCTCTCAGTTCTTGGAAGGCCATACTTTTGAAAATTTAATTTTATAAACTTAAGAGTAACAAGAATAGTACAAAGAGCTTTTCTAGTTCCTGAATCCTTTGGAGGAAAAAAATTCAATTATGCCCTAGATATGTGAGCCCTAGATTAAATTTGTTTAGGTGTTTCTTTTTTTTCAATATATGTATCTCACACCTTCTTAACTAGATTTTGATGTTTGTTAGGCCCTTGCATTATATTTCTGCTGTTTCCTCTCAGCATGGTGCAGTATACCTAGTGGTATGTGGTAAATGCTCAGTGATTAAAATTCATGCCAAATGAACAATTCTGTATCATAGATGTCATGGAGGAGGTGGGAAAGGGAAATAGTGAAGAGAGGAAATGATGCATTAGGAATTCAAAAGTACATTGTCCCCTAACAGTGGAGAGTGGATTTGCACTTTCTGCCGAGACTTATCTAAACCAGAAGTTGAATATGATTGTGATGCTCCCAGTCACAACTCAGAAAAAAAGAAAACTGAAGGCCTTGTTAAGTTAACACCTATAGATAAAAGGGTAAGTCTTTGGTAAGATGCATTATTGTATTGTAGTGCAATATTGTACTGTGGTACCTTTTGTCAAAGAGGTGTATATCCATCCAGATTTTATACTGATCCTTTTTATTTAAGAGTATTTTTTTTTGTTTACAAAGGTACATGAATCTTAAAGACTGTAACTTTCTTTAAATTAAAAAAATCACAGAATTAATGCATGTATTTTATAGAAGCTTATTGTACCTGAACAAGATGGAATATGTACCCTAGACTTTTAATCTACCTTAAGTAAATTTCTATTTTGTTTTATTTCCTACTATAGATAAGATTTTTCCTTAGAACTGCCACCAAGGAGCTGGGTTTTTTCTTTACTCTTCCTGGAAATAATTCCTTTTTTTTCACTGAATGGGACTAGACTTATGCATCAAAGCCAACTGATATATTTAACTGTAAATAACATTTAAAGCTACCAAGTCAACACTTTGTTACCAAAAAAACTCCTTTGCTAAATTATTAAGTAGAACAGTCAATATGAAAGTTGTCATGCAAGAGGGGACGTGCCCATTCACTGCCAGTACTACTCAGTGGTTACTGGGATAAACCCATAAAGCAGGGAAGTATATGAATAGCAGAGCACATGGTTGGACCTTCGGCATGCAGAAAGGTGCCTTAGGTCTGGATGCATATTGAGAAGGTCCACCTCCAGTTCTCCTAAGAGACGTACGTTCTTCCTTTATAGACTATTACTAATTTATAATACACAGACTGGAGCAATAAGTGCAAATTTATTGTTAGAAAACTTCAAATGGTTTTCTAGTGATTGTCTTAGTTCATTCAATTACAGGGCCTGTTCCCAAATATTGGGAAGGAGAGCAAAACTCCGAGAATCAGTAATTTTTTTGTATTCATCTGGGTTTTAATTTTTAGTCTGACACTTTGGGACCTCTGAGATTGTTATTTAAAATAAGCTGTGAATTCATTGTTTTATAATATTTTATCTCAGTTTTTATTTATTTTTGCTTAGAAGTGTGAGCGCCTACTTTTATTTCTTTACTGCCATGAAATGAGCCTGGCTTTTCAAGACCCTGTTCCTCTAACTGTAAGTATTAATGTCATTTTCTGCATGTTTACACAGTGGAATGCTTTTCTGGAATTTTATGAGAATCTAGCTTATATTACCATTTTTCAGTACTTTTTAATATCTAAACCTTAAATCTTAATAATACATACTGAATGCTTTGATCCTATGTAGGTACATTTTAGTAAGTGGCCCAAAACTTCTGTTCATTTCTCAGGTATTCTTTCTTCTTTCTTTTCTCATCTATTTTACTTACCACTGGGATGTTTAGGGTGATTTCTGTTAATTTTCTGTATTTCAGGAGTTTTAGGCATGTTTCCGAAGCTGTTGGAAAAAAAACTTTGAAATAAAGACATCTCTCCCTGCTACATTTTCCGTACTTATTTTTCTTTATAGGTCCAGACTTCAAGTAAATAAGTAGACGTTACCAATACAAAAAAAGTTGAGGAAGTATGTGCGCAGGTGCTATTGACTTCAGAAAGGTTCATATTGAAAGTTTGATGTGACTGTGGCCGGGCGCGGTGGCTCACGCCTATAATCCCAGCACTTTGGGAGGCCGAGGCGGGCGGATCACGAGGTCAGGAGATAGAGACCATCCTGGCTAACACGGTGAAACCCCGTCTCTACTAAAAATACAAAAAATTAGCCAGGTGTGGTGGCAGGCGCCTGTAGTCCCAGCTACTCGGGAGGCTGAGGCAGGAGAGTGGCGTGAACCTGGGAGGCGGAGCTTGCAGTGAGCCGAGATCATGCCACTGCACTCCAGCCTGGGCAAAAGAGCAAGACTCCGTCTCAAAAAAAAAAAAAAAAAAGTTTGATGTGACTTTAACGCATAATTTTAGAGTGCTGGAAAGGGCCTGGTACCCCAAAAGAGTATTCTTCTAATGTCTGAACCCCGGAGGCGGAGGTTGCAGTGAGCCGAGATTGCGCCATTGCTCTCCAGCCTGGGCAACAAGAGCAAAACTCTGTCCCAAAAAAAAAATTTTTTTTCATTTGTTCTACAGTTTGATAAATCTCAAATTAATACAAAGTTGAGAAGAAAATCAGCTTAGTAAATACAGTCAGCTTCTCTCTTAAGAACAGGTTTTGAGAACTTGATATAGGAAATAAATACCTCCAGGGAGAAGGGTCTTTTGTACCCAAAAGAGGCAGGGTAAAGAAGTCGAGAGGCTTGTAACAACATTACCAACTTGAAAATGTAACCTTGAATTGTACTTTTTATTATCCTGGCTTACAGTTACGTTATTAATACCAACAATGACAAAGTAGCCCCCTTTTTCTTAATAAATATCATCTCATTTAGTCTGTACAAAATGCTGTGAGTTTGGCAGGATTATCCCTATTTGAAATATGAAGAAACTGAGGTTAAGTAGCTTACCCAGGACCATGACACTGAGCAGCAGAGCTGGGGATTAAACCCAGATTCAAAGTCCTTCTTCCTCTTGTATAATACATGCAGCAAAAACATGTCAGATTCTACTAGAAATGATATTCTTCCTAGTAATTGCTTTTTGTTTAATAATGAAGAAAAAAATCTAGATGATTAAGAGGAAATATGTGAAGACAAGTTTTTTCATTAAAAATAATTGGGGCTGGGTGCAGTGGCTCACGCCTGTAATCCCAACATTTTGGGAGGCTGAGGCAGGCAGATTGCTTGAACCCAGGAGTTTGAGACCAGCCTGGGCAACATGGCAAAACCCCATCTCTACAAAAAATACAAAAATTAGCCGGCTATGTTAGCGCATGCCTGTAACCCCAGCTACGCGAGAGGCTGAGGTGAGAGGATCACTTAAGCCCAGGAGGCAAAGTTTGCAGTGAGCCGAGATTGTGTCACTGCACTCCAGCCTGGGTGACAGAGCAAGACCCTGTCTCAAAAATAATAATTGGTTAAACTTTTGGAAAAAGTCACACAAACCTTTACCAGTGTGTGTGGAAGGCAGTGGGCACTTGTAAACACTGTTAAATGGGTTTCTTTACTAATGGCAAATAGCACAGAGAAAAGCAATGAGAACATTCTGAATTTTAGAGCACATCTCATAGAATATATTTAGGACAAGGTGGAATTTAGCTATTTGTATTATAACATCTCATTTTTTTAATAGGTGCCTGATTATTACAAAATAATTAAAAATCCAATGGATTTGTCAACCATCAAGAAAAGACTACAAGAAGATTATTCCATGTACTCAAAACCTGAAGATTTTGTAGCTGATTTTAGATTGATCTTTCAAAACTGTGCTGAATTCAATGAGGTGAGGCTAGGGGAGGGAAGGGGGCAGGAAGGAACAGCAGTGTGAAAATCATTTTATTACTAAACACCTTGTCAACATAGGAGACCAAGATGTCTGAGTTAGAATAAATTTCCAACTTTTCAGATCAGGGAATGCAAGAGATAATTCAGATAACTCTGTCCACATTTATATTCAAAGGTTTATTAGATGGTGATGGAAATGCAAATTACAGCTGATAACTGAAAGACAAAATGTTTTTCTCTGACCTAGACATATTCTTTATCATTCCCACCTGTATTTCTTATTTTTATGTTGATCTTGAAATATTAAGGATGTGGGCCAAATAGCTCTAATTTAAAAATTTCTCATCTGTCAGTTCATCTACACATCAGTCAGACTTAGAACCTTTTGCTGCTGGTGGTTTGTTCTCTGTTACTCATTCTAATAGTACTACATTTAATTTGTTCTAAAAATACCTGGTTCATGATCCTATGGTTATGGAATCCTAACTGATATGTGTTTGGCAATATAGTCCTACCATTACCACCTTCTTTTAGAATAATCCAGGCTTTTACTTTTATCTTTTTTCCACACTTCTGAATCTTTTATTTTAGCTGGCCTTCTGTACAGAGACTTTGTCTAGTCCTAAACTATTATTTCAATGACTATGCATGAACACTTTTCAAAACAGCTCATTAATATATATAATCTCAGAAGTCAAAAGTGTGTCCTTTTTTTACTCATTTTTATTTTTACTCCACAGCCTGATTCAGAAGTAGCCAATGCTGGTATAAAACTTGAAAATTATTTTGAAGAACTTCTAAAGAACCTCTATCCAGAAAAAAGGTTTCCCAAACCAGAATTCAGGAATGAATCAGAAGATAATAAATTTAGTGATGATTCAGATGATGACTTTGTACAGCCCCGGAAGAAACGCCTCAAAAGCATTGAAGAACGCCAGTTGCTTAAATAATATGCAGCACCACTAGCTTGTGCTGGTTTTTAGATTTTTTTGTTTTCAAAAAAACATTTGTCAGTAATTTAACATCACTACAAAAAGAAGAGTTTGTGACTATTCTCATCTCTGTTTTGGACGTTTACTAGACTTTGATTTCCTTAATAGCCCATTTCTGTTAACCTCTTATCACTAAGAAAGAAAGGAAAGAAGGAGATGAATAGAAGAAAGAAAATGGAAAGAAGGAAAAAAGGAGGATAGAAAAAGGATGGAAGAAAGAAGCATTGAAAACAAAGACATTCTTCCCACTTCTTGGATTTTTAAACCACAGTCTGGAGTGATAGCTACTGTAGAAAGGAAATAGACTTTGTATGAACTCTTTAAGTTGAAAAGTAAAAAATATATGTGGTTTGGATGTGTGCTTTAATTCAGCTTTAGAAATTAATACCACTACCCGTGAATTATATGGCCTGACAATATGAATTAGGTGTACTGTACTGAAGAACAGTACTCCACAAACATGGGTGGTAACAAGAGTTCCATCCCAGGAGGCCAAACGGTGCAACAGAAGGGTAGGTTAGATGCTATTAAGAAGGCACTTAATAGTACATCATGTAAGATGGCAACTGTATTAAAGAAAAATCCGGAAAACAAATGTTTGATTTTTGTTTTTGTTTTTATCTTGTCTGTAGAGGTATTTTGGTATAGCAGGTTTTCAAGGCCATTTTTTATACATTTCTAGATCTAGATTTTCAACTTCTTCCACTGAGGGAAGTATATACATTTGGGTTTGCTGTGTGTCTATGTGAGGTTTAATTGTACAGGTGATCCTTTTACAACAAGCCTCATTGTTTGCAGTATAGCTTTTAGTGGAACTACCCAAAATATAAATACAGCAGCGTGCACTGTATTTGATGTGAGGGTTCTTCATCATATACCCTACTGGGCATTAAATATAAGTTCCTCTGAAAGGGACTCGTTTTTGTGGTTTTCATCTGTCTATAATTTGGAATGAAAATGTGTTGTAGGATTTTGGGAGCAGGCAGCTGGGGGGAATTAATAGTGATTTTTTTTTTTTCCTGAAGCATCTATCTCATGTTTTTCTTTTGAGAGTCAGAACATCAAACTTAATCTTTGATCTGACTTCTGATTTTATTCTTCTGATTGATTGATAGAGGTACAAAAGACTTATCTTCTGAGGACAAGCATATTCTTAATGTGCCAGACCTACCCGGTTCAGCTGATATAGATAGATAGATAGATAGAAGAAAATTGCTGTGCCATACATTAATCCAGCATTTGACACAATATCTAAATGGTTTGCCGAAGTTAATCTGTATTTATAAAACATTAACTGGAGTAAATTTTTCTCCTTAGGATGATAGAATAAAAAGAGCTCACTTGAAAGAAGGCTATTATTTGCATTATATCACCTGCCATAAATTTAACATAGAAGACTTGGTTTTATCTACATGGCTTTACTTCTTAAAGTGGAAAATATCCTGTGGCTAATTCATTGGGTTTTCAGGTACTGCTAAAGATAAAATACAGGGAGAAAATAACTTGTTAGCAATAGATCCCCATTGTTTATATATATAGGTCTTGTTCATAATATGTCAATTATGTATTGTTAAAAAGTCCTACTCACTTTTCAAATATGTGTTACATGGTAATGTTTGTCATTGTTGTTTTAAAGTTGCATTTGACATTTGTTCTCCAAAGAGTGTTTGAACAGATTTTGATAACAGTGCATACACCTTTTGTCTTTTTTTGCTCCAGCATTTTATTTTTAGCACAGCAGCTGTGGAGCTTTTGCTGATAATTTTATTGTTGGTATCTTAGAATACTGTTCGTCTGACAGTTTATTCTTCCATACTTGTCTCCCAAGTTAAAACAGAGCAAAACAGATAAATTATTTTGAGAATCATCACAAAAGGGAGTTAGAACTTGTGAGACTAAAACTATAATTTCCTAAATGTGACTAATGAACCCCAAACTGTCACTATTACATTCAGTGCCATATTTATCTTTCAAAACAGTATTTGTTTCACCCTAACCATCTTTGGCTGAATGAAAGGCAGTTGAGAACCATCTTTTGGTCATACATAATATAATTATATTAAAAGTAAAGATCGGGGCTGGGCGCAGTGGCTCACACCTGCAATCCCACCAGCACTTTGGGAGGCCAAGGTGGGCGGATCACAAAGTCAAGAGTTCGAGATCAGCCTGGCCAACATTGTGAAACCCCGCCTCTACAAAAAATACAAAAATTAGCCGGACATGGTGGCGTGCAACTGTAATCCCAACTACTCAGGAGGCTGAGACAGGAGAATCACTTGAACGCAGGAGGCAGAAGTTGCAGTGAGCCAAGATCTCACCATTGCACTCCAGCCTGAGTGACAGAGACTCAGTCTCAAAAACAAAAAGTAAAGGTCTTGGGTTTCTCTCTGTAAATAGCCTTTGTGTAATGGTCTTTAGATTAATATCCTTTGACTTTATTAATAAGTACCTGTGTGCCCAGGTGGATCTCAGCTAAGTCATCCTTAAATTCTGTTCAAATAGAAATAAACCATAAAATGAGCCTAACTATAACCCACACTCACTTATCAAGCATTCCCCCAAAAGTTCAGTGCGATTCAGGTAACCTTGACCTAAACTTGTACACTCCGGTGTACATCTTTGACCATAAACTCTGGGAGATTTCCCTCTGGATTTGGGATCAGGAGCCCAGTAGGGCCCCATTGCTGAATGTTTATCACACTTCTGGCTAGGGCTTATGGATGAGCAGACCACGTAGGAGCTAGGATTTACTCAGTTCCACCTCACTGACAGCTTTTCTAGGTGCCAAGCAACTGACTTTTCCTGTGTAAGGAAGCCCAAGTACTTGACCAGTGATATATATGGCCATGGCAAAAGTATAAATGGATGGATGTAGACCATATTCAACGCAGAATACATTTTAGATCGGTATCTGGCATTGTAATCATTTTGTCTTTTGAATTAACATGCCCTGCTTGTCTTTTCTGAATGGAAGGGTAGGAAAGTGGAAGGTACTAAAAAGGAAAATGTAGTTTTAGTTTCTTTTCTAAGCTAAAGAACTGGCTTTACTACTGCTATATTTTACTACCACATAGTAGTGTAGATGTAGTATAACTTGCTTAGGAATGCTTTCAAAAAGGTTACCTCCATAGTCAAAAAAAGGGGGAGTATACAGCTGATTGTTGCATTTATGAAACTGCATTTCAATATGCTATGCTGTTACTGTGCTTAGACACTTCCTTACGTTTGAGTTCCAAGGAGAGAGAGTGAGAAGAGGAACTCCTTTTGCTGAGCTCTGGTCCAAATTAATGTGAATCCCCAAAGTAAATTGCTGCATATGAACAACAGGTTTTAGGTTTAAATTGAAGATACATTCATTTTATATGTATTTGTTGTGAATGAGAGAAATTGAGTGATCTGATTGGCCATTAAAATTATGGTGAATGGGTCGGGCGCAGTGGCTCACGCCTGTAATCCCAGCACTTTGGGAGGCCGAGGTGGGTAGATACCTGAGGTCAGGAGTTTGAGACCAGCCTGACCAACATGGTGAAACCCCATCTCTACTAAAAATACCAAAATCACCAGGGTGTGGTGGCCCATGCCTGTAATCCTAGCTACTCGGGAGGCTGAGGCAGGAGAATCGGCTTGAACCCAGGAGGCAGAGGTTGCAGTGAGCTGAGATCGCACCACTGTAGTCCAGCCTGGGTGTCAGAGCAAGACTCTGTCACAAAAAGAAAAATTATGGGGAATGGCCGGGCGCGGTGGCTCACACCTGTAATCCCAGCACTTTGGGAGGCCGAGGTGGGTGGATCACCTGAAGTCAGGAGCTCAAGACCAGCCTGGCCAACATGGTGAAACCCCACCTCAACAGAATATACAAAAAAATTAGCTGGGTGTGGTGGCGGGTGCCTGTAATCTCAGCTACTTTGGGATGCTGAGGCAGGAGAATAGCTTGAACCCAGGAGGTGGAGGTTGCAGTGAGTCGAGATTGCACCATTGCACTCCAGCCTGGGCAACAAGAGCAAAACTCTGTCTCAAAAAAAAAAAAAAATGGTGACCATGCGTTCAACCATATAATTTCTTACTGAAATTGAGCTCCTCCTTTTGAATAACCATGTACATATTTTTAAAAGTATTTTATAGCCCTATGTAAATTAATAGTTGATGTCTTTTTATAAATGTTTATTGCATATTCATCTTGAATGTGAATTTACTGTTGTAATTCACATACTGGTGTCATGTTTCTGAGTGAGAATAATGCTAGTCAGTCAGATCACAGATTTTTCTCCATGAAGGTTTTACTTATTGAGAGGGACATCTGAGGCAGTAGTCTTCGTCTTTAATTTTTGGGGGCAGATTGGTGCTTTGGTTTTAATAAAAACTAACTTTGATGGATTTTTACTGTCAATATTTTACCACAAGGATTTTTTAATAGAAAAATTACTGAATGTTACTTCAGCAGAGTTCTATCTACTTTGAGTCTCCATTACTACTACTGTTGTTCCCCTAGCTGTAACATTGATCCATATAGGGGCAAGCTACTAGTCCATAAATAGCTGTAATAGGAAAACAGTTTTTTAAAATTCTAACACGT
Source organism: Homo sapiens (assembly GCF_000001405.40). Classification (NCBI taxonomy): domain Eukaryota; kingdom Metazoa; phylum Chordata; class Mammalia; order Primates; family Hominidae; genus Homo; species Homo sapiens. The sequence goes on from NC_000007.14 coordinate 138,589,567, forward strand.
GTATTTCACCAGCCTTAAAAGATTTAAAAAAAAATCTGACAGGAAGGAAAGCGGGTGGTAAGTATCTTGGATTATTCTGCCTCATACCAGCCACTCCCAAAGTAGGAGGACCAAAGATGCCATGAAGACTTCTAGTTGTCTGGAAGTTATTTGGGGAAGGGGGGAAAGACACAGAGTGGGGACCTTTGGAAGTCATTTTAAAAATTTAGCTATGTTAATTCCACTTGTAAAGTTTGAAAGGTTTTGATTCTTGTAATTTCTGAGAATTACTATGTTTTAAATTTACTATTGGATATTTAACAGATCTTTCATGGGGCCAACCTATTTGCTTCCTTAATTTTCAAATTAAGTCCTAATTTGAGTCCTAAAAAAATCTTTCCTTGTTAGTTGCAAGTTAAACATTTAATAAAATTATTTTCCCACGTTTTCACATGTGGTATGGAATAAAGGCTGTTTTAACATTCCCTGCGAGATACTTGGGAAGGTGGATTCTTTGCCTATGTACTAATGCCTTTAACCCCAAGACAACTGAACCAGAAAAAAGTCAGTCAGGAATCTTTCCATTGCAAATGACTGAATGCCAGTTGCCATTGCTTTGGGGGAGAGGATAGAATATACAGATCAACCAGAGTTAAGCCCTCCTCACCTTTTAAATGAAAATGTACTGACCTGAGAAGTGGCATTTCTCCAAGGGAAAATCAGGGTGTTCTCTTTTTTTTTTTTTTTTTTTAGGCAGGTCTCCCTCTGTCATCCAGGCGGAAGTGCAGTGGCACCATCATGGCTCATTGCAGCCTCCATCTCCTGGGTTTTAGCAATCCTCCTGCCTCAGCCTTCCAAAGTGCTGGGATTACAGGCATGAGCCACCACATTCAGCCCAGGGTGTTCTTAACAAGAAGGAACAACAAACTAGGCAACCAAGTGCCAAACTTTGATGGTGATGCTGGTTATCTGACTGCTCCTTTTAGGGATTCACTAATGAGGTTGTATGTTAAGAAAACCCGAGGTACAAACAGTCCAAAATAAATATTTTGGCATTCATATTATAATAGTAGTTTTTGCAAAATCTCAGGCCAATATCCCTAATGAACATCAATGCGAAAATCCTCAAGTGAAACACTGGCAAACCGAGTGCAGCAGCACATCAAAAAGCTTATCCACTACGATCAAGTTGGCTTCATCCCTGGGATGCAAGGCTGGTTCAACATACGCAAATCAATAAACATAATCTATCACATAAACAGAACCAATGACAAAAACCACATGATTATCTCAACAGATGCAGAAAAGGTCTTTGACAAAATTCAACAACTCTTCATGCTAAAAACTCTAGGTATTGAAACATATCTCAAAATAATAAGAGCTATTTATGACAAACCCACAGCCAATATACTGAATGGGCAAAAACTGGAAGCATTCCCTTTGAAAACTGGCACAAGACAAGGATGCCCTCTCTCACCACTCCTATTCAACATAGTAGTGGAATCAGGCAATCAGGCAGGAGAAAGAAATAAAGGGTATTCAGTTAGGAAAAGAGTAAGTCAAATTGTCTGTTTGCAGATGACATGATTGTATATTTAGAAAAACCCCATCGTCTCAGCCCAAAATCTCCTTAAGCTGATAAGCAACTTCAGCAAAGTCTCAGGATACAAAATCAATGTGCAGAAATCACAAGCATTCCTATACACCAATAACGACAAACAGAGCACCAAATGAGTGAACTCCCATTCACAATTGCTACAAAGAGAATAAAATACCTAGGAATACAACTTACAAGCCATTAAAGACTGCTTTAAAGAGACTACACTACTGAGGCCAGGTACGGTGGCTCACGCCTGTAATCCCAGCACTTTGGGAGGCTGAGGCGGGCGGATCACGAGGTCAGGAGATTGAGACCATCCTGGCTAACATGGTGAAACCCCGTCTCTACTAAAAATACAAAAAAAAAAAAAAAAATTAGCCAGGCATGGTGGCGGGTGCCTATAGTCCCAGCTACTCAGGAGGCTGAGGCAGGAGCATGGTGTGAACCCAGGAGGCGGAGCTTGCAGTGACCTGAGACTGCACCACTGCACACCAGCCTGGGCAACAGAGGGAGACTCCGTCTCAAAAAAAAAAAAAAAAAAAAAAAAAAGACTACACAGCTGAACGGCAATTAAGAGACAAAACATAAATGCATAACCTATGCATAAATGCATAAACCTTAGTTGCTTTCTTTCTACAGCATATATAACCTTAAGAGTTCAGTGTGCACAGGTGTGATGTCTTGCATGCATGGAACGGTTTCAAAACAAATAGCATATAAGTAGAGGCATACGACAACGATTGCGGTTTCAGTTCCAGACCATTGCAATAAAGCGAATATCACATTAAAAATGGTCACAAATAGTTTGGTTTCCCAGTGCTTATAAAAGTTATGTTTATACTGTAGCCTATTAAGTGTGCAATAACATTATATCTAAAAACTGTACATACCTTAATTTTCTTTCACCAAATAGCTTCTCACATATCTTAATTTTGAAATAATTCATTACGGAAAAGTGCAATGATCATCTAAGCCTTCGGTGGGTCAATCTTTTGCTGATGGAGGGTCTAGCCTCAATACTGATGGCTGCTGACTGTTCAGAGTGGCAGTTGCTGAAGGCTGGGGTGGCTGTGGCAATTCCTTAATGAAGTTTGCTGCATCAATTGACTCTTTTATGAAAGATTTCTCTGTAGCACATGATGCTGTTTGATAGTATTCGACCCATAGTAGAACATCTTTCAGAATTAGAGTCAATCTTCTCAAACTCTGCCACTGCTTCAACTAAGTTCATATAATATTCTAAATCCTTTGTTGTCATTTCAACAATGGTCACAGCATCTTCACCAGGAGTAGACTCTACCTCAAGAAACCACTTTCTTGGCTCATCCACAAGAAGCAAGTCCTCATCTGTTCAAGTTTGAGATGACAGCAATTCAGTCACATCTTCAGGCTCCACTTCTAGTTCTCTTGGTATTTCCGTCTCATCTGCGGTACCTTTCGTCACTGAAATCTTGAACCCCTAAAAGTCATTTGTGAAGGTTCGAATCAATGTCTTTCTCACTCCTGAGTTATTCTGACTCTTCCTGTGAATCACAAATATTCTTAATGGCATCTAGAATGGTGAATTGTTTCCAGAAGGTTTTCTATTTACTTTGCCCAGATTCATCAGAGGTATCACTATCTGTGGCAGCTATAGCTTTATGAAATATATTTATTAAATAATAAGACTTGAAAGTCAGAATTCCTTCTTGATCTATGGTCTGCAGAATGGATGTTTTGTTAACAGACATTAAATTATCAAGATCTTAGGTGACTAGGTGCATTGTCAGTGAGCAGTAATGTTTTAGATGAAGTCCTTTTTTTCAGCAGTAGGTCTCAAAAAATGGGGTTAAAAAATTAACCATGCCATAAAAAGATAATTCTGTCATAAGCATTGTTCCATTTATAAAGTACAGGCAGAGTAGATTTAGCATAATTCTTAAGGGCCCTCGAATTTTGAGAACAGTCAATGAGCATTGGCTTCACCAGCTGCATTAGTCCCTAACAAGAAAGTCAGCCTATTCTTTGAAACCAAGCATTGACTTGTAACTATAAAGTCCTAGTTGGCTTCTTCTTCCAATAGAAGACGATTTTATCGACATGAAAATCTGTTTAGTGTAACTACCATCAGTGATTTTAGCTAAATCTGTATAACTTGCTGTAGTGTCTCCATTAGCACTTGCTGCTTCACCTTGCACTTGCCTTCACAGAGAGGTAGGCTCTTGCTCTAGATTAGGTTTTGGCTTAAGGGAATGTTGTGGATAGTTTGATCTATCCAGACCAAACTTTCTCCACATTAGCAATAAGGCTGTTGTGCTTTCTTATCATTCGTGCATTTTACTAAAGTAGTCCCTTCAAGAACTCTCCCTGTGCATTCACAACTTGGCTGTTTGGCATAAGAGGCCTAGCTTTGAGCCTGTAACTTTCAACATACCCTCCTCACTAAGCTTAATCATTTCTAGCTTTTGATTTAAAATGAGAAATGTGCGAGTCTTCCTTTCACTTGAACATTTACAGGCTATTGTAGGGTTATTTGGCCTAAGTTCAATATTACTGAGTCTCAGGGGATAGGAAGGCCTAAGGAAAAGGAGAGAGAAGGGGGATCATCCAGTAGGCAGAGCAGTCAGAACACACATGTATTAAGTTTGCCTTCTTACATGAGTGTGGTTAGTGGCACTCTCAAAACAATTGCAATAGTAATGTCAAAGGTCACCAATCACCATAACAGATTACCAAAATATAACACAGAGACAAAGTGAGCACATGCTGTTTGTAACAGTGCAATATATGGAAGCACAATAAAATAGGGCAGGCCTGTAATTACATGATGGCGGAAAGCTTGCTGCATTCTTTAATCTTTATCATGAGAATCAAAGATTCCCCCTATAAAGAAATAAAATTAGAGATAGGGAATGTAAGGGGGAAAATTGGTTTATTCCCTGCTTCTTGGTGATTATGTGTAATACTCACTCTAATTTAAGCATTTTATGAATAAGCAATTTTCATCAAACTATGGAGGCTGTAAGTTACATAGGCAAATTTGGATTTGAACTTGATGGCTATTCTAGTAGTTTTGAAATGATATCATCCCAGGTTCTTGCCTTAGCTACAAAATTTCAGTCCAAGTTTAGCTACAAACCTCATGGGAGAATATCAAATGTAAGTTTAAAATTTAGTATTTATTCATATAAAGGTTTACAGACTTGATTTCAATGAAGAAAAGCCATCTTCCCCCCCACCATCTCCCTCTCACACCCCTTTGAAAGCTTAAATTATATTTTATAAAAGTACTTTATATATTGTTCCTCAAGGAAGAGATCAATATACAGTTACCTACCCCATTCCCATATATGCCTTTAAAAAAAAAATCACTTTACTAATTACCGAGTAGCATACAGAAGTAAAACCAAGTTTTAAAAAAATGCACCGCAGTTCTGAAGATAGAATTCATTTTTCTCATCTGGTAGACATAGCTTTGCAGGTCTTCATTTAATTTGCTGGAAGAAAGTTATTTAATAGATCAGTAATAGACTTTTTAAAAGTCTTGTCCATTCATACTGAGCTATCTGATATTTTAGTAATAGAAGATTCTTTAATAAAAAATTATTAGGAGGGAAAATCCTAGCATTTACCTTTGTGTATCTGAAGATACAATGCTAACTTTTTAATTCTAATATAATGCAGATGTCATTTAGAAAAATTCACGTTTTATACATATACATACATTATATATACATTTATATGTATACATATATACATACATACATATATATACACGTGTGTGTCTGTGTATATATATAACTTTTTTTTTTTTAGAGACAGGGTTTCACCATGTTGGCCATGCTGGTCTCAAACTCCTGACCTCAGGTGATCCACCTGCCTCAGCCTCCCAAAGTGCTAGGATTACAGACGTGAGCCACTGTACCTGGCCAATATTCTCCTTCTAGATAGTGTTTTAGATTTTTAGTTTACCAGACTTGTCGAATCAGAGTTTCTTAGAGTAGTTGTAACACAGAATCAACACCACTTTAAAACTATTGACCAGGTTGGTTCATCCAAATTATTAGGATGCTGTCTGTATGTGTTGTTGGAAGGAAGTTACTATTTTTGCCATGTTCTTATAAACATTTCTAGAAGCTGTATTGGTGTCAGTCAGGTGGTTTCATATGGTAACCACTCACAACACTGAAGTAGGGGGAGTGGGTGTGGGTGTGTATTTTAAGATTTTTCCCAAAGACATGTAGCCAGTTAGCCCAGACAATTGTATGTATTGAACCTACTTGTTTGTTTAAAAGGCTATAAACAATCATGCAGAATCATTTCCCCATAGTGCTAAAACCAAGTCCCAGTCAACAGAAGAGGAAAAGCCTTCTAGGTGGATATGACTTGAATAGGAGATTCTAGATGGTGAGTCAGGTTTCCATTTATATGTATCATTATTTGCAAAATTAAGTGACGCTAAATTCCTATCCCTTAGTGTTACAGTCTGGTTTAAATTCTAGCCTCACTACAATATTAGTGTGCTCCTTTATACAAGTTGCTCGACTTGTGTCTTAGTTTCCTCATTTGTATAAAGGATCTGATAATCCTTTTGCTTATAATTAAAAGGAAGCACATGAATCATGTAAGTCTCTGGCTTTAAGCACTCAATGACTGGATCACCTTTCCAAGTAAGGAACCTAAACAAAGCCCTGCATTCACAATTACATAATAGATCACCTAATCTGATTAAAATGCATTGTTACATTAAAAATAAACTAGACTTAAAGATAGGCAAACTAGGCCGGGCACGGTGGCTCACATCTGTAATTCCAGCACTTTAGGAGGCCAAGACAGGTGGATCATTTGAGGTCAGGAGTTCGAGACCAGCCTGGCCAACATGGTGAAACCTCGTCTCTACCAAAAATACAAAAAATTAGCCAGGCATGGTGGCACGTGCATGTAGTCCCAGCTACTTGGGAGGCTGAGGCAGGAGAAGCACTTAAACCCAGGAGGTGGAGGTTGCAGTGAGCCAAGATCACACCACTGCACTCCAGCCTGGGCAACAGAGTCAGACTCTGTCTTAAAAAAAAAAAAAAAAAAAGAAAGAAAAGTGGGAAGGATAGAATCCTCAGGCCTCTACAACTGTTACTAGAAAAACAAAGTCCTTGTTATTCAAACTACAACTTTACAGAAAGAAATCTGATATGAATTATTAGTTATTTTAACTACAATGATGCCCATATACCAAGTTCATTTGCTCTGGGCAAAAGTGGTAGTTGAAAAGACTTCAGAGTTCCCTGCATCACTCACCTGGAGGGCCCGTCCTTTGGTTTCGATGGGGAGAGTGAATGCAGAAATGGCGCATACAACACAGACAGATGAGAAGAGACACAGGGCCCCCAGTATTGATGCACTCATAAGAACCTGCAAGTCACAAGAGAATTACTCAATTTATTATGCTCCAGTTACCTCTAAACTGTTCTTTATGTGAAAGAGAAAATACAGATTCACTTCACTAAGATGGTCCTTTGCAGCCATTCTACAGGTTGTACCTTCCTGACAAATTGATTTATCTGAGCCAATCTGGTGTAGTCATTTTGTGTGATTAGTCCAAGAACAGGAACTGGTATTAACACGCATTGGCCAGGTAAGACCTCTCTTGGCATCCACCTGTCAGGCATCTCCAGAGCCAAGTTTTGATATATGGAAAAGATGGGGGATCTGCCCGTTTCCCCACCCCCTTTCTCATACCATTTCAGCTTGCTTAACTTCTAACTCTCACTTCATGCTATATCCTCTGTCTGCCAAATATCCATTATCTCTTCAGTCCTGACAGCATGAAACAGGTGAAAGTTTTTTTTGGAAGAGGTGTTATCTCAGAGTCTCTGAAAGGATTGCTAATGTGTCTTGTCTCCGGTTATGGAGTTGTGTGACACCAAAACTCTTTGGTGTCAATTTTTCCACAGTAACTGGGTTTCTGTCCATCTGTACACATGCTTTGGCCTGGATCTTTTCACGCAGATACTGGTAATTCAGATACTCCATCTCATACTTTAGTTTCTCTTGGTCTGTGTTCTTGATAGTTCTCCATTAATCTCACAACGACAGTAAAGTATGAAGTGGTTAACCAACAGCAAAGCTCTCTAGAATCACAGAATAATGTATTATAATTTAGAAAGACCTAGAAACTATCTGGCTGAATACAATTTCTTCCCTTTACAGATGAGCCTAGACTAAGTGACTAGTCTCAGTAATTACTTGTCCAAAGTCACATACAGATCCTGACACACAGCCTAGTGTTACCACCACCACTTAGCTTCTCTTATGATACACAATTTGGGAGCGTACCTCCTGTGTTTCAGGGCTGCTGCTTTCCAAAACACTAAATAATTCCACTCACCGTGCAAACAGAACCCACAACATTGATCTCACTAATTATTTTGCAATTGACCTAGCAAGTGACAGGTACTAATGCTGATTTTGTCTCCCAAAATAATTACAATTTTCCCCAAACAGGAGTTTGTATAACGTCTGCGTGTGTGTGTGTGTGTGTGTGTGTGTGTTTTACTGCTGGAAATCTTGGAAGCAAGCTCAGAAAAGGGATAGAAACCAAAAGGCCAGGCAGTCTAAACTAAGATCAGATCATGCCATAATTAGGCATGTGTCTAGATTCTGTCATTATTGCCACTTCTATTACTGGACACCAGAATTCTCGCCACCACCAGAATGAATCCTAAACTGTCCCCATTTTACATCCTTTACACCACATTTAAAGTCCTGGGTGGTGTGAGACCCGGATGGGTTGAGTTTGTTTGGGTCACCTAACTGTGCTCCAGCAGCCAGGGTCAGGGAGAGTAACTGCCTAGGCTTTTTGCCTTCCCTGAAGCTTCGTAACAAGACTCCACAATCCAGTAGATGTTACTGGGTATTTTTCCAATAAATTCTACCTAAGTTTACTAAAGTCAGTTTCTGTTGTCTGTAAGCAAGAACTCTGAGTAATACCTGATTATAAAAATCATTTTGGAAATTTGTTAAAATGCAGATTTTTGGAGACCACTCCAGATTTACTGTATCAAAAGGAAAAAGATCTGTTGTTAATCTCTTCTTCTAAAAAGCAGCCCAGACCAGGAATAGAGAGACATTACATGATGACACAAGGGTCAATCCACCAAGAAGACGTAGCTATACTGAAGGTTATACATCAAATAAAAGAGCTTCAAAATACATTTAGCAAAACTGTTAGAAATAAAAGGAAAAATAGACATCCACAAATAGTTGGAGACTTTAATACTCCTACCTCAACAATTGATAGGACTATTAGACAGCAAATCAGCATAGAATTTTATGACACCATCAAGCAATGGGATCTAACTGACACTTGTAGGACAGGCCACCCAATAACAGAATACATCTTCTGTTCAGGTGCCCACTTAACATTCACCAAGATAAACCATATCCAGGGCCCTAAAAGGATCCTCAAGAGATTTAAAAGAATTGAAATCATAGAGTGTGTTCTAGTCCTAAAAGGATGTCAAGCTAAGAACAGGTAACAGCAAAATATCCAAACACTTCTATGTAATCCATGCACTAAAGAAGTCTCAAGAAAAATTAAAAATACATGGAATGGAATGAAAACACAACATGTTAAATTTATAGGACACAACTAATAGGAACAAAAATAGAATACTTAGGAATAAACAAGAAATGTATAAGAAAATTATAACTCTATTAAGTACATTAAAAAATCTACTTCAGTTCTTAGGCAAATACAATCTTGTAAAAATATAATCTTCACCAAAACAATCTGTAATTCTAATAGAAATTAAAATCCCAGCAGGATTTTGAGAAAAAACTAATTCTAAAGTTAAGTTGGCTGGGCAGAGTAGCATGCACCTGTAGTCCCAGATACTTGGGAGGTTAAGGCAGGAGGATCACTTAAGGCCAGGAGTTAGAGGCTGCAGTGTTCTATAATTGCACCTGAGAATAGTCCCTATAATTGTACTCCAACCTGGGCAACATAGTGAGATCCGTCTCCAAAAAAAAAAAAAAAACCAAAAAAAAAAGAAATACAGAAATGTCAAAAGACAAATTACAACAAACTTTTTAAATAAACTGGATTCTTTATGTAGTAAAGTTAATTTGAAAGAATTAACACATAAAAAAATTAGGCAACTTCTGAAAATGTGGGGGTATAGGGAGTCAGAGAGGTTATTTGCCTAGGAGGAATTAAAGTTGCAATCATTAGCAGTGTAGTGTTGGTGCTGGAATAAAGAGATCAGTAAAGCAATGAGTCACAAAATAGATCCAAGTATCTATGGACATTTGGTTTATTATAACAGGGAAATGTTTAATCATTTGAGGGGTGACACACAAGGATGATTGATGGCCTAGGAACAGCCAGCTAGGCATTGTTTTGTTGCTTTTTCATTGTTTTGTTGCTTTTTAGAGCTAGATCCTTACTTCAGGCCTATGTATAAATAAATTATGAAAAAATCAATTTGCCAGGCGTGGTGGCTCATGCCTGTAATCCCAGCACTTTGGGAGGCCAAGGCAGGTGGATCACCTGAGGTCAGGAGTTCAAGACCAGCCTGACCAACAAGGTGAAACCCCGTCTCTACTAAAAGTAGAAAAATTAGCAGGGCGTGGTGGTGTGCACCTGTGGTCCCAGCTACTCGGGAGGCTGAGACAGGAGAATTGCTTGAACCCAGGAGGCAGAGGTTGCAGTGAGCTGAGGACACACCACTGCACTCCAGCCTGGACGATGGAGCGAGACTCCGTCTCAAAAAAAAAAAAAAAAAGGAAAAAAAATCAATTTAAAGTTACATGTAACACTGAAAGCCTCTGAACTTTCATTTTTATAAATATTTGCAGAAATATGAACAAGTGATGAAGGCCATTTAAGCCTGATGGAAAACAAACACCTTAAGTGAAAATAATTGGTAAACTGACTATATACAAATTTAATATTTTGTTTGCCAAAAAACTTGATAGTAAAACCAAATTAGAAACAATGTAAAAACATCTGTAGTATGATGATACATGGCTAATAGCCTGTAGAAAAATTGCAAATTACATTAAAAATTTAATAAAATATGACGATAGTAAATGAAAGCTGCTCAAATTGATTAATAATGAACAAAGTGCAAATTAAGACAAGATATAATTTATCGTTCACCAGATTGAAAAGGGTTTAAAAACTTGCTATCCCTGGCCAGGCACAGTGGCTCACATCTGTAACTGTAGAGCTTTGGGCAGCTGAGCTGGGAGGATCTCTAGCTAGAGCCCAGGAGTTCATGACCATCCTGGGCAACAGAGGGAGACCCTGTCTCTACAAATAATAAAAAAATTAGTCAGACACAGCAGCACACGCCTGTACTCCCAGCTACTCAGAAGGCTGAGGTGGAAGGATCGCTGGAGCCCAGGAGTTTGAAGCTGCAATGAGCCATGATTGTGCCATTGCATTCCAGTCTCGGTGACAGAGCGAGACAGTGTCTCAAAAGAAAAAAAAAATGCTATCCCTTTTGGTGATGATGAAAAGAAACGGATGCTTGTTTAACAATGTGTTTATAGACCTGAATAGACATTTCTCCAAAGAAGCCATACAAATGGCCAAGAGGTATATGAAAATGTGCTCAACCTCACTGATCATCAGGAAAATGAAAATCAAAACCACAGTAAGATACATCACCTCACATGTCTATCACAAACACGAGATAAGCTTTGGCGAGAATGTAGAGAAAGGAAACTGACTGTCAGTGGTAAAGCCACTATGGAAAATCCTGTGGATATTCCTAAGGAAGTTAAAAGTAGTACTACCAGAGGATTCAGCAATCCCTCTGCTGGATACACACCCTAAGAAAATAGGCCGGGCGCGGTGGCTCACACCTGTAATCCCAGCACTTTGGGAGGCTGAGGCGGGTGGATCACAAGGTCAGGAGATCGAGACCATCCTGGCTAACATGGTGAAACCCTGTCTCTACTAAAAAATACAAAAAATTAGCCGGGCGTGGTGGCAGGCACCTGTAGTCCCAGCTACTTGGGAGGCTGAGGTAGGAGAATGGCGTGAATTCGGGAGGCGGAGCTTGCAGTGAGCCAAGATCGTGCCACTGCACTCTAGCCTGGGCGACAGAGCGAGATTCCATCTCAAAAAAAAAAAAAAAAAAGAAAAGAAAATCACCACCTTGTAAAGATATCTGCACTCCTACCACAAATGCTCATTGCAGCATTATTCACAGCAGTCAAAATATGGAAACAAGTCAAGTGTCCACCAACAGATGAATAAAGTGTGATATATACATACAATGAAAGAAGAGTCCGCCTTGAAAAAGGAGGAAATGCCATTTGCAACAACATGAATGAGCCTAGAGGACATTATGCTAAAAACTAATAATAAGAAGCCAGGCACAAAAAGACAAATACTGCATGCTCTCTCTTATATGTGGAATCTAAAAAAGAAAAAAAAAATCAGATACATAGAATAAAACGGTGATTACCAGGGGTAGGGGGAAATGGGAAGATGTAGGGGAGAAAAAAAGAAAGTTTCTAATAAATTATTATACTGAGAAGTGCATACTTTTAAAAAATATAAAACATAATTTGATAAGATTGGTCATCCACTTTTAAATGTACACTCTTTGGACCTAGAAATTATTCAATAGACTTTTTCTACAGAATTCTGCTTTTCCCTCCAACATGCTCCTGAGTCCCTGCCTTACTTCCCACGTGTCTCTGCCCTATTGTAGAAGCTCTCTCTAACCACCTCATCACTAGCTCCTTTGCCTGTTTTATGTTTTCATAGCATTAATCATTATCTGATGTATTAACTGACTGTTCATCCCTTGTCCGTTCTCCACTAGTATGTAACTTCAAAGAATCAGACCTTGACTATTTTAAAGTGTGTGGAACATAAAAGGGCTCAATAACTGTATGTTAAATGATTAAAATAGTTGCACATAAGCTGGGCATGGTGGTGCATGCTTATAGTCCCAAATATTCGAAGGCTGAGGTGGGAGGATCACTTGAGCCCAAAGTTTGAGGCTACAGTGATCCATGATCACTCCTGTGAATAGCCTCTGCAGCCTGGGCAACAAAGCAAGATCCCATCTCTTGAAAAAAAATACTCACATGTGGACAAAGGCGTGTTGTGCATAATGTTCAGTTTCCCATTGCTTGTAAATAGCAGAAAAAAATAAAATGCAAACAATGTATTCATTGACAAGGTGATGGCTATCTAATTATGGCACATACATGCCACAGAAATCTATGCACCTACTTAAAAGAATGAGGGTAATCTACATGTACTGACATAAGATTATTAGTGAGAAAAGGCAGTTGCTATATATATATATATATATATATATATATATATATGTAGATGTGTGTGTTTATACACAGACATGTCTACATATATATTCACACAGATGTAGCTATATGCTGTAAAGAGGTGTCTGACTCCATCCGACATTTGCTGATGGCCTTTAAGCCTCACTCCTCCCCCTTCCTTTTGTGTTCCACATCTGGACAAGCTTATGAGAAAGCCTGAGTGCTCCTTCCTTTGGTGCCAGCAGGAGGCTTAAACCACAAAAGCCCCTGCCCTTGCATAGGCACCCTCAACCCCATTTCCACCCCTAACCACAGTCCCCTTCTCTTGCTCTCTCAGGCCATTTCTGACCTGCTTGAGAGGTCTGTCCTGCTCTCCCAGGACCTCAATTTTGTAAAGTAAGGTAAGAAACCTTTTTATGCCCTCTTGGTGTGTGTTCGTGTCATCAGTCTCAACAAGTGAACCAAACTTTGAAAAGGGGGTTATCCATCTGCCTCTGCAGGTCACCATAACACAGATATATCTAGATAGATATACAGATATTCATGGAAGTAACTCTATCTACAGATACACATGCATCTGTATATAATACATATAACATGTATATAAAACACACATCTATATATACATACACATCCACATATATACAAATATGACTGGAACACACACAGACATGCCCAGAGAGACAAAACATATGTATATGAAAGCATCTGGAAGAACTACAGTGATTATCTCTGGCAATAAATTACAGATAATTTTCCCTTATAACTTACAGGTCACATTTGACAGTTTACTTTAGAAACAAGCAGGCTTCCAAATTAATCCATTTTGGGGAGGTCTTGTGATTTGATGGTGACATTCTGTCTCCAAGTAAAGAAACCTATGGTAAATTCCTCACATTGTTGATGTACTGATCAATGTATAACCTGCTGACACTGAATAGGGTGTGGATGTATTTTAAGATCAGCTAAAGCAGGCCGGGTGCGGTGGCTCATGCCTGTAATCCCAGCACTTTGGAAGGCTGAGGCAGGTGGATCAATTCAGGCCAGGAGTTTGAGACCAGCCTGGCCAACACAGTGAAACCCCTTCTCTACTAATAAAAAATTAGCTGGGCATGCACCTGGGGTCCCAGCTACTCAGGAGGCTGAGGCACAAGAATTGCTTGAACCCGGCAGGCAGAGGTTGCAGTGAGCGGAGATTGCACCACTGCACTTCAGCCTGGGCGACAGAGTGAGACTCTGTCTAAAAAACAGATTAGATGAAGCATGAAATTTTACTATCTTGCACATAGACCTTTGTAGCCTGTATGTTGTAATCTGCAGCTAATGAATGTAACCTCTGTATTATACCCTCCAATGAAAAGAGGAAAACTCTGACATGAAAGACCTCCTTCTCTTCTTTTAAACTTTCTTATAAAAACCTTTCTCCTTGTGACAGACTCCAGAACACTCCCAACTTTGTGGTCATCACATTTGGCTTTCGATAAACCTTTACAAAATTATTTCTGTCTCAAAAACCTTAATTTATTCTTTTTTTTTTTTTTTTTTTTTTTCATTGAGACAGCGTCTCACTCTGTTGCCCAAGCTGAGTGCAGTGGTGTGGTCACGACTCACTGCAGTGTCGACCTCCTGGGCTCAAGTGATCCTCTCAGCTCAGCCTCTCAAGTAGCTGGGACTACAGACATATGCCACCACACCCAGCTAGTTTTTTTATTTTTTGTAGACATGGGGTCCCACTGTGTTGCTCAGGCTGGTCTCAGACTCCCAGGATGAAGCAATCCTCCCACTTTGACCTCCTAAAGCACTGAGAGTACAGGCGTAAGCCACCATGCCTGGTCAACAGCCTTAATTTTGATGATATTCAGTTACATACTTCTATGAAGCTTTACAACAAGCATATTTTTATATTAAGAAAACAATGTAAATGACTGTAAATCTTGTTAATATAAAATATGTTAATATAGTGGGCTGGGCATGGTGGCTTACGCCTGTAATCCCAGCACATTGGGAGGCCAAGGCGGGAGGATCACCTGAGGTCAGAAGTTCAAGACCAGCCTGGCTAACATGCCAAAACCCCGTCTCTATTAAAAACACAAAAAAAGCTAGCCAGGCGTGGTGGCAGGCACCTGTAAATCCCAGCTACTTGGGAGGCTGAGGCAGGAGAGTCTCTTGAACCTGGGAGGCAGAGGTTGCAGTGAGCCAAAATTGTGCCATTACACTCCAACCTGGGCAACAGAGCAAAACTTTATCTCAAAAAAAAAAAAAAAAAAAAAAAGTTAATATAAGAAATAATGGAAACAATGAACTATTCTTCCAATTCAAGAAGTTAAAGTTAATAAACCTAAGAAATTAGTGCAATGGAAATAAAAACAAAAGCTTAAGTGAATACACTGGAAAATAGAAACAAATGGGGTTGATAAATTGATGCATGAAATATTTTATTTTACGAAAAAATAAACCTAGTTAGAAATTAAAGTAAAAAATCATGGCATTAAGAATGTGAAAGAAGGTTGGGTGTAGTGGTGCATAACTGTAATCCCAGCACTTTGGGAGGCTGAGATGGGAGGGTCACCTGAAGCCAGGAGTTCAAGACTGGCCTGGGCAACACAATGAGCCCTGAGCTCTAAAAAAGAGAAAAAAATGTGAAAGAGAAAATAATCGCTAATGTAGAGGAAATGAAAAGAACCACAAGAGAATTCTCCCCACAGTTCAATGCTAATAAATTTGAATGAAGCATTCAATAAAAATGTTTCCTGACATTTATTTAAAAAAAAAAAAAAAAAGGATAAAACTAAGAGAAACAACCAGAGAAGAAACGGAGAATGACCAAAGAACAACATCCTCAAAAGTGCCAGGACTCCCTCTTTCACAGGTAGCTCTTTCAAATCTCCAAGGAACAGAGTCTAGAGAGAAAAGAAAATTTTCCCATGTCTTTTTAATAAGACTAGAATGAAGGCCGGGTGCAGTGGCTCACGCCTGTAATCCTAGCACTTTGGGAGGCCGAGGCAGATGGATCACCCAAGGTCAGGAGCTTGAGATCAGCCTGGCCAACACAGCGAAACCCGGTCTCTACTAAAAATACAAAAATTAGCTGAGCGTGGTGGCAGGCGCCTATAATCCCAGCTACTTGGGAGGCTGAGGCAGGAGAATCGCTTGAACCTGGGAGGCAGAAGTTGCAGTGACCCGAGATCATACCACTGCACTCTAACCTGGGCAAAAAAAAAAAAAAAAAAAATAGAATGACAGTCATTCTGGAAACTAACAAGATAAAACACATAACCACAAACAGTCCCAGTCACCATCCATTTATGAGAATTGATTCAAAAATGACAAATACTGTCAAATAAATCTCAATAGTTCACCAGCTGAGGCAAAGGCTCTGGCTGAGAGGGAGTCCTCGCTGGCCACCCAGCATTGCGGTCCAGGGCTCTCCCTCCCCACTCCAGCAGCCTTCGGGTGTTTTCCAATCAACCTCTTGCATGTGCAATTCCATGTTGGCATCTGTTTCTCCAAGGACTCAAATTCATATTTCAGTAAAATAGTTGAATACAAATAAATTTTTTTTTAAATTGTTTTTTTCTATTTAAAAAAAAAAAGCCAGTTAGAAATCATTCATAAAATGTTTTGAGCACCAGGTCACTCAAGTAAGAGTTACTACGGTAGGAGCCGGGAACACAAAAATTAGCCATCTATGCACACGTCCTGGTCCTCATGGCGAGTAAAGTCTATTGGAAGAGATTGATTTTAAATAGCCTGGAAAATAAATGGGCAATTACAATATTGTTGCAGTCTTGTTGTCTGAGGTATTACCTGGAGTTCTTGTCTCACGACCAAGAAAATTAAGGAATGTGGACACCAGGGGTGAGGTTGGAGAGAAAGTTATTAAGCAGAAGAGGAAAGCTCTCCACTGTGGAGAGGGGACCCAGAAGAGGGTTGCCATTTTTCAGTTGAATACAAAAGCTTTTATAAGAAACTTCCCTACCTGTGTAACTTCCCTTATCTGCGTAGTTACTTGTGTAACTGCCCTTATCTGTGCAGCTGTGGGTATGTCTCAGGCAAGCCTCCCTTCTATGCAAGTTCCCACAGAGCCCACTGTGGACATGTCTGAAAGGGGAGGAAATTTTTTCCCAAGGAGCCCGCTCATTACACAAAAAACAAAGGCATCTCCACATTGGGCCTTGCTCCCTTCTCTGTGCAGCTACAGCTTGATTTTTTAGGCTGTTCCTCTGTTTAAAAGAATTCTACAGGCCAGGCACAGTGGCTGTCACCTGTAATCCCAGCACTTTGGGAGGCGGAGGCAGGTGGATCACCTGAGGTCAGGAGTTCAAGACCAGCCTGGCCAACATGGTGAAACCCCATCTTTACTAAAAATACAAAAATGAGCCGGGCGTGGTGGCGCATGCCTGTTATCCCAGCTACTCAGGAGGCTGAGGCAGGAGAATTGCTTGAACCCAGGAGGCAGAGGTTGCAGTGTGCTGGGATCATACCATTGCACTCCAGCCTGGGTGACAGAGCTAGACTCTGTCTCAAGAAAACAAAACAAAACAAAAAAAGAATTCTATGGAGGACTTGCCCTAACTGTCTGCTTAACTGTTTTTTGTTTTTTTTTTCATTCTCCTCTCTCAATACAATAAGTGATATGAAGGAAAAGCTCAAGGTGCCATAAGAGCTCACAGCAGGGAGGCCAGACGGGTTTGGGGAGAGATGTCAGGAGTTTAATTTCAAACATGCTAGATTTAAGATGCTTTTGAGACATCCAGGCGAAAATGCTGGGGAGATAATCAGGTGGATGAATCTGGAGCGAGAAGCAAGGCCTCGTCTAGAGATAGAAGTTTGGGGTTCATGAGGAAGTCACTGGTAACTAAAGTCATAAAATGGATGATACCATCTCAATGGAGAGTGAAATAAGAAACTATAAGGGTCTAATATTGAGCAATAAGAAATCCACAACCAAAGAAAGAGTAGAGGAAGACAAGTCACAAAGACATGGGGAAGCAGCGGCCACAGAGGTCGGAGGAAACCCACAGAGTGCAAGTGATGGAGCCACCAGAAGGGAACACGGGATGCCGGAGGGAGAGCACGGCCAGCAGTCCTTAACGCAGGTCAAAGGTCAGGTGAGATGAGGGGTTAAAACGACCTTTGAACCTAGAGACACAGAGGTCACTGGAGACCTTACCAAGAATGATTTTGGTGGAGTAGAGATGGCTGCAGCCAGCTTGGAGGAGGTGAAGGAATGAGTGGAAGGCAGGAAATGAAGCAGGAAGAGAACTCTTTTAAGGAGGTTAGCTGGAAAGAGGAGAAAAGCAGTAGTGAACAAGGTTGATTTTACAGCTTGGAAGCTGTGGAACCCGAAGCATATTAAATGCTGATTGGAAGCATTCAGCATCAAGGGATAAATAGAAATCGCAGAAGGGCTACAATTATAAACCTGAAAAACTCAAGAGACTCAAATGAGAAAGTATTAGGAATGCATTCAGTAAGCTGGTTGTTTAAAAATCAATATTAAAAAAATCAATAGCCTTCTAAATATAGATAACTACTTGGAATGTTAAAATAGAAGTTATAATGAAAGAAAACAATCCATTCCTAATAACAACAAAATGCCATAAGATGCCTAGGAATAAACATAGCAAGACACATAGGATCTATTTGAAGAAGACAATAAAATCCCAGCAAGGGCCATAGGAGGAAAGATTGGACAAAGAAAGAGACAAACCTTGTTCTTGGATACATAGACAACGCTATCAGAAAAAAAGTCAATTTTTCCTCTATTAGCTGTTACATTGAACACATTAACAATTAAAATGTTAATAGGATTTGGGTGGAATGTTACTAAGTGATTCTGAAAAAGAGCAATGAAGTGGGTTTAGAACAGCCAGTTTAAAAAACGTGCTATAAATCTCATTAGAGTAATAAAAAGAACATGTCAGTGACAAAAGCAGACAGATCAATGGACTAAAATAGCGAGCTAGAAATAGGCCAATTGCGGGAACATAAGCAAACAGACATTTCTAACCTATGAGTAAAAAATGGATTTTCAATACGTCGTGTTGAGACAGCCGGCTTGCCACTGGGGGAAATTGTACAGCTGTTTCCGGCATTGGACCTCACGCCTCAACAGACGCCCACGGCCTGGAAGAGGGCACAGCAGGGATGTCTGGGTCAGAATCTGGGTTGCATTCACTCTGTGAAATGTGAGTAAGTTGGACATGTACGATGTGGGCACTTCCACGTGTATGTTATACTTCAATCAAAAGTGTACACTCCCCCCCCTTGCCCTCTCAAAAAAGAAAATGCCATAGAAGGCCTGGAAGAAAAGAGGTGTGTGTTTTTTATAATCCTAGTTGCAGACTCGAGAAATATACAGAGAAATACTGATACATTTGAGTGTCTATGAACCCCGCACAGAAAAAGGAGAACACGAACAAGAATGAAAGACAAATAACAAATCTCTGCAACGTAATTGCCAAATACGGAATATTTGTAATATGTCAGAAAAACTGCTAAAAATCCTTTATAGACAAACCCACCCACCCACACATATATATACACACATATTTATGAAAGGCTCTTACAGATCCATGCTTTAAAGACTGAATTGAAAAATGGGCAAGTACCTGAGTGGGCAAGCTAAAAAAGATAAATTACCCAATTAAAATATGAATAAGAACATTCAGTACCATTCCTAATAAAAGAAACACTAATTACAATAATAAAGAGGTATCATTTATTGCCAGTGAGATTGGCAAAGATGAAAGACTAACATCTGTGGCCGATATGTGAAGCAACAAGGCTCTCAGGCACTGGGACAAGCTCGCCCAAGAGGACTTGAGCACAATGTACCAAAATGAAAGCGAGCAGACCCCTTCACCTACCAATCCAATTTCTAGGGATTCACCCTAAGGAGATAATTGCACAATTGGATAAAAATGTAAGCACAGCTGGGCCCGATGGCTCACGCCTGTAATCCCAGCACTTTAGGAGCCAAAGTGGGAGGATTGCTTGAGCCCAGGAGTTCAAGCCCAGCCTCCAACCTGGGCAACATGGCAAGACACCACCTCTACAAAAAAAAAAAAAAAAAAAAATAGCAGGGTGTGGTGGTGAGCACCTGCAGTCCCAGCTACTCAGGAGACTGAGATAGGAGGATCATGTGAGCCCAGGAAGTTGAGGTGGCAATAAGCTGTGATCGCACCACTGCCTGTCAGCCTGGGCAACAGAGTGAGACCCTGTCTTAAAACAAAACAAAACAAAAAACAAAAGCAAGCACAAGGATGCTCATTACTGTTTTTTTTTTGGGGGGGGTGGGGGCGTTGGGGGTGGGGAGAGGGATAGAGTCTCGTTCTGCTGCCCAGGATGGAATGCAGTGGCGTGATCTCAGCTCACTGCAACCTCCACCTCCCAGTTTCAATCGATTCTCCTGCTTCAGCCTCCAGAGTAGCTGGGATTAAAGGCACCCGCCACCACACTCAGATAATTTTTGTTTAGTAGAGACGGGGTTTTGCCATGTTGGCCAGGCTGGTTTCTAACTCCTGACCGCAAATGATCCGATGCCTGCCTCAGCCTCCCAAAATTCTGGGATTATAGATGTGAGCCAGCATGCCTAGCCTTATTATTGTGGTTTATATTAAAATCTTTCTGAAATAGTTGAGATGTTCAATAATACAGAACTAACTGAAAAGTAACTTCTGGGATATACATACAATGAAATATTTTTCAGCTTAATGCCTATTTTTTATATTTATGGACATGAAAAATGTCTACAACATACGAACAAAAGATCTTTTTCTTCCTTTTCCTTTCCTTCCTTCCTTTTCTTTTCTTTCTCCCCTCCCTCTCCTCTGTCCATACATAAAAAAAGAAAAAGAGAGAGAGAGTAAAAGAGCAGGCTATAAAAAGTACTATGATATTTGGGTGAAATTTATACTCTTTTTTTTTTTATTTGAGCCTACATCACTAACAATGTATATGCATATTTATACACACACACATAGAAAAATATATTTTAAAAGCCTCATTAAAATGTTTATCTTTGTTATCATTAAATGGTGAGATATTAGTAAAGTTTCAATTCTACTTTGTAGGTTTTTGTGTTTTCAGGATGGAAGAAAAAAAATCACGTGGTCAAAATTGCCCTTGGGAAAACTCTTAAATCACTCAAAATACAGCACACACAAACATATTTATAAATTAGAGGCTAAGATCCTCTCCTTGACCGAACCCTAGCCCAGCTCCTATGAGCCCTCTTCTCCACTAGGCCTTGACCTTGCCCTGACACTTAAACACTAACGTAGTTTCTAAGAGCTCAAGGACACACCCTTATGAGGCTCCAGCCACCCTTGAAGGGCCTCCCTGAGAAAACTCAAGGCTGCCCAAGAATCTATTTGTTCTAGCTGACATCTGAAGATAGGGCCCCAGGTTCCCAGCCTTGACAGAGCCTAACTTTAAAGAGCGCCACTTAGCAAATCCAGGTGGGATTTACACAGACTGACACCCACTTACAGGTATTTGTAATGTTTCACTTCACTGACTGTGCTCAAGCCCCTGCCACCCTCCTAAGACCGCTGCCACTCTCCCTTTGAAACACCCAGTCACCTCTGTACAAATGGAGGCTGAGTTCAGTTCACCGTGGACTCTTCTCTTTTGCAATAGTTATTACTGATTAAAACCTTGGCCGGGCACAGTGGCTCACGCCTGTAATCCCAGCACTTTTCGGAAGCCAAGGTGGACAGATCACTTGAGGTTAGGAGTTTTAGACCAGCCCTGCCAACATGGCAAACCCTCGTCTCTATTAAAAATAAAAAAATTAGTGGGGCATGGTGGTGTGCGCCTGTAGTCCTAGCTACTCGGGACGCTGAGGCATGAGAATTGCTTGAACCCAGGAGGCAGAGGTTGTAGTGGGCTGAGATCGCACCATTGCACTCCAGCCTAGGCGACAGAGCAAGACTCTGTCTCAAAAACCCCCAACCCCAAAACAAAACAAAACAAAACAAAACAAAACAAAAACCAAACCAATCCTTACCCCTTTAACTAGTGCCCAGCTCTGTTGATCTTTGACAACGTACAGTTTCTCAATAAGTTCATGGCTTATTGGAAATCACTTCTGAAAAAATTAAATGGATGTAATTTGATTCCCATTAACTTGTGAAGTTCTCTGTCATCTTACGAGCTGATTTTTTTTCCCCATGCTTCAAGAGAACATCAGGCATTTATATAGGACAAAAAGATCATCTTTCGGCTGTAACCATTAAATTAGGGTTTTTTTGTGACCCTTGAAAGATAAGACTTTGGTTAAAAGATTGAAAATTAAAGCTAGATAGGAGGAATAAGTTCTAATGCTCTATACCATTATGGTATGACAATAGTTAATAATATATAGCTTCGACAACCTACACCTCCCAGCCGCCTGCCTTGGCCTCCCAAAGTGCCGAGATTGCAGCCTCTGCCCGGCCGCCACCCCGTCTGGGAGGTGTGCCCAACAGCTCATTGAGAACGGGCCAGGATGACAATGGCGGCTTTGTGGAATAGAAAGGCGGGAAAGGCGGGGAAAGGATTGGGAAATCGGATGGTTGCCGGGTCTGTGTAGAAAGAGGTAGACATGGGAGACTTTTCATTTTGTTCTGCACTAAGAAAAATTCCTCTGTCTTGGGATCCTGTTGATCTGTGACCTTACCCCCAACCCTGTGCTCTCTGAAACATGTGCTGTGTCCACTCAGGGTTAAATGGATTAAGGGCGGTGCAAGATGTGCTTTGTTAAACAGATGATTGAAGGCAGCATGCTCGTTAAGAGTCATCACCAATCCCTAATCTCAAGTAATCAGGGACACAAACACTGCGGAAGGCCGCAGGGTCCTCTGCCTAGGAAAACCAGAGACCTTTGTTCACTTGTTTATCTGCTGACCTTCCCTCCACTATTGTCCCATGACCCTGCCAAATCCCCCTCTGTGAGAAACACCCAAGAATTATCAATAAAAAAATAAATTAAAAAAAAAAAAAAAAAATAAAATAAAAAATAAAAAAAAAATAAAAAAAAAAAAAAAAGAAAGATAAGACTTTATCTTTCATCCTTATCCAAGCCAGACTTAATTTTTTTTTTTTTTTTTTGGTGAGAGAGAGAAAGTCTCGCTCTATCGCCCAGGCTGGAGTATAGTGGTGTGATCTTAGCTCACTGCACCTCCGCCTCCCAGGTTCTAAGGGATTCTCCTGCCTCAGCCTCCTGAGTAGCTGGGATTACAGGTGCCTGCCACCATGCCCAGCTAATATTGTATTTTTAGTAGAAACTGGTTTTCACCATGTTGGCCAGGCTGGTCTCGAACTCCTGACCTCAGATGATCAATCAGCCTCGGCCTCCCAAAGTGCTGGGATTACAGGCATGAGCCACCGCGCCTGGCCAGAAATGTAAATTTTTTACGCAGTCAGGTTTACCATGTTTTCCTATATCTTTATACTATAATAGAAAGGGTTTTCCAGAATTCTGAAATCTCCTCTTTCATGGCAATAATACATGGCAATGTGAACTGAGAGTTGTCTTATAAGCTTACTCTACCCTTTCCCTCCTCCAATTTACTCTCTGCAAGCAACCAGAGTGATCTTTTTATTATCTTTTTATTTTTTTGAGACAGAGTCTCACTCTGTCAGCCAGGCTGGAGTGCAGCGGCACAATCCTGGCTCACTGTCACCTCTGTCCCCAGGGTTCCAGCGATTCTCCTGCCTCAGCCTCCCAACTAGCTGGGACTACAGACGCGTGCCACCACGCCTGGCTAATTTTTGTATTTTTAGTAGAGATGGGGTTTCACCATGTTGGCCAGGCTGGTCTCGAACCCCTGACTTCAGGTGATCCACCCGCCTCGGCCTCCCAAAGTGCTGAGATTACAGGCATGAGCCACCGTGACAGGCCAGAGTGATCTTTTTAAAAAACAAAACTGATCATATCCCTCACCTGCTTAAAACCCTTAAAGTTTTCCCCACTGCTCCTAAGGTAAAAATCTAAAGTCCTTAATATGCCTGGAAGGCACATTCTGCCCCTGCACTTCTCTCCATTTGGCTCACCATGGCTATTTCCTATTCCTGGAACACACTGATGTCTGTCCCACCTCGAGGCCCTCAAACCAGCAGTCATTCTACTTGAAATGCTGTTTCCCTTTACACAGCATTCAACTTCTCATATTTCAGATCTCAACTTCAGTATCACCTTCCCAGAGAGGACTACCTAAAAAAGCCTGTCACCCCTTTTACTCATTACCATAGTACCTCCAAAGCACTAATCACAATCTGGAATTATTTTACATTAATTGCATATTGATAAAGTACCCAACTTGAATGTAAGCCTCTTGAGGGCAGGAACCTTGTGGTGGTGTGCTGTCAAATGTTCAACAACAGGTTCTCAAAAAACCCAAGGCCCTGACTTACATCATTTGTCAATTTCCACAGTGTACACACTAGCACCATGACTAATTTCAACAATGTGACATTAACCAGTTTGCGATTTTTCCTGAAAATTTAACCATCGGCTTTCAAAAGTGAGTCCAGGCCAGCTCCAGCACACCACTGGCACCTCATCTGGCTTATTGATTACTGCAAATAAATAGAACTAGAACAATGGCAGGCACAGAGGACAAGTTCAATAAATGTTTTGAACATTCAGTTGGGATAAAATAATTCTTGATTCTATGCTAACAAATAGACTGCAGCTAATTGAGTCTCTTTTGGTGCTCTAACTGCCAAACTACATAAGAAGTCCTCTAAAACTTGTAGAGAATTACTCCAGAAAGAACTTACTGAATGGTCACCAAAATAGGACCCTGAATTAAGGAATTCTCCTTCCTCCTAACAGAGTCTCTGTTTGTCTACTTTGCTCTCTTCTGAAGCCTGAAAGGCTGAATGATTTCAGCTAGAAAAAGCAGAGAAGACAAGCAAATATATCAGAGTTTGTACAAGGCTAGTTCCGCTGAATTTTGGCAGCATTTCAACTTTTTTTTTTTTTTTTTTTTTGAGACAGAGTGTCACTCTGTTGCCCAGGCTGGAGTGCAATGGCGCGATCTCAGCTCACTGCAACCTCCGCCTCCTGGGTTCAAGTGACTCTCCCGCCTCAGCCTCCTGAGTAGCTGGGATTGCAGACGTGTGCCACCATACCTGGCTAATTTTTGTATTTTTAGTAGAGATGGGGTTTCACCATATTGGCCAGGCTGGTCTTGAACTCCTGACCTCAAATGATCCACCCACCTCAGCCTCCCAAAGTGTTAGGATTACAGGTGTGGACCACCACGCCCGGCTGGCATTTGAACTTCAAAGGGGTGATAAGGTTGAAGGGACGAGGCTGGAGATTTGGGGATGACAGCTATGCGACTGACGACAACGGAAGTGAGTCAGGCAAAGAGGCTGTTTAAAAGTTTTGCTCGAGTCACAAATGGGCTTTTCCACTGACATCTCTTTGAGGAGATTTTATAGAGATTTTAAATGCTTTTCAATGCTTTTTTTGGATGCTGGACCATCTCATTTGATGAAAACACCATGTGAAGTCTGGCCACAGGGAGAGGTCTTGGTTGCATTACCCAAATCACAGCCGCACACCGTGAGGCTGTCAGGGCCTGTGCTGCAAGCCTAGGGTAAATCCCAAAGCCATGGACATGCTGAAAGGACTTTAACATCCATAGTAGGTTCCAGCAGTGCACACGTCACTGAACCAAGGAATGCCTGGTGTTATGGACTGGGTGCTTTTGTCCCTCCAAAATTCATAGGTGGAATCCTCAATATGATGGTATCACAGTTGGATGTGGGGCCTTTGGGGATGATCAGGTCATGATGGTGGAGCACTCATGAATGGAATTAGTGTCCTTAAAAAAAGAGATCACAAGGCTGGGCACGATGGCTCACGCCTGTAATCCCAGCACTTTGGGAGGCCGAGATGGGCAGATCACGAAGTCAGGAGATCAAGACCATCCTGGCTAACACAGTGAAACCCGGTCTCTACTAAAAATACAAAAAATTAGCCGGGCGTGGTGGCGGGCGCCTGTAGTCCCAGCTACTCGGGAGGCTGAGGCAGGAGAATGGCGTGAATCAGGAGGCAGAGCTTGCAGTGAGCCAAGATCGTGCCACTGCACTCCATCCTGCCTGGGTGACAGAGCGAGACTCCGTCTCCAAAAAAAAAAAAAAAAAAAAAAAAAAAAGTTTGAGACCAGCCTGGCCAACATGGTAAAATCCCATCTCTACTAAAAATACAAAAATTAGCTAGGCATGGTGGCAGGTGCCTGTAGTCTCAGCTACTTGGAAGGCTGAGGCAGGAGAACTGTTTGAACCTGGGAGGCGGAGGTTGCAGTGAGCCGACATCACACCACTGCACTCCAGCCTGGGCGACAGAGTGAGACTCCGTCTGGGGGAGGAAAAAAAAGATCACAGATGTACCACCCAGTTTAAGAAAGGAAAAATTTTTTAAAAAATAAAACAAAAATAAAAGACCAGAAAAAACTCTTTCCCCTCTTTCTGGATGTGAGGACACAAGAAGGTAGCTGTCTCCAAGCCGAGAAGAGAGCCCTCACTAGACCCAGTTTAAGAAAGGAAAAAAATTTTTAAATAAAATAAAAATAAAAGAGACCAGAAAAAACTCTTTCCCCTCTTTCTGGATGTGAGGACACAAGAAGGTAGCTGTCTCCAAGCCGAGAAGAGAGCCCTCACTAGAACCCAAACATGTGGGTGCCCGATCTTGAACTTCAAGCCTCCAGAACTATGAGAAATAAGTTTCTGTTTTTATAAGCCACCCAGAGTCTGTGGTACATGCTATAGCAGCCTGAACTAAGACACCTAGCTAGGGCTAAAGTGACTGATCTCTTGAAGTTTCCCAGAATAAGTGCGGAGGCAGCCCTTGACCTATTGGCAGAGGCCTTGCACTGGTCCCTTCTGTGTTTCAGTGAATCTTTAATACTTTTTTTTTTTTTGAGATGGAGTTTTGCTCTTGTTGACCAGGCTGGAGTGCAATGGCATGATCTTGACTCACCACAAACTCCGCCTCCCAGGTTCAAGCAATTCTCCTGCCTGAGCCTCCCGAATAGCTGGGATTACAGGCGCGCATCAACAAACCCAGCTAATTTTATATTTTTAGTAGAGACAGGGTTTCTCCATGTTGGTCAGGCTGGTCTCGAGCTCCTGACCTCAGGTAATCCACCGGCCTCAGCCGCCCAAAGTGCTGGGATTACAGACATGAGCCACCACACCTGGCCCTGAATCTTTAAATACTTTTGTTGCAAAATTTTCCTTTATTGTTTTCTTGGACTACATACTCATGACTACTATTATTTTTTACTATCATTAGTTTCTAACAACTAAATATCTTAAAATGTTCTTAAAGTTTTTCAGTGGGTGAATTATTATTAATTAATTTGTTTATTTATGACAGAGTCTTACTCTGTTGTCCAGGCTAGAGTGCAGTGGTGCAAACATAGCTCATCACAGCCTCGAACTCCCAGGCTCAACCAAGTCTCACACTTCAGCCTCCTGAGTAGCTGGGACTATAGGTGCATGCCATCATGCCTGGCTGGAACATTCAATTAATTAATTTATTTATTTATTCTGAGACAGAGTCTCGCTTTGTCATCCAGGCTGCCGTGCAGTGGCACAATCTTGGCTCAGTGCAACCTCCATCTCCCAGGTTCAAGCGATTCTTATGCCTCAGCCTCCCAACTATCTGGGATTACAGGCACCCTCCACCACGCCTGGCCTAATTCTTATATTTTTAGTAGAGACGAGGTTTCACCGTGTTGGCCAGGCTGGTCTCTAACTCCTGGCCTCATGTGATCTGTCCACCTTGGCCTCCCAAAGTGCTGGGATTACAGGTGTGAGTTACTGTGCCCAGCCTGAAACATTCATTTTAAAAGAGACTTTTGTATTAAGCTTATAGTCATTAGGATATGTAAACATATTACTGATTAAAATTTTTAGTTTAACTGGTTTAACAGCATGTTTTAGGCAAAAAAATAAGAAGGAGGAGCAAGAAGAAGGAAAAAGAAAAAGTGGAAGAACAAGAGGAAGAATTAAGTGAAAGGAAGAACTCATCTCCCAGTCCTCCCTATTGATAGCTGTGCCTCCCCAGAGGGTGGCCCGCCATCAGCTGCATCAGATTTGCTGGGGATACTTAAAAATATAAGTAACTGAGGCCAGGCTCAGCGGTTCACACCTGTAATCCCAGCACTTTGAAAGGCCAAGGTAGGAGGATCTTGGAAGGCCAGGCTGAGCAACACAGTGAGACCTCATCTCTACTAAAATTCAAAAAAATTAGCCAGGCATGGTGGCACATGCCTGTAGTCCCAGCTACTTGTGGGGCTGAGGTGGGAGGATTACTTGAGCCCAGGAAGTTGAGGCTGTAGTGAGCCCTGATCATGCCACTGTACTCCAGCCTGGGTGACACAGTGAGACCTTATCTTTAAGGTGGAGGTGGGGAGGAAAGTAGGTAACTGATCCCATCTACACAATCGGCATCTGTGAGTGGAATCCAAGGATCTGTGATCAAGTTACCCTAGTAATTCTGAGAAGCACTAAAGTTTGAGAACTACCTTTCAGGAAAGTGACTAATTAGCTCATGAAAGTGACACCAAACCCTACTGTCTACTTGGAGCAGCTCACACCACCCTAAACCGAGGCAAATATCCTAGGAGCTGGCACAAAGCTTCCCAGATTCGAAACCTCCCCAATCTAAACCTGTTAAGGAAAGCAGAGCATCTCGATTGCACAGAAATTGATACAACAATACTTTCCAAAGTTAAATTATTGAGAAGTATCCATTGGAATAGCGTTTCACCTTGACCGTTATTGATCATCATGATAATATTAGCTCACATTTACCGAGTGCTTACTGTATGTCAAACATTGGGTTAATTGCTTTACATTTATTCATCTCATTTCATCCTTAGAGCAAAACTCTGTAGTAGGTGCTATTCTTTATCTCCACTTTAGAAAGGAGGGTAGCAGGCTGGGCACGGTGGCTCACACCTGTAATCCCAGCACTTTGGGAGGCGAGGCGGGCCGATCACCTGAGGTCAGGAGTTTGAGACCAGCCTGGCCAACATCGCGAAACCCCGTCTCTACTAAAAATACAAAAAATCAGCCAAGAGCGGTGGTGGGTGCCTGTAATTCCAGCTATTCGGGAGGCTAAGACAGGAGAATTGCTTGAACCCAGGAGGCGGAGGTTGCAGTGAACCAAGATCATACCACTGCACTCCAGCCTGGGTGACAGAGCGAGACAGAGAGAGAGAGAGCACGCAAGAGTGAGAGAGAATGAGAGCACGCGTGCACACGCGCGAGAGAGAGAGAGAGGAAGGAAGGAAGGAAAAAGAAAAGGAAAGAAAGAAAAAAGAAAAAGAAGGAAGGAAGGAAACAGAAAGATAGGAAAAGAAAACAAAAAGAAAATGAAAATGAAAATAAATGAAGGGAGGGTAGCAGAAAAATATAACTGAGAATTACAAGGAGTTAAGAATCCAGGTGGGCTACAGGAGGCTAAACAGAGCAGGGCATTACGGCCCCAGGAGACCTGGTCCCAGCTGGGTTCTTTCCTAAACCACAAACCCACCAACAGCAGCATAGCCTCTGGGATAAATACCCACAAATGCCCAGGGAAAATGTTCCAGGTGGTCAAGAACTCAATTCCTAATGAAAGCTTGGAAAATGAACTAAGCCTCAGTTCAGTCATCCAGAAATAGGGTTAATGTTTTACTACTGGCAGGGTGCAGTGGCTCACACCTGTAATCCCAACACTTTGGAAGGACAAGGCAGGAGGATGGCCTAAACCCAGAAGTTGGAGGCCAGCCTGAGCAACATAGTGAGACTCCATCTCTAAAAATAAATAAATAAATAGTCAGGCATGGTGGTGCATGCCTGTAGTCCCAGCTACTGGGGAGGCTCAGGTGGGAGGATCCCTTGGACCTGGGGGGATTGAGGCTGCAGTGAGCCATGACTGTACCCCAGCCTGGGCGACAGAGCGAGACCCTGTCTCTGGAAAAAGAAAAAAAAAATGACAACTTTTTTCATCTCTAGGTTCTTTTCTGAAAATGATGAAATAAGTATTAAGGAATTTTGAAAAGTAAAAGCACCAGACAAAAGGCATCCCCATTTTTCTTTAAGACAGGTGGGGATTAGCTTGGTTTCTCAGATGTTAAAAAAAAAAAAAAAAAAAAAAAAAAAGTGAAAAAGACAGGTGGGGAAAACATTCCCAAGATAGTTTTAAAAAATTCATGATAGCAAAATCCCTGTGTTAAATTGTGGGAAATACCTGATAAAGTCTGCTCAGCCCATCCCAACTCCCGCTCTCTGTCATTTCACCTCTGCCAGCTGCATTTATGTATAACCCTGACTGTGGGCCACAACTGAGTTAGCTCAAGCATGGACAACTGGACCAATGGGGGTCTCTATCTCGGGATTCAGAGAGAGCTAATCAGTGTCTTCCAGAGGCCAGAGCGAAGGGTTTGTGTTCGGGATTTGTGGAGCTGCCACATGCACAGGCAAGCACAGCACCCTGGTTCTCAGGGAGGAGGAAAGCCTGCATGCTCAGGTGGAAATGAGTGACCACAGGCACCAGACAGAGAAAGAGGACAGAGCCTGGGCCCCTGTCAGTGCCCCCACTCCCAGACTGGGCTCGGCCTCATTCCTGCCTTTTTTTGCTACAGCCAGGTCATGTGGATTTCTGTTTTTTTTTTCTTTTTTGTTTTTTTTCTGTTTTGTTTTTTTTTTTTTTTTGAGATAGAGTCTCACTCTCGCCCAGCCTAGAGTGCAGTGACGCGATCTCGGCTCACTGCAACCTCTGCCTCCCGGGTTCGAGTGATTCTCGTGCCTCAGCCTCCTGAGTAGCTGGGACTACAGGAGAGCACCACCATGCCCAGCTCATTTTTGTATTTTTAGTAGAGATGGGGTTTCACCATGCTGCCCAGCCTGGTCTCAAACTCCTTACCTCAGGTGATCCACCCACCTCAGCCTCCCAAAGTGCTGAGATTATAGGCATGAGCTACCGCACCCCAGTCTGGATTTCTGTTTCTTTGCAGCCAAAAAAAAAAAAAAAAAAAGACTGACAAGTGCAAAGCAGCAAGCTCCATAGCCCTCTGAGGAACCACGACCCCCAGGGTCGCCATACCTGCCTCTGTTGTTTCTCCTGAAACAAGCCTCCATCCACGGCTCCAAGTCACCCTGGATTTTATCCCAGCCTAAGCCTGGCTCACCTGTGCCCCACACCACCTCCCTGCCCCTCAGCTGAACCTGCCCTTACTCTCGGGCTCTGTTTTACAGTTGCCACCTGGACAACTGACCAGACAACAATTCTAACTCAGGGTTAGTGCCCACTGTCATTCAACTGCCCAAGCTTCTCGTGTTAACCATTGTTTTCCATCTTCCCCCAGTAATACCCATTTTAAAATGGAGCAAACCCTGAACGCAATGCAATGCCTACTACCGACTGGAAGGCTGAAAGCCTGGTAGCAGATTTAGCCTCTCTCTCTACCTAAATCCACCAAACAGCAGGGAAACGGCACCTCCAGAAAACTCATGAAGTCAACAGAAATCCTCCGTTCTGCCTTTAATCTGAAGGTCCCTGGGTTCCTCTTACCCCCTCTCTCAGACTCTCTCTCTCCCTGCAGGGTCCTTGGCTGTACCTGGGATATAAATGGTGCCACCATTGCACCAATGCGACACAGGGAGCCGCTGGTTCCCATCCCCAAAGCGCGCATCGTGGTGGGGTAGACCTGCAGGGAGAGGCACGGAAAGTACCAGTCAGATAATGTCCGTCCTTCCCCGAGCCCTCCTCTTCCCCTTCCTCCCCAGGTCAGGTTTTGGAATGCATAGAGCACCAAACACAGTTACAGAATATGGAATAGAAGGTGTTGATTTTCTCAGGTACACAACTTTGAATTTTTGGGACAATATCAGCGAAAAATAAACACTTCAAAATTATCCTTTAAATGAGCAAATTCCAAAAATGTGCTTCACTGAAGATTCCAAATATAATTTTAGAAAGACAAGCTCTGGAATCAGAGAGAAGAGTGCCACTTCAGAACTATAAATATATAAAAGTGATTCTACTGAACGGGAAGAAAATACTCCCCAGAGATCTGATGAAGTCTTCAATACAAATACAGCTAAGAGAACTAACTAGAGGGCCAGGTACTTGCCACACCATTCCCTGTGTTCTTATTTTTACTTCTTTTCTAAAATTAGGGATGGGATCTTACTATGTTGGCCATGCTGGTCTTGAACATCTGGCCTCAAGCAATCCACCCACCTCAACCTCCCAAAGTGCTGGGATTAGAGGCATGAGCCACCATACCTGGCCCCTGTGTTCTTGTTAAATTCCCTAGCCTCTTTGCTGTTGCAGAATCTTAACAGCATATTCTATCTATCTATCTATCTATGTATCTATCTATGTATCTATGTATCTATGTATCTATCTATCTATGTATCTATCTATCTATCTATCTATCTATCTATCTATCTATCTATCTATCTATCTATCTATGTATCTATCTATGTATCTATCTATGTATCTATCTATCTATGTATCTATCTATCTATGTATCTATCTATGTATCTATCTATCTATGTATCTATCTATCTATGTATCTATCTATGTATCTATCTATCTATCTATGTATCTATCTATCTATGTATCTATCTATCTATGTATCTATCTATCTATCTATGTATCTATCTATCTATCTATCTATCTATCTATGTATCTATCTATCTATGTATCTATCTATGTATCTATCTGTCTATGTATCTATCTGTCTATGTATCTATCTATCTATCTATGTATCTATCTATCTATCTATGTATCTATCTATGTATCTATCTATCTATCTATGTATCTATCTATCTATGTATCTATCTATCTATCTATCTATCTATCTATCTATCTATCTATCGACAGAGTCTCACTCTTTCGCCCAGGCTGGAGCACAATGGTGCAATTTTGGCTCACTGCATCATCCACCTTCTGGGTTCAACCGATTCACCTGCCTCAGCCTCCCAAGTAGCTGGGATTACAGGCATGCACCACCGTGCCTGGCTAATTTTTGTATTTTTAGTGGAGGCAGCGGCGGGCGGGGGGTCTCTCCAAGTTGGCCGGGTTGGTCTCGAACTCCTGACCTCAGGTGATCTGCCTGCCTCAGCCTCCCAAAGTGTGGGGATTACAGGCGTGAGCCACCATGCCCAGCCCTTTTTAACATTTTATTAAATTTTTATTTTTATTTTACAGAAACAAGACCTCGCTATGTTGCCCAGACTGGTATCAAACTCCTGGGCTCAGGTGATCTTCCTGCCTCAGCCTCCCAAAGTGCTGGGATTACAGGTATGAGCCACCATGCCCAGCCATATTCTACTTTCTTGCTGCAACTTTTTGATATTTATAGTAAAATCTAATTAATTGGTTTTTCATTGATTCAGAATTCTTAAAGGAACTAGAAGTTTAATAAGTCAGCAAGTCTTCCTGAATAAATAGAATTGTAGGGAGAATACTTTCTAGGAAAGAATGGTTTCTCAAAATGTTGGAACATTTTCTTAGTGCTATAAAATACTGGCAAAACAGTTTTATCAACTCTCTAAGGCAAAGCATATAGCCCCCTTTAGTTGCCCACATCTTTGCCACCATCTGTCAAATGCAAAAAGCAAGATGCTTTCCGCCTCACAGGACACTGCTATATTTACAGGAGAAGGTCTGGGGGTGGAATATCTTTATGGGGAACTTTATTATTTTCTGAAAAATGAGGTTGCTCTGACTGAAAATAATGAATTCAGATGATGGCTTCTTTGCTATAATACTGATAAAGTCTTTTTTCACATTGTGAGTCATCTGGAAGATGGAATAACAGAAAACTATCATTTTTAGTTACACACCTCTTTTAAAAAACAATATAAAAAATAAAATACTGGCTGGGCACGGTGGCTCACGCCTGTAATCCGAGCACTTTGGGAGGCCGAGGCGGGCGGATCATGAGGTCAGAAGATTGAGACCATCCTGGCTAACAAGGTAAAACCCCATCTTTACTAAAAATACAAAAAATTAGCCGGGCGTGGTGGCGGGCACCTGTAGTCCCAGCTACTCAGGAGGCTGAGGCAGGAGAATGGCGTGAACCCGGGAGGTGGAGCTTGCAGTGAGCCGAGATCGCGCCACTGCACTCCAGCCTGGGCGACAGAACAAGACTCTGTCTCAAAACAAAAAAAATAAAATCAAATAAAATACTTAGAAATGACCCTCAAAATGAGCAAATTCCACAATATGTTTGACTGTACATCCCAAATGCAGTTCTAGAAGTACACCATGTTACGCATAGATTTTTTTGGTTTATAAATTTACAAAATAACTTTAGATTTGTTTTTGTTTTTAATTATGCAAAATTATTTTCTTAACTATGCAAAATTATTTAAAGTCAATAATTTTTTTTTTCTTTTTGAGACGGAGTCTCTCTGTCACCGGGCTGCAGTGCAGTGGCTCGGTTTCGACTCACCGCAACCTTTGCCCCCCAGGTTCACACGATTCTCCTGCCTCAGCCTCCCAAGTAGCTGGGATTACAGGCACCTGCCACCACGCCTGGATAATTTTTGCATTTTTAATAGAGACGGGGTTTCACCATGTTGGCCAGGCTGGTCTCAAACTCCTGACCTCAAGGGATCCACCTGCCGCGGCCTCCCAAAGTGCTAGGATTACAGGCGTGAGCCACTGCACCCAGCCGATTAATTTTTATTCCAGGAATTTCATGTTGTAATTCCTTCCACTGTCCATCAAGTTCACCTTAGTTCCCCTACAGAGCTGGAGTAAAATTTATTGTCAAAAAATCTTCAAGTTAGCCCTTTTTAATAGAACTGATGCTTAATCCAGTTGTCCTGTCAGCCCATAATTCTTTTATTTTGGCTTCTTTCATCTCCTTTTAATATGGATATACTGATGAAGTCTTCAAAATTCACCAGAAATCTTTGGGATCTAATTTCTTAAACCAATTTACTTTAGGGTCATTTTTGGAGTAGGTGGATCTGCCTTGTTCTCCATTTGATGCCATCTGTAAATATGCTTGAGTTCAAATCATATTCATTCCTAAGCTATCACAGCTCAAGAACAGTACAGACCTGTGGAATATGTCAATACATTTAACCCCAGACATCATGTTCTGAAGATAAAAGCCTTTAAAACAAAAAGTCATCTTGATATATCAAGTCAACACGAAATTGGAATACAAAATTGAGATAGCTGAGATTTTCCTCATATATTATGCTTTTAAATTCTCTATTCTATAGCCCTAGAACCAAACTTTTTTTTTTTTTTTTAATTTAGAGACATGGTCTTACTTTGCTGCCCAGGCTGGAGTGCAGTGGTGCCATCAGAACTCACTGCAGCCTCCAACTCCTGCACTCAAGCAATCCTCCTGCCTCAGCCTCCCCTTCCTAAGTAGCTACAATTACAGGTACATGCCCCCATCCCTGGCTAATTTTTAATTTTTGTGGAGATGGCATTTTGGTTTCCTTGCCAGGCTGGTCTTGAACTCCTGGCTTCAGGTGATTCTCCCACCTCAGCCTCCCAAATTCAAGGATTGCAGGCATGAGCCACTGCGCCCAGCCTGGAACCAACGTTTATGGTTATCAATACTCCAATCATTTTAAAGTGTCTCAGGCATCATAATACCCCTTCTTATTTGTAGCAAAACTTATACTGAACAATGAGTTCTGGATTGCAAAAGAGGATTGATTTTTTTGTACCTGCCTATAAATCAACTTTAGATTTTGTTAATGGAACTAAATGAAGTATTATGTATAATTCAAACATCTCATAGCTTTCTATTTTTATCTCTGTGTGGGAGAAAAAGTACTTTTCTCTGCGGGTTTAATGGTTTTTGACATGCCAAATCTTTAATCGCAATAGACTTCCCCACTTCCTGCCATGAACCTGAAAGGCAGCTTTATCAGTATCTAAAGTACTGTTTCCTGTAGCTCAACGAATGACAAAACCAGTTAAAATACTGTTAAGTTCCCTATTCAAATATTGTTTCATTTCTAGGAATATTAGTTGTTTAAAGTGGGAGGTTTATGAGGAAATACTCCAGCTACCTCAGGCAGTACCTTGCATATAGATGTATTAATTCAATAAATTAATAAAGAATAAATCAAGATTATATTTAAATTTAAGCTACATGCAGCAAATAACAGATGGAAGGAAAGGGATCTTCCAAAAGAGTAAAAGTGAAAAGTGTATTCTAATTTCAAAAAGAGAGAAAGGAAATTCTACATTTGAATGCAACATGTTGCTACCTATTACTTCTGGAAGCCTAGTGCTAGGGCAAGGAGGTGTTTTTTACATGCATGCTATTTAAAGAAAGGAAAAAGATCCTATCTTCCAGAGATTGGCTTTCAATAGACTGAGTGGGGAAGGGGAAATTCATATCAAATAAACTTCTGGTGTCTTTTTAACAGATTGTTTTTAGAAAATCATCAAAAGTCAACAGAAGCCAGGCATGCATTACCTTTGGATGGACATCCTAAGTAGCTCACCTTACACACCCTTTGTAAGCAAGCCTTGCATGAAAACTCACCTCAGCTGTGTAAATGTAGACGGTGTTGAAGTTTGCAGCTACCAGAGCCCTCAGCATGAAGAGGAAGCCAATCAGGCCGGCACTAGAAAACAGGAAGCGGAGAGAAATTATAAAAGGCAGCATGGAGGACCACCTCCAGTGGCCCAGCTTCGAGTGCACTGTGGATGCTGAGATACAATCACAGATAACTCAGAACCCGAGGGAGGTGCTGCTTCTCAGCTGGCCTGATTGTGGGGTCCTTAAGCAAACCTCCTTCCAATCTTACTCCCACTGCCTTCTCCATTCCCCAACGCTGCCATTCACCCTGGCCCCTCACATTAGCATAACTGCTGGGCACAGTGGCTCACACCTGTAATCCCTGCAGTTTGGGAGGCCGAGGCAGCTAGATCGCTTGAGGCCAGGAGTTCAAGACTAGCCTCAGCAACATAGTAAGACTTTTTTTAAGACAGAGTCTGGCTCTGTTACCCAGCCTTGGGTGCAGTGGCACAATCATGGCTCACTGCAGCCTCAGCCTCTCAGGCTCAAGTGATCCTCCCACCTCAGCCTCTTGGGTAGCTGGGACTATAGACATCCACAACCACACTCAGCTAATTTTTGTATTTGTTGTAGAGATGGGGTTTTGCCATGTTGTCCAAGCTGATCTTGAACTCCTGGGCTCAAATGATCCACCTGCCTCAGCCTCCCAAAGTTCTGGGATTACTGGTGTGAGTCACCAAATTTTTTTTCAATTGGCCCAGCATGGTGGTGTGTGCCTGTAGTCCTAGCTATTCAAGAGGCTGAGGCAGGAGGATGGCTTGAGCCCAGGAGTTAGAGGCTGCAGTGAGCTGAGATCGCACCACTGCATTCCCGCCTGGGTGACAAGGTGAGAGAACCTGTCTCAAAGAAAAAAAAAAAAATTAGCACACCTGCTGCTACCATCCCCTGGAAAATAGTGCAGAGAGCTTGTAGAACAAATGATACATATCAGAGCTCAGGCCACTCCAGGACTGCAATTTAGGAGTGAAATGAGCAGAAGGCACAAATAAGCACACTGTCTGTATTACTAAACTTTCTTGGCACTGGTTCAAATAATGTAATAAACAACCAGAGTCCCGATTCTCCAGGAAGCATTACATAATGATCCTCAATATTTTGGTAGGTAAAGTGAGTACACCATCATTGGCACCCATAATCCTGTGATAGCTGGAGGAAGATGGGGTCTGTAGGAAGAGGGAAGCGGGGATAGTAGGGAACAGGCAAGACCATTCTAGTCAAGCAAGCAGCCCATTCTCTACTCTCCTGGGTGAAAGTGACTTGTCCCTGAAACTACTGAACACCATGGGTCAGGAGACTCCATTTAGAAACCACTGCACAAAATCTGAAGCAATTAAACAGAAAATACCTTGAAGTGCAAATGTTGAGGAGAAGGAAGAATAAAGCCGTGCATCCCATGGTAATAGAAAGGCTCAGCCGTCTTCCCAGGAAATTGATGCCCAGTATATTTAAAGGATTCACTAGAAAGCAAACAGTAAAGATAATTTCTGGAACCTTGGAAGGCAAGTGGCATATTGCAACACTGGCATGGATTCATCCTTGTCGTTTCAGAAAGAAGCAACTTCATCCAAACCTCACGAGTATTCCAGCCAAAATCCAGTCACGTTGTCATCAATTTCAAGACTTTTTACATATACTTTACCCACGTGGGTCCAGGAATGATAAGCACTGGTGCCCAGAATACTTATTATATCATACAGGTCTATTGTAGATTGCCAGTTGCTAGGCCTGTATTTTAAGTGTTTTATATGTTTTCATCAAATTCAAGGTGCCATTGATTTTTTTTCATCAGCTCAGTTTAACATTCAGCCATTGATTTTTAAGTACCATCATTTTATGTCTACTAAAATAGAAATAATGCTGTCAATTGCTATCTAACAAGCCATTGTAAGCCACATGCCAATTTCAGAGATGTTAAAATGTAAGGGTGAAAAAAACACCTTACAATTGATAGAATACAGCACTTCAAAGGTCTACTCCTCCAGACCTCTCTTGCCAACACCAATCCAAACTGGAGATTTTTCAGCACTACTTGGCAACTTATTCAGTTCTGCTAGGCAGGAGCGGTGTCACAGGGTCACACTTCTCTCAGCTAAGACTCAAGTGCACATAGACCACCCAAGACAGAGAGACCCAACACGCAGAGGGACACTTACAAGCAATTTCACCGATGGTGCTGATGATCATGGTCCGATAGTCAGAGGGTGCAAACATGTGGCAGTAGCAGGGGCTCTGGCTCTCCCCTGAGTCCCCCCCAGTCACCACCACCGCAGAGTCTGACTTTGAACCACAGACCAAGTCCCGCTCCAGCAGCTCAGCACTGGCCAGGATAACCCCATAGTAGGCAAAAGAGATTCCAAGCCTGGAAGAGAGAAAACAAAGTCACTAGCCAACGCTGACACCAGACCTGAAGGATGAGTGGGGAGGGGATACCAAGTGGAACGTGTAGCATGTGGAAAGCAAAGAGAGCAGAAAGCCAGGCTCAGACGCCACACAGAGCATTCGTGGAAGTGTCTCTTACACATCATACAGATGTACACATGCCTGTCGGGTGTAAACCTAGGAGCAGAATTGCCGGGCCATAGTATACACATATTTCCAGCTGTGATAGATACCTCCAGTTTTTCAAAGTGGCTGTACTAATTTGAACTCCAGTCAGCTGTGTATGAAAGTTCCAGTTACTTTGCCTCCTTCTCAACCCTTGGTATTGTCAGTCTTTCATTTTAGCCATTCTCATGGACTGGCGGATTTGTAATGGTATCTTGTTGGGTTTTAATTTGCATTTCTCTGGTGACTTTAAGGTTGAGCATGTTTTGATGTGTTTATCTGGTATATGTTTTTGGTGAGGCGCCTGTTCAAGTCTCTTGCCTATTTCTAAATTGGGCTGTTGGCCGAACATGGTGGCTCATGCCTGTCATCCCAGCACTTTGGGAGGCTAAGGCAGGAAGATTGCTTGAGGCCAGGAGTTTGAGACCAGCCTGGGCAACAAAGCAAAACCCATCTCTACAAGTGCAAAATAAAATAAATAAATTTTAAAACTTCAAAAATTTTTAAAAACTTAAAAAACTGGGTTATTTTTTCCTGTTGAAAAAATGATATGTCTAATATATAAGCATGTTTTATATATGTGTGTGTGTGTGTGTGTGTGTGTGTATATATGTATATATAATTTGCTGGAAATATACATGGCAAATTTCTCCTCCCCATGGATGGCTTACCTTTCAGGCTCTTCATGATTTTTTTTTTTTTGAGACAGTTTCATGCTGTCACCCAGGCTTGAGTGCAGTGGTGCAATCTCGGCTCACTGCAACCTCCACCTCCTGGGTTCAAGAGATTCTCCTGCCTCAGCCTCCCAAGTAGCTGGGATTACAGGCACCCACCACCATGCCCAGCTAATTTTTTTGTATTTTTAGTGGAAACAGGGTTTCACCATGTTGGCCAGGCTGGTCTCGAACTCCTGACCTCAGGTGATCCGCCTGTCTCGGCCTCCCAAAGTGCTCAAAGTGCTGGGATTATAGGCGTGAGCCACCGTACCCGGCCTTCTTCATGATACCTTGACACAGTTCCTAAGTTCCTAATTTAATGTATTAAAACTCATCAATCTTTTCCTTTATAGTTAGCATGTTTTAGTCCTGTTTAGAAAATCTTTGCTTACTCAAGGTCATGCTGCAGAGAAATGAATCACAGAGGGTACCACAAGAGTCTGTGCCACTGGACTCGATGATTGGTGACTTCAAAGGACCAGTTTCTGTCATGTGGTGAGAAAAAGACCAGGCTGCAAAAGTTAGGAAGTGAACTCATATGCTCACAAGAAAAATTTAAGAACTGGTTGAAGACAATTAGGGAATTTTCCTCTGTCTATGTATCCATTTACTTATTTATTTAGTAGTGGTGGTGTTTGTAGAAAGACAAAACATTGCTTGTCTTTGTAGTATTTGGAGTTAGTCTTATGTTTTTCTCCCCAGTGGCACTCACATAGATTTACTTAAATAGGCTTCCTCCCAATGCCTCTATTTAAAACTAGCTTTGAAATCATTACACTCTTACCATATGACCCAGATCTGTAATGTGGTCCGTAAATATTTAGCATCCAATAGGTCTGCAAATCTTCCTCTTTTTTCCTGGGGTAATGAAAAGGAGACAGAACATACTCAGCAGCTTAAGGATGAACGGAGATGTTTCCACTGTTTTCGATCATAGAAGATGAGAATCATATTGGAGCATGGTGGCCTGCGATAACCACTCAGCTCCTATGAGTACAGCTGACACAAACCCAGAGATAATTGTTTTAAACACATCTGTCTCAGCCAGATCTGTCTTTTGGCTTTTTCTCATCATTGACAGGTACCAAAGCTCACTGAACTTAAGATCCTAACCTTTTGCTCTTCCTCTGCCCACCAGCACTGGCGCGGGGGTGGGGATGGTAGGAGGAAACATGAAAAGTGACTGTGAAACTGATGAGAGATTCTTCTAAAATTAACATTAAAACAAAAACTCTTATATTAAAAAAGAGTATGAGACTTGTTAAGAAAACAACGGCATAAAGTTGAAAAAGGAGAGAACGCCTAATTTCTTTTTCTGTCTCTAAGGGGGGTAGTTAGCAAAAGTTCTTGTCCATAGTACCTATTGAATAACTTTGGATAAAAACAAGTAAGAATGGGCTGGGTGTGGGGGCTCACGCCTGTAATCCCAGCACTTTGGGAGGCCGAGGTGGGCGGATCACCTGAGGTCAGGAGCTTGAGACCAGCCTGACCAACATGGCGAAAGCCCGTCTCTACCAAAAATACAAAAATTAGCCGGACATGGTGGAGCATGCCTGTAATCCCAGCTACTCAGGAGGCTGAGGCAGGA
This sequence comes from Homo sapiens, assembly GCF_000001405.40. Classification (NCBI taxonomy): domain Eukaryota; kingdom Metazoa; phylum Chordata; class Mammalia; order Primates; family Hominidae; genus Homo; species Homo sapiens. The sequence goes on from NC_000007.14 coordinate 138,630,853, forward strand.
GAATCACTTGAACCCAGGAGATGGAGGTTGCAGTGAGCCGAGATCACACCATTGCACTGCAGCCTGGGCAACGAGAGTGAAACTCCATCTCAAAAAAAGAAAAAAAAAAAAAAAAAAGCAAGGAAGAGTTACATGATGGCACAGAAATGGATTTTTATGTAAAGCTGGGAATGCTTCAGATGAGGGCACGCCATTGAAAACCAACAGCTCTTTTCTCAGAAATAGACCTGGGATTACAGGCTGTTTCTAGAGACACTGGGAATGTGGTCCTGGGTGTCCTAGATTTTGTTGTCACAGAAAGCTAGAGTTTGAAGGGAACTTAGAGGTCTTTTGCTCCAATGGTTAATTTTTAATTTTTGTGGGGCACGTAGTAGGTATGTCTATTTATGGGGGTACATGAGCTGTTTTGATAAACCTCATGAAATAAGCACATCATGGAAAATGGGGTATCCATCCCCTCAACCATCTATCCTTCAAGTTACGAACAATCCAATTACACACCTTAAGTTATTCTAAAATGTATGAGTAAGTTATTAACTATAGCCACTGTTTTGCTATCAAATAGTAAGTCTTATTCTATTTTTTCTGGTACACATTAACCATCCCCACCTCCCCCCATCCTTCCACTATTCTTCCCAATCTGACCAAGACCCACGGCACATTCCCACATCTGGTCTCACTGCACATCTCCTGGGGCCTGCAGTGTCCTCTCCCCTCCCCAAAGCTTTTTTTTTGGGAAGGAGTCTCGCTCTGTCACCCACACTAGAGTGCAATGGCGTGATCTTGGCTCACTGCAACCCCTGCCTCCCAGGTTCAAGCAATCCTTGTGCTTCGGCTTCCCGAGTAGCTGGGAGTACAGGTGTACATCAAATCGTCCAGCTAATTTTTGTAATTTTAGTAGAGACGGGGTTTTACCATGTTGCCCAGGCTGGTCTCAAACTCCTGACTTCAAGTGATCCACCCGCCTTGGCCTCCCAAAGTGCTTAGATTACAGGCATGTGCCACCATGCCCGGCAGGCTCACTCTCCTTTTAGTGTTCAATTTATGTCCCATTTATCCCCCTGAAGTGGCTCAGACTGCCATGGCTCAGTCCCTTCTGCTCTGATATCACACACACACACACACACACACATACACACACCCCTACACCCCACCTGGTTCTAAGCATCTGGGCTCTGTTTTTTATTCCTTCATATGTGATGCTCATTTCATTAACCAGATTGTAAGACTGTGACCAGAATGAAGGCAGGGTCTACTGCCAGTAGCTCTGGGCCTTGCTCAAGAGATGTCTGTGGAGGGCCAGACACGGTGGTTCATGCCTGTGATCCCAGAACTTTGGGAGGCTGAGGCTGGCAGATCACCTGAGGTCAGGGGTTCAAGACCAGCCTGGCCAACATGGTAAAACCTCATCTCTACTAAAAATACAAAACATTTAGCCAGGCGTGATGGCACGCACCTGTAATCCCAGCTGCTCTGGAGGCTGAGGCAGGAGACTCGCTTGAACCTGGGAGGTGGAGGTTGCAGTGAACTGCAATCATGCCACTGCACTCCAGCCTGGGTGACAAGAGCAAGACTCCATCTCAAAAAATAAACAGACAGATGACTGTGAAGAAGATCACTTAATGGGCATGATGGATGGGGGCCGCAAGCTGAAGGCTTGAGAAGGAAAGTGGGGAGGAGGAGGAAGTGGGAACAGAAGGATGAAGAGGGAAGGTGAAGAATGGGGGATGGAGAAGGTGGAGGGAGAGGTGAGGTAGGAGAGGAAAAGCAGAGGAAGTAGGATGTGGAGGGAGGAGGCCAGACAGGGGAGCCAGGGTGGAAAGGGAGGATGGAGAATGTGCAGGGAAGATGGGAGACAGGGGGTTGTGGAGGGAGGATGGGGGCGGGAGGAAAAAGGAGGAGGAAAGAGGAGAGAGAGCTTATTTCTGACCTCAGTGCTCCTCAGTCCTGGAGTTGCAACTACTGCATTCAATTCACAAAGCACATGCCAAAAACGGTTGTACTCAGCTATCTTATAATCTTACAGCTATCCGTGGTTTTGAGTTAATTATCTCTGTTAAGACTTTTTCTTTTTGCAACTGTTTTTACTGTTTACACTATTGACAATCAGAATTTTACAGCCACCTAAAGATTATGTTGTAGTCTCTATAAACCATAATAGCTTTCTTCTTTTAATCATAGTTGCCTAGCAACTAGTTCATCCTCCCACCCTGCTTTGCTCGATAAGATGTGATTGTCAGTATCTCAGTAGGAAGGAAGAAGTGAGCTGACGCTGTTATAGTAGCTTTCTGAACTCCAAACCCATGAGAGTGTATTTCCAATGTTTAAAAAATAAACTAGAATAATGGAATCATTCTGAATCCTTTGGAAGAAAGTTCGGGTTTCTTGTTTAATATAGTTTGGATATTTGTCCCCTCCAAGTCTCATGTTGAAATGTGATCCCCAGTGTCGGGGGTGGAGGCTTATGGGAGGTGTTTGGGTCGTGGGGGTGGATCCCTCATGAAGGGCTTGGTGCCCTCCCTGCAGTAACGAGTGAGTTCTCACTCTACCAGTTCATGTGACAGCTGGTTTAAAAGAGCCTCGCACCTCTCTCGCTCCTTCTCTCACCATGTAACATGCCTGCTCCCTGTTCACTTTCTGTCATGAGTAGAGGCTTCCTGAGGCCTCACCAGAAGCCACGCAGATGCTGGTGCCGTGATTGTACAGTCTGCAGAACCATGAGCCAAATAAATCTCTTTTAACAGTCACCCAGTCTCAGGTATTCCTTTATAGCAATGCAAAACGAACAGACACACTGCTCCAGTTATAATAGGTTTTGAGATACATATAATAATGGCGGTAACACTCCACAGAAGAAAGTGAGAATACCTTACCAAAATACAATGATGAATATGGGGAAGGTTCAGCATACTGAATGCTCACGATATTTGCATTACTATGGAGTACATGCCACCTCACACTTACAATGTAGGCCAGATGGTAGTGGGATTCAAGACTTTTGTCATCAGTGATGTCCTCGGCAACAAATCAGGAACACCCAGGGAAGCCCACCTCTTGCCTGTGTGTAGGACACTCAGACATCAACTCATCCCGTGGTGGCTACAGGATCCCAAGAAAGCAAGGATTCAGGGCATGGGTAGCACTGCTGGTATGGACCCATCTCAGACACAGAGCATGAGCTGAGGTCAGAAGAGCCTTTCCCATGATCCTGCCAGCCCTAGCAAGGTTGTGTACTAGCAGCTTTTCTCTGTACCTCCTGGTCTCCCTGTTATGCATTCATTCCCTGCCTTGGCGGTGATGCCATCTCATTCTGCCAGATGTCTATTATCCTTGGATCCTGTTCTTCCTCATCCTATCAAAGTCTGCACTGAGGATCTGGTGCAGTAGCACACACCTATTATCCCAGCACTTTAGGAGGCAGAGATGAGAGGACTGCTTGAGGCCAGGATTTGAGACCAGCCTGAGCAACATAGCAAGACCTCATCTCTATGAAAAAATAAGAAAATTAAGGCAGGCACGGTGGCTCACGCCTGTAATTCCAGCACTTTGGGAGGCCAAGGTGGAAGGATCACCTGGGGCCAGAAATTTAAGACCAGCCTGGGCCAGTGAGACCCCGTCGCTACAAAATAAGAAAAAAAAAAAAAAATTAGCCAGGTGTGGTGGTGTGCACCTATAGTCCCAGCTATTCAGGAGGCAGAGGCAGGAGGATCACTTGAGCTCAGCAGGTTGAGGCTGCAGTGAGCCAAGGTCACACCACTGCACTCCAGCTTGGATGACAGAACGAGACCCTGTCTTTTAAAAAATCAAGTAAATAAAAACAAAAAAATTAGCCAGGCATGGTGGCACATGCCTGCAATTCCAACTACTTTGGAGGCTGAGATGGGAGGATTGCTTGAGCCCAGGAGTTCAAGACCAGCTTGGGCAACATGTCAAAACCCTGTCTTCTCAAAAAACTGTACAAAAATAGCCAGGCATGGTGGCATACACCTGTAGTTCTAGCTACTCAGGAGCTTAGGCAGGAGGATTGCTTGAGCCCAGGAGGTCAAGGCTGCAGTGAGCCAAGATCACACCACTGCACTGCAGTCTGGGTGACAGAGCGAGAACCTGTCTCAGAAATTTTAAAAGGTTAATATGGGCCGGGCGCAGTGGCTCATGCCTGTAATCCCAGCACTTTGGGAGGGAGGCCAAGGCAGATGGATCACCTGAGGTCGGGAGTTCGAGACCAGCCTGACCAACATGGAGAAACCCCATCTCTACTAAAAACACAAAATTAGCTGGGTGTGGTGGCACATGCCTATAATCCCAGCTACTTGGGAGGCTGAGGCAGGAAAATCGCTTGAACCCATGAAGCAGTGGTTGCAGTGAGCCAAGATTGCACCATTGCACTCCAGCCTGGGCGACAAGAGCAAAACTGTCTCAAAAAAAAAAAAAAAGTTAATATGGTAAATTGCTTGTTATGTATATTTTGCCACAATAAAAAGACTCAAAAGGGGGAAACAAAGCTGGTTGGAGGAGGAAAATGAGGAGTTCTGCTTTATTTTACTTTTTTTTTTTTTTAAATAGAGATGGGGGTGGGGGTCTCACTATATTGCCCAGGCTGGTCTCGAACTCCTGGTCTCAAGCAACCCTCCTGCCCCAGCCTTCCAAAGGAATGGGATTACAGGTGCGAACCACCACACCCAGCCAGGAGTTTTGTTTTAAACTTGATAAATATGAGATTTACACACTTGTCAACTCCAAGAATAAATGTCCTGTGGAGAGAGAAAGGTAAGGAGCTGGGATGTAGGCAGGAGCCAGGGATGAACACGTGGAGATGGTGAAGTCTTGCAGTTAGTTTAGGTCACATGCATGCCCAAATGTGCCTGATACTCATGTTAAAGATGCTTCTTGCTGTTCTCCAGGGAAATGGCTTCTTCAACCAATTCATAAGGAATCCTATCAAAATGGGTGCCATTTAGCAATCAAGAAATTGGCAATTGCTGTTAAGAGGGTTATAAAGCTATAAAAATACTTCAGAGAACAACCACAAAAGTAAGTGAGCCACACAACATAGAAAATAAAAGTGATGAATCTGATAGAAAAATATATATACATTTTTTTGAAACAGTCTTACTCTGTCACAGTGGCGCAATCTCAGCTTACTGCAACCTCCTCCTCCCAGATGCAAGTGATTCTCCTGCCTCAGCCTCCCAAGCAGCTGGGAGTAGCTGGGACTACAGGCGCACACCACTACACCCAGCTAATTTTTTGTATTTTTAGTAGAGATGAGGTTTCACCATGTTGGTCAGGCTGGTCTTGAACTCCTGACCCAGTGATTCACCTGCCTCAGCCTCCCAAAGTGCTGGGATTACAGGCATGAGCCACTGGGCCCGGCTGAAAAATAATAATTTTTAAAATTCTGTTTATAAAATAATTTTTAAAAACAAAGTGGATAGGAATACATTTTATAAGAAATGTGCAGTACTGACATTAGTTATAAAATGTTGCTGAGAAAAATAAAAAGAAATAAATTGGGAAATACACTTAAAGCAGGGCAAGAATACTCAGTATTACAAAGATACTGATTCTCTCTACATTATTAGCCTATAATGTCAACAAAATCTCAAACTCTCATAGGATTTTTCTTTTTTTTTTTTGAGACAGAGTTTCATTATGTTGCCCAGGCTGGAGTAAAGTGGTGTGATCTTGGCTCACTGCAACCTCCACCTCCTGGGTTCAAGTGATTCTCGTGCCTCGGCCTCCCAAGTAGCTGGGATTACAGGTGTCTGCCACGAAGCCTGGCTAGTTTTTGTATTTTTAGTAAAGACAGAGTTTCATCATGTTGGCCAGGCTGGTCTCGAACTCTTGGCCTCAGGTGACCCACCCACCTCGGCCTCCCAAAGTACTGGGATTACAGATGTGAGCCACCACACCCGGCGGATTTTATTTTATTTTAATTAACTAATTTATTTATTTTGAGGGGAAGGTGGGAGTAGATCTTAATAAAGTGGCTCCAAAATTTTTCTAGTAAAATAAGCCTGAAAATATAGCTTGGAAAATTCTGAAAAAGATGTTTGACCAGGGGAATTTACCCTATCAGAAATGAAAAGTATATTATAAAATACTATAATTAAAACAGTGTCATATCATACCAATAACAGACCTGTCTATCCTTTTCTTGACAACTTGAAACATTCTCTTTATCATATAATAAATCCCCATATATACTTGAATCTACAAATCTATCATTAGAACAGATTGTTCAAAAATAGATTCAAATATATAATGAATGGATTATTCAAAATATATACATCATGGGCTGGGCGTGGTGGATGCATGTAATCTCAGCACTTTGGGAAGTTGAGGTGGGTGTATCACTTGAGGCCAGGAATTCGAGGCCAGCCTGCCCAACATGGTGAAACCCCAACTCTACTAAAAATACAAAAATTAGTTAGGTGTGGTGGTACAAGCCTGTAATCCCAGCTACTCAGGAGGCTGAAGCATGAAAAACACTTGAACTCAGGAGGCAGAGGTTGCAGTGAGCCAAGATCACTCCACTGCATGCCAGCCTAGGTGACAGAGCAAGACTCCATCTCATATATATATATATAGATAGATAGATAGATATATATATATAGATATAGATATAGATATAGATAGATATATATATATATATATAGATAGATAGATACACACACCTACATACATACACACACACACCCCCCAGAGCAACTGGTTAGTCATGTGGATATAACAAAGCTAAATCTGTACTGTGTTTCTTGTACCCAATTAAACCCACAGAGATCTAACATTTAAATATTAAGAATAAAACCAAATCGGCCAGACGTAGTGGCTCATGCCTGTAATTCCAGCACTTTGGGAGGCCAAGGCAGGCAGATCACTTGAGGTCAGGAGTTCGAGACCAACCTGGCCAACATGGTGAAACGCCATCTCTACTAAAAATACAAAAACTAGCCAGGCATGGTGGCGGGCACCTGTAATCCCAGCTACTCAGGAGGCTGATGCAGGAGAATCGCTTGAACCCAGGAGGCAGAGGTTGCAGTGAGCCAAGATCGTGCCACTGCACTCCAGCCTGGCCAAGAGAGCGAGCCTCCATCTCAAAAAATAAAAAATAAAATAAATAAAAAATAAAACAAATTGGCCGGGTGTTGTGGCTCACACCTGTAATCTCAGCATTTTCCAAGGTAAATGCAGGTGGATCACTTGAGGTCAGGAGTTTGAGAACAGCCTGGCTAACATGGTGAAACCCCATCTCTACTAAAATATAAAAATTAAGTGGGTGTGGTGGCCCTTGCCTGTAATCCCAGCTACTTGAGGGGCTAAAGCAGGAGAATCGCTTGGACCCAGGAAGGGGAGGTTTCAGTGTGCCGAGATGGCGCCACTGTACTCTAGCCTGGGCAGCAGATTGAGACTCCACCTCAAAAAAAAAAAAAAAAAAAAAGTATAAAACCAAATTAACACAATAGAAAGGAGATGCAAAAAACTCATTAGTAATAAAAACTGCAAAAGTCAATAAAAATGTTAATAAATCTAAATAAATACTGGCTCCAAAATAATGACAATTTAGAAAAACTTATGAACAAAGTGTAACTGAAATCCTGGGCAAACAAGATTTGGAAGACAATAATTGGCAAGATCATATTTAGCGTCCTTGTATTGTCTAGCTTGCGAGGTCAAGATTGCAGTGAACTATGATTGCACCACTGCACTCCCGCTGGGTGACAGGGTGAGACCCCATCACAAAAAACAGCTAAAATAAAAGTTGAAATTATAAAAAAACAAAATAAACTTAAGTTCAAAGAAAAAAAAATAGAATTTAAGGTCCAAAGCCATATAAATGAGAGAGGAGAAAGAAAAAACCAGTTACCAGATAAAGGTAAAGGTAGCAAATAATATTAAATATTGCAAATGTGTGTTTCCAATAGCTAAGGGCTACCTCTAGAATAAAAGAAAGTACATTAATTCCAAGTTAATAAAAGGAAGTGCAGGGGAGGGAAAGGCAAACTCAATCTAATAGAAGTTAGTCAAGGAGACAAGGAAAGACATGATTCAGAAGAAACACAAAATATCTTCCTGAAACTGTGCACACAAATAAGAAGAAATACAAAATAAATAACAGGCCAGGCACAGTGGCTCATGCCTGTAATCCCAACACTTTGGAAGGCTGAGGCAGGTGGATCACCTGAGGTCAGGAGCTCAAGACCAGCCTGGCCAAAATGGCAAAACCCCACCTCTACTAAAAAAATACAAAAATTAACTGGGCATGGTGGCATATGCCTGTAGTCCCAGCTACTTGGGGGGCTGAGGCAGGAGAATTGCTTGAACCTAGGAGGCGAAGGTTGCAGTGAGCTGAGATCCCATCACTGCACTCCAGCCTGGGCAACAGAGCAAGATTCTGTCTCAAAAAATATATAAATAAATAAAAATAAATGAAAGAAGCCCACATATGCCAGGAGAAGTAAGTGGGTCCAACTCATTATTAAAAGAATATCGGCTGGGCACAGTGGCTCATGCCTGTAATCCCAGCACTTTGGGAGGCTGAGGTGGGTGGGCCACATGAGGTCAGGAGTTCAAGACCAGCCTGGCCAACATTGTGAAACCCTGTCTCTATTAAAAAAACGAAAGTTATTTGGGCGTGGTGGCGGGTGCCTGTAATCCCAGCTACTTGGGAGGCCGAGGCAGGAGAATCGCTTGAACCTGGGAGGCAGAGGTTGCAGAGACTGTGCCTCTGCACTACAGCCTGGGCGACAGAGGGAGACTCCGTCTCAAAAAAAAAAAAAGAAAAGAAGAGAAAAGAATGGGAAGGAAAGGAAAAGGAAGGGGGAAAAAAATCACCTATAGCTTTACAAGAGATACTTTGAGACAGGGTCTCGCCCTGTTGTCCGGGCTACTAAAATACAGGGTCCAGTACAGCAGTGCGATCATAGCTCACTGCAGCCTTGACATCCTAGGCTCAAGCCTCCATAGCTCACTGTAGCCTCAACCTCCTGGACTCAAGCAACCCTCCTGCCTCAACCTCTGAAATAGCTAGTTGGGACTACAGGTGTGCGCCACTATGCCTGTTTTTTTTTTTTAGCGGGGAGCGGTAAAAAGGGGTCCTGTTTTGATGCCCAGGCTGGTCTCAAAATCTTGGCCTCAAGTGATCTTCTCATTTCAGCCTCCCAAAGTGCTGGGATTACAGGCCTGAGCTATCTCACACCCGGACTCAAGAAATACATTTAAAGCAAAGCAGTGTAGAAAGACTAAAAATAAAGAGCTGAAAAAAGATGCACATGGAAAATACTAACCAAAGCTACTTTCAACATGTTAACATGAGAGAAAATAGAATTTAAGGCTCTTCATTCTCAAAGACAATGATTTTTTTTTAACTTTTTTTTTTATATTTATTTATGTTTTGAGATGGAGTTTCGCTCTTGTTGCCCCAACTGGAGTGCAATGGTGCCATCTCGGCTCACCGCAATCTCTGCCTCCCGGGTTCAAGCATTTCTACTGCCTCAGCCTCCCGAGTAGCTGGGATTACAGGCATGTGCCACCATGCCTGGCTAATTTTATATTTTTACTAGAGTCAGGGTTTCTCTGTGTTGGTCAGGCTGGTCTGAAACTCCCAACCTCAGGTGTAACTCCCGACCTCAGGTAATCCACCCACCTCAGTCTCTCAAAGTGCTGGGATTACAGGCGTGAGCCACTGCACCCAGCTTTTTAAAAAATTTTTAAACAGATTAAGGCAGCCACAAATAAGAATGAAATCATGTCCTTTACAACAACATGGATGCAGCTGGAGTCCATTATCCTAAGAAAATTAATGCAGGAACAGAAAGCCAAATACCATATGTTCTCACCTTTAAGTGGGAGCTCAACATTGGGTACTCATGGACATAAAGAGGACAGCAATAGACACTGCAGACTACTAGAGTGGGGAGGGAAAGGGCAAGGGCTGAGAAACTAACTATTGGGTACTATGCTCACTGCCTGGATGACAGGATCAATCATACCCCAAACCTCAGCATCATGCAATAGACCCATGTAACAAACCCACACATGTACCCCCTGAATCTAAAATAAGAGTTGACTGGGTTACAGTGGTTCACACCTGTAATCCCATAAATTTGGGAGGCCAAGGAGGGAGGACTGCTTGACCCCAGGAGTTCAAGACTGGCCTGAGCAACAAAGCAAGACTCCATGTTTACAAGAAATTTAAAAATTAGCTGGGTATGATGGCGCACACCTATGGTCCTAGCTATTCTGGAGGCTGAGGTAGGAGGATCGAGCCTGGAAGGTCAAGGCTACAGTGAGCTATGACAGTACTACTGCACTCCAACCGAGGTGACAGAGTGAGACCCCATCACAAAAAATAACTCAATAAAAGCTGAAATTATTAAAAAAAAAAAAAAAACTTAAATTCAGTTTAGACAACTACAACAAAAAAAAAAATGTAAGGTCCAAAGCCATATAAGGATAAAGAAATACTTCAAGTAATAAGACTAATGCATGGACAAAAATCAATCATATGCTAGAATGCAATGAAAAGACAGCCTCAGCTGGGCGCGGGGCCTCACGCCTGTAATCCCAGCACTTTGGGAGGCCGAGGAGGGCGGATCACCTGAGGTCAGGAGTTTGAGACCAGCCTGACCAACATGGCGAAACCCCATCTCTACTAAAAACACAAATATTAGCCAGCCATGATGGCAGGCGCCTGTAATCCCAGCTCCTCAGGAAGCTGAGACTGGAGAATCGCTTGAACCCAGGAGGCAGAGGTTGCAGTGAGCCAAGATCATGCCACTACACTCCAGCCTGGATGACAAGAGCGAAACTCCATCTCAAAAAAAAAAAAAAAAAGATAACCTCAAAATTTATGAAATATACCCTATTAGGCCTATAAGGAGAAATGGAGAAAGTCATTGTCTTTTTGAAAAACTGTTAACTCAAGAGGCAAAAATCTAGACGTATCAAATATATATATGTTATATATATATATATATATAACATATATATATAACATATATATAGTCAATGAGTGTGTATGTATATATAGTCAATGGGTATATACAGTCAATGAGTATATATGTATGTGTATACACACACACACACACACACACACGTACATATATACTCAAGGAGAACACAGATTCTTTTTAAACACTCTTGTGACATTAACAAGAAGTCCCTATATAGAGGACAAATAGAAAGTTTCAATAAATTCCAAATAACAACATCCTCTTAACCAAAATACAGTTACATTATAATAACATAGCTAACAGATAATTCAGTGGTTTAAAAAATAAATCTTGAGAAATAGAAATACATTTACTCTTGAGACATGAATGTAGCTAATTGTTTATTAAAAATAAAAAACACTGAAAATAAATGATCATCTAAGTATTGAACTCAACAAGCTAGAACAAAAAAAGTCAAAGAAAATAAAACGGAAATTAGCCAAAAAAAAAAAAAAAAAAATCAATAAAGAGAATGGACCCCGCCCCCGCAAAAGCTTGTTGTTTGAAGTCTAATGAAATACACAAACTTCTAGTAAGCTGGACCAAGAAAAGAGAGAAAGCACAAATAAACAGTATTAAAAATAAAAAGGGCACATTATCGCATAGATTTTTAAAATTCAGAACACTGAAAACATTATATCAATAAATTTGAAAACCCAGATAAATTAAATAATTTTCTTTAAAATATATATAACCAAGGCTGGGCACGGTGGCTCACACCTGTAATCCTAGCACTTTGGGAGCCTGAGGTGGGCAGATCTCTTGAGCTCGGGAGTTCAAGATCAGCCTGGGCAACATGGTGGAAACACTGTCTCTACAAAAAACACAAAAAATTAGCCGGGTGTTGGTGGCTCGCACTGATAGTCCTAGCTACTCAGGAGGCTGAGGCAGGAGGATCACTTGAACCCAGGAGGCAGAGGTTGCAGTAAGCCGAGATCACGCTACTACACTCCAGCCTGGACGATAGAGCGAGACTCCTACCTCCAAAAAAAAAAAAAAAAAAAGAAGAAACAAAATTTTTAATAATAATATATATAACCAAAATTGACTCAATCAAAAGTATAAACAAAAGTAGACTGTAACCTTTAAATAAATTGAATCGTAGTTTTTTAAAAACTCCTCTGCCCAGGATGTAGTGAAACTGGATCCCTTGTGCACTGTTGGTGGGAATGTAAAATGGTTCAGCTGCTGTAGAACACAGTATGGTGATTCCTCAAAAAAATTAAACATAGAATTATCACAGGATCCAGCAATTCCACATCTGGGTATATATCCAGAAGAATTGAAAGTGAGGCCTTGGCCAGGTGCGGTGGCTCACGCCTGTAATCCCAGCACTTTGGGAGGCCGAGGAGGGCGGATCACGAGGTCAGGAAATCGAGACCATCCTGGTCAACATGGTGAAACCCCGTCTCTACTAAAAATACAAAAATTAGCTGGGCATGGTGGCAGGCGCCTGTAGTCCCAGCTACTTGGGAGGCTGAGGCAGGAGAATTGCTTGAACCAGGGAGTCGGAAGTTGCAGTGAGCCAAGATCACGCCACTGCACTCCAGCCTGGGCAAGAGTGAGACTCCATCTCAAAAAAAAAAAAAAAAAAAAGAAAGTGAGGCCTTGAAGAGCTACCTGGTCACCCGTGTTCATAGTAGCATCAGTCAATAGCTGAACAGTAGAAGTGTTCATCAACAAACACATAAGCAAAACGTGGCCTATCCATACAATGAAATATTATTCAGCCTTAACAAGGAAGAAAATTCTGACCTATGCTACATGGATGAACCTTAAGGACATTATGCGAAATGAAATGAACCAGTCACAAAAAGACAAACACTGTATGATTCTACGTGTGAGGGATCTAGAATAGTCAATTTTATAGAGACAAACAATAGGATAGTGGTTTTTAGAGGGTGGGGGAGGGGGAACAAAGTTTTTGTTTAATGAGTATAGAATTTCAGCTTTGTTAAGATGAAGAGTTCTGGAGATGGATGGTGGTTATGGTTTCATGACAATACAAATGTACTTAATATCACTGAACTGTACATTTAAAAACTGTTAAGATAATAAATTATATGTTATGTATATTTTACCACAATTTAGACACGCCTATAATCCCAGCACTTTGGGAGGCCGAGGCAGGTGGATCACGAGGTCAAGAGATCAAGACCATCCTGGCCAACATGGTGAAACCCTGTCTCTACTAAAAACACAAAAATAGCTGGGCATAGTGGCGGGCACCTGTAGTCCCAGCTACTCGGGAGGCTGACACAGGAGAATCACTTGAACCCGGGAGGTAGAGGTTGCAGTGAGCTGAGATCGTGCCACTGCACTCCAGCCTGGTGACAGAGCAAGACTCCATCAAAAAAAAAAAAAAAAAAAAAAAAAAAAAGGAACTCTCTGCTCAACGATGTCTTGCTATTCTCCAACCACTCAAAATAGATATCAGGTCAAACTACTCTAGAGCCAATTTCACCAAATGTTCAAAGAGGTTAACACCTACCTTATAGAAACTATTTCAGAGATATGAAAAAAGTCATGTAATGAGGTTTATAACCTTCCTAACAAAATAAAACAAGGCCAGTACAAAAAAGAAAACAATCTCCCATCTATTGACAATGATGCCAAATCATGTTATTAGCTCTGCAAGGTGGGTGTTATTATTCCCATTTTATTGATAAGAAAAACAAAGATAGGTAACTCACTAGGCTCCCATGGCTCACAGTGAAAATGAATGTAGCCTCACATCTTTCCTGGCCATCGCCCTGCCTCTCAGACAGGACTAGAGAACAAGGGTCCCCCCTCCCTCCAGCCTTCCACAACTGAGGGGATTTCCCAGTGGCCACTGGTGATAGGAGAAGACCTCGGGGGCCAGCACTCACCAGGACGGGCTCCACCAGCTTCCCCTCCGGCATGACCGAGCGGTTCATCTTGGCAACGCGCTCCAGAGTGGCCAGGGCAGCCCGAGTGTTCCCAGTGGAGACATTGAACCGGGCAGATTCAGGAATAAACTGGGTAGAGATTACAAAGAACATCAGAGTGGCCACTGCTATAGAACCCAGGGGTACAGCTATTATTGCTCTATACACTACAGTCCTAGTTTCCCAAGATAGGAAAAGTATGTAACCAGCTTAAAGGCATGCAATGTAGCAGGTATTCTGTTGGATTCAAAGTTGATTTGGAACAAAAAAGGTCATGTTCTCCTTATCATAGTCCCTTCCAGGATGACGGCAGGCTGATACTCAGTTTTGCACCAATAGGGCCCAACCTAGTTGTTGACATAATGAAATTCTCACTTTCAATTGTTAAATAGCCACTGCTGCGGGCACCCCTCTCCACCCCCTCCCCCTCTCCAGGAACCCCAGGACCTCCCCACCATGCAACCACCAAAGGGTGACAGGAACAGGGGGCTCCAGCACCCACACGGTGGAGGAATCAGTTCTGATTGTGAAGGCTCTCAACCCACTGAATACTGAATATTTTGAACATCGCACGCAGAAAACATTATGGACTTCCACTGAAGCTCGAGAATCAACTCTGACCACCTCCCGTCTCTCACGCCTCACGCAATCAAGGCTGTTGGCTCTTCCTCAGAAAAGCACCTCCACAGCAGCACCTGGCCCCACATTCCCATGGCCAGAGGGCAGTTTGGGTCCCCCTGTTGGTTATTCTGACACTTGATTTTCCAGCCTTTTTCCTCTTGCCTCATGCCCAGCCTCCACAGCAATATGCCAGCTTCCTAGCACATAATCTCTTCCACAATCAGAAGTCACCTCCTTCAACACCTCCACAATCCCTTTAAAACAGTCCAGAGATCTTTTTATTTTTTGCAGTTAATATGCCACGAATTCATAGGGAGAAGATTCCAGCAGCTCAGGCTCCCCGCCATGGTTCTCACAAATGTGCCTCTCTGGGTGGAACAGGACTGGTGCTTCAGCCGAACCCAGGTATACTTCCCTTCGGCTTCCTTGTTTTTTTGTTTCGTTTTGTTTTGTTTTTTGAGATGGAGTCTCGCTCTGTCGCCCAAGCTGAGTGCAGTGGTGCAATCTCAGCTCACTGCAACCTCCACCTCCCGGGTTCAAGCAATTCTCCTGCCTCAGCCTCCTGAGTAGTTGGGATTACAGGCACGCACCACCACGCCTGGCTAATTTTTGTATTTTTAGTAGAGATGGGGTTTCACCATGTTGGCCAGGCTGGTCTCGAACTCCTGACCTAGTGATCCACCCACCTCAGCCTCCCAAAGTGCTGGGATTACAGGCGTGAGCTACCGCGCCCGGCTGGCTTGTTTTTCTGATCATTTTCTGCACGAGTTTCAGGAAGCTATCTCGGCTCCTAGAGTGCTTAGTGTACTCAATATGCGCATCAATTCCCTTGACAAGAATCTGGCCCATAACCTGTTTGTTTACAACAATGCCAACAGCAAGCTGCGTAGCATCATAGACTCCTCCAGTTCTGCCACAGTAACACCTGGGGGCATTCCTTTTAAACAGCGCCCATCCCCTTGATGTCTACAATATCACCTTCTTACAGATTCATAGGTATGTGGCCAAAGGAACAACTCCATGTTGTCTAAGAGGTCTGGTGACCTCTCCTCTTTCCCTTTGTGTAGGTCATTTTGGTGACTTACTGGAAGATGGCAGTTCTGGTCAAAAGGAAGCCCTTTGTGTTGGTTTTTGTTGTTGTTGGTTTTTTGTTTTTTTGAGAGACAGAGTCTTGCTCTGTTGCCCAGTCTAGAAGGCAGTGGCGCAATCATAGCTGACTGCAGCCTTGACCAACCAGGCCCGAGCAACCCTCCCATCTCAGCCTCCTGAGTAGCTGGGACCACAGGCACGGACCACAACACCCAGCTAAAATTTTTATTTTTAATAGAGATGGGGTTCTGCCATGTTGCCCGGGCTGGTCTTGAACTCCTGGGCTCAAGCGATCCTCCTGCCTTGGTTTTCTAAAGTGCTGGGATTACAAACATGAGCCACCATGTCTGGCCAGCAGAAAGTCTTAGACTACACCAACAGAGGCAGACAATCTGCCCACAGGAAGCAAGTGGCTTACTAAGCTCACTGGTCCCCGAGCACCTGGGGCCTGTGTGTGATTCTCAGCAAAAGTGCACTGCATAGAAGGCACTGGCCAACTGGGCTTGTCCAGAAGAAAATGGACATGGCTCTGGGGCCAGCTGTCATGAGGAAGACTTGAAGGTAATGACATTGCTTAGAGAAGGAAAGGCTTAGGGGCCATAGATTCATACATATTTAAGAGGATGATGGCCGGGCGCAGTGGCTCACACCTGCAATCCCAGCACTTTGGGAGGCCGAGGTGGGCAGATCACGAGGTCAGGAGGTTGAGACCAGCCTGGCCAACATGGTGAAACCCCATCTCTACTAAAAATACAAAAATTAGCTGGGTGTGGTGGCACGCACCTGGCACCTATAGTCCCAGCTACTCTGGAGGCTGAGGCAGGAGAATTGCTTGAACCCGGGAGGCAGAGGTTGCGAAGAGCTGAGATCGCACCATTGCACTCCAGCCTGGGCAACAAGAGTGAAACGCCATCTCAAAAAAGAAAAATGAAAAAAAGATGACATGGCGAGAAGATAGCTCTATGGTCTTCCTGAGAGACAGAGTAGGACCTGCAGGTAAATTTATAGGGAGAAAATTCTGCTCAACATAGGAAAGACTTTAACAGCTAGGGGTGCCTGGAGATGGGATATACTGTTGAAATCTATAAAGTAGTCACATGTCTGGCCGGGTGTGGTGGCTCACACCTGTAATCCCAGCCCTTTGGGAGGCTGAGGCGGGTGGATCACTAAGTCAGGAGTTCAAGACCAGCCTGGCCAACATGGTGAAACCCCATCTCTACTAAAATACAAAAATTAGTCGGGCGTGGTGGTGCAAGCCTGCAACCCCAGGTACTCAGGAGGCTGAGGCAGGAGAATCACTTGAACATGGGAGGTGGAGGTTGCAGTGAGCCGAGATTGTGCCATTGCACTCCAGCCTGGGCAATAGAGTAAGACTCCGTTTCAAAAAAAAAAAAAAAAAAAATAGTCACATGCCTGAAGCTAGCAGCTTTCTGGCAGAGACCTGCTTCTACATGGGATGCCTGTATTGAGTCGAGGTTTAGAATGAATGGCCATCAAGGACCTTTCTGAATTCTGACATTCTTTGATTCCATAGGGTAGGTGACATCAAACTAAAACCCCGGTTCTGCTGAGTGGTCAATCTTGTCTTTGAATGAGTAGAATTGTACTGCAAACTAAGGAAGATGATGATTCTACAGTTGAACAACCTACAGATGAGTGGGAGAGAAGCCTGTGGTGGCCTGGGAGTATGTCAACAGCATCCAACAGGTGGTGCTGAAGGAGAGAGTGGAGTCAGCAAAAACAGGACGGAGCCGTCAGACAAAACTTCTAGGAAGAGGGGCAACGAGGCAGGCTAAGGGAGGTGAGGGCTGCCCGCTGGTTGAGACAGACTCCTCAATAAAGGTAATAGGATGTGAGAAAGATGGCCTGGCGCGGTGGCTCATGCCTGTAATCCCAGCACTTTGTGCCAAGATGGGCGGATCACTTTAGGCCAGGAGTTCAAGATCAGCCTGTCCAATGTGATGAAACCCCTTCTCTGCTAATAATAGCACTTTGGGAGGCCGAGGCGGGTGGATCATGAGGTCAGGAGATCGAGACCACGGTGAAACACTGTCTCTACTAAAAATCCAAAAAAAAAAAAAAAAAAAAAAAAATTAGTCAGGCGCGGTGGTGGGCGCCTGTAGTCCCAGCTACTCAGGAGTCTGAGGCAGGAGAATGGCGTGAACCCGGGAGGCGGAGCTTGCAGTGAGCCGAGGTCGCGCCACTGCACTCCAGCCTGGGGGACGCTGCACTCCAGCGCCACTGCACTCCAGCCGAGGTCGCGGCACTGCACTCCAGCCTGGGGAGACTCCATCTCAAAAAAAAAAATTAGCTGGGTATGGTGGCACATGACTGTAATCCCAGCTACTCGGGAGGCTGAGGCAGGAGAATCACCTGAACCTGGGAGGCAGAGGCTGCAGTGAGCCGAGATTGCACCTCTGCACTGCAGCCTGGACAACAAAGAGAGACTCTGTCTCGAGGGGGAAAATAAAAGATATTTGTGGGGCATGAAGGCCACTGGACCAGCAGGAGGAGGGGACAGGAAGGAGCCACAAGTGCTTCCCCACCTTGAAGGCCACGATGAGGATGATGCCCGGGATGGAGGCGACGCGAATGAGCCAGCGCCACCCGATGGTGGGGATGATCACAGAGGCCAAGCCAATGATGAGCAGGGAGCCCGCAAGCCAGAACACCTAGGAAGAGAGAAGTCCAGGATTAAAGTTCTTTGGGGAATTATGACAATGAAAAAAAAAAAGGAAAAATATATATTTTTAGAAAGATTAAAATTCCTTCTGTCCCATGTGCTTCACATATCTTCTTTTGGGAGCCACTTTGTCCAGCATTTTGCCTTTTGTTTTGTTTTGTTTTGAGACAGGGTCCACTCTCTCACCCAGGCTGGAGTGCAGTGATCCAACCTCGGCTCACTGAACCCTCTGCCTCCTGGGTTCAAATGATTCTCATGCCTCAGCCTCCCGAGTAGCTGGGATTATAGGCATGTGCCACCACGCCCAGCTCATTTTTTTTGTATTTTTAGTAGAGACAGGATTTCACCATGTTGGCCAGGCTGGTCTCGAACTCCTGACCTCAAATGATCCACCCACGTTAGCCTCCCAAAATGCTGGGATTACAGGTGTGAGCCGCTGAGCCTAGCCCGGGGTGACTATTTCATCACTAAAGAACTCTGTTACCAACAAAAACAAGACTATTTCAGAAAGCAGTAAGGGCTGTAAGGAAAATAGAAAAGTGTGATAGAGTGGGACTTGAGTCATCAGGGACAATATTGCTAAAGAGGCAATGAATAAGCAAGCCAGTAACAAGGCTACTGCAGTAGACCAGGTCAGTGATATAGCATTGAATGGGATTTTAGTAGTGAATGGTGAAAAAAAAGGTTGTTTGTTTGTTTTTGAGACAGAGTCTTGCTCTGTCGCCCAGACTGGAGGGCAGTGGCACAATCTCAGCTCACTGCAACCTCTGCCTCCCGGGTTCAAGCAATTCTCCTGCCTCAGCCTCCTCAGTAGCTGGCATTATAGGCGCGTGCCACCACACCCAGCTAATTTTTGTGTTTTTAGTAGAGACAGTGTTTCACCGTGTTGGTCAGGCTGGTCTCAAACTCCTGATCTCGTGATCTGCCCACCTTGGCCTCCCAAAGTGCTGGGATTACAGGCGCGAGCCACTGCATCCAGCAAAATTCTTATTTTTAATTGATACATTTTCAACAAATTGTACAAAAATTTTTTAACGGATGGATTAACACATTTTGGAGATAAAGGTGACACGGTTCACTGATGGACGTTTCGACTGAAGGTCTAATAATAGAGGGTGTGTTAGTAGGGCTTGTGATTGGGGATGAGGGACAGGGAGGGTCCGGGATGCCTCCTGAGTTTGTGTTCCAAGATCACTGAGGGGAAAGTGTTTGCTATTAACTGAAATTGGAAACAGAAATAAGAGGCTTAAGGGGAAGAAGAGATTAGTTCTGAATATCTTGTATTGAGGAGCCTGTAAGACATTCAAGTAACTATCGGGTCATTGGCTACCTAGGTCTGAAGGTTAAGGAGGCGCTCTAGGTTGTAGAGAAAGATTTTGGGGCCAGTGCGGTGGCTCATGCCTGTTATCCCAACACTTCGGAAGGCTGAGGTAGGGGAATCACTTGAAGCCAGGAGTTTGAGACTAGCCTGGGCAACAAAGCAAGACTCCATCTCCACAAAAAAAAATTTAAAAATTCACTAGGCACCATGACATGCACCTGTAGTCCCAGCTACTTAGGAGGCTGAGGTGGAAGGATCACTTGAGCCCAGGAGTTCGAGGCTGCAGGGAGCTGTGATCACACCAATGTACTCCAGCCTGGGTAACAGAGAGAGACTTTGTCTCAACAACAACAACAAAATTGTCACCTATGTTTATTAACAAAAAATAAATTTGAAAGTATTTTCCTACTGCTTTATTTATTGCCAAGTGTATAAGGCTTCAGCGGGAAGGGTCATCTTTCTCCTCGTTCCTCTGAAAAATCAGGGCTTTTGGTTAAGTGTAGATGGGACAGGGCACCTAGACTGACCTGTCTTCTGGATTCGAAACCTCTAATCAATGGCCAGCAGGGGCCTGAGGAGGGATTGAGAGCACCTAAAGGAGGCAATTTTGGCACATTCCCTCAGGTATGAGCCAGTTCTGGACTTGGAACCACCAGGATCGTTGGAAGGGAGGTAGGACAGCCTAAAGGGGTAGCAGCTGGGACCTACCACTGAAAGCTCGGTGTGGAAGAAAGTTTATCCTGGATGCATCCCTAGGCTTCTGTCATTCCAGTGAAACCGGTCATCAGACTATTTGGTTACTGTGTTCTAAATGCTATTGGATGATGATCATCCTGGGCTCAGAAAACCTTGGAATTGGACCTATGGCTTCAAGCATTCCCAGGCCTCTTTGGTTGGTACAAAATAATAGACAGTGTATCAACCGAAGAACAATCAACCAGCCAAAAATAAACATGCACAGGCACACCTCCTTTTAATCGTGCTTTGCTTTAGTGCACTTTGCAAATATTGCAATTTTTTTTTAACAAATTGAAGGTTTGTTGCAATCCTGTCTTCAGCAAGTCTATTGGTGCCATTTTCCCAATAGCATGTGCTCACTTCATATCTCTGTCACGTTTTAGTAATTCTCGCAATATTTCAAACTTTATCATTATTTTTGCATCTGTTATGGTAGTCTGTGACCCATGATTTTCTATGTATCTTCCACTACAACAATTATTTTCATTGTTTGGGGGCACCGCAAACTGCACCTGTATAAGATATGAACTCAATAGATGCTGTGGAGTCTCATGGCTCCACTTACTGGCTATTCTTTGGTTTCTCTCCTCTCCTTGAGCCTTCCTATGCCCTCAGATACAACAGTATTGAAATTTGATCAATTAGTAATCCTATAGTGGTCTCTAAGTGTTCAACTGAAAGGAAAAGTTGCGCATCTTTCTTTCTTTACCGAGACAGGGTCTCGCTCTGTTGCCCAGGCTAGAATGCAGTGGCGCAATCACGGCTCACTGCAACCTCAACTTCCCAGGCTCAAGTGATCCTCCCATCTCAGCCTGTCTAGTAGATGGAATTACAGGTTCATGCCACCACACCCAGCCAATTTTTTTTTCCCCCTCGCTCTGTCACCCAGGCTGGAGTGCAGAGACAGGATCTTGGCTCACTGCAACTTCTGCCCCCCAGGTTCAAGCGATTCTCCTGCCTCAGCCTCCTGAGCAGCTGGGATTACAGGTGCCTGGCACCACACCAAGCTAATTTTTGTATTTTTAGCAGAGACAGGGTTTCACCATGTTGGCCAAACTGGTCTCAGACTCCTAACCTCAAGTGATCCTCCTACCTCAGCCTCCCAAAGTGCTGGGATTCCAGGTGTGAGCCACTGTGTCTGGCCCGATTTTTTGATTTTTGTAGACTTGGGGCCTCACTGTGTTATCTAGGCTGGTCTCAAACTCCTGGCCTCAAGCAATCCTCCCACCTTGGCCTCCAAAGCACTGGGATCACAGGCATAAGCTGCCACACCCAGCCACATCTCTTATTTAAATCTAAAGCTAGAAATGATTAAAGCTTCATGAGGAAGGCATGTCGAAAGCTGAGGTAAGCCAAAAGCTAGGCCTGTCGTACCAAACAGGCAAGTTGTGAATGCAAAGGAAAAGTTCTTTTTTTTTTTCTTTTGAGATGGCATTCCATTCTTGTTGCCCAAGCTGGAATGCAATGGTGCCATCTCAGCTTGGCTCACTGCATGCAACCTCCGCCTCCCAGGTTCAAGTGATGCTCCTGCCTCAGTCTCCCAAGTAGCTGGGATTACAGGTGCACGCCACCACACCCGACTAATTTTTTGTATTTTTAGTAGAAACAGGGTTTCACCATGTTAGCCAGGCTGGTCGTGAACCCCTGACCTCAGGTGATCCTCCCACCTCTACCTCCCAAAGTGCTGGGATTACAGGCGTGAGCCACCGCTCCCAGCAGAAAAGTTCTTGAAGGAAATGAAAAGTGCTACCCCAGTGAACAAAAGTGGTAAGAAAGTGAAACAGCATTACGGCTGATATGGAGAAAGTCTGAGTGGTCTGGATAGATCAAAGTGCCACAACATTCCCTTAAGCCAAAGCCTAATCCACAGCAAGGCCCTAACTCTCTTCAATTATGGGAAGGCTAAGAGAGGTGGGGAAGCTGCTGAAGAAGAGTCTGAAGCTAGCAGGGGTTGGCTCGTGAGGTTTAAGGGAAGACGCTGTCTCCGTAACATAGAAGTGCAAGGTGAAACAGCAAGTGCTGCTGGAGAAGCTGCAGCAGGTCATCCAGGAGATCTAGCTAAGATCACTGGTGCAGGTGGCTACTACACTCAACAGATTTTCAGTGTAGATGAAACCACCTTGCACTGGAAGAAGATGCCATGCAGGACATTCACGGCTACAGAGGAAAAAATCAGTGCCTATTTCAAAGCTTCAAAGGACGGGCTGAATCTGTTATTAGGGGTTAATGCTCCTGGTGACTTCAAGTTGAAGCCAATGATCATCGACCATTCTGAATATCCTAGGGCCCTTAAGAATTATGCTAACTCTTGGGGCCGTGCACAGTGCCTCTTACCTGTAATTTCAGCACTTTGGGAGGCTGAGGCAACCAGATCACTTGAGGCCAGGAGTTCAAGACCAGCCTGGTCGACATGGCAAAATCTCATCTCAACTAAAGAAAAAATACAGGGCCGGGCATGGCGGCTCAGCCTGTAATCCCAGCACTTTGTGAGGCTGAGGTGGGTGGATCACAAGGTCAGGAGTTCAAGACCAACCTGGCCAACGTGGTGAAACCATGTCTCACTAAAAATACAAAAATTAGCTGGGCGTAGTGGCATGTGCCTGTAATCCCAGCTACTCAGGAGGCTGAGGCAGGAGAACCACTTGAATCTGGGAGGCAGAGGTTACAGTGAGCTGAGATCATGCCACCACACTCCAGCCTGGACGACAGAGCAAGACTCTGTCTCAAAAAAAAAAAAAAAAGAAAAGAAAAGAAAAGAAAAGAAAAAATACAAAAGTTAGCTGGGTGTGGTGGTGCACTCCTGTAATCTCAGGTACTTGGGAGGCTGAGGCGTGAGAATCTCTTGAACCCAGGAGGCAGATGTTGCAGTGAGCCAAGATTGTCCCACTGCACTCCAGCCTGGGCAATAAAGCAAGACTCCCTCAAAAAAAAAAAAAAAAAGAATCATGGTAAATCTTGCACACAAATAAACACTCAGAAGAAATAAGTCCTGGTGTTTGCTAGATCAGTAGAGTGACTATAGTTAATATTAATTGACTGTACATTTCAAAATAGCTAGAAGAGAATAATTCATAGGTTCCTAGTGTACAGAAGAGATAAGATGATGTATATCCTAATTATCCTGATTTGATTACACGAATGTATTATCACATATATACCCAAAATATGTAAATCTATGTATCAATAAAATAAATTGTTTAAATGATGCTAATCTATTCTGTTTGTTCTCTAGAAATAGAACAACAAAACCTGGATGACAGCATGTCTGTTTACAGCATGGTTTACTGAGTTTGTTTTTTTTTTTTTTTTTGAGACGGAGTCTCGCTCTGTCACCCAGACTGGAATGCTGTGGTGCAATCTTGGCTCAGTGCAACCTTCTCCTCCCAGGTTCAAGCGATTCTCCTGCCTCAGCCTCCCGAGTAGCTGGGACTACAGGCGGTTTACTATTTTAAGACTACTGTTGAGACCTACTTCTCGGAAAAAAAGGTTTTTTAAAATATTACTGCTCACCAGGCAAGATGGCTCACACCTGTCATCCCAACACTTTGGAAGGCTGAGGCAGGAGAATAGCCATGAGTTTCAGAAAAGCATGGTCAACATAGTGAGACCACATCTCCACACAACATAGTGAGACCACATTTTCACTTCCTGTTTCACTTCCTTTTTTTTTTTTTTTTTAAAAAAAAAAAGAATTCAGAGCCTGCTGGGTACAGTGGCTCATGCCTGTAATCCCAGCACTTTAGGAGGCCAAGGCGGGCAGATTGCTTGAGCTTAGGAGTTCGAGACCAGCCTAGGCAACATGGAGAAACCCCATCTCTACAAAAAATACAACAATCAGCTGGCGTAGTGATGCGCACCTGTAATCCCAGTTACTCAGGTGGCTGAGGTGGGAGGATCACTTGAGCCTGGGAGGCAGAGGTTGCAGTGAGCTGAGATCGCACCACTAAACTCCAGCCTGGGTGACAGAGCAAGACCCTGTCTCAAAAAAAAGAAAAGAAAAGAAAAATCAGAGCCAGCTGGGCACAGTGCCTCACGCCTGTAATCCCAGTACTTTGGGAGGCCGAGGCGGGTGGATCACCTGAGGTCAGGAGTTTGAGACCAGCCTGGCCAACATGGTGAAACCCCATCTCTACCAAAAATATAAAAAATTAGCTGGGCATGGTGGTGCACGTCTGTAATTCCAGCTACTTGGGAGGTTGAGGCAGGAGAATCACTTGAACCCAGGAGGCAGAGGTTGTAGTGAGCCAAGATGGCGCCATTCCACTCCATCCTGGGCAACAAGAGCGAAACTCCATTTCAAAAAATAAAATAAAAATATCAGAGCCTCACTTTTATCCTCCAAGGTGATATAAGCTACACACACGCACACACACACACACCCCTACACACACACTCTACAGTAATATATGTGCATATAAATGTATATATACTATTATATATATATTATACTAATATATTTACGTATAATTTACATATATGTACATGCAATATTAGTGTAATATATACTATATTTGTGTAATATAGATATATATTCATTTATTACTGTAATATATATTACAGGATTATATTCTTATGGATAAGCAACAAAAGTGATTTCTTGAGATGAAATCTACTCCTGGTGAAGAAGCTATGAACATTGTTGAAATTACAACAAAGAATTTAGAATATTCATAAACTTAGTTGATAAGGCAGTGGCACAGTTTGGGAGAATTGACTGCAATTTTGAAAGAGGTTCTCTACTGTGGGTCAAATGCTATCAAACAGCATTGCATCCTACAGAGAAATCTTTCAGGAAAAGAAGAAGTCCATTGATGTGGCAAACTTCATTGTTATCTTTTTTTAAGGAATTGCCACAGCCACCTCAATGTTCAGCAACCGCCACCCTGATCAGCCAGCAGCCATTAACACTGAGGCAAGAACTTCTACCAGCAAAAAGATTATGACTCTCTAAAGGCTCAGAAGATCATTAGAATTTATCAGCAATCAAGTATTTTAAAATTAAGGTGTGTACATTGCTTTTTAGGCATGATGCTACTGCACACTTACTAGACTTTAGTATAGTGTAAACATAACATTTACATGCACTGAGAAACCAAAAAGGTTGTGTGACTCACTTTATTCTGATACTCGCTTAATTGCAGCGAGCTGGTACCAAACCAGCAGTATTTCCAAGGTATGCCTATATGTACATCTTATCCCATAGGATGCCAAAGGCAGGTAGAACTCCTACGTTGCCTTACCTGAGACAAGGGTAACATATAGCCTCGGTATTTCGTGGGCAAAAATTCAGTCTTTATGATTAACCTAAACAGGAAGCAGGAAAAAGCATAATTTTGTTTTAAAAAACTAAATCATCTTTTAAAAAATAATCAGTTTTTCTTGTCACAGGGATAAAGAATTCAAAAGCATAGAAGTTGATTATATATCAGAAGAGAATTATGACAGCTAATATCCACATAAGAGAACAGTAAGAACGAAACTGACAATTGCTCCTGGGTTTACATCTTTACTCCCAATACTTTAAACCTTCTAACACTTAAGAAATATAAGCCTGGCCAGGTGTGGTGGCTCACACCTGTAATCTCTGCACTTTGGGAGGCCAAGGTGGGTGGATCACCTGAGGTCAGGAGTTCGAGACCAGCCTGGACAACATGGAAAAACCCCGTTTCTACTAAAAATACAAAATTAGCTGGGTGTGGTGGCGCATGCCTGTAGTCCCAGCTACTCAAGAGCCTGAGGCAGGAGAATCACCTGAGCCCAGGAGGTGGAGGTTGTGGTGAGCCAATATTGTGCCATTGCACTCCAGCAACAAGAGCGAAACTCCATGTTGAAAAGACAAAAAAAAAAAGAAATATAAGCCTTATCTGTTTTGCCAAGGGAAGCACTGGCAAAATGTTTTCCCAAGCCTGATTCCCTTTTCTTATTTGTTTATTTATTTATTTATTTATTTATTTATTTATTTATTTTAGAGACAAGGTCTGGCTGTCTCCCAGGTTGGAGTACAGTGGTTTGATCACAGCTCGCTGCAGCCTCAAACTCCTGGGCTCAAGAGATCTTCTCACCTCAGCCTCCCAAGTGGCTGGGATTACAGGTGCTCACCACCACACCCAGCTAATTTTTAAATTTTTTGTAGAGATGGGACCTTGCTGCATTGCCAATCCTGGCCTCAAGCAACTGTTGCACCTTGGTTTCCTAAAGGGCTGGGATTATAGGGGTGAGCCACTGCACTCAGCCTGATTCCCTTTTCTAAAACACATTGGGAAATTAAAATACACCTGAGAGAAGGTAAATAGTTCTCTCAATTCATGAGGACAGTCAAGGCACAAGTTTCTAATTAAGTACATATTTTCTTCTGAATATAAGAATAAATAGAAACATATTCCATCAGTTTTCTAATTGCTCTTCTCTGTTGCTGTTGTTAGCCAGAATTTGGGGATTTTTAACATATTTATTGAGCTGTTTCCTGGGGAATGTTTTATATTTTTACTTAGCTTCTACTCCTTTAGGGCTCCAAAGCTCAAAGCTTACTGTATGCCCCAGGGAAGAACAATTCTTTCTCTAACACATGAAGGCAGTAATTAGGTGCTTTGACATCTCCTAACATATTTTAAGAATAATCTCCTCCAAGGCACCAAGAAGAGAAGAGCCCAAGGGGTCCTGTGAATTCAAGGGGAGGGGAGTTCCTGCAACTGAGGGTTCCTCCCTATTTTAGGCCATTTAGGGTAATTTCTGGACATTGCCATGGCATTTGTAAGCTGTCCTGGCACCACTGGGAGTGTCTTTTGGCATGCTAATACATTATAATTAGAGTATAATAAGCAGTGAAGACAATCAGAGCTCGCTTTGGTCGCCATCTTGGTTTTAGTGGGTTTAGGCCAGTTTCTTTACCACATCTTGTTTTATCAGCGGGGTGTCTTGTGATGTGTATCTTGTGAAACCAGTCCTGCTGATCTCCTATCTCTTCCTGTGACTAGGAATGCCTAACCTCCTGGGAATGCAGCCCAGCAAGTCTCAGCTTCATTTTACCCAGCCCCTATTAAAGATGGAGTCACTCTAGTTCGATCCCATCTGACATATTCCCCCCCCTCCCTTTTACAAGAGGAGTCTTAAATCATAGGGTGATAGTACTCAAAAATAGTTACTCCTAAATGTTACAGGGGCTTATGGTCAAACTAAACTCTTCCAACAAATTCAAGAAATTAATAAATTATGTTTGGATTGACTTCAAAAATTTTTGTTTGTTTGTTTGTTTTTGTAGAGCGAGGGTCTCACTATGCTGTCCAGGCTGGTCTTGAACTCCTGGGCTGAAGGGATTTGCCTCAGTTTCCCAAAGTGCTCAGATTACAGATGCGAGCCACCACCACGCCCAGCCTGGGTTGACATTTTGTTACCTGACACTTGTTAGTATTTCCTGTAACAAAATATTGCACATCTCAAAAACAATGACTAGCCTTATGAACAAAAAAGCTAACACCTGCTTGATCTAGCACTCTGCTAGCCTCACCATCAAGCATCATTTTAAGGAGAAAACTGCTCCTGCTGGAGCATTAAATAAGCAGCTATCACTAAAAACCAAACAAAGCTTAAACTGAGTTTGCACAAGTGACATCTATAAATCTGTAACTTATTAATGCTGTAAACTAGAAATAAAATTTGAAGTGCCCCCCCGCCCCAACCCCAACCCCATTCATCTACCAACTACCACCATCTGAATGGATTCCCTCCTCAGCCAGGGCACTCTAAAATTTAACCTGAAAGACTGGTTCAGGCCACGACAGGAAGTGGGGTCGGACATGCCTCATTATATCCCTCTAGCATTAGCATCAACGCAGACCTTAAGTCTGGTGAGACACATTTACAATCTATTTTCTCTGAAGCTGGCTACCTGGAGGCTTCATTTGCATGATAAAACCTTGGTTGTGGAGACCAGAATGTCTTAACCTGGACATTCTTTTCTACTGATAACTCCTTCAACCAATGCCAATCAGAAAATGTTTAGATCAGCCAGGCACAGTGACTCACACCTATAATCCTAGCACTTAGGGAGGCCAAGGCGGGTGGATTACCTGAGGTCAAGAGTTCGAGACTAGCCTGGCCAACATGGCGAAACCCCGTCTCTACTAAAAATACAAAAAATTAGCCGGGCATGATGGCAGGCATCTGTAATCCCAGCTACTTGGAGGCTGAGGCAAAAGAATCGCTTGAACCCAGGAGGCGGAGGTTGCAGTGAACTGAGATTGTGCCATTGCACTCCAGCCTGAGCAACAGAGCCAGACTCTATCTCGAAAAAAAAAAAAAAAATTAATATGTTAACATCTACCTGTGGTCTGGAAGTCCCCCACCCTTTGAGTTGTCCTGCCCTTCCAGATGGAACCAATGTAAATCTTACATGTATTAATTGATGTGTTATGTCTCCCTAAAATATATAAAACAAGCTATACCCCAACTACCTTGGGCACATGTCCTCAGGGCCTCCTGAGGCTGTGTCACAGCCACATCCTTAACTTTGGCAAAAATAAACTTTCTAAATGGACTGAAACCTGTCTCAGATATGTTGGGTTCACAATGCTTTTGGTCTATTAAGCGCAGTGTGTGTGCATCAGGGCCTGCAGGGGTACACGTTTCTGTCTCAGGGTCCCCTGGGTAACATATTTACCCTTGCGAGTGGCCGGACACACCACAGCCCACCATCGTCCGCAGGAAGACAAACCAGATGTACGAAGGAGCAAACGAGGTCAGCAAGGAGAAATAGGCTCCCCACAGGAACGAGATGAGCAGAATCTGAAGCAACAGCAGAACACATGAATGGGACCTGCCTCAATGCGGGGAGGGAAGAAGCCCTAACTTCTGAAGGCGATTTTCGGTTTCCATCCTGATAGTTGCTTCTCTGAGGAGCTAACCTGTAGCAAGCCCACTGGTCTTTCACAATCATCCAACAATACAATCCATGCCATTCTACTGTCTGGAAGCCCAGACCTACCAAGTTCAGACCATTCTTTAAAACTACCATGCTGTGCCCACCCTCATGGGTGGCAGGTCCCTGAACTTGGACATCAAAAGGCAAAAACGTGTCCTCCCTACTCACAGGGCTGCTGGGGACGTAATGAGGCAGTATGTTGGGAGGAGTACAAGGAGAACATTTAAGGTATTTGCTTTTTCTTTAATTATAAGGATAAATTCATAGTAAACAATACAGAAGAAAAAAGAAAATTAAGAAATTGAAATCACCATTGATTGTCCAACCCAGAGAAGATAACTCTTAACACTGTTTTATCTTCTCTGTTTATGAGAGAAAACGAAGTGTTAATGGCTGGCTATAAATGTTCCAGTGGAAAGATGTACTTTCATACATGTAATATAATACATAAGACCTTGCTCTACTGTTGCAGTTTAAGTTGTTTCAGATCTTCTCATTATTAAAATAAGCTGCGATGATATCTGTACATAAGTCGTTATGCCCTCTCTGATATCTTTAGCAAGCTAGATTTCTGGAAGACAAATGTTCAGGTTAGCAGAATATTTTCAAGGTTCATGTTTCATACTGCCAGGCTGATGGTCAGAAAAATTATACCAATAGGGTTTAATAATATTATATAATAATAATGATATATTAACACCAACAGGGTGTTATATATAGTAAGGGTGTCTATATACTTGCAAGTCATGAAAATGTCCATTTCAACGGTGCAGGACTCTTTAAGGAAAAATTTCCTTACATATTTGATAAGGAAAAATTATATCTTGCTATGTATTTTGTTTTTGATAACTCCTGTACTTTAATGTTTTTTCAAAGTTTCTTGATAATTTGTATTTCTTTTATAAAATGCCTTTTTGTGCTTTTTTGAGATACTCGTGTTTTCAAATTTACAAGAATCTATGCTATTTATTTCATGTACTTTAAAACATACAGCCAATTCTACTAATGTTTTCCTTTGAGATTCCTCCATTTGTGTTTATGCTCAGAGAGGATTTCACCAGAAATCAAGCAAATAGAAAAGACAGACCTGGGTTTGTAATCAGAAGACATAATTTATGTCTTGATGTCTAATCTTAGTAGGCACGTGACTTTGAGCACGTAGCTAGTTTCAAAGCTATACCAACATGAGCAAAATGTGTAGCTGCTTATGTTTATACCTGCAAATGTCCACACTCTAATATGTTTTAACTCCGTACATCCATCAACTTGAGAGAGAAAAGCGGCTCAGAACAGTCTGAGGAATGTGAGGTATGCAGAATTTATCAGGTCCAGAGACACAGGAGCATGCGACTCCGGTCACATTCCCGCACCCATGCCCAGGGTAATTGTATTTCATTTTGTTTTTCTTACCTTCCCTGTAGTTTCCAGACTAGCTGATAAATTACCTAAAAGGTTACCGCAAGTTGCACAATGTGACGCTCATCCATTATCTCCATGTTTTTAGATTTTGTGACACCAAGAAAGATGTAGAATCAGCTGATAGCATACCTTATTTTAACGAACCAATGTAAATTATTAGTAAATAACTTAGGAAGTGCCCCCAAATTCTTTTCTCTCCTCCTTTAAAAAACCCACTTGTAACTGCTGCTAATCGGAGCATATATTCAGGGCAACTGGACTGTATGACTTCCGAGCTGCAATCCTCAATCTTGGTCCAAATAAACTCCCTACTTATATTAATTTCGTCTCTGTTTCTTCCTTTAGGTCAATATTTCTGGCATAGCTGGCAAGGTTCAGAGCAACACCACCCCTTACCCCCACAATTACCAATAGGCTCCTCTTGAACTTGCTGCATGAACCCACTGCGTTCCCCTAACTCCAGAGGTTTCACTGGGGGCAAAAGGGTGAGTCTTTCTGAATCTGGCCCTCCTTTCCTTTAGGTTGAGGTCTACAGTTTGGGTGGCTTCTTTATAAACTCTCTCATTTAAGAGCATGGGCTTCCATTTCTGTCCCTGGACGGGACATTCAGGCAAATGGCTCTGCAGAGAACTTCTGCTTTCTCTGCCTCTGCCTCATAGCAGCAGGTTTGGCTTAATGGTCTTGGCCATCCAGCACTAGTCATTTTACTTTTTCTTGTCCTAAAATTCCATCACAGGCTTTAAAACTTGCATCTGTTTCCTACTGATTGTAATTTGGACTTCTCTTTTCATTTGTGGCCAGTTCCTGCTAGTTTCAAACAGATAGGTGCCTGAGGGTGAGTTTTCTTGCCCCAAAATTAAGGGAGACTTGCTCCCTCCCAACCTACTTGGGTGCTCTGGGGGGTTAGAGACTTTATGGACACTCACTCATGACACATAGTCCTGAAAGAACAGCTTCTTCTGAGCTTGCTGTTGCAGCAGTGGACTAGTCATTTAAATGAAAACCAGAGGAAAAAACCTCCCAATAGGGCTGCTCTGAAGGGCTAAGGGGCCTTTTCCATTCCCCTTATTAACTCATTAGAAGCGAAGATATGGATAAATGGAGAACAGATGTGTGCCCCCACTGATATCAGACCTCTGTTCTCAACACCACCACAGTAAACTGGACGTGGTGGGGGCATCTAACCAACCCATGACTGCTTCTAAGTCCCAACCTTTAAAAGTTCAAATAGAGCCACTTAGCGGCCTTCCTTCCTTTAATCCTTCTGGGTAGAGATTTCTTAGAACTCTATAATACCCGCATCTCCTTTTACTCCACACCTGGACTGCAGAGGAACAGCTGCAGGCACAGGTACCCTGAGAAAAATGTCCAGAAGATAAGCCTGGAATGTTCCATCAGGGAGGGAAATGTCTGCATTTTCTATCTTGGGTATTGGGAGGGAGATGCCTACTAAAGAGAAACAGTGATAAGGTTGCCCCCAAAAGAATACACAAAAGACAATTCCAAATGCTACTGTGAGGCCCCACCTACCTTCCAGCGGCCATATCTGTCAGCCAGGAGGCCAAAGAGGATACTGAAAACCATGTAGCCAAAAAACACCATCTGCAAGTGGGAGCGAGATAAAACGGTTCTCTAAGCAGGTTTTACATGTTACTTTACCCCGTTAGCCATTTTCACTAGAAGTAGGCTGGAAATACGGGAGGGATGGAAGTTAATTTAAAGAACAGGGTTTCACGTTGGTCTTGCTTGCCCCTGAGGCCCTTCATGTTCAGGATTTCAGCTCCCTGTTGGTGGGAGCCTAACAAGGCAGATCCTGCCCCAGGTGGAAACGGGGTCCTCTGCCGCCCGCTTGTTGCTAGAGGACGGCTTCGGCTCCACTCTATTCAGATGTGTACTTGTGAATTTCCACTGTAATTTTTAAAATTGTCTGTTCATGCGCTGCCTTATACAGTACACAAATTGGGGCCACTAGAAGCAGTCTCCCTTTATGTTATTACAAATAGACATAACTTTAAACACCAAATCCAATCACTCATTTAAAAAACTCTTCAGAACATTCATAAGTCCTAAGATACACCTACTTCTTTTCCTTACTCGTTCTCACAATGGCCTGTCCTCCCCTGATAAAATTCAAGGACCTGGGATTTGACACTAGGGTTTTATTTATTATAACTTGGCCTGAGACCTCAGCTGCTGTCTGTGCCTCTGGGCTCCTTATTTTCCTGCCTTCAAGAAGTTCAGGCTTCACTGCAGCCCTGACTGACGGCCTCCAGGGCAATCAAAGGAATGCTGTCAGCTCGCATTTCTAGGGGAAAACAAAACAAACCAGAAACAGCTCTGTTTCCCTTTCGCTGTCGCTGTTCTGCTTTTTTTCTCCTTCCTTCACTCTTTAGAGGGAAGACTGAAATGCATTTCTCCCACACTGAACCATGAAAAATTCATCATATATATTCTTGCACGACAAAAGCCACGACTGGGTCCTGCACGCTACACTTTCTAGGACAGAAACGTTCCGTAACCCTGTTTGACAGACTGCAGAGACAGAAACCTGTCCGCTCGCTGGGGCTCCAGCTCTCCCTCTGCCTCCCTCACTCGCCCCCAACGATCCTCAGTGGTGCCCCCTTCTTGTGCACCCTACCCTGCCCTCCCCCTCCCCCACCTTCTACCTGGAAGACGTCCTGCCTCCCTCGCGCGCCCCACCTAGCGCGCGCCTAACCCTCCAGCGTCCTTGAGCTCCCATCGGGCACGCGCCTAACCCTCCAGCACCCCTAATCCTCCATCGGACACACCCCTGGCCCTCCATCGGGCGTGCGCCTAACCCTCCAACGCCCCTAATCCTCCATCGGGCACGCCTCTGACCCATTGGGCGCGTGCCTAACCCTCTGGCACCCCGTATCCTCCAGCAGGCGGGCGCCTAACCCTCCAGCGCCCCTAATCCTCCACTGGGCAAGCCCCTGACCCTTTATCGGGCGCGCGCGCCTAACCCTCGAGCACCCCTAATCCTCCATCAGGCGCGCGCCTAACCCTCCAGCGCCTTTAATCCTCCATCGGGCACGCCCCTGACCCTCCACCAGATGCGCGCCTAATCTCCAGCACCCCCGATCCTCCATCGGGCGCGCGCCTAACTCTCCAGCGTCCCTGACCCTCCATCGGGCGCACCCCTGATCCTCCATGGGTGTGCCGCTGACCCCTGATCCTCTCTTGCGCCCTTCCCCCCTCCCCCGCACGCTGCTGCTGCTCACCCCCAGCTCTTCCTCCTCCGCCACCCCGGCGCTCGACCCTTCCCCCCACCCCCGCCCTCGACCCTTCTCCCCAACTCCCGCCCTCGACCTTTCCCCCATAACCCTGACCCTTCCCCCAACCAGCCCCGCGCTCGACCCTTCCTTACCCCCACGCCCACCCTCGACCCTTCCCCCGACACTTCCCCCATCCCCGCCCTTTCCCCTGACCCCCGACACTTCCCCCCGACCCCTGCCCTCGACCCTTCCCCTCCACCCCCGACCCTTCCCCCAACCACCCCCATGCTCGACCCTTCCTACCCCCACCCCCACGCTCGACCCTCCCCCGCCCCCACTCGCCACCTCCCTAGGGTCAGCTCTTTTCTGCAGGTGCTTGTCTTTAATACATGACATGACTCCACTGTTTCTGATTTAAGCAACACACAAAGCGTTTCTTCAGCATGACTCTCACAAAACACAAGGGCCATCATAGCCCCACAATTCTTTAGTTTTCTCAATTAACAACCGCTTAGAAAACAGGGTTGGGGGGCCTGGGAGACAGTGACAATGTTGCTCATTAGCCTGGCCCTTCCGTTTAGCACAATTGTTCCCAGTAAGCTCAGGGACAGGGTCAGAGTCAGATGGGCTAAGCCAAGACAGGAGGATGGGAGGAGCCCAGAGCAGGAAACAGTCACCTTGGGAGAGTTCAGCTGCTTAGAGAGAAGTCTTCTGAGCTGTGATGGCCTAATGAGGGAGATTGTGTACCTGCTGGAAGGAGCCTCTGTAGGCACCTTAGGAAACAGCACAAATGCAGCCAATGAAATATGAGCTGTAAATATCACATTTACATGTGTGTCATGTACTATAAAAAACGGTATCACGTAATACAATTTTGTAGTGCAGGTGCAAATGCCACACCTGGATCTCCAGCATTCTCAAGGATCTAAGAGGTGCATATACACAAGCCAACTGGGGTACAGATCAGTTAGAATTAAACATAAAGTTATAGGGTCACCCTAAAGATACAAGGATTGGCAAGTAACGCTTTTCTGAAAGCCATGAGAACCAAAATGGAGTCACTTAGGCCACACCCTACCAAAATGGGATTGTAGGCAACAGAGGAGGAGCTCTCAGGCACACAAAAACTGTAATAAGGACTCTGAAAACCACAGCCTTGCACAAAGACCACTGATCGCTTGAGCCCAGGAGCTCAAGGCCAGCCTGAGCAACAGAGTGCATCACTGTCTCAAAAACAAACAAAACAAAAAACAAGAAACTGCTTCTGCAAGAACAATACCCAGCCTGTTCTACCTCGGACTGATGCCACCGTTGTTACTGATCCTTGTAGCCAAGGAAAAGTATTTCAAAATAACTTATGTAGCCTTCCTCATTTTGTCTTTAAAAAACTCTCGACTTTCCTTGCCTTCCTGGATACACCTATGGCCCGGCCACGGTTCGCCATGGCACAGGAATTCCCAGATTGCAATCACCTATCATTCCTTTCCAAATAAACTCATTTCTCTGGAGAGCTTCTCTGTTATTTTAGGTTGACACTTTCTAAAGTATTTTATATGTAGAAGAAAATAGAAAGCAATCGAGTCACTTTATTACAAGTCTAAGTAAAAACTTTGTTTTATTTCTAAAAGTTTTTCTAAAAGCATATGATCTGAGACACCAAAATAGACACCCCTTTAGCAACTAAGACGGGCCCCAAGGTTAAAGAAACAAACGTTATCTCCAGGTCAAGGGTTCAGGGTCTGGCAGACATGGCAGATTTCTGAATTCCTGTCTGAGATATCAAGCTGATTTACAACCCAGACCACTACAGTGCTGATTGGACAGAGGACCAGCCTTACAGACATTCTTTTTGGATAAGCTACTGCAGACCTCAGGTCAGTTTCAGCAGCTTATACAGAGAGTGCACAAACTGTTTGTTTTCTGTAGTTCACCTTTGACATAAAGAGCCAAATTCCACCTCATTTTAATGCTAAAACCCTGCCCCAAAGTGAACATGTGATGTATGTTACAAACGAGCTTACCTAGTCTGCATGTAGGATCCCCTCACAAACATGTATAGCTTTGCCCCCAAACCTGCCAAATATGTATGATGCCAGCCTTGTGAAACATAAAACCCAACCTGTCCTTCTCCTCTTCCAAGAGAAAGCAACTTCAATGCACACTGGAGACTGTCTCTTTCAGGCTTGCAAATCACTATTGCCAATAAAACTGTCCTTTCTATTATTTAGCCATCCTGGTGGTCTTTGGGACAACAAGTACTAGAGAGCTTTAAAAACGCAAAAAAGGAACCAGGGCTCCAAAGTTAATAAGAGGAGTTTTAATGAGGGAGATGGAACTAAGATAATATAATGGAAAAATAAAACATCTCGGGACTCCTAAACTCATTACACCAAAGAGGAGGTTAAGCCTGAAGACAGACTAATGCAACACTAGCCATCCTTGAATAGCTGTTGCTTTACAATCTTATGTCAAAGTATTATCCATCAGCCAGACCCCCCATGGAAAATTCTTTGCTGGTCTTGAAACCCTTCAAGATGCATATCCTCCTATAAAGCAAGGACATGTCCATTGTAACTTAGGTTTTCTATCTAAGTCTAGCTTCTACAACTAACATCTGTTAGATTTCACACTGATAATGTTGATTGCAAGCTCATCTTCCCAAGTGATGAGACTCATTCTTCCCAGAAGATGAGACCATTCTTCCACCTGCCCTGAGACATCTGCATAATTGATGCTTCCTTTACTCTCCCTTTTTTCTTCCAATGTTCACCTCATTTTATATAAAATGTAGATTTACTGGGCACTAATTAAAATCTCACAGACATGTAACCATTTGCCTCATTGGCTGGCTACCCACCTCTTCCTACATGCTTTCTTTCCTTTAAAAGAGAGTATAAATCCTGAGTCACCCGGAAACCTCTGCTTCAAGCCACAGATGTTTCCATAGCTGGTGTTCTTGAAACTGACACTGCAAAATTGTAACTGAGTCAGTGAAAGAGATCTGACCTAACCAACTCCATCTTGCTTCTAACCTCCAAACTGTCCTTGGTCATTCCTGGGTGTAGGCTGAACTAGCTTTGGGAGTAACTTACTTTATAGTTTAAAACAAAGATGATAACCGCCCTTTCCCAAAACCAACCTCCTTCTTGGCTAGGACTAGACTGCCTTTGTAGGACTAACAAATTAGCCACAAGATTAGAAATTGTGGTTTAGGAGTCACGCAGCTGGAGGTTACAAGATTCTGACCCTCCCTAAACTGTTCCTGAGATCAGTGCTTGAGATATTTTGCAGATGGTGCTCTTGATGGATCAGCTGGTACCACCCAGACCAATAAACTGGTTCATCTGATCTTGTGGCACCCACTCAGGAACTCACTCAGCGCAAGAGGAAAGCGTCAATTCCCTACTATTTCATCTCTAACCCACCTAATCAGCACTCTCGACTCACTGACCTTCCCCCACCCACCAAGTTGTCCTTAAAAACTCTGCTCCCCAAATGCTCAGGGAGACTGATTTGAATAACAATAAAACTCCAGTTGCCCACACAGCCAGCTCTGTGGGAATTACTCCTTCTCTATTGCAATTCCCCTGTCTTGAGAAATCAGCTCTGTCTAGTCAGCGGGCAAGGTGAACCCGCTGGGCTGTTACATTCTTCCCAGTCACACCCTCAAGCTCTAGCTCAATAAACCTCAGATGACTGAGATTTTTGCCTCAATATCTCATTTGGGTTAGCAAAAATCAGGGCAGATTTTTAGATGTGCTGCTGTGATTGGGCATACAACTGGAATCCAAACTTCCCAGCCTCCAAGACACAGAAAGAAACACAACTGGGCAATACCATGCATTATCTGAGAGAAGAACTCCAACCAGTTCCTCAAGTGAGGGAATTTTCCCTGGTGCCACCCCCAAAGATTAAAATTCACAGGTAAGATTTGGTTAACACAGTGAGTGACAGGGACATCCCCTTCCCCTGCCACCTTCCGGGGCTACTCCTTTGAGCACAGCCTTGTCAGTCTGGGGAGCAGGAGGAATTCTTCTGGAATTCTCCACCACCAGTTTCAGACTAGCTCTCACTGTCTTACAGAATTTGACCTCAAGGCCTCTGCCACCTGACTGCCATCCTCCACCCATCAGTCTACCTACCTCCCAGACACTCTCTTTAGTGAGGATTTTGAGCACCTGGGCTCACAGTTCTTCTATTAAGTCGTTGGGGCCCAGAAAGCGATACAACAAAGACTGGCCTTTTGACATGTGGAGAGGATAGAGGCAGCTGCATCAGAATCAAGGTCCCTCTAACCTTGTCTTGCTCCTTCGCCCTCAAGCACAGGGAAGGGCTCTCTGCAGTTTCCTTATCTGACCAAGAAAGCTTTGTTCCAAAAGGAATGCAACTGGGCCAGGTGTGGTAACTCAGTTTGTGATCCCAACACTTTGAGAGGCCTAGGCAGGAGGATTGCTTGAGGCCAGGAGTAGAGACTAGCCTCTTCAAATTAGCCAGGTGTGGTGACCCACATCCTAGCTACTCAGGAAGCTAAGGCAAGAGGATTATTTGAGCCCAGGAGTTCAAAGCTGCGGTGAGCTATGATCGCACCACCACACTCCAGCCCGGGCAAAAGAGGGAGACTCTGTTTCAACAAAACAACAACAATGACAACAAAAAAAAAGGGAACGCAATTATCTTAAACCTGCTCCCTAGGGATCATGTCAAATTACAAAGATCAGCCACCAGAAAAGAGAAGAGGCTGGGGGTATCACATTGCTCCAGACTTTTCACCTAGTCCTCTGAGGGCAGCTCCCAGAGATCACCTGGATAACAGAACAACCTTTGTTCCTGTGCAACTCCACCCCTCACCTTCCTGTAATGCGTGCCTCACTCCTCCCTGGTTCATTCATTCTCACTTATGACTTATTGCCCATCTAAAGAATCTTTGCCCACTGGCATCCTCCACTGTGTAAAAGGCTATATACGTTTCTGTCCCAAGCTGGGTTATTGGTAATCACTCTTGTGATTCCTTCCTGCTATGCCCATCAAAATAAAATTTTGTATGCCTTTTTTCCCCATGAATCTACCTTCTGTCAGTTGATTTTTTTAGTAAACCTTTGGAAGGTGAAGGGAAGTTTTCCCTTGGCACTTACAAAGTCCTGTCTTCATTAAAACCAGCTTCAATACCCAAGTAAATCAACCTTTCTCTCCCCACCTGCTGGTTCTTTGACCTCCTTGGCTGATGTTACTTCCTAAATATGTCCCAGAACACACACCCTCACTCTACCACTTATACCACAGCCCCTTTGAAACCATCTTTGCAAAAATTATAATAGAAAAAATTATGACAGTGAAAGAGATCTGCCCTAACCAAATCCATTTTGGCTTTAACTTCCAAACTGCCCTTGGTCATTCCTGGGCATGGGTCAAGCTAACTTTGGAAGAAATTTAGTTTACAGTTTAGATAACAGCTCTTCCCAAAACTAAACCACCTTTATAAAGTAATAAAAGGCCACCAGGTAGGATTATGAGAGGGGCCTGAATTCTGTTAAGATATAGGCTTAAAGGATTACCAGCCACTTTCCAGCCTTTGTTCTGTAGGTCACACGATTTGCGACTTCCCCAATTACTCCTGTAAATAACATCACTATTGTAGAACCTAAGATTGGCTTTTTGAGAAGTCTTTTCAGACTTTTGCATTTTTGACAACGGGATGACTCCACCCAGACCCATGACCCCTGACTCAACTGGTCCTGTGACCCATAAGCAGACTCAGCATACTTGGTCCATTTTCTACACCACTATGATTGCATCTCCAACCAATCAGAAATATCCATTCTCTAGCCCCCTGTCAACCAAACTATCTTTAAAAAATGCTTGCCTCCAAATTTTCAGGGAGGCTGATACAATAAAATTCTGGCCTCTGGTTTAGCCACTCTATGTCTATTAAACATGTTCTCTATTGCAATTCCTCCACTTGATAAGTTGGCTCTATTGGGGCACTAGGAAAGATGAACCCTAGGGCAGTTACACCCTCATTGACCTTCTACCCTGCAGCCTTATCTCCTTGGAGTTCTTAGAAAACTGACCACATCCTTCCCTGAAGCCTTCCAATGGCTCTCCACCCTCCACAGCATTCTAATATATCAGGAGCCTCTTTTAAGATTAAAAATAAATATTTTGCAAAGCTCTATGATAGAAGGTGAACTTTCATACCCATTTAATCAGAAATATATAATGACTATGAAGTCAATCATGCTATTATGTTGATTTTGGTTATAAGAAATGGCAAACTGAAAAACTGTAATATGTATTTGTATCACATATTTTTTGCATGGAGGGTTTATATGTGTTTGGCCCAATGTTGGGGAGCAGTGGCTATAGAATGCAATTCATGCTCAGCAGGTGGGGTGCTTCTGGCCCTGCCCACCTCTGCAGCTTCACCTCCCATCACTACCCCTTTCTCACTATTTAAACAACGTGATACTGCTTGTAGTCTTCTCAGCACACATGCATACACACATCCTTTTTGAAAGAATGGATATCTTCAATTCCACTTTGTAGCAAAACTTGATGTGCAACTCATAAGGCTATTTTTTCTTTTTTGAGATGGAGTTTCACTCTTGTCACCCAGGCTGGAGCGCAATGGCGTGGTCTTGGCTCACTGCAACCTCCTCCTCCCAGATGCAAGCAATTCTCCTGTCTCAGCCTCCCAAGTAGCTGGGATTATAGGCACCCACCACCACATCTTGCTAATTTTTGTATTTTTAGTAGAGACGGGGTTTCACCATGTTGGTCAGGCTGGTCTCAACCTCCTGACCTCAGGTGATCTGCCTGCCTCAGCCTCCCAAAGTGCTGGGATTACAGGCATGAGCCACTGCACCAGGCCCATAAGGCTATTCTTAATGGTCTTTGAGAAAAGTTGAAGGAGTAACAGTATAATTCAGCGAGGGTGATTGGTGAAGTCACTATGATCCATGTAAATAGCTTCTTTAGTGACCCGATTTAACCTATGACTAACCCATGACTTAGGGATCACTTTCTGAATTGCATCTCTCATGTGGATAGTAAGCAGTTCAACATTAGGCATGCTAGGAAAAGAAAAAGGTGACGAAGACATCAAATGCTGCAAACCCTTGAGTTTTGGAAGCCAACAGTGGCAGTGGTGAGACACCCTTTGGCTCTCAGCCCTGCAGGATGGAGGAAAGGGAGCCTACGCCCTCAGTTGCTGTGTTCACGGCACAGGGAGCAGGTACTTACCGTGGTTACTAATGCCACCTGCCAATTCTCCAGTTGCCATTCACAGCGGATGACAGGAGACACAACAGCTATCAACATGATCTCCATGGCCTCAACCACCTTAAAGAAGAGGGACACCATGCCATGTCTAAGTGCCAGCTTGTCATCACTTCTTCTCATATCTGCCTGCCCATCATCCTACCTAGTCCTGTCCCCTTTGTCCTTCCCCATTCAGGGAGGATCTATTGTATACCCACACTGCACTGCTAGTTGGATAAGGAACTATAGAACTTCAGCCTTTGTGGATGTGACTTTCATGGTTTGAACAACTTGAGAGAGTTCCCAAAAATTTGTGACACATATTCACTTATGATTTTGCTGACCAATGCAGTTGCATGGTAGCACTAGGAGGGAGCTGTGTGAAGGCCACTCCCATAGCTAAGGGGTGAAACTAGCTAACCGGCAGCATCCACATCAACTAGCTTTGTTGTTTTGTACTCATGATTATGAAGGTTGCAGAGCACACGCCTTATAAATGGATTTTTGAGACAGTTTCTGATCTCAAGCTGGGATAGTAAGATTCATGAAAGCTGGAAAATAAAGCAATGAGTACAAAGTAATATGAGTTCATCAGCAGGAAAGTGTTTTTTTTTGTGTTTAAAAAAAAAAAAAAAAAAAGAAGCAATGGGATCTCACTATGTTGCCCAGGCTGGAAACTCCTGGGCTTAAGTGAACCTCCCACCTTGACCTCCCAGAGTGCTGAGATTACAGGCATGAGCCACTGAACTCAGCCTAAGAAAATGTGTATTTAACAAACTTAATGCTACTAAATATTTCTTTCAATACAGTTTGAGTATGATCCTTTATCCATATTTTGCAATCCGTTATAGGGATAAGTTTGTCTCTCAAAAAAAAAAAAAAAAAAAGAAGGAGATGCTAGAAAAGAATTGAAGGAATAATTATAAATAGATGATGAAAGTTAGGTAAAGGATCATGAAGGATGAGTCAAAGATGACTGAGATTTTGTGTCTGGTGGAAGGGAAGAACACTGACATCATTGACAGGGACAAGGTTATCAGGAGGAAAAAAAGGGAATTAAAGGAGAAAATGAATTTGTTTGGCACATGTTCTGTCGATAACATTGATAGAATATCTATATGGGTTATTATAATAATGTTTATACTTGTATGACTTGGAGGTCTGGGATGAAAAAGCTGGAATGATGTCAGCCAGCGTGTGGGACTTTGAAGTACACATATTATAGTGACTTGTCTCTCCACAAGAGAGCATTATAGTGGTGTCCAGAGT
Source organism: Homo sapiens (assembly GCF_000001405.40). Taxonomy (NCBI): domain Eukaryota; kingdom Metazoa; phylum Chordata; class Mammalia; order Primates; family Hominidae; genus Homo; species Homo sapiens. The sequence goes on from NC_000007.14 coordinate 138,673,306, forward strand.
TCAGATGGCCAGCTGGCAAGTTTTAGTTCAACAGGTATCAGAAGTAAGAGAGCATAATTATCTCAGAAGAGGCTGACCAGGTGACTAATGTCTGTAATCTGAGCACTTTGGAAGGCTGAGGTAGGCGGATCACTTGAGGCCAGGAGTTCGAGACCAGCCTGGCCAACATGGCAAAACCCCATCGCTGCTAAAAATACAGAAATTAGTGGGACACGGTACTGCACGCCTACTCAGGAGGGTGAGGCACGAGAATCACTTGCACCCAGGAGGCAGAGGTTGCAGTGAGCTGAGATCACACCACTGCACTCCAGCCTGGGTGACAGAGCAAGACCCTGTCTACAAATAATAATAATCTCAGAATAATGTTTGATTTAGTAAACTCATCTTCCTTCAGTAATACAGAAGAGCTAGATCCATATTCACCAAGATGCCACTCCTCTAAAGAGTTCTAGAAGGAAATAAACCAATAAGGAATAAAACTCTGCCCATTCTGCTATAGTAGCCTTAGGGGAGAGGGACCAGGCAGGGAGCCAGGGTGGGGTACACAGAGGAGCTTCACTCTAGACCTCAGGGAAGGTCTTAAAGACAACCAGGACTGACCAGGCGAGGTGGCTTACGCCTGTAATCCCAGCACTTTGGGAGGCTGAGGCGGGCAGATCACTTGAGGTCAGGAGTTTGAGACCAGCTTGGCCAACATGGCAAAACCCTGTCTCTACTAAAAATACAAAATAAATTAGCTGGGCGTGGTGGCATGTGCCTATAATCCCAGCTACTCAGGAGGCTAAGGCAGGAGAATTGCTTGAACCTGGGAGGTAGAGGTTGCAGTGAGCTGAGATCACACCACTGCACTCCAGCCTGAGCAACAGAACAAGACTTCGTCTCCCAGAAAACACATACACACACACACACACACATACACAGAAGACCAGGACTTAGGAGTCCTGGTCACAGGCTGAGGCTGCTCAGCTGCTGTGGATGCTGTTATATACACCGTCACACGAGGCCCGGAAACCCAACTGCTGCTTCTATGGCCTCTGAATAAGGGCCTGAACAGGTGGAGGGGCCACGGCCCATCACTGTCAACATATCAATGCTGATGGAAGAATCCTGCTCATAAAGCATCCCATCGTAAGACCAGTCGAAAGATTTGGTCCCTGCACCCAAATAAGCAGTTCTGTCTTCCTTTGTGAGACAGGAGGGGGTGGCCTGGCAGAGAGCCCTTCCTAGCTGGTGAGCTGGGGAGAATTCCCACGACTGTAAGACACTTGAGGCTGGGTGCGGTGGCTCACACCTGTAATCCCAGCACTTTGGGAGGCCGAGGCGGGCAGATCATGAGGTCAGGAGATCGAGACCATCCTGGCTAACACGGTGAAACCCTGTCTCTACTAAAAATACAAAAAATTAGCTGGGCGTGGTGGCAGGCGCCTGTAGTCCCAGCTACTTAGGAGGCTGAAGCAGGAGAATGGCGTGAACCCAGGAGGCACAGCTTGCAGTGAGCCGAGATCACGCCACTGCACTCCAGCCTGGGCAACGGAGTGAGACTCCATCTCAAAAAAAAAAAAAAAAGATACTTGAAGACCAGAGATCATTTCACTTCCTTGAGATGTTCTGGGTGAAGGTGGAGGAGAGTTAATAGTAAAACTTCACCTAGTCACACCTACTTGTCCCTTGAAATGTGGAAATTAACAAATTTGGAGCCTATGAGACCTCACTGTACAGATAAGGAAATCTTCTCAATTGTACCATTGGTTATCATCAAAATAGGACTAGGATACATCTTGCCTTTCTCTTTTTTATGCTAGACTGTTGCCTGAGGCCAGGCTTGGTGGCTAAGCCTATAATCCCAGCACTTTGGGAGGCCGAGGTGGGAGGATTGCTTGAGCTGAGGAGTTTGAGACCAGCCTAGGCAACATAGCTAGATCTCATCTCAAAAAAAAAGAAAAAAGAAAAAAAGAAAAAAAAATAGACTGTTGCCTGAGAATGCAACACTTTTGAAAGATGCATCAAACTCACATGGCTACCTCCAGATCACACAACCCTTTATTTTTTATTTTATTTTTTTAACTGAGACTGAGTCTTGCTGTGTTGCCCAGGCTAGAGTACAGTGGCGCGATCTCGGATCGCTGCAACCTCCATCTCCCGGGTTCAAGCAATTCTCCTGACCCTGCCTTCCGAGTAGCTGGGATTGCAGGCATGTGCCACCATACCCCGGTAATTTTTTTCTATTTTTAGTAGAGATGAGGGTTTGCCATGTTGATAAGATTGGTCTCCAACTCCTGACCACAGGTGATCTACCCGCCTTGGCCTCCCAAAGTGCTGGGATTACAGGTGTGAGCCACCATGCCCCGCCCACACAACCCTTTCTTATACTTTTTAGCTGTTTGGGGAGGGTCAGATCCCTCTAGAGTTTTCTCACTTACCTCCCTCCTATGTATTTTTACCCTCCGGCCCAACACCATTGTTGAGTGGACCCCATATCTTTGATTTTCCATTCTGTCTGATTATCATTATGCATCTGGGTATGAAGCTTTGTTTTGTTCCCCGCCTTCCACCCCCAAAGTCTTGCTCTGTTGCCCAGGCTGGAGTGCAGTGACGCAATCTAAGCCCACTGCAACCTCTGCCTCCCAGGTTCAAGTTATTCTCCTGCCTCAGCCTCCCAAGTAGCTGGGATTACAGACACATGCCACCACACATAGTTTTTTGTATTTTTAGTAGAAATAGGGTTTCACTATGTTGGCCAGGCTGGTCTCAGACTCCTGACCTCAGGTGATCCACCGGCCTTGACCTCCCAGTGTGCTGGGATGACAGGCATGAGCCACAGTGCCTGGTCTGGAGTTCTTAACGTATTTTCACCTTACCTACTAAAGGAGAAAGCGGGAGTAGTGGTGTGGGTTCACAGACATCACCACTGTTGTGAAAGCCTCTGGGTGAAGCTGTCATTCTTCTTTCTTCAAAATAGCGTAGGGTGTTTGTCTTAGTCCATTTGTGCTGCTATCACAAAATACCTGAGACTGGGCAATTTATAAGAAATCTAAATTCATTTTCTCACAGTTCTGCAGGTCGGGAGGCCCAAGATCAAAGTGCCAGCAGGTTCTGCTGCCCGGAGAGGACCTACTCCCTCGTGTCCTTCGAGAGTGGAGGAACCACTGCGCTCACAGGGTGGAAAGGCAAACAAGCTGAAACTCCTGCTGCATGAAGCCTCTTTTATAAGGGCCTTAATCCCATTCACGAGGGAGGAGTCCCCGCCTCTTCACACTATCTCATTGGCATCACCTGGGTTTTGGAAGGGACACATTCAAACCCTAGCAGTAAACAAGCCTTCATCAGTGCCTCTTAAAGGATCTGAAAATATGTAATTACAGCAGGTGTCTCTGGTGATTCTTATGCACAAAATGTTTGAGAGCCATGTGTTCGAATTTACATAAAATAATACCATAGTTTTCTCCATTCTTCCCAATACTTCCATTTCTATCATTTTAAAAAATGAGTATTGAATTCCCAAAACATAGACACAAATGCTCACTTGCTTTATAACCGAACACCTGCCAAAGGTGAATGAAAGTGATTTTTGGATTACCCACCTCTTGGGGTTCCTTTTTTTTTTTTTTTTTTTTTTGAGATGAAGTCTCGCTCTGTCATCAGGGCTGGAGTGCAGTGGCACTATCGCAGCTCACTGCAACCTCCACCTCCCGGATTCACGCCATTCTCCTGCCTCAGCCTCCCGAGTAGCTGGGACTACAGGCGCCCGCCACCATGCCCGTCTCATTTTTTTGTATTTTTATTAGATACGGGGTTTCACCATGTTAGCCAGGATGGTCTCGATATCCTGACCTCGTGATCCGCCCGCCTCGGCCTCCCAAAGTGCTGGGATTACAGGCGTGAGCCACTGCGCCCGGCCTCCTGCTCTTTTTCTTATCCCTACACCCCCTGGACTGGAGAGCCCAGAGCCTGAGGTCAGTAGAAAAAAGACTGCTGCGTCCAATGATGTTAGCTTTGAAGACCCACGTGATCTCTGAGGCCTAAGCTCTGATTGTTTTTATTTTGCCCAAATTCCTGTCTAAGGGGGCTGGGGAGTCATGCCCTACAAACCATAAATTCTCATCAGATGGGTTTTATTAACCCTATAGATCGTGACTTACTTTCCGATTTGGCATAACATTATGTGAAAAAGAAATAAGTCAAATATTTTACCCCAAGACATGTTTCTTTGCCGTATTTTGAAATGGTCCTGCAAAGCTGTTCTTTGTGGGAGAAAATTTCCATCTGTAAAGAATCTCTATTAACAGAGCTAGATCTTTTTCTTCCAGGCCCTCCCAATCCTGAAGAGATTAACTAAAAGTCTAGCACCTTTTAAAGGTCTGAATAGGAAACATTTGTCATCTATTGTCTCTAAGGGCAGCCACTATAAGACTTCAAAAGAACCTTAGTCTACACAATCTTTTTTTTTTTTTTTTCATTTTATTATTTTTTTTTTTGAGACGCAGTCTCGCTCTGTCATTCAAGCTGGAGTGCAGTGGCGCGATCTCAGCTCACTGCAACCTCCGCCTCCTGGGTTCAAGCGATTCTCCTGCCTCAGCCTCCCGAGTAGCTGGGATTACAGGCACCAGCCACCAAGCCCAGCTAATTTTTGTGTTTTTAGTAGAAACGGAGTTTCAACACCATGTTGGCCAGGCTGGTCTCAAACTCCTGACCTCAGGTGATCCACCAGCCTCAGCCTCCCAAAGTGCTGGGATTGCAGGTGTCAGCCACCGTGTGTGGCCACAATCTTTTATCTTAACTTGAACATCTCCTTTCTATCAATCCCAGGTCTGTAGACAAACTCAACCAATTGTCAATCAGAAAATGTTTACATTTACCTATAGCCTGAAAGTCCCCCCTCCCCCACCACTCCTGTTTTGAATTTGAATTGTCCCGCCTTTCTGGACCAAATCAATGTATTTCTTAAATGTATTTGATGGATGTCTCCTGCCTCCCTAAACGGTGCCCCATCCACCTTGGGCACACGTTCTCAGGACCTCCTGAGGGCTGTGTCACAGGCCATGGTCACTCATATTTGGCTCAGAATAAATCTCTTCAAATATTTTACAGAGTTTGACACTTTTCGTCAACATCTCGAAGGAGCACTCACCCCAGTACTGCCCATGATCAGAAAGAGGGCAATGTGGAAACGCCCGAAGCCGATAGTCTCCACTGCATCTTCCACGGTGAACGTCTTTGGCTCTAACAACGAAAGACAAAGTGGAAAAAATTGCTTCTGCAGGGAAGGGAATGCGTGTGGACTATCAGCTTCAGAAAGCCAACCCATTATTATAAAAACAAGTTAATACGGGGGGTCAGTGGTAGGCAACCTCTGCCTACTGGTCCAAGCAATTCTCCTCCCTCAGTCTCCTGAGTAGCTGAGATTACACACACCCACTGCCACACTGGCCTAATTTTTGTATTTTTAGTAGAGACGGGATTTCACCATGTTGGCCAGGCAGGTCCCAAACTCCTGACCTCAGTGATCCACCTGCCTCGGCCTCCCAAAGTGATGGGATTACAGGTGTGAGCCACCATGCCTGGCTGCTTCTTTTGACCTCACCTTTTTGCATTTAACCTTAAAAAGGATTCTTAACTCTAAGCAGCAGGTTGAGCTGGAGACTTCTATGATAATCTCACCTTTAACCTGTGGCTCTGCGGTCCCCAGGCTCAATTTCCGAAGGCTGAGGATCGTGACAGGCTCTGTTGGCTTGGTTGCCATCTTCTAAATAGCTCAAGTTCCCCAAACAGCTTCCCTGGTGGAAGCAAGGGAGGGAAGAAGGAAAGAAATATAATGGTTATTGGATAGTTAGTATATGCCAGGCACACTACACACAAAATTTCCTGAAGCCCTCACAAAAATCGAATGAGGTATGTATTTTTATCCTCTTTTCACACCGGGCCTCTGGAACCAAGCAGCTCAGTGTTTTTTTTCCCCTACTACTTTTTATTAATTGATTGATTGAGATGGAGTCTCGCTCTGTTGCCCAGGTTGGAGTTCAGTGGTGCAATCTCAGCTCACTACAACCTCCGCCTTCTGAGTTCAAGCGATTCTCGTGCCTCAGCCTCTTGAGTAGCTGGGGTTACAGGCATGCGTCACCATGCCTGGCTAATTTTTTTTGTATATTTTGTAGAGACAGGGTTTCACCATGTTCTCCAGGCTGGTCTCGAATTTCTGACCTCAGGTGATCCGCCCACCTCGGCTTCCCAAAGTGCTGGGATTATAGGCGTGAACGACTGTGCCCAGCCTTCCCTACTACTTTTTAGGTATGTGGCTTTGAGGAATTTGCCCTTTGCACACCTCAGTTTTCTCAAATGGGTTTCCTAAAATGGGGATGATATAATAATGGCACCCAACTTTCAAGGTTGTTGTGATGATTAAATGAGTTAGTTCACGGAAAGCACTCACCCCATAACTGGCAAGTACTAATGTGCTTGATAAATGGAAGCCATTACTATTATTACTCTGTATGAGGGATGTATTTGTCACTAATCATTATCCTGAACACTTTACATACATGAATTATTCCCTCTAATCTTCACAGAAGATCTGTGAAATATCATAATTTATCACTGTCTGGCACGTAAGGAACCTGAGAAATGGAGAGACTAAATGGCTAAATTAGATAATCGAGCTAAATTAAGAGGCCAAATTAGACAACCAGGACTCTGAGACCGGTAACCAACCTTGAGCCTGGGGCCAGACGCAGGCCTTGGCAATTTAACCAAGAGCATCCTCTGAGTGGGAGGGAAGATGGCTTTGATACAGAAAAACAATCGCAAAGCAGCACTTCACACTTCTGCAGATACTGTATTTCCAGTGTGCTTTCTTGCATGTCATTGTCTTTTTTTTTTTTTTTTTTTGAGGCAGAGTCTTGCCCTGTTGCCCAGACTGGAGTGCAGTGGCACGATCTCGGCTCACTGCAACCTCCGCCTACTGGTTCAAGAAATTCTCCTCCCTCTTACATGCACCCACTGCCACACTGGGCTAATTTTTGTGTTTTTAGTAGAGATGGGGTTTTGCCATGTTGGCCAGGCAGGTCCCAAACTCCTGACCTCAAGTGATCCGCCTGCCTTGGCTTCCCAAAGTGTTGGGATTACAGGCGTGAGCCACCATGCCTGGCTGCTTCTTTTTAACCTCGCCTTTTTGCATTTAACCCTAAAAAGGATTCTTAACTCTAAAAGCCAAAAGAAAACTAAGACAAGTAAAGATGGGTACCAAGTCAGTGGCTTACCCACACAGACTTTTGTGTGTGTGTGTGTGTGTGTGTGTGAGACGGAGTCTTGCTCTGTCGCCCAGGCTGGAGTGCAGTGGCCCGATCTCGGCTCACTGCAAGCTCTGCCTCCCGGGTTCATGCCATTCTCCTGCCTCAGCCTCCTGAGTAGCTGGGACTACAGGCGCCCGCCACCACGCCCGGCTAATTTTTTGTATTTTTAGTAGACACGGAGTTTCACCGTGTTAGCCAGGATGGTCTCGATCTCCTGACCTTGTGAATCCGCCCGCATCGGCCTCCCAAAGTACTGGGATTACAGGTGTGAGCCACCTTGCCCGGCCAGACTTTTTTTCAGATGACTCTAAGACATAGTAACTTAATTGTATATTCCTAGTGGGATAAACAGAAAGCCTAAACTATTCTTGCTAATGATATTGTTAGTAATAATATTGGTATCATCAGTTGCATATTAGTACATATTTAGGATAAGGAAAGTAATTTTGTTAATATTGTTAGGAACCCAGGTTTTCATTGTTAAGAGGAAAAAGATAAATATAAAATCAAATTTAGCTACGTAAAAAATTTATAATCCTAATTTTGAACTTGAAAGAGATATGAAATTATTATATAACATATAATATTAACAAATATATGTTATTAACAAATATAATAAATTAACAAATATTATTATTATATAACATATATAATAAATATAAACAAACAAACCCAGGCACTTTAGGTGACAAATTTTGAACTGGAAATAGAAATACGAGATTATTATATAACATATAATATTAACAAATATATTAACAAATATTATTATATAACATATATAATAAATAAACATAAACAAACAAACCCAGGCATCTTAGGTAAATGGCTGATTCTGGCTCAGGGACAGGAAATGTACAAACTGAGCCTGGGGCATCTTGTCGTAGCCTATAGCATGGGCAATATCAAAGACCCCTGGGGTTGTAATGAAAGATTACAAAATTAAAACTGAGGGCTGGGCGTGGTAGCTCACACCTGTAATCCCAGCATTTTGGGAGGCTGACGCAGGAGGATCACTTGAGACCAAGAGTTTGAGACCAGTCTGGCCAACACAGCAAAACCCCGTCTCTACTAGAAATGGAAAATTAGCCAGGCGTGGTGGCATGCACCTGTAGTCCCAGCTACTCAGGAGGCTGAGGCATGAGAATTGCTTGAACCCAGGAGGCGGAGGTTGCAGTGAGCCAAGATTGGGCCACTGCACTCCAGTCTGGGTGACAGAGTGAGACTCCATCTCAAAAAACAAAAACAAATTAAAATTGAAAAGGCTCCCACTGGCCAAAGATGGGACAATTTGAACATCAGAAAAACTAATGACTGCCAAGAATTGAAACACATTGAAGATGTTAAAATCCCTTTGTTCACAGTAATACCATAATGAAGACCTCATTGATCACCTTTGGAGAATGGTAAGAAATAAACTCATTCTGAAAACTAGCAAAAATAGTAAATATCTTGACTTTTTTGTACAAATTGTCTGTACATCAGGGTAACAAAACAGTTGCTGAGGGAAAATTATTTGTGAATAATAAAGCTAACATATGCAGAGAAAAGGATGGAATTAAATCATGACTGTTTTGCACCTTCTAAAAAAATAATGGATCCAGGCAACAGTCATCACTGGCTTGTAAACTATGAGGTGAAAGGCTGATGGTGAACTTTGCTATGAGAGGAATATGACTGATAACACCTGAACCCACTGAAAAATCTTAACACCATGGAAACAGAGACAGGCAGATTGCATTGGGTCCTAATGAGATGCAACAGGAAGACGTATACAACATCACCTGTGAAGTATTCTCATAAAGAGAAATGGAACCTGAATCGAATCAGGAATCTAGCTCTAGCTACCAGCTTACACAGGAAATGAAGAAACATGTTAAACAACACCATGTGGATGCAATAAGAAAAATGCAGAATGCTGGAAGCTGTATAAGAAAAATGACCCAGTTTCTTCATTAAATAAATGGCAAGGGAAAGAAGAGGAAAGGGGAACCTATAGACTAAAATAAAAGAGACACATCAAATCAAAAATGGACCTTGTTTGGATGTTCATTCAAACAAATCAACTATAAAAAATTTAAAAATAAAACAAGTGTGTGGCTGGGTGCAGTGGCTCACCTCTGTAATCCCAGTACTTTGGGAAGCCAAGGTGGGTGGATCACCTGAGGTCAGGAGTTCAAGACCAGCCTGACCAACATGGTAAAACCCCATCTCTACTAAAAATACAAAATTAGCCAGGCGTGATGGTGCATGTCTGTAATCTCAGCTACTCGGGAGGCTGAGGCACAAGAGTCGCTGGAACCCAGGAGATGGAGGTTGCTGTAAGCAGCGATCAAGCCATTGCACCCCAGCCTGGGCGACAAGAGCAAAACTCCATCTCAAAAAAAAAAAAAAGAAAAAAAAAAGAAAAACAGCAATGTGAGAGAGATATAGATACAGAAAATATCAGGGAAATTTTAGCAAGTTTGGAAATTTGAAGATATTAAGAAATTACTGATGGCCTCATTAGGTGTGACAATGGTATTATGGCTACGGTATAAGAAAGAATCCTTGTATTTTTGAGGTACATACTAAAATATTTACTAATGAAATGATGATGTCTGGGATTTATTTTAAAATAAATAATAGGGTGAGGGCAGCATGTATAGGAATTACATGGGTGTATAGATGAAAAAAGAATGGTGATCTATTGAAAATTATTGGAAGAAGATTATTATCTACTACTTTTGAGTATGTGTAGTATTTTCCAAAATAAATAATTCAAAAAAATGAGGTTCTGAGATTCTGGGGTTTTTTTGAGATGGAGTTTTGCTCTTTTGCCCAGGCTGGGGTGCAGTGGCGGGATCTCATCTCACTGCAACCTCTGCCCCCCGGGTTCAAGCAATTCTCCTGCCTCAGCCTCCCGAGTAGCTGGGATTATAGGTGCCCTCCACCATGCCCGAATAATTTTTGTATTTTTAGTAGAGACGTACGTTTCTCCATGTTGGCCAGGCTGGTCTTGAATTCCTGACCTTAGGTGATCCACCCGCCTTGGCCTCCCAAAGTGCTAGGATTACAGGCATGAGCCACTGTGCCTGGCAGTTGTGAGATGCTTATGTAACTTTTCCAATGTCTGATCACTAGTTAAGTAGTAGAATCAGAACTCACAAAGGGTTAATATCCAAAATATGTAAGAAACTCTTTGGGCGGGCACAATGGCTCATGTCTGTAATCCCAGCGTTTTGTGAGGCTGAGGCGGGCAGATCACAAGATCAGGAGTTCGAGACCAGTCTGGCCAACATGGTGAAACCCTGTCTCTATTAAAAATACAAAAATTAGCCAGGTGTGGTGGTGTATGCCTGTAATCCCAGCTACTCGGGAGGCTGAAGCAGGAGAAATCACTTGAAACTGGGAAGCAGAGGTTGCAGTGAGCCGAAATCATGCCACTGTACTCCAGCCTGGGTGACAGAATGGGACTCTATCTCGGCAGGGGGGCAGGTGGCAAAGAAGATCCTGGCCAGGTGCAGCGGCTCACGTCTATAATCCCAGCACTTTGGGAGGCCGAGGCAGGCAGATCACCCGAGGTCAGGAGTTCGAGAACAGCCTGGCCAACATGGTGAAACCCCATCTCTACTAAAAATACAAAAACTAGCAGGGCACGATGGTGGGTGCCTGTAATCCCAGCTACTCGGGAGGCTGAGGCGGGAGAATCACTTGAACCTGGGAGGCGGAGCTTGCAGTGAGCTGAGATTGTGCCACTGCACTACAGCCTGGGCAACACAGCAAGACTCCATCTCAAAAAAAAAAAAAAAGGAAAAAGGAACTCCTGCAACTTGAGCAAAACTCAAAAAACTCAAATGATGGGCAAAGGACCTGAGCAGACAGTTTTCAAGTGAAGACATACAAATTGCCGATAGGCAGCCAGTACAAATGGCCAATGAAAAGGTGCAGGACATCACTAATCCTCAGAAAAATGCAAATCAAAACCACAGTGAGACATTACCTCATACTTGTTAGGACGGCGATTATCAAAAGGTCAAGAGAGAGATAGTTGTGGGAATGTGGAGAAAAAGGAACCCTTGTACACTGTTGGTGGGAATGTAAATTGGTGCAGCCACTATGGAAAACAGTATTGAACTATCCTCAAAAAATTAAAATAGAACCACCAATATGATCCAACAGCCCTACTTCTGCATATATCCAAATGGAATTGAAATCAGTTATCTCAGAGAGATATCTGCACTCCCATGTTCACTACAGCATTATTCATGATAGCCAAAACATAAAACAACCCAAATGTCCATTAACGGATGTGTGGAAAAGGAAATTGGGTACATGCATACAAGGGAATTTTTCTTTTTCTTTTCTTTTTTTTTTTTTTTGAGACAGAGTTTCATTCTTGTTGCCCAGGCTAGAGTGCAATGGCAGGATCTCAGCTCACTGCAACCTCCACCTCCTGGGTTCAAGCGATTCTCCTGCCTCAGCCTCCCAACTAGCTGGGATTACAGGCATGTGCCACCACACCCAGCTAATTTTGTATTTTTAGTAGAGACAGGGTTTCACCATGTTGGTCAGGCTGGTCTCCGACTCCCGACCTCAGGTGATCCACCTGCCTCAGCCTCCCAAAGTGCTGGGATTACAGGTGTGAGTCACTGTGCCCGGCCACAATGGAATATTATTCATCTTTAAAAAAGAGGGAAATCCTGCCATCTGCAACAAGGTGGATGAAACTGAAGGACACGATGCTAAATTAAACAAGCCAGGCACAGAATAATGAATACTATGTTGTATCATTTACATGACGAATCTAGAATAGTCAAAGTCATAGAAGCAGAGAGTGGAATAGTGGATGCCATTCTGAGTGGCTGAGGGGAAGGGGGAACAGGGAAGTATTAGTCAAAGGCACAAAATTTTGGCTATACAAGATGAATGAGTCCTAAAGATCTTCCTACAGCATTGAGCCTATAGTTAACAATATGGTATCATGCGCTTAAAATTTTGCCAGAAAGGTAGATCTTCTGATAAGTGTTCTTATCACAAAAATAATAATAGCTGGGTGTGGTGGCTCATGCCTGTAATCCCAGGAATTTGAGACCAGCCTGGCCAACATGGTGAAACCCCATATCTACTAAAAATACAAAAATTAGCCAGGCGTGGTGGCGGGTGCAGTGGTGGGCACCTGTAATCCCAGCTACTCAGGAGCCTGAGGCAGGAGAATCACTTAAACCCAGGAGGCAGAAGTTGCAGTGAGCTGAGATTGCACCGCTGCCCTCCAGCCTGGGCAACAGAGCAAGACTGTCTCAAAAAAAAAATAAAATAAAATAAATAATAAATAAAAAGGCTAGAGGAAACGTTTGGAGGTAGCTTTATGGCATAGATGGTGGTGATGGTTTCACAGTGATACTTATCTCCAAACTCTTCAAGTTGTATACATTAAATATGTACCAGTTTTTATGTCATTCATGTCTCAATAAAGTGGTTAAAACAAAAACAGAAACAAAAAAATCTCAAGCCAAGCTGTCCTTTTGCCAAAACATAAAAATAGCCAGAGAGGGCCAGGTGCCACGGCTCACGCCTGTAATCCCAGCACTTTGGGAGGCCGAGGTGGGTGGATGGCCTGAGGTCAGGAGTTCGAGACCAGCCTGGCCAACCTGGTGAAAACCCGTCTCTACTAAAAATACAAAAATTAGCTGGGCGTGGTGGTGGGCACCTGTAATCCCAGCTACTTGGGAGGCTGAGGCAGGAGAATCGCTTGAACCCCGGGGGGGGCGGAGGTTGCAGTTAGCCGAGATCGTGCCACTTCACTCCAGCCTGGGTGAAAGAGTGAGACTCCGCCTCAAAAAAAAAAAAAAAAAAAAAAAGAAGCCAGAGAACAGCTGTGTAGTAGCACATCAAGGTCATTAATGTTTGCCAAGTGCTGGCTCTGTAGTTCCTGTGGAGGCTTCAGAGGAGGATCTGACATGTTCCTGGCCTAAGGAGTTTTTTGTTTTTTGGGTTTTTTTTTTTTTTTTTTTTGAGACAGATTTTCACTCTTTTTGCCCAGGCTGCAGTGCAATGGCGTGGTCCTGGCTCACCGCAACCTCCGCCTCCCAGGTTCAAGCAATTCTCCTGCCTCAGCCTCCCGAGTAGCATGCCTGTAATCATGCACCGCCACGCCCGGCTAATTTTGTATTTTTAGTAGAGACGGGGTTTCTCTGTGTTGGTCAGGTTGGTTTTGAACTCTCCACCCCAGGTCATCTGCCTGCCTTGGCCTCCCAAAGTGCTGGGATTACAGGCATGAGCCACCGCACCTGGCCTAGTTTTTAATCTAGCTGGGGACGCAAAAGATAAACATAACAAACAATTATACTGCAGTGTATATATTCTTTGTTTTCTTAAACACTGTCACAGAGACATAAATATTCCCAGATGGGAAAAAGATCAATAATGCTCAGAGATAATCCATGAAATTCTCCCTCTCAAGAGCGAACATAGAAAGTATGAAAAGTTGTTATTTACACATAGTGGGAAAAGCAAAATAATTGGTCTCTCAGCCCATCTGGGAGCCTGAAAGTTATGAGGACAGACAATTCTAAAACTACTGCTCCCTTTTCAGACATTGTTGGAACACCATTTGAAGGGTGTTCTTTATTTGGAAGCTCTTTTTTTTCCTTTTTTCCTCTTTTTTTTTTTTTTTTTTTTTTTTGAGACGGAGTTTCACTAGCGTTGCCTAGGCTGGAGTGCAATGGCGTGATCTCGGCTCACCACAACCTCCGCCTCCTGAGTTCAAGTGATTATCCTGCCTCAGCCTCCCGAGTAGCTGGGATTACAGGTGCACACCACCATGCCCAGCAAATTTTTTTATTTTTAGTGGAGATGGGGTTTTGCCATGTTGGCCAGGCTGGTCTCAAACTCCTGACCTCAGGTGATCCGGCCAACCTCAGCCTCCCAAAGTGCTGAGATTAGAGGCATGAGCCACTGCACTTGCCCTACATTTTTTTTATTTTAATTTAATTTTTATTTTTTGATACAGGGTCTTACTCTCTTGCCCAGGCTGGAGTGCTACCACACTTGGGCAAAAAACAAAAAAATTGGACTTAATAAAAATTTAAAACTTTTGTGCATCTAAAGACACTATCAAGAAGGTGAAAAAAAAAAAACAGAATGGGAGAGAGTATTTGCAAACCATATACCTGATAAGAGTGTAGTATCCAGAATATATAAAGAACTCTTACAACTCGATAATAAAAAGAAAATCTAATTTTTTTTTTTTTTAAATAGAGTCTTGCTCTGTCACCAGGCTGGAGTGCAGTGGCATGATCTCAGCTCACTGCAAACTTCCCCTCCCAGGTTCAAGTGATTCTCCTGCCTTAGCCTTCTGAGTAGCTGGGATTACAGGTGTGCACCACCACACACAGCTAATTTTTGTATTTTTTAGTAGAGACAAGGTTTCACCATGTTGGCCAGGATGGTCTCGATCTCTTGACCTCGTGATCCACCCGCCTCGGCCCCCCACAGTGCTGGGATTACAGGCGTGAGCCACTGTGCCTAGTGACAACCTAATTTTTCAAATGGGCAAATGATTTCAATAGACATGTCTACAAAGAAGATATGCAAATGGCCAATGAGCACATGAAAAGAGACTCAACATCATTGGTCATTCGGGAAATGCAAATCAAAACCACAAGATATCACTTCCTACTCAGTAGGATGCCGAAAAATTTTGGGGTTTTTTTTTTTGAGACAGAGTTTCACTCTTGTTGCCCAAGCTGGAGTGCAGTGGCATGTTCCTGGCTGACTGCAACCTTTGCCTCCTGGGTTCAAGTGATTCTCCTGCCTCAGCCTCCCAAGTAGCTAGGATTACAGGCATGCACCACCACACTCGGCTAATTTTATACTTTTAATAGAGACAGGGGTTTCACCATGTTGGTCAGGCTGGTCTTGAACTCCTGACCTCCAGTGGTCCACCTGCCTTGGCCTCCCAAAGTGCTGGGATTACTGGTGTGAGCCACAGCGCCCAGCCAGATCCCTAAAATTAAAAAGGTAGGCAGTATGTTTCTCATACTTTATAATTATTTTTTTAAAAAGGCAGTAGCAAGTGTTAGTGAAGATGTGGGGGTATCAGAACCATTGTGTGTTGCTGGTGGGAATTTAGAATCATGTAGCCCCTGTAGAAAACAGTTTGTCAGTTCCTCAAAGGGTAAACATAGAGTTACCGTATGTGCTGTTCCACTCCTAGGTATAACCTCAGGAGAATTGAGAACATAATCTTATGAGTTGAATTGTGTGCCCATCAAAATTTATATATGGAAGACCTAACCTCTAGTACCTCAGAATGTGACTTGATTTGGAATTAGGATCATTGCAGATGTAATTCGTTAAGATAAAGTCAGCTCTTCCTCTTTCCCTAAGCGGCCTGAGGTGATCTGTGAAATGGTTTGCTATTCACTTGACCCAGAGAACTCCACAAAATCATGCAAATCAAGACGTTCAAATCTTTGTGTTCACTTTAAGAACACTCATGACACTTCCCAGGTCATCAAGGGTATGCATATATGAAAAGCCACGAAGTATCTGAAAGATGTCACTTTACAGAAATAGTGCGTACCATTCCGATGTTACAATGGTGGAGTGGGCAGGTGTGCCCAGGCCAAGCAGTGGGGCTGGACACAAGGTTGGTGGCCCAAAAAGAGTGCTGAATTTTTGCTGCACATGGTTAAAAATGCAGAGAGCAATGCAGAACTTAAGGGTTTAGATGTAGATTCTCTGGTCATTGAGCATATCCAAGTGAACAAAGCACCTAAGATGCGCCGCCGGATCGACAGAGCTTATGGTCGGATTTACCCATGCATGAGCTCTCCCTGCCACATCGAGATGATCCTTACTGAAAAGGAACAGATTGTTCCTAAACCAGAAGACAAGGTTGCCCTGAAGAAAAAGATATCCCAGAAGAAACAAAAACTTATGACACGAGAGTAAATTCAGCATTAAAATAAATGAAATTAAAAGTAAAAAAAGAAAAAAAAAAAAGGGCCAGATGTGGTGGCTCTGCCTGTAATCCCAACACTTTGGGAGGCTGAGGTGGGTGGATCACAAGGTCAGCAGTTTGAGACCAGCCTGACCAACATGGTGAAACCCCGTCTCTACTAAAAATACAAAAATTAGCCGGGCACGGTGGCGCACACCTGTAATCCCAGCTACTCAAGAGGCTGAGGCAGGAGAATCTCTTGAACCTGGGAGGTGGAGGTTGCAGTGAGCTGAGATCATGCCACTGCACTCCAGTCTGGGCAACACAGTGAGACTCCGTCTCAAAAAAAAAAAAAAAAAGATGAAATTATACTTGAGTGGAGTGGGAGTCTTACCCATTGTAAATGATGTCCTCATAAAATGGGAGAATTTGGACACAGAGACAGCACACAGGGAGAATGGCCTGGCAACACGAAGGCAGATATGGGGGTGATGCATCTATAAGCCAAGGAACCCCAAGGGGTGCCAGCAACCACCAGCAGCTAGGGGAGAGGCATGAATCAGATTTTCCCTCCCAGCCTCAGAAAGAACCCACCCTGCCAAAACCTTGGTCTCAGACTTCTAGCCTCTCGAA
The DNA here is from genome assembly GCF_000001405.40 of Homo sapiens. Classification (NCBI taxonomy): domain Eukaryota; kingdom Metazoa; phylum Chordata; class Mammalia; order Primates; family Hominidae; genus Homo; species Homo sapiens. The sequence continues at coordinate 138,690,148 of NC_000007.14, forward strand.
TCATGAAATGATCAATTTCTCTTGTTTAAGCCGCTCCGTGTATGGTACTTTGTTATGGCAGCCCTAGGGAACTAATACACGTGTCCACGCAAACACTCATACATGAATGGTCAGAGAAGCATCATTTGAGATAGAGTTTCACTCTTGTCACCCAGGCTGGAGTGCAATGGCGTGATCTGAGCTCACTGTAACTTCCAGATGCAAGATGGATCACTTGCATCTGGGAGCCAAAAGTAGGAATGGTCCAAATGCCCATCATCTGATGAATGGATAAATGAGATGTGGTCTATCCATACAATGGAATATCATTCAGCAATAAGAAGGAATGGAGTTCTGATACTTGCTGCATGATGAATGAATCTCAAAAACATGCTAAGCAAAAGAAGTCATATAACACTATATATTGTATGATTCCATTTATATGAAATATCCATTTATGTGAAAATTCACAGAGACAGAAATAGATGAGTGGTTGCGGGGGGAGGAGGAGAGTAGGGAGTGACTGATAATAGGTGTGAGGTTTCTTTGGCAGGTGATGAAACATTCTGGAATTCTACCATGGTGATGGTTGCACAACCTTGTGAACATACTCAAGATCACTGAATTGTACCCTTTTCTTTCTTTCTTTCTTTCTTTTTTTAATGGGACAGAGTCTCACTCTGTTGCCCAGGCTGGAGTGCAGTGGCGCAATCTCAGCTCACTTCAGCCTCTGCCTCCCAAGTTCAAATGATTCTCCTGCCTCAGCCTCCCAAGTAGCTGGGACTACAGGTGTCCATCACCATGCCCGACTAATTTTTTTGTAATTTTACTAGAGACTGAGTTTCACCATTTTGGTCAGGCTAGTCTCAAACTCCTAACCTCAAAAGATCCACCCGCCTTGGCCTCCCAAAGTGCTGGGCTTATAGGCATGAGCCACCGCACCCAGCCTGAATTGCACTCTTTAAAATGGTGACTTTTATGTAGGTGGATTATGTCAATTATATGTTTATTCCTTTTTTAAAAACAGAAAAATAAAATAGTAATGCAAATCACAGCGGCAGACTTTAAAACCAAAAGGAATCTGGCTTTTATAGTATCTAGGAATAAAACGATTCAGTTTGATGGAAAAATAGTATTTTAAAATCCTAGTGAGTTCATTCTAAGTTCAGTTACAACTAAAATGCTTAACAATGAGTTCAGTCTTCAGTCAACATTAAATCTCTTCTATCAGTCATGTTTTATGATGTCTCAGACCCATCTAAACGTATTTTACAATTTTAACAATCTTAAAGGTTTACATTTTAGAGGGGCACTAAAACAATTTCCATCAAGTCTCCTTGTTTTCTACATTGAACAGCAAGAAACCTGGAAATCTTCCACTTACTACTGAGCAGAACAAGTTTTGCTGTTGTTGCTGTCGTTGTTGTTTTTGAGACCAAGTCTCGCTCTTGTCACCCAGGCTGGAGTGCGATGGCGTGATCTCGGCTCACTGCAACCTCTGCCTCCCAGGTTCAAGCGATTCTCGTGCCTCAGCCTCCCGAGAAGCCGGGATTACAGGCGTGCACCACCACACCCAGCTAATTTTTGTATTTTTAGTAGAGACGGGGTTTCGCCACGTTGGCCAGGCTGATCTCGAACTCCTGACCTCAGGTGATCCACCCACCTCGGCCTCCCAAAGTGCTGGGATTACAGGCATGAGCCACTGTGCCCAGCCCAAGTTTTTATTTATTTTAATTTAATTTTATTTATTTTTGAGACAGAGTCTCGCTCTGTCTCTGCCTCCCAGTTTCCAGGGATTCTCCTGCCTCAGACTCCTGAGTAGCTGAGATTACAAGCAGGCACCACCACACCCAGCTAGCTTTTGTATTTTTAGTAGAGACAGGGTTTCACCATACTGGCTAGGCTGGTCTCGAACTCCTAACCTCAAGTGAATCAGCACTTTGGGAGGCCGAGGCGGGTGGATCACTTGCATCTGGGAGGAGGAGGTTACAGTGAGCTGAGATCATGCCATTGCACTCCAGCCTGGGTGACAAGAGTGAAACTCCATCTCAAAAAAGAAAAAATAGCCTTATGAGTTTCACGTCAAGTTTTGCTACAAAATGGAATTGAATATATCCATCATTCTTTCAAAAAGCATGTGTGTATGCATGTGTGCTGAGAAGACTACAAGCAGTATCACGTTGTTTAAATAGTGAGAAAGGAGTAGTGATGGGAGGTGAAGCTGCAGAGGTGGGCAAGGCCAGAAGCACCCCACCTGCTGAGCATGAATTCCATTCTATAGCCACTGCTCCCCAACATTGGGCCAAACACATATAAACGCTCCATGCAAAAAATATGTGACACAAGTACATATTACAGTTTCAGATTGCCATTTCTTATAACAAAAGTCAACATAATAGCATTGTTGACTTCATAGTCATTATATATTTCTGATTAAAAAATAATAATAATAATATTTTGTTTCCATGATATGAAGAAAATTAAAATGTGGCATAGTTTTAGGCAACTGATGATATGAAAGAAAATAAAATTCCTTTTGATCTTGACATTAGACCGCTAGAGAAATAAATAGAATCTTCATATGCAACCCTTGGTCCTAGAGTGAGCAAGATTTACATGGCCATAAAAAAAGGGGCTGTTTATTCATTTTCAGGTTCACAGTTAACCTCCAGAGTTTTGAATAAAACATATAAGACTTGATTGTGGTTTCAGGACGGAACAAAATGTCAGTATATTTGACAAGGGGACAGCCAATTACATATAACAAAGGTGAGAGTTGGAAGTCGGTGAGGAAAGGTGGAGGGATTGGTAGGCATCCTACCCAAAGAATCAACATGCTAACTAAAGTTCACATAATAAGGACTAGAGCTATAAGTGTACCATGTATAATTACAAAAATAGCTAAGAGAATAACTAAAGATACCTATAACATATTGGGAGAATAGCACAAAGGAAGGAAAATTATGACCTAAATTACTTTTCTTGTGAGTAATGGATTGATACTGTCATAAACCAAGAAATAAAGTATAATTATATTGTTTTAATCATAAAAGTAATCACTCAGAAAACTAAAAACACACAATAAAAAGAAATTTCTTGCCAGGTGTGGTGGTTCACGCCTGTCATCTCAGCACCTTGGGAGGCCAAGGCGGAAGGATTGTTTGATTGCTTGAGGCCAGGAGGTCAAGACCAGCTTGGGCTGGGTATAGAGAGACCTCTTCTGTACTAAAAATTTTTTAAAAATTAGCTGGGCATGGTCCCAGCTACTTAGAGGGCTGAGGCAGGAAGATCACTTGAGCCTAGGAGTTCCAATCCAGCCTGGATGATAGAACCCAGAAGAAAGAAAGAAGAGAGAGAAAGAGAGAGAGAAAGAAGGGAAGGAAAGAAAGAAGAAAAGAAAGAAAAAGAAAGAAAGAAAGAAAGAAAGAAAGAAAGAAAGAAAGAAAGAAAAAAGGAAAGAAAGAAAAAAGGAAAGAAAGAAAAAAGAAAGAAAGAAAAAAGAAGAAAGAAGGGAGGGAGGGAAAAAGAAAGAGAGAGGGAGGGAGGGAGCGAGGAAGGAAAGAAGGAAGGAAGGGAGGCAGGGAGGGAAGGAATTTCTTTGGGGATGTGGGAAGCTGAAGCAGGAGATCACTTATTTCTGTTATAAACTCATTTTACTATTGGATTTGTTGCCATGTGCCCTTATTACTTCAACAAAAAAATTTATAAATTTAAAGAAAGCTAAACAAAAAAACAATATGAAACTTACATGTTTAATAGAATCTCTTACAGCTCAGGAAGGAAAAGATGGAGGCATCAGGGACATGAAGAATACATACAGTGGCTGGCAAATCTATGAAACTGTGTTCACCCGCACCGTACCTTCACATTAAAGGGAGTTATAATTCTTCTCTGTCAGATTTGCAAGAATTTAAAAGACTGATTATACCAAGTGCAAGGGAAATAGGCACTCGAACTATTGGCAGACGTGTAAATTGGTACAACCTTTCTCAAAGGCAATGAGGCATTGGATGACAGAATTCTTGACTGAGCAGTTTCACTCTGAGGACTCATCCTCATGAGATAGTCAAACACGTATACAACGATATAGGTGGGCATAAGGAAGGTCACCACACTGTTGGGTTTTTTTTGTTTTTGAGACGGAGTCTCGCTCTGTCGCCCAGGCTGGCGTTCAATGGTGTGATCTCGGCTCACTGCAACCTCTGCCTCCTGGGTTCAAGTGATTCTCCTGCCTCAGCCTCCCCAGTAGCTGGGATTACAAGTGCCTGCCACCACGCCCACCTAACTTTTTGTATTTTTAGTAGAGATGGGGTTTCACCATGTTGGCCAGGCTGGTCTCGAACTCCTGACCTCAGGTGATCCACCTGCCTCTGCCTCCCAAAGTGCTGGGATTACAGGCATGAGCCACCGTGCTGACCCACACTGTTGTTTTAACAACAACAACAAAAGAATTAGGTACAAACTAAATGCTCACCAGTAGAGAAGTGGCTAAACAAATGATAATATATTCCCATAATAGAATGCCATATAGAAGCTCTTAAGTAAGGCTATTGATTGTTGAACTGTGTTTTCCAATATTTATCTATATAATGATCCCAATTTATAAAATTATTATTATTTTGTTTGTTTGTTTTGAGACAGAGTTTCGCTCTTGTTGCCCAGGATGGAGTGCAATGGTCTTGGCTCACTGCAACCTCCGCCTCCTGGGTTCAAGTGATTCTCCTGCCTCAGCCTCCTGAGTAGCTGGGATTACAGGCATGCGCCACCACACCCAGCTAATTTTTGTATGTTTAGTAGAGACAGGGTTTCACCATGTTGACCAGGCTGGTCTCGAACTCCTGACCTCTGGTGATCCACCCACCTCAGCTTCCTAAAGTGCTGGGATTACAGGCATGAGCCACCACGCCTGGCCAATTTATAAAATTATTTAATTACATAATTTTATAGATGGAATGATTTCAGCAAAGATGTTATCCAAAACTGTGTTTAGTCTTTCAACAAATATTTCTTGAGCACTACTAGGTATCAGACAATAAAATACAATGAAAAGAGTTCCTGTTTCCAAAGAACTTGCAGCCTACTGTGGAAGAAAGACAAGCATTCCGCCAGGCACAATGGCTCACACCTGTATTCCCAGCACTTTGGAAAGCCGAGGTGGGCGGATTGCTTGAGCCTAGGGGTTCAAGACTAGCCTGGGCAACATGGCAAAACCCCATCTCTACCTCAAATACAGAAATTCAGTGGGTGTGGTGGAGCCCACCTGTAGTCCTCGCTACCTGGGAGGCTGAGGTGGGAGGATCACCTGAGCCTGGGAGGTTGAAGCTGCAGTTAGCCATGATCATGCACTGCACTACAGCATGGACAACACAGTGAGACTCTGTCTCAAAAAGAAAAAAGGCAAATATTCAGGTATGACAAATATGGCGATAAGGTTAGTGAAGGATGCTCTGGCAACATAAGAGAGGGCTCCTTCTCTTGTGAGTCTTGAGACCTGGGGGGGCTTCTGTAGGGAAGTCTAAATTGAGACTTCAAAAGAAGTAGTAGTTGACCAAGAGAAAAAGGGTGACGTTAGAATTACTTACAGGGTTTAGATTTTAGGTTTCTCGGTTCTCTTTTTTACTTTATATTTTTATGCATTGTTTGAATTTTTATTTATTTGTTTTTATTTATTTTGGGGCGGAGTCTCACTCTGCCTCACCCAGGCTGGAGTACAGTGGCGTGATCTCGGCTCACTGAGCCTCTGCCTCCTGGGTTCAAGCGATTTTCCTGTCTCAGCCTCCCGAGTAGCTGCGACTACAGGTGTGTGCCACCACGCCTGGGCAATTTTGTATTTTTAGTAGAGACAGGGTTTCACCATGTTGGCTAGGCTTGTCTTGAACCCCTGACCTCAGGTGATCTGCCCACCTTGGCCTCCCAAAGTGCTAGGATTACATGCGTGGGCCACCGCACCCAGCCTAGTTTGAATTTTTAGAAAGACTGTTTTCCTTCACCAAGAATTCTTTTTTGAAAAAATGAACCACTGAGGACATGTTGACATGTTACTCACATGTTGTTGACATGTTGCCCACAGTGCTCCCTATGCCAGGCAGGTCTGTTTTTTTTCTTTTTTCTTTTTTTGAGACAGGGTCTTGTCTGTTGCCCAGGCTGGAGTGCAGTAGCATGAACATGGCTCACTACAGCCTCAACCTCCTCCTCCTGGGCTCAACTGATCCTCTGGCTTCAGTCTCCCAAATAGCTGGAACCACAGGTGCACACTCCCATGCCTGGCTAATTTTGTTGTTGTTGTTGTTTGTTGTTGTTGTTGTTGTTGTTTTGAGATGGAGTTTTTCTCTTATCCCCAGGCTGGAATGCAATGGTACAATCTCGGCTCACTGCAACCTCTGCCTCCTGAGTTCAAGTGATTCTCCTGCCTCAGCCTCCCAAGTAGCTGGCATTACAGGTGCCCGCCACCATATCCAGCTAATTTTTTGTATTTTTGGTAGAGATGGGATTTCACCATGTTGGTCAGGCTTGTTTTGAATTCCTGACCTCAGGTGCTCCACCTGCCTCAGCCTCCCAAAGTGCTAGGATTACAGGCGTGAGCCACCGCACCCTGGTCTGCCCGGCTAATTTTTAAAATTTTGGTAGAAACGGGGTCTTACCATGTTGACCAGACTGGTCTTAAACTCCTGGGCTCAGACAATCTTCCTGCCTCAGTCTCCCAGAGTGCTGGGACTTACAGATGTGAGCCACCATGCCCAGCCAAGGCCTGTGTTTTTGTGCCACATGCCCCCACCTGCTCTCCATTACTGGCCATGACCTATTGGGTCAGGGATAGGCACTTGACCTGGAGACGATCAAATGATTGGTCAGAAGTCCACATGGTAGCCTGGCATAAGAGGCCCTGTTTGATAGTGGTGATGGGTGCACAATATTGTGAATGTACTACATGCCATTGAAATGTTCATTTTAAAACTGTTACAGGCTGGGCATGGTGGTGCATACCTGTAATCCCAGCACTTTGGGATGCCACGGTGGAAGGATTGCTTGAGGTCAGGAATTTGAGACCAGCCTAGGCAACAGAGTGAGACCCCCATCTCTACAAAAATAATACTACTACTAATAACTTTAAAAATAAAAAATTTACAATGGCAAATTTGAAGTTATGTGTATTTTACCATAGTTTTTAAAAATTAAAAGTACAAGAAAAAATTGCCAAAAAAATACAGGTACCCAGTAAATGTTTGTAGCAGATATAAGCCACAAATTACAAGACAAAAATATTAAGATTCTAATGGCCAGTCTGGGCAATAGAGTGAGACCTGGTCTCTACAAAAAAAGTTTTTTAAAAAATTAGCCCTGTGTGGTGGCACGTGCCTGTGGTCCCAGCTACTTGGGAGGCTGAGGTGGGAGAATCACTTGAGCCTGAAAGGTGGGGGCTCCAGTGAACCGTGATCATGCCACCCACTGCACTCCAGCCTGGGCAACAGAGGCAGACCCTGCCTCAAAAAAAAAAAAAAAAAAAGAAGAAGAAGAAGTGGAAGAGGAAGAACAAGAGGAGGAGAAGGAGGAAAAGAAGAGGAAGAAGAAGAGGAAGAAGGATAAGAAGAGGAAGAGGAAGAGGAGAAGGAAGAAAAGAAGAAGGAGAAGAAAAAGAAGAAGGAGAAGGAGGAGGAGAAGGAGAAGAAGAAGAGGAAGAAGAAGAAGAGAGAAGAGAAGGAAGAAGGAGGAAGATGAAAGAAGATAATCCCAATAGATTCACAGGCAAATTGTAGGAACAAACAATTCACAAGAGGACATGTAAATTATAATTTTGAAATCTTTACGTATAATTTTATGCCAACTAAATTAACAAACATGGAAAAGAAAGAAGGAAGAAAGGACAGAGGAAGGGAGGAAAGAGGAAAGGAGGGAAGGAAGAAGTAATGAAAAAGAGGAGAAGTTGGCAGGAATGGAGAGAGGGAAAAAAGAAAGGAAGGAGGGAAGGGAAGAAAGGAAGGGATGAGGGAAGAGTAGAGGTGGGAATGAAGCAAGAGGAGGAAGGAAAGAATGGAGGGAAAGAAGGAGGGGGAAGGAAGAAAGCCAGTAGTCATGGTGAAATCGAGATTAAACTTACTCCATTTCTTCTGCCTGCATTTCCTCATCTGGGAATAAAAATAATTCTACCTGCCGGTGGGAGAAATTGCTATTGCCTACCCAACATCAGGGTTTCCCTTGTACCTTGCTGGTGGCAGTGGCCACTGAGATGCAGGTGAAGGTTGTTGGGGCTTCAGGGAAAACCTTCTTCTGCCCCTTGTCTCTTCCTCACACCCCCTCGCTAGACTAGAGGCAGGGTGGCTGGCCCTCTGGCTGGCATCTCAGGTCATGATGCAAATTGAAAGACGGAAACTTTGGACCGAATCTGGCCAGCATAAGACAGGAACAGCCTGGAAACCGAGGACCAAGAGATCTCCCGCAGCCTCGGACTGCTCACCTCCAGACACCACGTATGAAGGAAAGAAATACACCTCTTAGATCCAAGCCACTGTGATTTCTGGTCTCTGTTACTTGCAGTTTTGTGCAATTCTCAACTGATAAACTTTCTCTTAAGTGTGTGATGACAATGAAATTAGATGATGTTTATAAAATATGTCAATGTGCCATTGCATCAAAAGTCCTCATGGTAGTACTGTCTCTCACCTCTGAGCAAAGCCATCGAACAAATTTTTACAATTCACCATAATCACAAAGCATTTACTCAGGAAATGTTTTAACGTATGTACAGGCTGGGGGCGGTGGCTCACACCTGTAATCCCAGCACTTTGGGAGGCCCAGGAGGGTGGATCACCTGAGGTCAGGAGTTTGGGACCAGCCTGGGGAACACGGTGAAACCTCATCTCTACTAAAAATACAAAAAATTAGCTGGATATGGTAGCACATGCCTGTAGTCCCAACTACTCGGGAGGCTGAGGCAGGAGAATTGCTTGAACCCAGGAGGCGGAGGTTGCAGTGAGCTGAGATCATGCCACTGCACTCCAGCCTAGGTGACAGAGTGAAACTCCGTCTCCAAAAAATTAGCTGGGTGTGGTAGCGGGTGTAGTCCCAGCTACTTGGGAGGCTGAGGCAGGAGAATCTCTTGAACCTGGGAGGCGGAGGTTACAGTGAGCTGAGATTGTGCCATTGCACTCCATCCTGGGCGACAACAGCGAAACTCCATCTCAAAAAATAAAAAAATAATAAAAACAAAAATAAAGTATCTAAAGAGTTACCAAATACATATATGTCTCCAAAAGGCATTTATTGCTAATATTCTGCTAATATTAGAACACACTGGGATCAAATAAAAAATTACCCAAAGAGGGGAGGAAAAAGTCACTTGTTTTCTAAACTAGGTTGATTTTATTTCATGGGTAAACTTGAGTGGTGTTGGGAAATTGTGACCTCAGTGTGCTACTTTCCTACTGGAAAATAAGACCTCAAAACCTCTCCAAACTAGTCACTTCATCTTACTTATGAGAGGCACGACAAAATGGATACTTTTCACCAAAATTCTCCTGTGTTCTACATTGCAAAATCAATATATTTTAGAGGAAGAAGAAGCTTTCAAACTTCAGTTCTTCCAAAGGCATAGTTGGTGCAGGGGGTGGGGTGAGGGTGGAAAAAAAGGGCTGGTGGTGAGGTGTGGCTCCGAGGAGCAAGTCAGCCCTCGCCCCGCCACCGGAACAGCGTTCAGTGCCCGTCACTTGTAACACTGGTCTTCCCAATGCATAGCCCTTGAAGATAATCAGGGCCGGGTGGGTCCCCGGTGTCAGGGGAATTTGCCAAGAGGGGGAAGAAACAAACGTACAGGTTTACCTGCAACAGAGAAAGTCCTCATTCCCACCCTATTAGGATACAGAGTTTTCAACAACAGGATTCCTTTGGTGGAGCAAGTTGCAGGGCACAGGGCTGTTGGCAGGAGATTATCAGGATTGTAGCGTTCACATCTGTACCTTGGAAAGGGGCTTACTCTCCAAGTCATTAAAAGGACACTCAAACACAAACTCAAAGTTAGTTAGCATATATATGAAATGTATTTTCTTGGTAGTCTCTAGAGTTTCAGCCAAAAGCTACATGAAGAAAGAAGAGAACAACATGTTTGAGAGATGGAGATGAGGAACATTATTGAGAGATAGAGCTTGCAATCTTAACTCAGCAATGGAATGCTGGAAAGGCTGAATTGACATACTCTGTTCTTTGGTTCCGTATGTCTTTTTTTTTTTTTTTTTTTTTGAGACAGAGTCTTACTCTGTTGCCCAGGCTGGAGTGCCGTGGTGTGATCTTGGCTCACTGCAACCTCTGCCTCCCGGGTTCAAGCGATTCTTCTGCCTCAGCCTCCTGAGTACCTGGGATTACAGGCACCCACCACCATGCATGGCTAATTTTTTTGTATTTTTAGTAGAGACGGGGTTTCACCATCTTGGTCAGGCTGGTCTTGAACTCCTGACCTTGTGATCCACCCACCTCAGCCTCCCAAAGTGCTGGGATTACAGGCGTGAGCCACCGCACCCGGCTGGTTTCCTGTGTCATTCTAAATCCTTTCTAACCCAGTAAGAGGATGGATGGATGGATGGATGGATGGATGGATGGATGGCAGATGGATGATCAGTTAGACCAACTCAGGAAAATAGGGAATAACATGGAAAAGAATGCTTCGCGTCCCTCACTATAAGTTCCTAAAAAGCTACAATGGGAAAGTAATCCATGACCTACCTTCACAAAACCTGGTGAGAAACTGATAGATTGGGGATTTTCCCTGAACTCAGATGGAGTTCAAGCTTCATTAAAACAAATTCTAAAGGACTGATTGACATTTTATTCTATTGTATTTTGTTATACTGATTGTTTTTTAACCAGAAATAATTGGGCCACAGTAGATCTTTTTTAAACTGAGTTTTGTGTGTGATGTGTGATGTAATTTGTTTTGCAATATCCAAGGAAATTTTCATGCTCCATTTGCCTTCGGCCACAAACTAACAGTCAATGCCCCACCCCACCCTCTACAGCAGCAGGAAAAAATAAGTCCAGATCAATGTTGCCCACAAATTTCTCACCTCTGTATATTCCTTGGACAGTCTTCCAATTTCAGGCTCTTTTGCTCCCCTCACCGTGGCCAAGTCTTAGACGGAAATTGGAGCACAGATGGCTTCTCAGGGGTGGCCAGACTTGTGTTCCCAAGACGCCTGGCTCCCTGGTCTTATCCTCTCCTTTCAGGTCGGGTCTCAGATCAGGATTCTTTAAGGGCCAACTTCGCATTCTGGGCAAGTGAATGACACCTAGGGCACACCCTCTTCTCAGCAGCCTGCACTTGATCTCCTTTTAAAGGGGAAATTACATTTCTTGTTAAGACTGAAAGAGGCTGCCGAACTTTGGAGGAAATTACTATGTTGTTCTCAGGACAGCTGGAAGAATTTCTGAAAGAGAAGACCTAGGCAAGGGGCAGAGGGAAGCTTTGCCCTTGCAAACATTTGCTCACAGCCATTGCTTAGAATTAAGGAGCAGGTTCATGCCCATCCTGTCAGCCATATCCTGCAGGGTGGCAGGCATGCTGTAGCCCCTGGTATAGGCCATGGTGCCTGCCACCCTGAAGCTGCCTGTGCTGTACAAGAGCAGCCTTTGCTATGCCAGGAGTCACTGAGTGGCCAGGCCATGAGCCTGTCTTGGGTCAACTCTGTGGGCCTCAATGTCCCTGCTTCTGTTCGTTATTCCCATACAGACATCAATGTGCCTGACTTCCCTGATTACTGTTGCATTGAGATTTTTGATGGGACAAAGTCTTCAAAAGAGGATGGCGAGGCTAGGAAAGGGTTCTCCTATTTGGTAACTGCAACAACTGCTGTGGGTGTCACATATGCTGCCAAGAATGTCATCTCCCAGTTTGTTTCCAGCATCAGTGCTTCTGCTGATGAGTCGGCCGTGTCGAAAATTGCAATCAAGTTATTTGATATTCCAGAAGGCAAGAACATGGCTTTCAAATGGAGAGGCAAATCCCTGTTTGTATGCCACAGAACCAAGAAGGAAATTGACCAAGAACCTGCAGTTGAAGAGTCCCAGCTGAGGGCCCATAGCATGATTTAAGGGCCAGGCACAGTGGCTCATGCCTGTAATTCCAGCACTTTGGAAGGCCGAGGTGGGCAGATCACTTGAGGTCAGGAGCTCAAGACCAGCCTGGCCAACATGGCGAAACCCCATCTCTACTAAAAATACAAAATTAGCCAGGCGTGGTGGCATGTGCCTGTAATCCCAGCTACTCGGGAGGCTGAGGCAGGAAAATCACTTGAACCTGGGAGGCAGAGGTTGCAGTGAGCCGAGATTGCACCATTGCACTCCAGCCTGGGCAACACAGTGAGAATCTGTCTCAAAAAAAAAAAAAAAAAAGAAGAAGAAGAAGAAGTAAAGGATGGGCCGGGAGTGGTGGCTCACACCTGTAATCCAAGCACTTTGGGAGGCCAAGGCGGGTGAATCACTTGAGGTCAGGAGTTCAAGACCAGCCTGGCAAACATGGTGAAACTCCGTCTCTACTAAAAATACAAAAATTAGTCAGGCGTGGTGGTCCATGCCTGTAATCCCAGCTACTCGGGAGAATGAGGCAGGAGAAGTGCTTGAACCTGGGAGGCGGAGGTTGCAGTGAGCCAAGATCGCGCCACTGCACACTCCAGCCTGGGAGAGAGAGTGAGACTCTGTCTGAAAAAAAAAAAAAAAAGATAAAAAAGGAGTAAAGAATGAGTGCAATGCCTATCAGGGTAACCCATTCGAGTTTCTTTACTAGGCGTTTGCATTCATCCTGTTGTACACCTATTGCAAATGAAGATTTTGGTGGTGATTACTGCCCTTGCTGGGGGTCACACAGATGCATCTGGGAGGATCTGGAAGGGGCCTGCCCCTCTTGAGCTTGGAGCTCCCTCATATGGGTTCACCAGTGAGGACACAGTCATTGTTGGTTAGAGACTGGGACTCAAGTTGTAGGCTCCTTTCAGTCTTTGCGTCACTGTAGAAGAGTTATTTGAGAGCAAGCCTTCTGAACTTCAAGTTGCTTGATTTGAAATATTTAAGAAGTGATAATGTATTTGCAAACATTACTGTGAAGTAAATTGAATTTAATGTTGAATACGTTCAAGCATTCACTTAATAAAACAACTGTTAAACACTGTTACACTGTCATACACTTGAAAGGTGCAATGTCTTTTAGGTAGTTCTAATTTTTTACTTTAAAAAAATTTTTTGTTTTTATTTTTTTGAGATGGTGTCTCGCTCTGTCTCCCAGGCTGAAGTGCAGTGGCGTGATCTCGGCTTACTGCAACCTCCGCCTCCCGGGTTCAAGTGATTCTCCTGCCTCAGCCTCCTGAGTAGCTGGGATTACAGGCATACACCACCATGCCTGGCTAATTTTCATACGTTCAGTAGATGAGGAGTTTCACCAGTTGGCCAGGCTGGTCCCAAAATCCTGGCCTCAAGCAATTCACCCACCTCGACCTCCCAAAGTGCTGGGATTACAGGCGTGAGCCACCATGCCTGGCCTAATTCTAATTTAAAACTACACAGTGGTATATAAAAATTAAAAAAAAAATAGACTTAAGGATCAACAGGCTGGTGATCCATTTAAGCACAGGGTTCTTTTTAGATAGTTGTTGAGAAGGACATTTGTGAGCTGAGAACCTGAAAATCGTCCAGTGGCCATGGCAGCATGGGATTGGTAGATTTCTTATCCCTCCATTTGCATGCTGTCTTAGTCTATTCTCCCAGTTCAACCATCACTGACAGTATCTCCTCCACACCCAGGGCTTTACAACCACCTTTTCTACAGTCCAGAGAGGTGGAGATCATTATTTCCATTCGGCAATGAGGGGAACAACTCCATTTCTTTCCTGAGGGCACTCATGATAAAGCATCAAAGTTGGGACTCAAACATGTACACCTTCTGACCTTAGCTATCATTCTTTTGCTCAATCTCATTAAGTGAATATTGAGCATCTAATATGTGCCTTCCACTGTGCTGGAAAAGTCATGATACTGACATGGAAGGTGACACAGAAGCTTCCTTTTAGGTTTGAGCAATGCCGCTTCCATGAGCACCAATCAGCTTTACCACACACAGGGCACGTAGGCACTTAAAAAACAGGGTCTCATCCAAAGCATATTTTGAATTTAATCAGCTCTTTTAGAACTTTACTAACAATGAAAATTTAGAACTGGCCAGATGCGGTGGCTCACACCTGTAATCCCAGCACTTTGGGAGGCCAAGGCGGGCGGATCACTTGAGGCCAGGATTTCGAGACACCAGCCTGGCCAACACAGTGAAACCACGTCTCTACTAGAAGTACAAAAATTAGCCATGCATGGTGGCGGTTGCCTGTAATCCCAGCTACTCAGGAGGCTGAGGCTGGAGATTGCTTGAACCTGGGAGGCCGGAGGTCACAGCGAGCTAAGATTGCACCACTAAACTCCAGCAAGTCCCTGAGACAGAGTGAGGCCCTGTCTCAAAAAAAAAAAAAAAAAAGAAGAAGAAAGAAAAAGAAAATTTAAAATTAAATAAGATACTATTATTTTGTAAATTTTAAAAGCACTAAAAAAAAAAAAAGATAATTATACTTAATTCTATCAGTATAGTTACCATGAAGATAATAACCTACATGGATAAAGTCCATTCAGACAAAACAGTCAGTGGGGCCGGGTGCTCATGCCTGTAACCCCAGCACTTTGAGAGGCTGAGGCGGGAGGATAGCTTGAGCCCAGGAATTCAAGACCAGCCCGGGCAACACAGTGAGACACCCCCTACCCACGGCAACTCTACAAAAAAACTAAAAAATATTAGCTGGGCATGGTGGTACACACCTGTAGTCCCAGCTCGTCAGGAGGCTGAGGTGGGAGGAACATTTGAGCTTGGGAGGCTGAGGCTGCAGTGAGCTGTGATCTCACCGCTGCACTCCAGCCTGGGCAAGAGTGAGACCCTACCTCTCTATATATATATGCAAACATATATATCTTGTTTATCACATATATCATATATGATATATATCTTGTGTATCATATATATAACTTATCGGACTCTTAGGAGTTTGTTAGTGCAGGCACTTAAGAAATGACTAATGACTTTGGTGCCCACAGAGCCAGGGAGTAACGGGCCAGACCTCTTGGTGGTTTTCCTCCCAGCACACCATTTTCTGAACTTGTCGAAGCCTCCAAATCTCTTTCTCCAGTTACTCCAGCATAACGTGCATTGACAGTAAACAAAGTCCTCGATGATGTCATGTTGCCACACTTCATTTCACAGGATTTAGCAACCAGAGAGCCACACCGGGGGCGGCCCTCCCTCCAAACAGAGAACATTATCTCTTCTTCCTCAGTGAAAATTCATGAGAAAGTTCCTAAGCTTGTAATGCTTAGCCCTAGACAACGGAAAAAGGTGTTTGAGGAAGGAGGAAATGAGGAAATACAATATGCATGATCCTTCTCTGGGATTAGTTTGTGTAGCTCTATTGTTCAGCTTTGGCCTATAATTGTCAGTAGTAAATGGTATGGAATAATTTTTTTTTTTTTCCAAGATGGAGTCTTGCTCTGTCACCCAGGCTAGAGTGAGGTGACTTGATCTCGGCTCACTGCAACCTCCACCTCCTGGGTTCAAGCAATTCTCCTGCATCAGCCTCCCAAGTAGCTAGGATTACAGGCACCTGCCACCATGCCCAGATAATTTTTTATTTTTAATAGAGACGGGGTTTCAACATATTGGTCAGGCTGGTCTTGGATTCCCAACCTCAGGTATTCTACCCGCCTCAGCCTCCCAAAGTGCTGGGATTACAGGCGTGAGTCACTGTGCCCAGACTGGTATGGAATAATTTTGAGTAAAAACATCTTTTTTTTTTTTGAGATGGAGTTTTGCTCTTTTGCCCAGGCTGGAGTGAAGTGGTGTGATCTCGGCTCACTGCAACCTCAGCCCCCCGGGGTTCAAGCGATTCTCCTGCCTCAGCCTCCCGAGTAGCTGGGATTACAGGCACCTGCCACCAAGCCCAGCTAATTTTTGTATTTTTAGTAGAGACAGAGTTTCACCATGTTTGCCAGGCTGGTCTCAAACTCCTGACCTTGGGTGATCCACCCGCCTCGGCCTCCCAAAATGCTAAGATTACAGGCGTGAGTCACTGTGCCTGGCCGAATAAAGACATCTTAAGGAAAAAGTGAATGACTCAGATGTTTATTTTCTCAAATACAATATTTAAAATATTGCAAGAAGACATCTGTTTAGCATTCTCCCCTCATTTGTCAATTACTTTATTATTTGAGAATTAATACCCCACATGAAGACAATATCACTTGCCAAAGTCCTTCCTCTGACGTGGTTAAGTCGTATCAAATCCACAGGCTGACGTCCAAATAATACACAGTTTCATGCTTCAGGTGAGCCAAGAACAACCTTCCCATTGAGCGCCTTGCAGGGGCTGATATCAAAGACAAGACTGAACTTCCTTCATTGGCATGGTGACCACCGTGGGAGGTGCAGCCCTCAGCCTACTCCTCGGCTGTGCCATCCAGGATGTGTTTAAAGGAGAATGGAGAAAACTTGTAACCATCCCCGACATAGAACTTGTTCTGGAACTCAACCCTGTTGTTGAGGGGAGGCCGTGGGGTAAGAAATGGGAGATTGAAACACATCAGTTAGAGGCTGGAAGGTGGAGGGAAGGAGGAAGCAGAGCGTTCGTAAAATCAAGCACAAAGTCAGAAGGGTTGGCCACGGCAGGCACCCAGGCTGATGGCTGCCATGAGAATCCTGAGGATTTTTTTTTTTTTTTTTTTTTTGAGACAGAGTCTTGCTCCATCACCCAGGCTGGAGTGCAGTGTCGTGATCTTGGCTCACTATAACCTCCGCCTCTCAGGTTCAAGAGAGATTCTCCTGTCTCAGCCTCCTGAGTAGCTGGGACTATAGGCATATACCACCATGCCTAGCTAATTTATATGTGTGTGTGTGTGTGTGTGTGTGTATAATATATCATATATATTATTATATATAATATTATATATACATCAATATTAATATATTAATATATAATATATTATATATATTATATAATATATTATATATATTATATAATATATTATATTATATAGAATATATTATATAATATATATTATATTATATAGAATATATATTATATTATATATTCTATATAATAATTATATTATAAATATATTTATATTTATTTATATTTATATTTATATTTATAATATATATATTATAATATATATTATATTATATATATATTTATATATATATAAAAATAAATATATTATATATATATATTTTTTGAGACAGAGTTTTGCTCTTGTGGTCCAGGCTGGAGTGCAATAGTGCGATCTCAGCTCACTGCAACCTCTGCCTCCCAGGCTCAAGCAATTCTCCTGCCTCAGCCTTCCGAGTAGCTGGGATTACAGATGCCCACCACCATGCCCAGCTAATTTTTGTATTTTTAGTAAACACCAGGTTTTGCTATGTTGGCCAGGCTGGTCTCGAACTCCTGACCTCAGGTGATCCACACACCTCAGCCTCCCAAAGTGCTGGGATTACAGGTGTAAGCCACTGCATCCAGGCCATGAATCTGAGGATTTTTTAAGCCCTTCTCTCATCTGTCTCTTACCACCTTCCCCTTCCCCTCCCCTTCATTTCCTCCAGGCCTCTCTGCTTGTGGGCTCATGGTCACAGCATAACAACTCTTCCTTCATGGAAGGAGCTTCCCCACCCCCATGACAAGCCAAGACACCCTCACTGTGCAGCACTCTCTCATGTCATTTTCCATTTCCAGCTAATTCTAAAATGTGGGACTCACATATTATAGAACGCAAAGACCCTTGACCTGTATTTTTGTAACTCACATAACTGATACCATGTCGGATGATTTATGTTTTATTTTATTTATTTATTTATTTATTTATTTATTTATTTATTTATTTATTTATTTTGAGACGGAGTCTCGCTCTGTTGCCCAGGCTGGAGTGCAGTGGCTCCATCTCAGCTCACTGCAAGCTCCACCTCCCGGGTTCCAGCCATTCTCCTGCCTCAGCCCCTTGAGTAGCTGGGATTACAGGCATGCGCCACCACCCCAGCTAATTTTGTATTTTCAGTAGAGACGGGGTTTCTCCACGTCGATCAGGTCACAAACTCCTGACCTCAGCTGATCCGCCCGCCTTGGCCTCCCAAAGTGCTGGGATTACAGGCATGAGCCACCGTGCCCAGCCTCATTTATGTTTTATTAATTTACAGAGTTCAGTTCCTCTCCTCAATGACATGGAGGGGAATGACGTCATCATGGAGGCAGGGGATGCTGTGGCTCTCCTCACTCAGTACATGAAGTGCAAAGGCTTCTTTATGAATAGTGGCCATAGAGGGAGGAAGAAAACATCAGGGCAAGCTGGGTACAGTCTCTGCAGCTGAAGGGCATGCACTGCACACTCAGAATTCTTGGTTGAAATGTAACTTGGAAGACAACCAGAGGCCTAAACATGTTTCCATATTCATCAACCTAACGACGGCTGATTGTCACTGGATACATCTGTGCATGTCCAGGGCTCCCGGTGAGCGTCTCCCTCCTGGTGGTACCCTCCTTCTCTTTCCACTTTTGAGATTTTCATACCTTGTTGGTATAACTCCTCTACTCAGCAACAAGAGCCAAACATCCCAGATTCACTGGGCGCAGTGGCTCATGCCTGTAATCCCAGCACTTTGGGAGGCTGAGGCAGATGAATCACTTGAGGCCAGGAGTTTGAGACCAGCCTGGCCAACATAGGGGAACCCCATCTCTACTAAAAATACAAAAATTAGTCAGGTGTGACGGTGCATGCCTGTAATCCCAGCACTTCAGGAGGCTGAGGCGGGTGAATCACTTGAGGCCAAGAGTTCGAGACCAGCCTAGCAAACATGGGGAAACCCCGTCTCTGCCAAAAATACAAAACTTAGCTGGGCGTAGTGGCAGACGCCTGTAATCCCAGCTACTCAGGAGGCTGAGGCAGGAGAATCGCCTGAACCCGGTAGGTGGAGGTTGCAGTGAGCCAAGATTGCACCACTGCATTCCAGCCTGGACAACAGAGTGAGAGCCTGTCTCAAAAAAAAAAAAAAAAAAAAAAAGCCAAATATTCCAGATTTTCTAAGCATGTCTTCTGTGAGCCTATCTCAGATGCCACCTTGCCAATACTTGGAAATGTCACTTGGGTTAAAGCCAATTGTAATAACAAATGAACACTGATCATCTAAAAGGGAAGGAGTAAATGAGAACTAACATATATGAGAGTCTGAATAAGTATGAATGAGTGTGTGTGTATATATGTATATATACATATATATACACATATATTACATCATTTAATATTACACCAACAGATGACTAAACTAAGGCTCCAAAGAGGTATGTAAGCTGCTAAAGTCACATACAGCTCACGATCTGAACCCAGTCGGCTGGCCCCACAGCCCACTCCCTTTCCCAACACCACATTGAGCTTCCAGGGGACAACCATCCTTACCAGTGCAGTCGCAGGGCGTGCAGGAAAGCAGAGAGGCCCTCCATGATCAGAAGGATGGCTACTGTCAGGACAGCAAATACGGCAAAAATAATAAAAACCCCGACGATTCCTCCCCAGCCTCGCGTCTGAAGGCCGCTGTTCATCACCATAGTCCAGAGCACTTCAGACAGTTCTGCAAGGTACGAGAAACCACTGGGATTATCTTGTAAATGCAGATTGTTATTTATTGTATTTTCTCATCTTTTTAATTAAAAATATATATATATTTTAAATAGAGACAGGGTCTCACTCTGTTGCCTAGGATGGTCTCCAACTCCTGGCCTGAAGCAATCCTCCTGTCTCAGCCTCCCAAAGTGCTGGGAAATCAGGCGTGAGCCACCACATCCAGCCCAGATTATTATTATTTTATTATTATTTTTTGAGACAGGTTCTCACTGTGTCACCCAGGCTGGAATGCCATAGTGCAATTATGGCTCATTGCAGCCTTGACCTCACAGGCTCCAGTGATCCTCCCACCTCAGCCTCCTAAGTAGCTGGGACCACAGAAGTGTGCCGCCACTGTCTGTTAATTTTTTTTTTTTTTTCGAGACAGAGTTTCGCTCTTGTCGCCCAGTCTGGAGTGCAATGGCGTGATCTTGGCTCACTGCAACCTCTACCTCCCGAGTTCAAGCAATTCTCCTGCCTCAGCCTCCCGAGTAGCTGGGACTACAGGTGTATGCAACTACACCCAGCTAATTTTTGTATATTTAGTAGAGATGGGGTTTCACCACGTTGGCCAGGGTGGTCTCAATCTCTTGACCTCATAATCCACCCGCCTCGGCCTCCAAAGTGCTGGGATTACAGGCGTAAGCCACCGCGCCCAGCCACAGCCTCTTCTTTGACCAGGAAGTGGTTACATGAGTGTTTGCTTTACAAAAATCCATTAGGCTGAATATATATTTTATGCATTTTTGTAAACATGCTATATTTCAAAGTAAAAATGTTTTTAAAAAGATTGAAATCCTAACCACATTTCAAAAAACGTTTAGCTAATATTTATTCAGTCACTGCAATGTACAAGGGCACATGCCAGGTACTGAGCACAGGAGGTGAATTCAGCCTCACTCGGGAAAGTGGCTCTTTTCACTCTTTGGTGGTCACGGGTCCCCTCTGGAATCTGAAGAAAGTCATGAATCCTTTCCCCAGAAAAATGCACACAGAGACGCCCAACAACATCTTATACGTAGTTTCAGGGGATTTACAGAAAGCCTGAAGTTCAGCCACAGACTCCAAATTAAGAGCCAAGTCAGAGGAATTCGAAGCAGTTTACACATATTATCCCAGTAAGGCCCATATCAACCCTATAAATTAGGTTTTATGATGCCCATCTCATAGATAAGGAAACTAAAGTTCCGAAAAGTTCAGGGGCAAATGCCACACAGCCCCCTCTGGCCTGTTCCTATGACACCACCGTCCCCCCACCCCCACTTCCCTACCCGTTACCTCCTCAGCTGTTTCCCACACCCCCAGCTCTAAAGGTCTTTTCTACACATTTCTTACATGCCCATGGAGTCTCTCAAAGGCTGACAGTCGGGGAATGTTTTAAAAGGCCCTGAGGGGAGTGAAATCCAAGAGGAGGGAGGTCATGGATGGGGATCGGAAAAAACCCGGACTCGTAGCTGAGCCCGTGTCCCCAGCTAACTGCCCTACAAGGGCTCTCACTGTCCAACCTATGCAAGTAAGGGTCCATGCTTAGGTGTCCCTGGTCACAGAGCACGTGTGAATGCTTCTTCCCTAGTTATCATGCCCAACAGCCTGGGATATGCACCTTGCAGGGAAATAGCATCATTACATCCTTGGCTTGAGATTTGAAGGCCCCTGCTAAAAGGTCACAATGATGTAGCCCAGAGAGACACAGGCCTGCCACTTGCAAGCGGCTATCAGAACATGATAAACGCAGAGACATGGAACGCAAGGAAGAGGACCCCTATTTGCTTGCTGCCCCCCAAGATCTGGTTTTCTGCCTGCTACAGTGATGCAGAGTCTTTCATCAATGGGAGCAGCTTCACCCCCGTCGGGTTAGACCCGTACCTGAGATTTACAGTAGAAACTCCAGTGCTTAGCATTCGTGTGATCTTCACAGCTCAGGCTATGTTCATTTCCTTGCACAAACTCACATACGCAGACTTTCACGTGCACACGAATACTCAGATGCACACACTCAGCCCTGCGTGTACCCGCAGCACAGACACCCATGAGCATGTCTTTACTCCTGTGCACTGATGTGCATTCGTGTGAAGTGGCTATCCCATGACTGTCACCCACTTTGTTCCTTTTTTTCCTTTTTCGAGACAGAGTCTCGCTCTGTCACCCAGGCTGGAGTGCAGTGGTGTGATCTCGGCTCACTGTAACTTCCAGCTCCCAGGTTCAAGTTATTCTCCTGCCTCACCCTCCCGAGTAGCTGGGATTACAGGCGTGTGCCACCACACCCAGCTAATTTTATATTTTTAGTAGAGAGGGGGTTTTACCATGTTGGCCAGGCTGGTCTCGAACTCCTGACCTCAGGTAATCCCCCCACCACCTTGGCCTCCCAAAGTGCTGGGATTATAGGTGTGAGCCACCACGCCCAGCCCCACTTTGTTCCTTAAAGTGGATCTCAGCGCTTCAAGTCATCCGTGGTCCTGATGTTGGTCTTCAGCTCCAACCTCAGCAGTAGTTTGAAGGACTTGGGTCATACCAGGGATGGGTCTAAATAAGACAGGAGGAATTTTGGCCAGAGGACACCCCAACACATAGTGCCAAACTCTGGCCTAGGGACCTGAGATTTAGAGGGTAAGTTGTTATTGCAACAGAGTTTAGCCTAACCTGACCAGTGCAGGAGGCTAACTACTAGGACCACTGATGAAAGCCCCGGCACACAAAGGTTAAATTTCTTGTATAAGTTACTCAACCAAAAGTGGTAGAAAAGGAACCAGAATTTAAGTCAGTGTTTTAATTTTTTCCCCATTTTTCCACATTACCTCTTTAAGCAACTGTGTTAGTATGGACTGGAAGCCACGTCTAGCAGGGACTTCTAGAATGACCCAGTGGGTGAATCAGGGCAGGCAGCCATGAACCATATGGGTTTTTAGGAATCAAATGACCCCCTCAGTGTGTGTATGGGCTGGCCAGAGGACACCCCGACACATAGGGCCAAGAATACCAAAACTCCTCCTCCTGTCTTATCTAGACTCAGCCCTATTATGACTCAAGTCCTCCAACTACTGCTGGGGTTAGAGCTGAAGACCAACATTACCACCACTGACTGCACGAAGCGCTGAGATCCACTCTAAGGAACAAGTAGGTGACAGTCCTGGGACAGCCACTTCACATGAATGCACAGCAGTGCACAGGAGTAAAGACATGCGGCCGGGCGCGGTGGCTCACGCCTGTAATTCCAGCATTTTGGGAGGCCGAGGCGGGCAGATCACGAGGTCAAGAGATCGAGACCATCCTGGCCATCATGGTGAAACCCCGTCTCTACTGAAAATACAAAAATTAAAAAAAAAAAAAATTAGCTGGGCATGGTGGTGTGCACCTGTAGTCCCAGCTACTCAGGAGGCTGAGGCAGAAGAATTGCTTGAACCTGGGAGGCGGAGGTTGCAGTGAGCCGAGATCACGCCACGGCACTCCAGCCTGAAAAAAAAAAAAAAAAAAAGATATGCTTATGGGTGTCTGTGCTGCAGCCACTTGCAGGGCTGAGTGTGTGCATCAGCGTTCATGTGCATGTGAAAGTGTGTGTATGTGAGTTTGTGGGAGGAAATGAACACAGCTGAGCTGTGAAGATCACACGAATGCTGAGTACTGGAGTTTCGTTTCTATCCCTTCAGCACACACCTTGGCCTGGCTTCTCTGTTCTAGGCATTATGCTCAGTGCCAGGAATGCTAAGATAAAAGTCAGGTTCTTTGCTTTCAAGGAGCTCATAGTCCAGTAGGAAGACAGGCTAATCAAGACAATTATAATTGAAGCTAGGTTAAGAGCATGCCCCAGAACCACAGGAAGGCATCTTCCAGACTGGGGGACTAGGAAAGAAGATTTCCAGCTGAGTTATGAAGGACGAATTAAATATCAGATAGAGAGAGAATTAAAGAAGGGACTATTTCAGGCAAGGGGGCTGCAGGGGCAAACACACAGAGGGGCCCAGGGAGTACTGCGTCTTCAGGAGATAGTTCTTCAGGCCAGGCACAATGGCTCACACCTGTAATCCCAGCACTTTGGGAGGCCAAGGCAGGAGGACTGTTTGAGCCCAGAAGTTCAAGACAAGCCTGGGCAACATGGCAAAACCCTGTCTCTACCAAAAAAAAAAAAAAGTTCGCCAAGTATGTTGGTGTGTGCCTATAGTCCCTGCTACTTGGGAGGCCAAGACAGGAGAACTGCTTGAGCCCAAGAGTTTGAGGCTAGCCTAGGCAAAAAGGCAAAACCCTACCTCTACCAAAAAAAAAAAAAAAAAAAATTGGCCCAGGCATGGTGGCATGCACCTGTGGTCCCAGCTACTTGGGAAGCTGAGGCGGTAGAATGACATGAGCCTGGGAGTTCGAGGCCGTGATAGCGCCACTGCACTCCATCCTGGGCAACAGAGGGAGACCCTGTCTTAGGAAAAAAAAAAAAAACGCTCCTCAGGGCCACTGCATATGAAACGGATGGGTCTGGAGTGCTGGGGCACTAAGGAAAACTGACAAGAAACAAGACTGGAGAAGGACCCAGAGATCAAGATGGGGCTTACAAGTGAGTTGGTGAGTCATGATTCCTGACGTTAGGCAACCCCAGGGGCTCGGATCTTTATCAAAACTGTATTTCCAATGCCTGAAATCCCAGCACTTTGGGAGGCTGAGGCAAGAGGATCCCTTGAGGCCAGGAGTGTGAGATCAGCCTGGGCAACATAGTGAGACCTTGTCTCTTTTAGATAGATAGATAGATAGACAGACAGACAGACAGACAGACAGGCAGATGATAGATAGATAGATACAATTGTATTTCTGGGCCTGGCCTGACTGATCCTGGACTGCTGTGAATTCACAAAGGTGGTGAGCACTTCCTGAGGGTCAGCTCAGCAGGCAGCCAACTGACTCCCCGCAATGCTCATAACCAAGGCAGGCGTTCTCTTAAAGGTCAGCACCTTGCAGAAGGGCATGGTAGCCTGAAAAAATATGTTCCCCCATCCCCAAAGATGTCTACATCCTAATTCTAATCCTAATAACCTGTCAACATACTATATTACATGGCAACAGTGGCTTTGCAGATGAGATTAAGCCAAGAATCCTGACAGAGGGGCATTATCCCGGATTATCTGGATATGCCCAATGTCATCACTAGAGTCTTTGTAAGAGGAAGGCAGGAGAGTCACAGTCAGAGAAAAAGGAGATTTGATGCTGGAAGCAGAGGTTGAAGTGATGCAAAGAGGAGCCGCAAGCCACAGAATGCAGGCAGCCTCAAGAGGCTGGAAAGGCCAGGAAACAAATTCTACCTGCAGCCTGCAGCAGGAGCACGGCTGCCCACGCCTTGATTTTAGGACTCTGGCTTCAAAAACTGGAAGACACCAAATTTGTGTTGTTGGGTTTTTTGTTTGTCTGTTTGTTTGAGACGGAGTCTCACTCTGTAGCCCAGGGTGGAGTGCAGTGATGTGATCTCGGCTCACTGCGACCTCTGCCTTCCGGGTTCAAGCAATTCTCCTGCTTCAGTCTCCGAGTAGCTAGAGTTACAGGCACCCGCCACCATGCCCAGCTAATTTTTGTATTTTCAGTAGAGACGGGTTTCACCATGTTGGCCAGGCTGATCTTGAACTCCTGGGCTCAAACAATTCGCCCAAACTCTGCCTCCCAAAGCTCTGGGATTACAGGTGTGAGCCACCGTGCCCGGCCAAATTTGTGTTGTTTTAAGCCACGAGTGTTTGTGACAATTTGTTACAGCAGCAGTAGGAGACTATTAATATAGAGGGTGACCACCCCAGCAACGTGCAGCCAGACCCACAGAAAAGGCACCTGTGCCTGGGAAAGAAGAGTCATTCTTTTGGCAAACATCCACAAATAGCTCGGAGAAGTCACCTTTACTTCCAAATACATGGCACCTATTTCCTGGGGTGTTGGGGAGAGCTGACTGTCCCCCCGATGGGCTGCTCACTCACGTGCATGAGCCAGGCTGAGGGCCCAGAGCCGCAGGTAGGAGGCTGTGTTTGAAATGCAGCCCAGGCAGTACTCGATGGTGTGGATGGCTTGGTGGACAAAGACGTCTCCAAAGTTGAACTGAAAGACGGAATTGTTTATTTTACTTCATTGAGAATTTTCTACACAAAAGTTATTCCAAATGATGCAAAGATGAATAAGACATGGGCTTTGCTGTTCAGACACTTTCAGTCTAACTAGGGGAAAAGAAATAGTAATAGACTTAGAGAAAGAATTATCAGCACAAAGTCGTATGTTATGTGTGTCTTAACGTTCCCCAGCAATAGCTGAAAAAAAGCTCAAAGATGACAAATGGGTGGTAAGGGGAGATGAGATTTGTGCTGTGCCAGGAAGGCTGGGTAGGAATGTGACTTGAAGGACAAGAAATTGTTCCTGAGGAGCAAAAGGATCCCTGGTTGGGAAAGAAACAGGTAGCTGGGAATATCACCTAGTCAAGTCGGAAAGAAAACAATTTGGCTGGAACTGGGAGCTTGTTTAGGTGAGGAATAGAAGACAGTCCTCCTGTGTGGAAGTTTCTAGAAAGGCAAGCTATGGGTAAAGTTGAAGAAACAACCTGGATTCAGTGAGGAGCCATAGAGGCAGGTTACTCTGGTAGCATCATAGTTTAGAGAAGGGACAGCCTTAAAGAAAAAAAAAAAAGGACAATTTGGTTATGAGCTCAGTAACACAGGAAAGAAGTAAATAACAGAACGAAGAAGACAGCCATAGCTCATTCTCCCCTCATGCTCTCTGATGTGACAGACAATTTTTTTTTGGGGGGGGGGGAGGGTCTTGCTCTGTCACTCAGGCTGGAATGCAGTAGCACAATCATAGCTCACTGCAGCCTTGACCTCCCAGGTTCAGGTGATCCTCCCATCTCAGCCTACCGAGTAGCTGGGACTACAGGCATGCATCACCATACCTGGCTAATTTTTGTATTTTTTGTAGAGATGGGGTTTCACCATGTTGCCCAGGCTGGTCTGGAACTCCTGGCCTTAAGCAATCTGCCTGCCTCAGCCTCCCAAAGTGCTGGGATTACAGGTGTGAGCCACTGTGCCTGGCCATGGGGGACAATTGACTGGTGCTGTACATGCCCTCAAGTTGCTCACAGCCTAGTCAGGAGAATATGTAGAAGGGTTCCCATGCCACACTCTGGGAAGCGCAATGACCAGGGCATGCAGTGGTATCGTGGGAACACAGAGAAGGCCCCTTACCCACTCAGGGCCAGGGCAGCCAGGGCTCTGAGGCTCCTAAGCCCAAGTAGCTGGAAGAATGACATTGACAGAGGAGGTGGGCAGTTGGCTCTCCACATGCTGAGTTTCAGATGGCAGTGGGCCTTATCAGTAGACACTCTGCACATGGGAGCTCAGGTGGAACTACCGAAGCCCCGAAGAAAAGTCCCGGCTGGAAACGGACTCCTGAGACTGCATCTGCAGGAGGATGGAGGAGATCAACAAGGGAAAGATCAAGGAAAGAGGAGATCACGCCTGTAATCCCAGCACCTCGGGAGACCAAGGCAGGTGGATCACAAGGTCAAGAGATCGAGACCATCCTGGCGAACACGGTGAAACCTCGTCTCTACTAAAAATTAAAAAATTAACTGGGTGTGGTGGCGTGCACCTGTAATCCAGCTACTCAGGAGGCTGAGGCAGGAGAATCGCTTGAACCTGTGAGGTGGAGGTTGCAGTGAGCCGAGATCTCGCCACTGCACTCCAGCCTGGCAACAGAGTGAGACTCTGTCTAAAAAAAGAAAAAGAAAAAGAAAAGAAAAGAAAGAGGCGCTCCCAGCCTTGGGAAACATCTTCATTCAGAGATAACAAAACAAGGCCGGGCACGGTGGCTCATGCCTGTAATCCCAGCACTTTGGGAGGCCAAGGCAGGTGGGTGACTTGAAGTCAGGAGTTTGAGACCAGCCTGGCCAACATGGTGAGACCCTACCTCTACTAAAAACACAAAAATTAGACAGGGGTGGTGGCGCATGCCTGTAGTCCCAGCTACTTGGGAGGCTGAGGCAGGAGAATCGCTTGAACCCGGGAGGCGGAGGTTGCAGTGAGCTGAGATCTTGCCACTGCACTGCAGCCTGGGCGACACAGTGAGACTCTGTCTCGGAAAAAAAAAAAAAAAAAAAAAGAGTGAGATGAGATAACAAAACAAGAAACTGATGAGGAAAAGAAAAGATCAAAGAAGCTAGAGCAGTCACGCTGCAGTCACAGATGTCTGCGGAGGGAGACGTCCAGGAAGGAGTGGGGGGGTACAGTCACGGGTGTCTGTGGAGGGAGACGTCCAGGAAGGAATGGGGGGCGGGGGTGCAGTCACGGATGTCTGCAGAGGGAGACGTCCAGGAAGGAAGGGGGGATGCAGTCACGGATGTCTGTGGAGGGAGACGTCCAGGAAGGAATGGGTGTGTGTGTGTGTGTGTGTGTGTGTGTGCGCGCAGTTATGGATGTCTGCGGAGGGAGACGTCCAGGAAGGAATGGCGGTGTGTGTGTGTGTGTGTGTGTGTGTGTGTGTGTGTGTGTGCAGTTATGGATGTCTGCGGAGGGAGACGTCCAGGAAGGAAGGGGGGAATGCAGTCACGGATGTCTGTGGAGGGAGACGTCCAGGAAGGAAGGGGGGGCGTGCAGTCACGGATGTCTGCGGAGGGAGACATCCAGGAAGGAATGGGGGGGATGGCGGGGAGGGTGCAGTCACGGAGGTCTGCGGAGGGAGACGTCCAGGAAGGAATGGGGCGGGTGGTGCAGTCACCGATGTCTGCGGAGGGAGACATCCGGAGAGGCATGGGGCGGAATGGGGAGGAATGGGGAGGAATGGGGAGGAATGGGGAGGTGCCGCCACGGATGTCTGCGGAGGGAGAC
The DNA here is from genome assembly GCF_000001405.40 of Homo sapiens. Classification (NCBI taxonomy): domain Eukaryota; kingdom Metazoa; phylum Chordata; class Mammalia; order Primates; family Hominidae; genus Homo; species Homo sapiens. The sequence goes on from NC_000007.14 coordinate 138,718,656, forward strand.
GTCCAGGAAGGAATTCGGGGCGGGGGGGGGGGGTGCAGTCACGGATGTCTGCGGAGGGAGACGTCCAGGAAGGAATGGCGGTGCAGTCACTGATGTCAGAGGTTATGGGGACAAGATAAAAATGAGAACCTCAATTTAGCAATGAAAGCAGCTGTGAGGAATTGAAGGGACAGGGATGGGCAGAGATGGAGTGAGCAGGTAGAAAGAGTCAAGGTAAAGAAGAACTGCATAAGAAAGAATTCATCTTGGCCAGGTGTGGTGGCTCATGCCTGTAATCCCAGCACTTTGGAAGGCCGAGGCATGAGGATCACTTGAGCCAAGGAGTTCAGAACCAACCCGAGCAACAAAGTGAGACCCCATCTTTACCAAAAATTCAAAAAATTAGGCAGGTGTGGTGGCATGCACCTGCGGTCCCAGCTACTCGGGAGGCTGAGGCAGGAAGATCGCTTGGGCTCAGGAGGTCAAGGCTGCTGTGAGCCATGATTGTGCCACTGCATGCCAGCCTCAGCAATAGAACAAGACCCTGTCTCAAAATAGTAATTATAATAATCATAATTAACCTTACCGAACAGGACTGGCTTTGTCTTGGCTCCTGGGAGGTAACCTCTAAACCACTGGCATTTCCCACGTGAAAGGGTCTTTGTTATTCATGCTGGGCCCCTGGGACCACACCTGATCGTTTATGCGAATGCAGTGGCTTAAGTTGGGCACCTTATAGTTGAAGTGGGGTCTGGCCACACCAGAAAGACCAACCACATGCTTAGAGAGTTGGGAATGATCTGCAAGGTGGGAGAGAGCTGGGGACTCTGCAGCAACTGCTGGGGCTGCATCCACCAATCAATCATCAGTCAATCAATCAGTCAATCCTGCCTGCATGAGGAAACTCCAGTAAAACTTTGGACACTGAAGCTTGGGTGACCGGCCTAGGCTGGCGATTCTCTGCACATCTTGCCACACATCAATGTGGGGACAGTAATGTGCCTCCAAGGACACAGCTCCTCATTTGGAACTCACTGTCCCAGATACTGCCCTATCCTCTCTGCCTGTCTGATTTAAATTCTTTTGCTACAAAAGCTGTAAGTGGACAGGCACGGTGGCTCACGCCTGTAATCTCAGCACTTTGGGAGGCCGAGGTAGGCGGATCACCTGAGGTCAGGAGTTAAAGGCCAGCCTGGCCAACAGGGTGAAATCCCATCTCTACAAAAATACACACAAAAAAATTAGCCAGGCATGGTGGTGGGTGCCTGTAATCCCAGCTACTCGGGAGGCTGAGGCGGGAGAATTGCTTGAACCTGGGAGGCAAAGGTTGCAGTGAGCTGAGATCGCACCATTGCACTCCAGCCTGGGCAATAGGGCAAGACTCTGTCTCAAAAAAAAAAAACAAAAACAACTGTCAGCATAGCACTTTCCGGAGTTCTGTGAGTCATTTTGGCCCCAAAGGACCCTAAGGGTCCTGCGAATGTATAGTCAGCTTGCCTGAAGTGAGGGTGGCCCTGGGAACCCCCAAACTTGCGGCTGGGATCAGTCTTGGGCAGATGTGACAGTCAAGGACTGCACCCTTAACCTTGAGTTTGGCTAACCCTACCGTGGAGAGAAGCAAGCAAGGAACTTGAAAGAGAAACAGGGGGAGGCACACATTTGCCTGGAGACGGGAGACCCATGTATGATTAGACCTGGGGGAAAGAGGTCCATGAATGGTGACTAAAGTTGCCCAAGCAAGGGCAGCCTGCTCATGTTGGAGGTGGCAGGTGGAAATTGTCTGGATATAGATTGAGGGCAGGAGGAGAAGAGATGAGGGAGGTTGCCCTGGACAGGCCAGGACTTGAGGAGTCAGAACATGCGTGGGTTGGATTCTAAAACATTCCAGCAAGTCTGACAGACTTGGTAATGTCAACAGCCACTACTGTGGATCACTCTGTACCTAGAATTTTCTTGGGAAGAATTTTCACGATTGAGATTTTTCATTAATTCTAATTAATCAAGATAATTTTTTTTTTTTCCAGACAGTCTTGCTCTGTCGCCCAGGCTGGGAGTACAGTGGCATGATCTCAGCTCATTGCAACCTCTGCCTCCCAGGTTCAAGTGATTCTCCTGCCTCAGCCTCCCCAGTAGCTGGGATTATAGGTGCTCACCACCATGCCTGGCTAATTTTTGTATATTTAGTAGAGACAGGGTTTCACCATGTTGACCAGGCTGGTGTTGGACTCCTAACCTCAAGTGATCCGCCCGCCTTGGCCTCCCAAAGTGCTGGGATTACAGGTATGAGCCACCACACATGGCTATCAAGAGAAAACTTTTTAAAATAAGCAATTAACACCACAAATGGAGCCATTTATAGCATCTGTGGCCCTCATGGAAACCCAGTTCCCACTCCCAAATTAGAACAGAGCTCCGGTTAAAGCCTCCAGCTTGGGATTCACAAATGTGGCTGACTTCAGTCAACACATGGAACAGACAGCTGCTTTCATCTGGGAGGATGTGGCACGGGCTCCTGAGGGGCAGTGGCTGTCCTTGCACAGGCAGGGGCAGGGAGGGATGAGGGAACAAAACAATTTATGAATTCACATGAGAGGCAGATAACATTATAAAGAGATCATAGGGGGCCAGGCACGGTGGCTCATGCCTGTAATCCCAGCACTTTGGGAGGCCGAGGCAGGCAGATCACCTGAGGTCAGGAGTTCAAGATCAGCCTGGCCAACATGGTGAAGCCCCATCTCTACTAAAAACACAAAAATTAACCGGGTGCAGTGGCGGATGCCTATAATCCCAGGTATTAGAGAGGCTGAGGCAGGAGAATCACTTGAGCCTGGGAGGCGGAGGTTGCAGTGAGCCGAAATTGGCTCACTCCAGCCTGGGCAACAGAGTGAGACTCTATCTCAAAAACAAACAAAAAAGAGAGCTTATAGGGGCGTGGTGCTGAGCCAAGGAGTCCTCAGTGACACGCAGGACCTTCTATGTCACTAGATCCGAGGCTGATATTCACCTGACACATACAGATGCAGCGGTACTTGGACTAGAAATATTAAAATGTGCCCAGATTGGTTGCTAAATAGCTGTTCTGATCCTCTTAGACTAGCTAGTAGGTCCCCTTCCCTGAGACCTTCACAGCTTCCCAGGACTCAGCAGTGACAGGGCTACTGCCCCGTGGGGCCCTCCAGACCCACCCAGCTCTACTGCCTATGTCCATTCTAGAATTTGTACAAACTGGGGAGTCTTCCTCAGGGGCTCTCGTCCCAGATACCTCTTCTCCATGGTCGTCCAGAGCCCCGTGGGTATCTGCAGAAGTCCTCTGGCCAGAACGGCTAGAAGGGCTGGAGCTATCACCTTCAATGTTCTCAGTGGCATCTTCTTGGATCCTGGATGCCTGCAGCTGACAACAAGCAGGGAAATGAGGAATGCGCTCAACTCACCCTGAGAATTCTAACACATATAAATATAAATAAAGGCTCTCCTCAAATACTACCTATGTACCAGACACTGTTCTAAACACTACACTATCTCATTAAGCCCTCACAACAACCATTTTATATAAGCACAATTATCACCCTATTTTCTAGAGAAGTAAGCTGCAGCACAGAAAGGTTAAGAAATGTGCCCGGGAGGCACAGCTTGTAGTGAGCGGACATTGTGCCACTACACTCTAGCCTGGGCGACAGAGAGAGACTCCGTCTCAAAAAAATAAATAAATAAAATAAAATAAAAATAAAAAAAGAAAAGAAATGTGCCCAGCTGCGTGTGGTGACTCACGCCTGTAATCCCAGCATTTCGGGAGGCGGAGGCTGGCAGATCACTTGAGGTCAGGAGTCCAAGACTAGCGTGGCCAACATGGTGAAAACCCATCTCTACTAAAAATACAAAAATTAGGCCAGGCACCGTGGCTCACCTGGGGTCAGGAGTTCGAGACCAGCCTGGCACCCCGTCTCTATTAAAAATACAAAAAATAGCTGGGCGTGGTGGTGCATGCCTGTAATCCCAGCTACCCGGGAGGCTGAGGCAGGAGAGTCATTGGAACTCAGGAGGTGGAGGCTGCGGTGAGCCAAGATCACGCCACTGCACTCCAGCCTGGGCGACAGAGTGAGACTCCATCTCAAAAAAAAAAAAAAAAAAAAAAAAAAGTTAAAGGCCAGGCACAGTGGCTCATGCCTATAATCCCAGTGCTGTGGGAGGCCAAGTTGAGAGGATTGCCTGAGGCCAAGAGTTCAAGACCAGCCTGGTCAACATAGCGAGATTCCATCTCCATAAAAATACAAAAATTAGTTGGGCATGGTAGCACATGCCTGTAATCCCAGCTACTCGGGAGGCTGAGGAAGGAGAATTGCTTGAATCTGGGAGGCAGAGGTTGCAGTGAGCCAAGATTGTGCCACTGCACTCCAGCCTGGGGGACAGAGTGAGACTGTCTCAAAAAAAAAAAAAAAAAGAAAAATATGTGCCCAAGATCATACAGCTGGCAAGGCTGGTAAGTGGCAGAGCCATAATTCAAACTCAGTTGCCTGACTCCAGTGCATGTGCTTTTTCTCCACAATGCTCCAGAATGTGCCAAATTATAGTCTTGACACTAAAGCAATGCAAGTACAAAAGTGCCTTTCCATTGTTAAAAGAAATACACATGGTCATAAATCATCAGTCGTACCTTCCATGTAGCCTTGTGAAATTAACTATAAAAATAGCTTAGGAAAAATTCAAGGAAAAAAAAATCTAGGCATAGTCACCATTCAACTTGGTCTGGTTTTACCCCTAAGTGTGAATGGTATATTTCTTTCAAGTCACCATGAAGCTTAATGTCCCATGTCCAAAGTTTTTCTAGAATGATTTCATGGGAGGGGTATTGCAAATTAGGCATCAACGTATCTGGACCCTTCTTTCTTTTCTTTTTTTTTTTTTTTTTTTTGAGAAGGAATTTTGCTCCTTCGCCCAGGCTGGAGTGAAGTGGTACAATCTCGGTTCACTGCAACCTCTGTCCCCCAGTTCAAGAGATTCTCCAGCCTCAGCTCTCCTGAGTACCCAGGATTATAAGCACCCACCACCACGCCCAGCTAATTTTTGTATTTTTAATAGAGACGGGGTTTCTCCATGCTGGCCAGGGTGATCTCGAACTCCTGACCTCAGGTGATCCACCTGCCTCGGCCTCCCAAAGTGCTACGATTACAGGCGTGAGCCACCACACCCAGCCAGGGCCCTCCTTTCTTTAGCAGGTCTGCACTTAACATTTGCAGGGCTCTGGGCAAGAGCAAAGACAGTAGTTCACATGCCATAGGTTGAAATATTTAAAAGTTATACATCAAGCCAACAAATTCCTAAATAAAATATGTTTCATGTTTGAGCCTAGGAGTTCAAGGTCAGCCTGGGCAACAAAGTGAGATCCCATCTCTCAAAAAAAAAAAAAAAAAAAATTTAGCCTGGCTGAGGGAGCACCTGTCCCAACTACATAGGAGGCTAGGACAGGAGGATCTCTTGAGCCTGGGATGTTGAGGCTGAAGTGAGCAGTGTTTGCGCCACTGCACTCCAGCCTGGGTGACCAAGCAAGACTCTGCCTCAAAAAAAAAAAAAAAAAAAAAGTGTGTGTATAGGGGTTCTAGCTTAAAAAATAAATCTTTGTAAAAACTGGGAAGGCTATGTTGAAATTCAGAATTCACGCCATGCCATGGCAGCATGGGAGCTGGCCCTGGACCAGGGAGCCCTCTTTTTTTCACCTCTGGCTTCATCCTATATCATGAGGGCCTTGTATGTGCACACAGACACCCTGACCCAAAATGTCTAAGTTCTGCTCGCATTCCCTACAGACAGCTGCCCCTTGGCCACCCAGGGACTCGTGGTGTCCATGCCAGTGGCCTGGTCTGCCCTCAGGAGACTGAGGAACAAGGCCTCTGTAGGACCCAGAAGTGGGCTCAGGTCCATCTAGACAAGAGTCCAGGGTGCCAGGTGCCAAGAGCCAGCTTCTAGGTTAGGCTGTCCCCAACACCTTGTGGTTCTTTATCCCATGGGGAGGGACGTGGCTCAAGTTAACTTTATATTTGTCATCTCGAAATCCTATTTTCTCTCTCCTTCAACTTATAGAAGAAAATATCAAAGGAGAGATATATTACGGTTTCTCCATTTCCAACCCTAAACTCTACCCTTTTCTGCTCATTATTCTTGAATTAGTTAAAATGAACATGAATAATTTTGTAGAAGTGTGATACTGGACTTGTGAATCCTAGTGACTATCTTCCTTCCAGATACTTACTTGCAGTCCTCTTACTAAAATCGCACAATGCTTAAGCTGGGTGGCGTATGAAATAAAACATATAGCAATCATTGTAAATTAGCTACTGGCAACTTTCTAAAAACACATGTGGCTGGGCACAGTGGCTCACACTTACAATCCCAGTGCTTTGGGAGGCAAAGGCAGGAGGATCACTTGATCTCAGGAGTTCAAGACCAGCTTGGGCAACATAGCAAGACCTCATCTCTACCAAAAAAATTAAAAAATAGCTGGGCATTGTGGTGCAGGCCTGCAGTCCCAGCTACTCAGGAGGCTGAGGTGGGAGGATTGCCTGAGCCCAGGAGGTGAGTCAGCTATGATCCCACCACTGCACTCCAATCTGGGCAACAGAGCAAGACCCTATCTAAAAATACATACATAAAATAAATAAAAATTCAAACCCATGTGCCAAAAGATATATACAAGGATGTTTATAGTATCACCATTTGTAATTACTAACACTGCAATGTTGGATGAGAGAAGATAGATCCCAAAGAAGACATTCTGGATGATTTCATTTAAATACAGTTCAAGAACAGGCAAAACGAACTGACAGTCCTGGAGGTCAGCACAATGTTTGCTCTTGGGGTAAGAGTGACAGGAAGAAGGCAAAAAAAACTTTTTTTTTTTTTGAGACGGAGTCTCGCTTATGTCGCCCAGGCTGGAGTGCAATGGCGGCGATCTCAGCTCACTGCCATCTCCACCTCTCAGGTTCAAGCAATTCTCCTGCTTCAGCCTTCCGAGTAGCTGGGATTATAAGGCACTCACCACCACGCCGGCTAATTTTTGTATTTTTAGTAGAGACAGGGTTTCACCATGTTGGCCAGGCTGGTCTCGAACTCCTGACCTCAGGCAATCCACCTGCCTCAGCCTCCCAGAGTGCTGGGATTACAGGCATGAGCCACTGTGCCCGGTCAGGACTCTCAAGTTCTAAGGATGACCCATTTCTCGATTTAAGTGCTGGTGACACGAACGTGTTCATGCTGCGATACTTCATGGATTGGTGCCTCGTTATTCATGCACTTGTCTGTATGTTATATGTTTCAATAACATTAACCATAAAAAACGCACATGTTGAAATGAAGTTTATTTATTTATTTATTTATTTTTTGAGACAGAGTCTCGTTCTGTCGCCTGGGCTGGAGTGCAGTGGTGCAATTTCGGCTCACTGCAAGCTCCGCCTCCCGGGCTCAGGCCATTCTCCTGCCTCAGCCTCCCGAGTAGCTGGGACTACAGGCGCCCGCCACCACGCCCGGCTAATTTTTTGTATTTTTAGTAGAGACGGGGTTTCACCGTGTTAGCCAGGATGGTCTCGATCTCCTGACCTTGTGATCCGCCCGCCTCGGCCTCCCAAAGTGCTGGGATTACAGGCGTGAGCCACCGTGCCCGGCCGAAGATTTTAAATAGAAACACACAGTTATTTCACTGTGACCTGAGATGTGGGAGTATGGGGGGACCTGGGTTCATAGCAGCAAGTCAGAAGGGGAAACAGAACGTGGGGGGCCTGGTGGCTGGCCACAAGGGCTCTCGGAAGGAGATGTGTACTCACTCGCTGCCCACGGGGCATGTCACCAGGGCCACGCCACAGGCGGCCCTCTAGTGGAGAGGTTCCCAGGCCACATTCTGCAGGGACCCAGGTTGTAGGAGAGGCTAATAGACAGGACCCCTGTTCATATCACCTGAAGTCCGTCAGAACAAATTGTTTATGTATTAGGTCTGTAGGATTTCATGAAGGAGAGGTGGAGAAGGGGCAAATAATGCCATTATAGGACCATCTCTTGAACGGAGGTGGTAATGTTTCCGACACGAAAAGGACCCTAAGCAGCCGCCTGAGGAAACAACCAACAGCCGTGCATCCCAAGGGCCAAGGGAACAGGCCTCCACGCCGTCTTCAGGAGCTCCTGTTACCAGTCAGTTTCAGAGCTATCATCCATGAAGGCAGACTAGGAAAACCCTCTCTCCCTCCTTCCCTCTATTTAAGTCATCTGGTGGCGCAAAGGAGAAATCTACCACTTTGAGATCAGCAACTATTTAAAGAGCTTGTGTGGTACAAAGAGCAAGACAAGCTATTATTTTACAGTCCTGGAACTCAGGAGAGCCTGCAGTAACCTGGCTCTTGGCTTATGGACAGATTTAGTTCCTAGAAAAAAAAAATTACAATCACTTGAGGCCATGAGTTTGAGAGCAGCCTGGGCAGCATAGTGAGAGCTCATCTCAAAAAAAAAAAAAAAAAAAAAAAAATGCTGAGCCAGGCAGGGGGGCATGCCTGTTACTTGGGAGGCTGAGGCAAGAGGATGGCTTGAGCCCGGGAGTCGGAGGCTGCAGTGAGCTATGATTGTGCTGGTGAATAGCCACTGCACTCTGGCCTCAGAGACAGAGAGAGACCTTGTCTCTAGAAAACAAAACAAAACAAAAAAAACTTGCATCTACTTCTCCAAACAGGTATTTGCCACCCTCTTTGAAATACTTGGTCACCTGTCTGGACAAGCACCCACCTCAACAACCCTCAACCACCTTGCTCTCCCACCAGTTAACCAAACAATAACCAAGTCTTCCTTGCTTTGTCTTCCTCTTTATGAATACCTCATATAGATTACGTTTCAGCTAAGCTTTGGAACGAGTTCGGACTGGCATAAGGAGACAGTGGGAGGAGAGGCAGGTGACAGAGAAACAGAGCGTCACATAGGGACAAACTTCCTGAACTCAAGTCTCGTCATGTCTAGGTCCCTGACTCTGCTGCCTGTCCAGGTCAATATCCAACAAAGATCTCAGAAAAATAGAATTTAATCTGAACATATCTACAACCATTTAAAACATACACGGTCTCAGCACATTCCGCTTAATCTTTTGCACTAATAGAGGAAAGCAGAGAACGACCATCTCAAACCGTCTGTGTGTCAGAGCTAGACGCTGATGTCCTCTGGAAGGTTAATCTTACTAAATCCTATTTGGTTCAGGCTGATATTAAACTCTGCTTCACCCCCCTAGTACATCTAAGGCTCAGGGGCAGTTTAGACAAAAAGAGAAAGTGGGCTGAACCTGGTATTTGGCAACAGGGGAAAAATCACAAACAAACAAAAACTGACCTAATTGAATTTGTTTACTCTTCTAATTCCCTGACACAATCTGTAACATAATACAGTAAAGTCTCACAACTTTAGAATATTAATGAAAAAAGCTTTTAATATTTGTTTTAAAAGTAAAATCATAATAAAATATTATTTATAACTAATAAAACAACCACATTCAGACCCTTATAAATCATTAACTACCACGAGACTCAGCACACATACACCCTGAACAAAGTCTGTCAGACATAAGGTTTATTTTATTTTATTTTATTTTTTGAGACGGTTTTTCGCCCTTTCGCCCAGGCTAGAGTGAAGTGTGATCTCGGCTCACCGCAATCTCCCCCACCACCCTGGGCTCAAGTGATTCTCCTGCCTCAGCCTCCCAAGTAGTTGGGATTACAGGTACCCATCACCATGCCTGGCTAATTTTGGTGTTTTTAGTAGAGATGGGGTTTCGCCACGTTAGCCAGGCTGGTCTCAAACTCCCGACCTCAGGTGATCCACCCGCCTCGGCCTCCCAAAGTGCTAGGATTACAGGCGTGGGCTACTGCGACCAGCCGAGACATAAGGCTTAAACGTGTTTGCCCTTAATAGAGCATCTCGTTGGAAATAAGACGGCCCAGTGGAAAAGTCTAGCTCCACAGAACGAAACATACTCAGGGCGGGTCAGTTCCTCAACACCATTCTTCTGGCCCTGGCAGCCCAGGACGATTCTCTCTAAACCCAAGATTCATCTTTCCAGAAACCCACATTCTTATGCAAAGTAGGGTGAACTGAAACAAACAGCCCTTACCTGGGATTTCCGATGACTGGCTCTAAGAATAAACGGCTTAATCAGAAGCATCCACGGCACAGAAATCAAAGCCATAACCACAAAGAAACTTTGGACTTCTTGCTGCAAGACCAAAATGGCGAGATCTCATCATTTTCACATGGCAGAACAGCACACTTTACGTGATGAAAATGACCACTATGGGCCACTTCACTAGCACTTTATTTTGAGAGATCTAAAGCATTTCAATGAATCCATTCACCTTCACGCCTGGAATATTCCCCTTGCAGATAGAGAAATATCTGTCCAGTGTTTCCAAATGTTCGACACGGGGTAGACACTGGAAACTCTCTGTATTCCTTATTCTGAGTAGTCCCTTGTACCATACGTAACCAATCTTTTAAACAAGAAGTACGCATGAAACATTATAAAGGCACCCCTTGTCTTGAACTCTGTCCCATGGGGGTCGTTTTCACCTGGGCCTGCATGAAAACTATGGCAGGCCTCATGACTTTACCAGTCACTCGGTGGTACTCAAAAGTCCTTGGGTCACTTTAAGTCACAAACAGTATTCAACCGGTAATTTTATATTTTGAGTCCTAGAAAATTATCTGAGCTCTCTTGCTCCTATCTCTTAAAAAAGAAAAAAGAAGTTCCTCACCATCGCTACCTGACTTTCATCCCTTCCATGTGGGCAATTTACTCAACAGGCTCTGGGTTACCCACTTTGAACTCACTCTCGGTCTCTCTCGCCTTCCCTTTGGAGTGAGGCAGCTGCGGTCTTCAGGCCTCTGCTGAAACCCTGGAGGAGTCCCTGTTATATTCCTGCTCCAGATCACCTTTCACATCCTCACGCCCCTGCCTCCTTTCTTATACACACCCCAGTGACCAGTTTAGAGGAGTGACTCATAGCTGCTATGGTCAAAAGAACCAGCCAGCCTCGGAAGGCTCGGTCAGGGCTGCTGAGAAGGATTGAGAGCACGGTGCTGGAAGGAAATAGAAAAACATTTCTTGAGCCTTCACGTTTCTCCAAGCATTCTGACCAAGGTCGCAGTAAATGCCAGGAGACAATTTATTATCCCAATTGTAACAAGATTCCCCCTGATAATAGAGTGAACACTTTATCGGTTCCATCTTCCATCCTCACTCAACTTTTTTTTTTGAGATGGAGTCTCGCTCTGTTGCCTAGGCTGGAGTGCAGTGGCGCCATCTTGGCTCACTGCAACCTCTGCCTCCTGGGTTCAAGCGAGTTGCTTGCCTCAGCCTCCCAAGTAGCTGGGACAACCGGCATGTGCCACCACACCCGGCTAATTTTTTTGTATTTTTAGTCGGGACGGGGTTTCACCGTGTTAGCCAGGATGGTCTCGATCTCCTGACCTCGTGATCCGCCCGCCTCGGCCTCCCAAAGTGCTGGGGTTACAGGCATGAGCCGCCGCGCCTGGCCTCACTCTACTTTTAAATGTCCAAAAGAGGAAGGGAGACCATGTGAACCCAAGCTGAACTTATCCATCCTAGTACCCGCACACAATGCTGTCTCATGGCCCTTTGTCCATTTTTATGCAACAGGATTTTCCCCCGATGACGTACAAAGCAACGGGATGAGTGTGTGTGTGTGTGTGTGTGTGTGTGTGTGTGTGTGTGTGTGTGGCTATCCTTTGATATTCAAAGACAGCCAGGACAATGTTGGGAAGGGACTTTATTAACTTGTATTGCCTCTTCCAGCTGCATAACCCCGAAATGAGGTTATGAAAACTTCAAACTGTATCAAGACAATTAATCTTCACACTAGGGTGTGTGAAAACCAACCAACTCCAAATAATGCTTTTGAATGGAAAAAAAGTTGGATAAGCCACGCATTCACTGTGCAATGCTCAGTGCTTATTCCAGACTAAGTGAGGACTTCAGTCTTAATGAAAGCAGTTAGCACACGAACTATTTTGGTGAATCTGAGTTCTCTGCCTTAAAACAGAAGAGTTATTTGGGAAATCCAAATAAATGTTTGTTTAGATCCAGCACTGAGTAAATGAACCTTCAAAATACGTTCAGTTCATGTCAACATTCTGGGGATGGCTCATGGTTACCATCTGTGATAACAAAATGGTGCCCAACAGTAATGCACCTGTTTCTGATTCTTATCTACACTCACTCCTTATGAAAACCTGATTACAAGGCATTTTTTCTTCTTCTTCTTCTTTTTTTATTTTTTTTTTTGAGACAGAGTTTTGCTCTTGTTGTCCAGGCTGGAGTGCAGTGGCGCAATCTTGGCTCACTGCAACCTCTGCCTCTCAGGTTCAAGCAATTCTCCTGCCTCAGTCTCCTGAGTAGCTGGGATTATAGGCACCTGCCACCATGCCCAGCTAATTTTTTGTATTTTTAGTAGAGATGGTGTTTCACCATGTTGGGCAGGCTGGTCTCGAACTCCTGACTTCAGGTGATCTGCCTGCCTTGGCCTCCCAAAGTGATGGGATTACAGGCGTGAGCCACTACGCCCAGCCTTTTCTTTTTCTTATTGATGCTTGGGTAGGGAAAGAGAACACAACTAGGAACTGAACTCATGAGAAGGGGCATGGCCGTAGAAGCATGACATTAACTACGACATCTGATGGGTGCAATCCCCAACAGACAACCTCTGCACTGAAGGGCAGCTGGCCTTGTGGAACTAGTCACAGGGCTTCATCCAGAGGAATCAGGACCTATAGAAATGGGTCTTTTTTAGTGAAAATCTACCCTCAGATAATATGATCAGGTTAATCACTGGGAGAGGCCAGGGGGAAAAAGCTACTGTTATTTGTGTCATCAAAGAATTACTCACTGAGTTATTTTTATATCCAGCCCCAATAGGATTTGTATACCTTTTAAAAATAAAATATTGGCCAGGTGTGGTGGTTCACACCTGTAATCCCAGCACTTTGGGAGTCTGAGGTGGATGGATTACCTGTGGTTAGGAGTTCAAGACCAGCCTGACCAACATGGTGAAACCCCGTCTCTACTAAAAATGCAAAAATTAGCCAGGCCTGGTGGCAGGTGCTTGTAATCCCAGCTCCTTGGGAGGCTGAGGCAGGAGAATCACTTGAACCCAGGAGGCGGAGGTCGCAATGAGCCAAGATCGTGCCACTGCACTCCAGCCTGGGTGACAGAGTGGGACTCCATCTCCAAAAATAAAAATAAATAAATAAATAAATAAATAAATAAATAAATAAATAAAATATTAAGTTGATAATGAGGCTAAAAGAAATGGAAGAAATCAGAGTGGCAATAAAGTGCAACTGTTGGGATGAACTGTCTCTGGAAGAGGAGCAAAAAATGAAAACAGCAGCTCCCGCCAGCTTTGGAAGCTCACAGAAGAGCATGAGTTTGATTCGTGCTTTTCCAGAAACTGTCTGCCCATGTGAATACAGGGCTTTGTCTTCTGATTCTATTTCAATTATTATTCTTGTTAATTTAGCTAGAGTTCACTCTTTGAATAAAAGATTATTAAGTATTAAGGTGCCATATAGAACATTCTACAGCTGCAAGCCTAACAATTTGAAGGGTTATTTTTTTTTCTTTCTTCATAGCCAATGTACAAGACAATCTTCAATCCCTCTGCAATTATCCCTTTCATGTATTACCCCAACAAGAATGGTTGGAGCCACACTATAGCCCTCAGTGCTTGCACCTTCATTTAATAAGACACTTTTGAGATGTAAAGGATGTAACACCCTCCACTGGATGCCAAGATGGCTCAGTTTTACAAATAACTACTCTTTGCAACACTCAAGAGTAGGAGAGAGGCCAGGTGCGGTGGCTCACACCTGTAATCCCAGCATTTTGCGAGGCCAAAGCAGGTAGATTGCTTGAGGTCATGAGTTCGAGAGCAGCCTGGCCAACATGGTGAAATCCTGTCTCTACTAAAAATACAAAAATTAGCCAGGCGTGGTGGCGTGCACCTGTAGTCCCAGCCACTCAGGAGGCTGAGTCAGGAAAATCGTTTTAACCCAGGAGGTGGAGGTTGCAGTGAGTCAAGATCACGCCACTGCACTCCAGCCTGGGTGACAGAGCAAGACTCTTTCTCAAAAAAAAAAAAAGAGTAGGAGAGAAATTTGACATAATCAAGTAAATAAAAGAAGAGTAAAAAAAAAAAAATAGCAGAAATACCTGATGTTTGTAGAGGGGTGCGTTGGAAGAGTCACTGTAGTTAAACAGAAACATGTTGATGAAGTGGATGAGGATGCTGGGGGCGTGCTGAGATACATGGACGTCAAAGCAGCACCATTTGAAAATGATCATGAAAACCAGGTATCCAAACAGACACAGGATAAAAATCATCTCAGGGATAAATTGCAGAATGATGTTGAGAGTTCTTCTGAAGTATCTGGGGGTGGAAGACACACACATACACAAGATAGAACATCAAGGGAACGTTAGGACTTAATTATTCTCTCAAAGCACAAAAGCACAAAATGTTCTATCTTTTTTTTTTTTGCACTACTGGCAAACAACGGCACCCCCCACCCCCCCAGCAAACAGCAATCCTGTATGGATGCATAGAAAAGAAAATTGAAAGGAAATACTGGAAAGTGCTTTTGCACAAAAGAGTCAGAGAGAACCACGGTCTAGAAGTAACGTCTAAAGCAAAGGTCATGCCCACACAGAGAGGGTGGTGATCTGACTACAGCTTCGCATGCAGACCTAGCTCAGAGTTGCACATTTAAAGGCAAGAGGATATATAATGGGGACCTGGAAGCTTTTTCCTAAGAATGCTCTAAGATAGGGGTCTGCAAAGTGTGGCCCACAGGCCAATGGAGACTATCATCTGATTCTGTACAGCCTGGAAGTTAAGAATGGTTTCTCTTTTTTTTTTTTTTTTTTTTTTTTGAGATGGAGTCTTACTCTGTCACCCAGGCTGGAGTGCAGCGATACAATCTTGGCTCACTGCCACCTCTGCCTCCAGGTCCAAGGGATTCCCCTGCCCCAGCCTCCTAAGTAGCTGGGATTACAGGTGCCCGACACCATGCCTGGCTAATTTTTGTATTTTTAGTAGAGATGGGCTTTCACCATGTTGGCCAGGCTGGTCTTGAACTCCTGACCTCAGGTGATCCACCTGTCGGCCTTCCAAAGCGCTGGGATTACAGGTGTGAGACACCGCACCTGGCCTCCAGTCTTTTTTTGAACCCTCAAATATTTCTGGGGCCAGAGGAGCACTTACCTTGGAGAGACTCTGCTCAGGAGAAACGGAGGTGCTGCCATTTCCAGCCAACCAGCTTGTCTTGGCTCAAGCCCAGATGCCCAGGGAAGTACCCCTCATAGGAAGAAAACTTGCACAGAGAGATGCAGTTCCCAAACCAGTGGCTCTGTCACCATTCATCATCAGTGTGATCAGACAGAGCAGGCAGAGAGTGCATCAAGAAACTTACATGTGATTGAAAAGGCTGAGGATGACACCGAAAACCATCTGGACAATTCCCAGGATCACCGACATCTTCATTTTATACGAGTTCAGAAATGTGAGTTTGTTTGAAGCCAAGTTCCAAATCTGGATGGGAAATGGGACAAAAAACCAAGTGAGAGAGAGTCTTAGAAGTTCTACTGGAGTTGAGGGCTACAGCACAACTTTCCCTAAGCAAACCGCTCTGGGAACTGCACTTTCATATTTCAGTCCAGCTCAATGCATACATTTTAGAGTCCAAAAAGGAAAAAAGGATGAAACCCTTTATAAATGCAACTTTAATGACAAAAGTAACAGGATCATTAGTGCTATTATCAAATTGCTGGAAGGAAACAGGGGAGAAAAATCCTACGTGAAAAGATAATCTGGGAGGCCGAGGCAGGTGTATCACTTGAGCTCAGGAGTTCGAGACCAGTCTGGTCAACCTGGCGAAACCCTGTCTCTACACCAAAATACAAAAATTAGCTGGGCATGGTGGCGGGTGCCTGTAATCCCAACTACTCAGGAGGCTGAGGCAGGAGAACCGCTTGAACCTGGAAGGTGGAGGTTGCAGTGAGCTGAGATCGCACCATTGTACTCCAGCCTGGGCGAAAGAGCAAGACTCTGTCTCAAAAAAAAAAAAAAAAAAAAAAGAGGAAAGCTAATCTGAGCCATTACGGCAAGATCTCAAACTTGCCTCAGTTTCCTTAATCATGGCCTATAGCTCATTGGCCCATGAATGTATCCAATCCTTTTTAATAACACCACCTCTTACTCTGAAAGTCTGTAGTGCTTCGCATTACAAAGCATTTCCCCAGACCTTTCTCAAGAAGCCGTTCCTGTAGCCAATCTTTGCAAGCACGATGCGTAAGACACAGTCCCTGCCTTCTACATGGCCCATTTTAAACAGCACTGCCAGGTGGGGATCATGTGTACCTGTCCTGCCCCAAATGATATCGATGATACTGACATGAGGAAAAGCACACTGGGTGGTCGTGCAGGGGGCTGGTGGGTGGAGGGGTTAGTTAGGGTCTCACACTAGCTAAGGACCAGAGTCACTAATATTCATCTTCCCCATTTAAATCTCGGCAGCCCCATGGTCTCCACTCCCACTCTGTGGAAAGGATTCCAAGTCCTTGCTCCTTCCCCTGTCCCCACCTGTACTTGAGGTACATCCCAAATTGTTTTCAGGTTTGCTCTGGGACATGTCAAAGGCGACAAGGGCACAATGGCTTTCTCACCTTTTCTGCTAAATGACTTCCTCCTCCAAACTTCTTTGCTTCTGTTAAGGGGCCAACATCCAACCAGACACAACCTCAGACACAATCATCTCGCTCCCTCCATCACACACACACACGTGCTCACACAGTCAGGTGCTAATTTGCACTGATCCTTCCTTTGCAATGTCCTGAGCCAGGCCAGAGGGGCACCCACTGAGGAGCCGGCTGCTGGGAAGCGGGGAGAAGGGACTTCAATAACAGGTGCCCAGACCCCAGAGATGCCTCCTCTACCCTCACATGGGCTTTGGCATCTAAGTGGCACCAAGCCTGCCCCAGCCCTCGGCATTCCCCTTGCTCACCTGTTTGGACAGTTCCCACAGGCACACTCAATGCAGTGAGGGCGGGTCTGCTAGTACACTTTAGACCCAGCCAAATCTGACACATTAAAAATGTTGGCCAGGTGCAGTGGCTCACGCTTGTAATCCTACCATTTTGGGAGGCTGGTAACAAAGTGAGACCCCGTCTCTACAAAAGCTTTTTTAAAAAATTAGCCCAGCATGGCATGGTGGCTTATGCCTGTAATCCCAGCTACTCAGGAGGCAGAGGCAGAAGAATCACTTGAACCCAGGAGGTGGAGGCTGTGGCGAGCCGAGATCGCACAATTGCACTCCAGCCTGGGCAACAAAAGTGAAACTCCATCTCAAAACAAACAAACAAACAAACAAAAATTAGCCCAGCATGGCATGGCACGTGCCTGTAGTCCCAGCTGCTTGGAAGGCTGAAGCAGGGAGATTGAGGCCCAGGAGGTCGAGGCTGCATTGAGCCATGATCATGCCACTACATTACAGCCTGGGCAAGAGAGCAAGACTCTGTCTCTAAATAAATAAATAAATAAAAAGAAAATTTTAAAATGTTAATAGTTAAGTACCAAGTACATACTAAGCAATTTAGATGTGTTTATCTCATTTAGTTCTACTGAAAACTCTATGAGATATAGTTATTCTCATTTTACAGATAAGGTAATTTATCATAACCTCAGGAAGATTAAGTTACTTACATACCTAGGAAGAAATAACATAAGAGGAACTAATATTCAAGGAGCATTTACCACGTTTGTGCATAAGACTCTGTTCTGGCAGTTTTACATGTAAACATAATTTCATTTGCCAAGCAATCCTAGGAGTTAGGGCTGCTGTTTTTTTTATTTTTATTTTTATTTTTTTGAGACAGAGTCTCGCTCTGTTGCTCAGGCTGGGGTGCAATGGTGCAATCTCGGCTCACTACAACCTCTGCCTCCCGGGTTCAAGCGATTCTCCTGCCTCAGCCTCCCAAGTAGCTGGGATTACAGGCACCCACCACTATGCCCAGCTAATTTTGTATTTTTAGTAGAGATGGGGTTTCACCATGTTGGCCAGGCTGGTGTCAAACTCCTGACCTCAAATGATCCGCATGCCTTGGCCTCCCAAAGTGCTGGGATTACAGGTGTGAGCCATCGCGCCCGGCCTAGGGCTGTTATTATATGCGTTTTATAGGTGAAGAAACAGACATAGAGATGTTAACGTGCTCAAACTCACAGAGCAAGTAAATAGAAAAGCAAAGATTTAAACACAGGCAATCTGATTCCTGCGTTAAGAGCCCAGGCTATGATGAAGGCCAAATATTTTGTGATTTGATTCACAAATAGATGCCAAACGCAGTCAGTAAATGCACTGTAGAAATTTGTGTTATGTAAAAAGTAAGCCCTTATTAATATATATATATGATACAAACTAACATAGGCACAGACATTGATATGGTTTGGTTGTGTCCCACCCAAATTTCATCTTGAATTGTATTCCCATAATTTCCACGTGCTGTGGGAGGAAGCTGGTGGGAGATCATTGAATCATGGGGGTGGTTTCCTCCATACTGTTCTCATGGGAGTGCATAAGTCTCATGAGATCTGATGGTTTTATAAGGGGAAACCCCTTTCACCTGGCTCTCATTCTCTCTCTTGCCTGCCGCCATGTAAGATGTGCCTTTCACTTTCCACCATCATTGTGTGGCCTCCCCACACAATCTTTTTCTTTATAAATTACCCAGTCTCAGGGATGTCTTTATCACCAGCATGAAAAGGGACTAATACAGACGTGTTCTGTTAAAGTGGTTATCTCTGAGGAACAGGACTGCAGGAACTGGAGAGGTAGGAAAGGCAACTCCCGCTTTTCTTTTTCTTTTTTTTTTTTTTTTTTTTTGAGAAGAGTCTCTCTGTATCACCCAAGCTGGAGTGCAGTGGTGTGATCTCAGCTTACTGCAACCTCTGCTTCCCAGATTCAAGTACTTCTCCTGCCTCAGCCTCCCGAGTAGCTGGGATCACAAGCATATGCTACCATGCCTGGCTAATTTTGGTATTTTTACTTTTTTTTTTTTTTTGAGATGGGCTCTCACTCTGGTTGCCTAGGCTGGAGTGCAGTGGCATGATCTCAGCTCACTGCAACCTCCACCTCCCAGGTTAAAGCAATTCTCCTGCCTCAGCCTCCCAAGTAGCTGGGACTACTGGTGTGTGCCACCATGCCCAGCTAATTTCTGTATTTTTAGTGGAGACAAGGTTTCACCATGTTGGCCAGGCTGGTCTCGAACTCCTGACCTCAAGTGATCCACCCGCCTCAACCTCCCAAAGTGCTGGGATTACAGGCATGAGCCACCACATCTGGCCAACTCCTGCTTTTCTTTATATAATATTTTGTGTGGTATAGATTTTTTTAAATCATATATATGTATTATTTTAGGATAGAAAGACCAGAAATTTTCAAAATTCTAAATGTTACTAGGAACAGATTTCATTATTTTCAATATCCCACATTCTCTTTCACCCTGACATATTTTCTTTCTTTTCTAACTTGTGGGCAGATGACAAAATTGCATCAGAGTAGAAACTCAGGATCACTCAGTTCTGCAATGTGAAATACCGTAGCTCCACTCTGTCTGAGGAGCAGAAATGGACAGGCAGGATTTGCTGATGAATTAACTGTGGGCTGTGGAGGGGAGAGACGAGACCATTGGAGCAATGAGATTCCAAACAAAGGAAGATCAACCAGACCCTAAGATCATCCCCGTCTAGATTCCTTCTCCACCTGCTTACTAAACATGAAATTCCTTTGACCAAGGACAACGTCTTGCAGGCCACAAAAATTCAAATTAGTTTTTAGCACTTTGCAACTTACACACCAGCCTTCAAGGACTTTACCACTTTTGATAAAACTTAGAATGCAAGTGTCCCTGGGTGGCAAGTATAAACAAATCCTGGGCAAAATTCATGTTTTTATAAGGGCAGGGAGGCGGGCGATAGCGGAATGACACAGGAAAACTTAAGAGGAGGTGACCTGTAAGATGGGAGAGACTGGAAACCAGTTTTAGGGCTAGTACTATTTACTCCTAATTGTCAGCAACGAAAACGGAGGTCTCAGGTTCTCTCCCATAAAGAAAGAGCTTAGAAGAAACATGGACAGCATTTGCCAGGTTCAATTTCAGACTACTCACGCTCATTTGGAGCACAAGGCCGCCACCTGGTGGCAGCATGCACTGGGCCAATAGAAATGAACAGCTTTACATGAACGGGCATGTGTTGTATCTCCTCAAAACCGCTTTATATCTACAGGCTGCGAGGAAGTATCGTTTTGCTTAGCTCAAATCTAGCTGACTGAGATAGATATAACAAACATAAAATGAAGCAAATACCTTTTTTAAAAAGCGTCAATTCTATGCAGTAAAACAAAGCAAACATAAAAGTAAATCCACACTTTTTTAGAAAAAAGGGAAATGTTTCCCACTGCAAGAAAATACAAAGCAGGGAACTTAAACTTGATTAGGACGCTAAATAGCTCATGTAATATGCATACTCCCCAGGCAACCAAGTGCCTTTTAAAGAAGCAGTTATTAACCACCAGGGATATGATTGATGGAGAAAGAGGCAGACGTTTGGGGGACTGTATGGAAAATGGGGCTGGGTAGAAGGTGTAGACAGAACTTTTACTTGACTCTGGCTCTATGTGTCACAAAAACGTCAGCAGAAGTTATTTTATCTCAACACAAGTTTGTTGATTTGACAGGCTTTGTTGGCCTTTTCTTCTCTCTCCAGAGGTCTCCTCAAGATAGTTCACATAAGAAATATTTAACCCAAGAAGACATTATTACCGGATCAATCCCAAACGGGTATGGATTTCCAAAATACACTCCTGGTATGGCTGGGTCCAGCTGCAGATATAGACTTTCCTCCATTACATGAGTACTTTAGAGGGAGAAAAGGAGAAAAACAAACAATGATCAACCGGGGCAGAAAAGATACTATAATACCACCAGTCACGAACTTGCCCATCAAAGTCCAACTACTGGTGCAATTCATCACTTTGGTTGGTTCAATATCTACTACACATCAAGTATTGTCCTAAACACTGAGGCTACAATCTGAGTTTGCAAAGAGATCTCAGCCTGATGTGCTATAGTAAAGAAACTCAGGGCCGGGAGCAGTGGCTTACATTCATAATCCCAGCACTTTGGGAGCCTGAGGTGGGAGGATCCCTTAAGTCCAGGAGTTTGAGACCAGCTGGTTGTGGTGGCACATGCCTTTAGTTCCAGCTACTTGGGAGGCTGAGGCAGGAGGACTGCCTTGAGCCTGGGAGGTCAAGGCTGCAGTGAGCCATGATTGTACCACTGCACTCCAGCCTGGGCAACAGAGTGAGACTCTGTTGAAAGGAAAAAAAAAAAAAAGGGAGAAGGGGGAGAGGGGACAGAAGGGGAAAGGGAAGGAAAAGGAAGGGAGATCAGGATTTGTACCACATCAGAAATGAGGTAGAAAGCAGGGATGCTGGGAGCACACAGGAAAGAAACCCCAGCCCAGGGACATGCTTGGGAAGTCTCCCCAGGGAACACTGGGGCTGCTTCTGAAGGATGGATTGTTTTTTCACATATACACCTCAACTGCTATGAAACTTAACTCTAAAAACATGTAGCCCATTGTATGTCTTTAAATCTGTGTCCCCTTTTCACCCAGAAGAATGGATGTCAATGGGAAGAAATTTCTTTTTTTTTTTTTTTTTTGGAGACTGCGTTTCATTCTTGTTGCCCAGGCTAGAGTGCAATGGCACGATCTTGGCTCACTGCAACCTCCGCCACCCCCACCCCCCAACCCCAGGTTCAAGCAATTCTCCTGCCTCAGGCTCCCGAGCAGCTGGGATTACAGGCATGTGGCACCATGCCCGACTAATTTTTGTATTTTTAGTAGAGATGGGGTTTCACCATGTTGGTCAGGCTGGTCTCGAACTCCTGACCTCAAGTGATCCGCCTGCCTCGGCCTCCCAAAGTGCTGGGATTTGGTGTGAGCCACGATGCCCGGCCCAGAAATTTCTTACTCTGTCTCTGCAAGCCTTAAGGGGATGAGAATGTTGAGTTGATTTTTTTTTAAGAACTGCATCTGTGGAAGGGCCCAAGGAATGAGCATTTGAAATGATGAGGAACAGGCCTGGTACGGTGGCTCATGCTTGTAATCCCAGCACTTTGGGAGGCTGAGGTGGGTGAATCACTTGAGGTCAGGAGTTCAAGACCAGCCTGGCCAACAATGGTGAAACCCCATCTCTACTAAAAATACAAAAATTAGTTGGGCGTGGTGCCACATGACTGTAATCCCAGCTACTCAGGAGGCTGTGGCAGAAGAATTACTTGAAACCAGGAGGCGGAGGTTGCAGTGAGCCAAGATTGCACCACTGCACTCCAGCCTGGGCAACAGAGCAAGACTCCGTCTACAAAAAATAAATTAAATTAAATTAAAAAATAATGAAATGTGAAGAGCAGACAGCAGACAGTCTTGACAGGCTGCCCAGAAATACACTCCCTCCCTTCTGCAGTGAGGTGCTGAGGGCCTTAGGTAGCAGCTGAGGGAATCGGGAAGCCTGGCCTACTGTCCTGGCCCTCAATGTGCAGTGGCAGCAGCTGACCGTGACTCGCTTGCCCAGACGTGACCCCCATCCTAATGGCATGACTCAGTGCAAATGGCTGGATTTCCATAGCAGAGAAGTGTTTGTGTGTTCATAAAGGGAAAAGTCACCCCTGACAGGAAGGAACTGGCCTGGCACCCATAGCTAAGCCATCGTGTCTCCTGCTGAGCATAAGCAACTTCATAGAACAGCAACATCAGGCAAGGCCACCTGGCGACTATGATAGAGTGAGAAAAAACAAGATCATTCCACAATCATACCTCGATACAGGCAAAAAGAAGGACACGGTCCAAACCACAAAAATGACCCAACATCCCCGCCTCCTAACAAAGGCTAAATCCTCTAAGCCCTTTCTAATACCCTCTTAATAGAGATGGTTTTCCCAATGATGCACCATTTCCCTTGTTGAGTCAATACGCCCAACTCCAGTGACTACAGGAATGTTTTCAGTGGTCTTTCAACCATCAAGGAAGCAGGTCCAAGACCCAGGTCGCAGCTGGTGACCAGAATCAGCTCACTGTGTACTTCAGCTGTCGTTTTCTTCTGCCACAGTGATAATGAGGTTCTGCCTTATACTCCTGACCCTTCACATATGGCTGAGCATTGCTCCAATTCAAGACCAAAGAGTCTTGAATTGGGGAAGAAGACATTTGCAGGTGCATAAGAGAACAGCATTCATACCCATGTCTGCAGAGTGGTAACAAGACAGTTAATTCGGGCCTTTCACAATCATACTCTATGGGAAATGGAATTTCATGTTGGTAGGCTGGCGAAATTATGCAGATTGAACAAGTTTCAAAACTCATCTCGGCCGGGCACGGTGGCTCACACCTGTAATCCCATCACTTTGGGAGGCCGAGGCAGGTGGATCACCTGAGGTCAGGAGTTCAAGACCAGCCTGGCCAACATGGTGAAACCCCGTCTCTACTAAAAATATAAAAATTCACTGGGTGTAGTGGCACACGCCTGTAATCCCAGCTACTTGGGAGGCTGAGGCAGGAGAATCGCTAGAACCCGGGAGGCAGACGTTGCAGTGAGCCAAAATCGCACCATTGCACTCCAGCTTGGGCCACAGAACGAGACTCCACCTCAAAATAAAAAATAAATAAATAAAAAAATAAAACTCATCTCTATACTTATGAGTTTAAATCTAAAGAGCAGAACTAAGTGTAAGAATGAATGTGTTTGTTTGTTTGTTTGTTTGTTTGAGACGGGGTCTTGCTCTATTGCCAAGGCTGGGGTGCAACAGTGCCATCACGGTTCATTGCAGCCTCAACCTCCCAGGCTCAAATGATCTTCCTGTCTCAGCCTCCCAAGTAGCTGGAAGCACAGGCATGTGCCACTGCCCAGCTAATTTTTTTTTTTTTTTTCATTTTATGTAGAGACAGGGTCTCCCTATATTGCCCAGGCTGGTCTTGAATTCCTGGGCTCAAGCAATCCTCCCACTTTGGCCTCCCAAAGTTCTGGGATCACAGGTGTGAGCCACCGTGCTCAACCTAATTTGTTTTTAAATTTATGAAAGTTTTGTTCTTTTGGGCATCTCTTTAGAATACTAATTGCAAAGCAAAAAAAAAAAAAAATCACAGATATAGCTGTCTGTATGTCATTCCAGAAAACGTTTTATCCTTCATTTTTCTATATTTTTGTTTTTCTATATTTAAGGTGGGGAATCCCATCTCTACTTCAGGGAACTTAGGCCTAGCAGAGAAACAAGAAGAGACTGCGTTAGAATCTCCTTGCCCCACACTAAATATTTCTACAGTCTCTTGGAGCCTCTCTGTGCCAACATCAAGCCCTTTGAATGCCCTCAGGAAAGCTTTGTCAAAAGAAACCCAGGATTGGGCCGGGCGTGTGGCTCATGCCTGTAATCCTAGCACTTTGGGAGGCTGAGGCAGGTGGATCAATTCAGGCCAGGAGTTTGAGACCAGCCTGGCCAACATGGTGAAACCCCACCTCTCCTAAAAATACAAAACTTAGCTGGGTGTGGTGGTGTGTGCCTGTAGTCCCAGCTACTCAGGAGGCTGAGGCAGGAGAATCGCTTGAACCCGGGAGGTGGAGGTTGCAGTGAGCTGAGATTGTGCCACTGTACTCTAGCCTGGGTGACAGAGCAAGACTCCATCTCAAAAAAAAAAAAAGAAAAAGAAAAAGAAAAAAAATAAATAAACCCAGGATTGAATCTTTTCTAACTGAAAAACTCTTGGATGAAATTGATTGTTCATTCTGTCCCCCATTTATGACGTTCACCACAGATTTTGGTGAGCCAGTAAGACCCGTGAAGTCCCTTCCTTGGGAGAGGAAGAATGGGAAAAGAGATTGTGAACATGTTTACCTAGCTCAGTCTTCACTTTGGTCCTCTTTTCTCATTTGTTCAAAGGAAAGTTCCAGAATGAGACAGGGAAATCTTAAGCTGACCCAAAGGAGATGGGCAGAGACAGATGTTAGGAAACGTCACCATTGATATGTAGGTTTTACAAATTAGCCCTCACGCTACTGTGGGAATCTCAGGTACGTGATGCACGTAGCCTAAGATCACCCCCAAAATCAAGAGGCTGTCGCAATTTCTATTTGTTCACTTCACAGTCCCCTCTCCTCCAGAGTCCCCTGTTCTCCCCCAGTTCATTAAATGGACCTACCTCTCAAACTCTAAAATCTTTCTCCCCATAAAAGTCTCCATTCCTAAAAGGTTATGTTTCCATTCTGAAGTCTGCTTGTCTGATTAACTGCATAAAATCACTGTAGAATGCATAGGGGAAGGGTGGACTGTGGGGATTTAGAGAGCTTCCAGGTCTCTCTATTCTACAGTACCCACATATCCTTACCAGGTGTCCCCTGCCCCCAACTCTGTCAGCCACAGGACAAATACAGGGAGACAGCATTACAAAACCAACCATTTCCTCATCTGCTTTTTTTTTTTTTTTTTCAGTTGGAGTCTTGCTCTGTTGCCCAGGCTGGAGTGCAATGGTGTGATCTCGGCTCGCTGCAACCTCCACCTCCTGGATTCAAGCAGTTCTCGTGCCTTGGCCTCCTTAGTAGCTGGGATTACAGGCATGTGCCACCATGCCCAGCTAATTTTTGTATTTTTAGCAGAGATGGGGTTTCACCATGTTGGCCAGGCTGGTCTCGAACTCCTGAACTCAAGTGATCCTCCCGCCTCGGCCTCCCAAAGTGTTGAGATTACAGGCGTAAGCCACCGTGCCCAGCCTCTCATTTGCTTTTGAGACAGCATCTTGCTGTGTTGCCCAGGCTGGAGTGCAATGGTGTGATTGTAGCTCATGCAGCTTTGACCTCCTTGGCCCAAGCCATCCTCCTGCCTCAGCCTCCCAAGTAGCTAGGACTAAAGGCGTGCCAACACACTTGGCTATTTTTTCTTTTTCTTTTTTTTTTGGAGATGGAGTCTCACTCTGTCACCCAGGCTGGAGTGCAGTGGCGCAATCTCAGCTCACTGCAACCTCCGCCTCCCAGGCTCAAGCAATTCTCCTGCCTCAGCCTCCCGAGTAGCTGAGATTCCAGGCACCTGCCACCACATCTGGCTAATTTTTGTATTTTTAGTGGAGACCAGGTTTCACCATGTCGGCCAGGCTGGTCTCGAACTCCTAACCTCAGGTGATCCACCTGCCTCAGCCTCCCAGAGCACTGGGATTACAGGCATGAGCCACTGAGCCTGGCCTATTTGAATTTTCAAGTGCACCTCTGAGTAGACCTAGGTGTAGACTCCCCCAACCATGAAAACAGTCACTGAGGCCACCTGGATGGCCAGCGACTACACCATCTCTGTCTGTCAACTCACTTCCATGTGCCGTTTCTGAACATGGGTTGGACACTCCAAGAAGAGCCAAAGATGTTCAAGGACTTGGAGAAGCAGTCATTGTAGATCAAACCCGTGTAGATGGAGAAGATGCCCATAAGTAGGATCAGATAGCGCCCGTGGAAGAAGGTGTTCCAAATCTGGCCTCAGAGAGACAGAGAGGATGATTGTCAGTGGGCTCTGAAGCAGACCCCAGAGGGAAGCGTTCTACAGGATATCTCCAGCATCACCGGTGCAGGCACCCTTGGGGGAGCCACATGACCACAGCAGACATCAATCATCCAGACAGGAAGAGCACACACATCATGGTTTTTGGAACATATAGGTGCACCAAAAAGTCCTAGGCTGGTATTTGTTATCATGAAACAAAAACCATATAGGCAAAAATTAGCTGGGCGTGGTGGTGCATGCCTGTAATCCCAGCTACTTGGGAGGCCGAGGCAGGAGAATCACTTGAACCTGGGAGTTGGAGGCTGCAGTGAGCCAAGATTGCACCACTGCGCTCCAGCCTGTGTCTCAAAAAAAAAAAAAGGCCGGGTGTGATGGCTCACACCTGTAATCCCAACACTTTGGGAGGCCAACATGGGCAGATCACCTGGGGTCAGGAGTTCGAGACCAGCCTGACCAACATGGTGAAACCCCGTCTCTACTAAAATTAGCCAGATGTGGTGGTATGCACGTTAGTCGCAGTTACTCAGGAGGCTGAGGCAGGAGAATCACTTGAACCCGGGAGGCGGAGGTTGCAGTGAGCTGAGATTGCCCCACTGCCCTCCGGCCTGGGTGACAGAGCAAGACTCTGTCTCAAAAAAAAAAAAAAAAAAAATATATATATATATATAAAATATATATTATAAATATAAATAATATATATATTTATAACATAATATATATTTATAATATATATTATATATATATGCATGCCTCAGATTCTTCCATTGCACCTGCATTAGAAAATAAACTGAAGTGCAAGCAAGGCCTCATCTGCTTAGGAAGGGACTTGAAAGCAGGTGGCTGTTGTCTCAGGTGCTTCCAGGAAATAAGCACTGAACTGGCCTCCCATGGCTGCTATATTTATGACAAGTCAGATATATACTCATTTTGCGTCTTGTCATTGTAAAGTTGATTCCCTGTCTGACTATGTCTGCTGAGAAGAATAAAGTGCTTTCTCATAATACTGAATAATGTGTGTCAATCATTCCAAGAAGTGCTGACGTGTAACTCTGAAACTCAAAATGTTTACCATACAAAATCATATCTTTAAGCTTGGCATGGAAAACTATATTGGTCACAGGTTGATTCTGCTCACTAACCTCGACATCGCTGACCTAGCTGTAATTAATTCAACCTGTAATAAAACATTGCAGATATTTTTTTTTTTTTTAAGATGGAGTCCCTCTCTGTCACCCAGGCTGGAGTAAAGTGGCGCAATCTCAGCTCACTGCAACCTCCACCTCCCGGGTTCAAGTAATTCTCCAGCCTCAGCCTCCCGAGTAGCTGGGACTACAGGTGCCCACCACCATGCCTGGCTAATTTTTGTATTTTTAGTAGAGACAGGGTTTCACCATGTTGGCCACGTTGGCCTCGAACCCCTGATCTCAAATGACCCACCCACCATGGCCTCCCAAAGTGGTGGGGTTACAGGTGTGAGCCACTGTGCCTGGCCAGCCAATAAACTTTGAACCAATGCACCCTCCTGAGTTGTCTCAGCCTTCACAGCACTCTGCAAAGGTGGAGAAACTTAAGAGTGGGGAAACGATGTTCAGGGTTTCTCAGTGTTCAGAAGAACACGGGTCCCAGGCTGCTTCTGCCATGAACAAATACTCATGATATTTTAAGTAAAAACACTACAAATAGTATGCATTACTTGATGCCAATTTTTGAAAAATTGGTGGATAAGCACAAACAAATTGGAAAGATATCCAAAAGCATTCATGGTGATTTTTCTCTCGGTCATTAGATGGTTGCATTTTTCTAATTTTTACAGTGATTATGTATTGCTTTCATAATCAGGCAAAAACATCAGAGTTAGAAAAAATATATAATGAAAAAGAAAAATCGATGCCTTATCAAGTCATGAACAAAAACCCAAAAATGCTGAAAGGAACGGCACCAAACCATCCAAAGGAATTACCTTTGGCCAGAAGTTTTAGGTTAATTTGGCTCTTTTTTACTTTCCTTCTCTCCTTTATTTTTCATAAAAATGTGTTATTTCTATGGTGAAAACCACATACAGATTTTCATATTCTGAAAATGAATCAGGGCAAGACGGTCAATGGACACTCACCTCATTGTCTGTCTTCTGGGAGAGCAAGCGTCTCTCATTCAGAATCATCCAAAGTGCAGCCAGGAGCATCACGGTTCCATGACCACAGTCTCCAAACATCACAGCGAACAGGAAGGGGAAAGTGATGATGGTGTAGGGGGCTGCGGAGGGGAGACACACAACGCCTGAGGCCTCAGCACAGCCTCGGGGCCCCCACCTCAGATTCCCTGCCACAGCTCCACGATTTGCATGCGGGTTTCCTTAAGCCTTTCTGGTTGTCTTTTCTCACCATCCCTACCCTGACACATGCTTAGCTGCCACATAAATGAGTGCATCTGTTCCTAGGCATTCTGTTTTTCAATTTTTTTTGAAAGTGGGTCTCGCTCTGTCACCCAGGCTGGAGTGCAGTGGCACAATCATGGCTCACTGCAACCTCCACCTCCTGGGCTCAAGTGATCCTCCCACCTCAGCCTCTTGAGTAGCTGGAACTACAGATGTGTGCCACCATGCCTAACTACTTTTTAAAATTTTCTATAGAGATGAGGTCTCGCTATATTGCCCGGGCTGGTCTCGAACTCCTGGTTTCAAGCAATCCTCCCACCTCGGCCTCCCAAAGTGTTGGGATTATGGGCATGAGCCACTGTGCCCAGCCTATGAGTAGGCATTCTTATTCCCCACTTTACAGATGTGCTGAGGCTTACAGAAGCTAAGTGACTTGTCAAAAATCACAAAGTCAAAAAAAAAAAAATCACAAAGTTTGATGGAACACAAGATCAGCTTTCTCTCTCTAGGTGCTTTCTATACTCTTCTCCACACCCATCTTTTGTCTGTTTCCCCACCATTCACATGCACCACACACCACCAGCAGTTTGCTCGCAGGGACCCTCAACCCAGGAGGCCCCTGCATTACAGGCCACAAATTCGACTGGGCCTCAGGCTGGAGAAGAACAATCACCATGCACTCCTTGGATAAAGGGTATCTGGTCTATCCTTTCATTTTATTTTATTTTATCTATTTTTTGAGACAGGATCTCGCTCTGTCACCAAGGCTGGAGTGCAGTGGTGCAGTCTCAGCTCACTGCAATCTCCGCCTCCTGGATTCAAGCGATTCTCCTGCCTCTGCCTCCTGAGTAGCTGGGATTACAGCTGCCTGCCACCATGCCCTACTAATTTTTGTATTTTTAGTAGAAACAGGGTTTTGCCATGTTGGTCAAGCTGGTCTCGAACTCCTGACCTCAAGCGATCCACCTCCTCCGCCTCCCAAAGTGCTGGGATTACAGGCGTGAGCCACCAAACCCAGCCTACACCTTTATTTTATTAACCAAGGTAGCAAGATTCCACAGCTTAGGACACCAAGAATCGAGTCTTCTAAGTTCTGTGTACTGGTGTCTTTCCCACACAATAACCACAGGACTGTGAAGATGCCAAGATATGGCCCTCATTGTATTGGTGAAGGAAATGAACACTGACTTCGGCTGCCTGATGAGGTTGCAGTTTAAGGGTGCACAGGTGAAGACAAAGAACAATTCTTTCACCAATCGGCATTTATAGACGACACCACAGGGTATTACGAAACCAAGGAGGATTTTAGGAATCCTACTACTTGCCCCTACTATCCTACTTATTCCTCTGATTCCCACAGCTACTACCCTAGCCCCAAGCCTCACAGTTTTAACAAGTTCACCACCTCGGTCACCTCAGGGGTCCATCTTACCAGTTTTCACTTTCAAGCTACCCAGTCGTGCAGTTCATCAGATCTTTACCTGGGTTTATCTCCCGGTAGCTGCCGACACCATAGGCATCAACAATATTCTGGAAGCCAGCTGTGAATTTATTGGTCCTGTTAAATGTGGGAGGGGCTGTTTTAGATTGCACTGTGGTCATGATGGGGGCCATGGAGGAGCCACTTAGTTCCTGGAAAAAAAAAAAAAAGCGACAAAGATGTAAGGAGAAGAGTCTTGGGCTGGGTGTCAGCACAAAGGTCACAGTCCCAGCTCCTGCCGTCCCTCACTGAGCGAACTTGGGGCAATCTCTTGATCTCTCTGAGACTCACGACCTTATGTGTAGAGAGTTAATACCTTCCCAATACTTATCCAATTCATCTCATGGGAGGGCTGTCAAGAGAATTGAGTCCCTCTGGAGTCTCTGACAATCTCCCGTCTCCTACTGCTGTAAATGCGAATGTTATGACTCCTGGCCCTCTATGCTTTCCTCCTCTCCACTTTCTCAATTCATCCCCCTCTTCCAAATGGCTCTGGCCCTTCCCCAATTTTTTCCTAATTGCCTGCTTAGACTTTCAAACTCCAATGTGTCACCAACCCCACAAAATCCAGGAGTCTAATCCTGAATTCATCAACTCTCCACAAAGCCAGGTCCCCTCCACAAACTCCCTGCCCCTTCAGCAGAGCCTCCATTCTCCCAGATTCCTAGAATCTTGGAATCATGGATTTGTCCTTCTCTGGTTTCAGTCAGTCGATCACCCAGCAAAGCTTGCTAGTTCTCCTTTCGGAATCTTTCCTCCGATTCCCACAGCTATCACCCTAGCTCCAAGCCTCAGCATCTCTGCCAGCCTCTCCCCTCTCCGTTTATCTAACACCTAGATTGCTCAAGCACTCTTTTAATAAAACAAACAAAAAGCACTATTTTACTCATGTTACTCTCCTGCTTTAAAATCTTCAAAGGCTGCCTATCGCCTAAAGAATGAAATCAAAACTCTTTAGTCTTGTGATCAAGACTACTTAACAATATGCCTTAATCCTCCATTCACACCTTCACCCTTCCCCACGCTTCCCCATGGAAACTGGCCATGTCTACACTAGCCACCTCTCTTCTCCACTTGCTCAAGTCTTTTTTCTTTTTCTTTTTTTTTCTTCCTGAGACAGGAAGTCCCAGGCTGGAGTGCAGTAACATGATCATAGCTCACTACAGCCTCAAACTTCTGGGCTCAAGTGATCCTCCCGCCACAGCCTCCTGAGTAGCTGGGACTACAGCCATACAGTGCTATGTTACACAGGCTGGTCTTGAACTCCTAGGCTCAAATGATCCTCCCACCTCAGCCTCCCAAAGTGCTGGTATTACAGGCGTGAGCCACTGCATCCATTCTACCTACTCGAGTCTTAACAATTCCAAGTGCTCCCTGTCCAGGAACCGTACAGCCACCGCACACCCGACAGCACGTGCCACATGCACACCCACTGGGATCTGACACCAGCTGGACGAGTGCTCACGGTCCCAGCTTCAATCCTCCTCTGCTTTCAGGAGGCCGCACCTCCCTTCACCTGCTCCCCGGCCAGCCTCCCAGCGCTCTGCGCATGCATCACTTCCTCCAGGACGCACCCCCGCCCTGCTCAGCCTGGTTGAAATGCTTTTTAAGTGCCCCATTTAGGTGGTTTTTGGACCATGATGTGGGGGCATCGACTGTTTTGAGGAACAGTTTCTGTATTCAAACCCTGCCTCCTGGCTATAGGACTGTAGTCAGGTTACTTCTACTTTCTGTGCCTCCATTTCTTTATCTGTACGAAGGGGATAAAGAAAGCTCCCACCTTCTAACCCATTCCTACTGCAAGGCCTTTACCTTCAGATTCCTCCGCCTGAAAAACCCTTCCTCCCGCCCCCAACCTTCCCATGCTATCAATGCCGCCTGCTCAGAGAGGGTTTCTTCAGATAACACGAGATCTGCCGTCACCAGATATGCCACCCAGCTAGTTCCCCATCGGCCAAACCAGCTGCATGCCACCCACTCCTCAACCTAATGGCTTCACTCCTCCCACCCCGTGAAATTATTCAAACAAGCTAATCACATCCTTCTGCAAGAACCAAAGGTCACCTCACCCTCGTTCACTGCAGAGCCTGCCTCCCACCGGCCCTGCTGCTTCACTCTGCTCCCAAACGCAGTTCCCGAGGGCAAGCCCTGTGTGGCCCGCATGGCGTGCGGTGTCCTTCTCCCCTGGGCTCTGAAGACGAGTGACTAAAAACAGCTGTCAAGCCCGTCTGTCCAGTGTCAGGGTAATGTGTTCGGCCATCTTGTACTATTTAGGGCAGGAGGGGGTCCCTCCTTCAATGGGGTGAATAACGGTGATCAGAACAAGCCCCCACTCTCCATCCTGCCCCTCGCCGTCCCCTGCTTGGTTTCCTGCCCACCACTCATCACTGCCTGAAATCTCATTAGTCACGGACATGCCTCCGTGTCCCTTTCTAGAATGTCTATCAAAGCAGGGTCTTGGCCTGCCAGTGTGTAAGCCCTAGATCCGTTCCTAGTACACAGGGAATGTCTAAGGAATGAATGGAGGGAGCGGTGAGAACTCAACGAGGACAGAGTGCTTAGCCATCTCGGACACACCGCAAGCGATCTACATATTTTGGCTCTTATTATAGATGCTTGGTTATTCATCTTTCTAGCTAGACTATAACCTCCATGAGGTAACAGGTGGTATCTACAGTCTAGCAGAGTGGAGCTGGGCATGGTGGCGCGTGCCTGTAGTCCTAGCCACTTGGGAGGCTGAGATGGGAGGATCACCTGAGCCCAGGAGTTTGAGGCTGTAGGGCAGTATGCCCATGCCTGTGAACAGCCCTGCACTCCAGCCTGGGTGTCATAGCGAGGTCCCCATCTTTAATAAGAAAAAAAAGACAAAATCCCCCCAAAACGATAGTCTAGCTGAGAGACTGGCACATTAATGCTCAGTATGGCCGGGTGTGATGTCTCACACCTGTAATGTCAGCACTTTGGGAGGTTGAGGCAGGCGAATCACCTGAGGTCAGGAGTTTAAGAGCAGCCCAGCCAACATGGTGAAACCCCGTCTCTACTAAAAATACAAAAATTTGCTGGACGTGGTAGGGCGCACCTGTAATCCCAGCTACTCGGGAGGCTGAGGCAGGAGAATCACTTGAACCCGGGAGGCAGAGGTTGCAGTGAGCCGAGACTGTGCCACTGCACAACAGCCTGGGCTACAGAGCGAGATTCTATTTTTTTTTTTTTTTTAAAAAAACCTCAATACGTACTCACAAAAGGTCAAAAAATGGTGAACAACTGTCAAACACTGAAAAGACAAAGGAATTTCTTTTATGTCCTCGAGTGGGGTTGATAACTGAAGACACAAAGATGAAGGAAGCAATCCTACCACCAAGTCACTTGAGTTCATGTGGCCCATGAGGCCAACACCCTCTGAGAGCCCAGCAGAGGGGCTGACTCATCGGACCCCTCCTGGCTCCACCTGCCACGCACCATGCCTTGCTCCAGTGCCCTCTTGATACGTGTGGCATCTGCCACCGGGAACCAGATCTCGGCGATGACACACTGCTGGGTGACGTCGATGTTGCACATGTTCAGGATGTGGTAGACAGCTTTCATCTTCTGCACCTTGATGAGCCAGGAGTGCCAGTTGGCAGCGGCTTCCTGCAGCAGGCGCTGGCGGTGAGACTCTGTTTGTGTTATGACCTATACAAAAAACAACACACAGGAAAACAGAGAACCTTCACAGAGCTGTTTGACAAGGTGCCAAAAATGGAGTGTCACAGGCCACAGCAGCTTCCTCTGCTCTGGCAGGCTCCTTTGACCTGTGGCTGTCACCTGGCCTTGAACTCTCCTGAGCAGTTTATCTCCCCCGCTAGAGGCTAAAACCCTTAGGCAGAGATTGTATCTTCCTTTTCTTCTAAATTCCTCATTGTCCTATTGTTATGGGTTGAATTGTCCACATAAAAGAGTCCTGAACTCTGATACCTGTGAATATGGCCTTTTTGGAAAGAGGGTCTTTGCAGATGGAATCAGGTTAAGAAGAGGTCATACTGGATTTGAATGGGCTCTAATCCCATATGACCACTGTCCTGATAAGAAACGTAGACACAGAGGCACACAGGGAAGAATACCACGTGACAACAGAGGCAGAGAAGTAGGCACTTGCAAGCCAAGGAATGCGGAGGACGGCCCGCAGCACCAGAGCTGGGGAGAGGCAAGGAGGGGGCTCCCTTCAGGTCTTCCGAGGGAGCACGGCCCTGCTGACGC
Source organism: Homo sapiens (assembly GCF_000001405.40). NCBI lineage: Eukaryota > Metazoa > Chordata > Mammalia > Primates > Hominidae > Homo > Homo sapiens. The sequence goes on from NC_000007.14 coordinate 138,753,402, forward strand.
CTTGATTTCAGACCTCTGGCCTCCAGAACCATGACAGAATAAATCTTTATTGTCTTATGCCACCCAGTTTGCTGTAATTTGTTACAGCAACCCTAAGAGATTACTACATCTACCACAACCCTTTACATACATAATCCCTCCAATAAATGACAAGTGAATGAATGAAGGAATGAATGGACAATTGGGCCCACACAGAATTTATTTAATGGAATCATTTTTATGTTTTGATGATACAACAAACAGGGTAATCTTTTTCAGCACACATGGCCTCTGTAAGAGACACACTGTAAGACAGACATGCTGGCTCTAAGATTAACGAGAGCCATGAGGCCACCGAAGCATCTCACAAGCCCAATACTACCTGTCACTTTGCAATATAATGCCCCCTGGCCTGGGGATTTCCAGGAGACAAGAGCACCTCAGCACAGAGGTGACTTTCAGAAACCTCAAAGAGCATAGCCCGAATTATATGCCTCAGCATCAGACAGTGTCTAAGATTCATCTTTGGCAGGGACTGAGCCAAAGGAGAAAGCTGCCCCTGCAGAAGCTGCTCAGCTGGGATCATCTGAAGCCCTCGACACAGCAGCAACCCGTCATACTAAATGTAAGCACACATCTAGCAGAATTTATTTTCCATTCTCCTCATGACGTTTTCATAAAATCAAGCATGGAGAATTGGGGGGAAAGGACTTCAATGGCTTTGGGGAAACAGTGTTCCTGACAAGTGACAAAGAAGTAATGGAGAGGATTAAAAAATTAAACACAGGCCAGGCGCAGTGGCTCACGCCTGTAATCCCAGCACTTTGGGAGGATGAGGTGGGTGGATCACCTGAGGTCGGGAGTTCGAGACCAGCCTGACCGACATGGAGAAACCCCATCTCTACTAAAAATACAAAATTAGCCAGGCATGGTGGCGCATGCCTGTAATCCCAGCTACTCGGAAGGCTGAGGCAGGAGAATCACTTGAACCCGGGAGGCGGAGGTTGCGGTGAGCCGAGATTGCGCCACTGCACTCCAGCCTGGGCAACAAGAGCAAAACTCCATCTCAAAAAAAAAAAAAAAAAAATTAAACACAGGTTTTCTGGAAAAGTAAAGTTGTCTGCTAGCCTAAGGGTTTTGAAAGAGGCACATATCTAATTTCTTAACATACTTGTCCAGAATCTAAAACTGAGTTGACTTCTACCACAGCCACATGCAGCTACTAAATTTTATGTATTTTATTTCCTTTTATTTTATTTTGAGATGGAGTCTCGCTTTGTTGCCCAGGCTGGAGTGCAGTGGCGCGATCTCGGCTCCCTGAAACCTTTGCCTCTCAGGTTCAAACGATTCTCCTGCCTCAGCCTCCCGAGTAGCTGAGACTAGACTACAGGTGACTGCCACCACGCCTGACTAGTGTTTGTATTTTTAGTAGAGATGGGGTTTCACCAGTTTGGTCAGGCTGGTCTTGAACTCCTGACCTCAAGTGATCCACCCACCTCAGCTTCCCAAAGTGCTGGGATTATAGGCATGAGCCACCGCACCCAGCCCTAAAATTTAAATTGAATTAAAATTAAAAATACAAACTAAATGACTTAGTGGCACTAGCCATGTTTCAAGGGCTCAATAGCCACATGTGGCTCGTGACTACAGTGTTGGACAGCACAGGACACATGAACCTTCTATCATAACCGAAAGTTCTATCGAACTCTAGCACTGATGAGAGTCTGCCAGCGAGGGAGGCCCAGCTGTTTTCAGTGATTACTTTCAAAGCTGCTGTGATTGAAGAAAGATTTCTGATCATAAGTGTGTTGAGTGACCCTGGATGGTGACAGACTTTACAAAGAAAATGAGTTTGGGATGAATGAATGTTCACATGGTGAAACTAGACTCACTGTTTTTACAGAATTAACCCATCAGCTTAAACAACCAGGCAATTCAGTGGGAAAATAATCAGTCAAACTGGTTGTTCAACTTAATTGGCTGGGTGGTTGTATCATAGATTCCGTCTAGGCCGAGGCTGGCAATAAAGGGTGCCTTTTATCAGATCGGGGTGGCCACCTGAAGGCTGACTAGGGCTGTGGTCAAATCTGACCCTGGGCAAAGCATTCTTAAGACACAGCTTCGTTCCCTCTAGCTTATCGAACAGTTTCCCAATTGTGAAATCTTCCACAGCCACAACCAGAAAGGCATAGCCAGCATTCCAGCCAGCCTCCCAGCAAGGGCCCTGGGGGGCAGGGCTTGTATGAAAACAGCAGAGGCAGCCCTCCTGCAGCTGCCATCAGACCATGCGCCCAAACCCCTCACTCACGGTGATTAAATCTTCCAGCCTCACATTGACGCTCTCCAACATCTCTCTGCGCTCCACCGCAGGCTCTGGGCAAGGGTAGACAGTGGCTCGAAACCTGTGTTTAATATATTCCAAAGGAAACAGGTGAGTTCTTGCTGCAAAGCATTCTGCATCCCCTTTTCTGCTAAGACATCGTTTGCTGACTTTAGTTAGATGGCCAGCCTATCCTAGAATAACTGCGTCTTTGGCCACTGGAAAAGGAGTCCCAGTCATAAGGGTTCCCAGTACGTCACTTGTGCTGTGAATTGAGGCTGCAGTTCTGTTATATGAATGAGCTTCATTCAAACCATAAAACCTGTGAGTTGCTGGGTAAATAAGACTGCAAGCTGGGCTTGCCCCTTCCTAAGAATCTATTAATGTATTAATATCCTCTGCACTGAGTCATTTCTGCTTCTATGGAGCTACATGTAACACGATTCTGTAAAATCCAAAACAAGTTAGCCATGCAGTTGGATTACTCTGGAGCAGCTGATGAAAAGTCTCAGATGGAATAGACTGAAATGGGGAACATGTCCACTTTTAGTTACCCTCACATTTTGCATATTCAAGTTCTCCCTATTCATATTCTTACAACTATTAAAAATCAGTTGGGGCTGACTTTTATGTGAGAAAGTTATTCTAAAGCCTTACTGACCTCTAGAAGCCACAGTCATGTGCATTTGGCATTGCACATCTCTTTATCTAATCCTGGCCCAAATCACTGAAGAAAGAGCCATTCACTCCCTCTTACCCATCACAGATCTTCTTGATTTTCTGCCTGAGCTGCTCTCCTTGGTAAAATATGATGAATATGTTCTTCTGAATTTCTTCTTTCTGGAAAATCAGAATAAGTTAAAAAAAAAGGGGGGGGTTTCTTTCTGGTTAAAACATAATAGAGAGAAATGTAAAGTCCTGTTTTTAGGCTTACACAATTCATACATTTAAAACTGGGAAACTGTAACTTTCCTAGTTCATCTAAGTTCATAGCTCACAGTTGAGAGCAAGGCCATCCAGGACCTCACAGAGGCTAATGCAGCCTTAAGGTGACAGGCTCCCTGTTCCCGATGCTGGTT